>NC_000005.10:102609807-103234807 GCF_000001405.40 Homo sapiens
TTTGTACTGCAGCTTAATTTTATTTTTCTGTTTTTCTTTAGCAATATCTTTTTTAAAAATTCAGATATCTTGTCCCACAAGAGTTAATTTCCAAACAATAATAGTTACCAACTCTATATATGAAATTCCCATCCCCTTTTCTAGAGGAATGTTTAACTTTATTTTGCTTTTTTTAACGTATCTTTCTCTAACCAAGATTAATCACATTATGTATCCTTCTTCCATTAACTTAGCTTTTGGCGGTGTCATATCCAATTACCCCTTCTCAACTCCTGGCCTCCTCCTCCTCAACTACAGTGAAAAAACACAAGGAGAGTCCTATGACATAGCTCACCACATAACAAATCTACTTAAAACCCTCGAAGTTTTCTCATTGCCCATGAAGAGAGCACATGCCTGTGAAGAGGCAGACATTGCTTATCTCCAATCAATAGCTGCCATGAGAAAATGCAGATTAATGGTGGCAAATTTTCAAGAGAAGCCAAAAATCATGGAGTTTAAGGGCAATATCCCATTTTTAAATCTTGGATAAAATAAAAGAAAATAAAGCAAATGTGAAACAAAAAAAATCACAAAAAAGTATATCTTCACTCTCTGTCCTAAAAGATCAAGTTCAAACTTCTTGTCAGGGCAAAGCCTCCTAATAAACTGGCCCCTGCCTCTTCTCCAGCCTCATCTCTCATTACTTTTCAACAGCTAATGAATGCAACAGCAATATTAAACTGTTACCTGGTTTTAGAGCTACTGCCTCCTCTGCCTTTGAACATGTCTTCTTTGCCTGGAGTATTTTTATAAATATTAACTACCTAGCAAATTTCTCTTCCTGTATCAAAACCCTTTGGACACATAATCTCCTCTTACAAGCCTTCCTGGATCAACTTCCCAAAATCATTCTCTATGGCATATTACTTCGGTACCCAACACATTTTTTTTATTATTGTTATTAGCTTCTATTTATTGAATGCTTATTTTGTGCCAAAAATGATAAAACAAAGGTAGGGAAGAATAAAGTAGCTTATGTAAAAACACAGAGTTAGAGCAAGAGCAAGAGCTCTCTTAATTAAGTAGTTAAGTCCTATCTGTCTCCAAAGTCTACTATGCAGCATCCACTTCCATATTCTACTGCCTATTTTTTACATGTATTATTGTTTAGGTCAATTCTCTCATCCCTTACCTGAGATTAAGTGACAAGAATAATGTTTTATTGATCATTTTATTATTAGTACCTAGGATATTGTATGCATTCAATAAATGTTTGTTGTACTGAGCAGAACTGTTTTAAATGCAGATCATATAAGGTTTCAGTATTACTCTAATTTTTTTATTGATTAGTCCTTGATGTTTATCTAAATTTAACTTCTTCATTTTGAATCATTAAAAAGAGGCTCAATGTGATGTTTTGAAAATGTATTACCTTATAAAAGGTAGAATTTTAATTATTTTAATAATGATACACTTAATTCAAGTAATCCTTTTCTGGACATTGTTTAAGAAGCAGAATATTAGCTTGTCAATACCCAAATTTCAAATCTTGATTTAGCACAAAAAGCCCAAATTTGGAGAATGAATTTTAATTATTGATTTCAGGCAAACATACTTAATCTCTAGTTGGCATGTCCTCTCTGTATCCTGAAGAACTTTTACAGAAGGGATCAAGCTGTAATTGTGTCTTCCTGGATAAGCTGTTGATGACTCATGTGTGTCTTATATATGGCAAGATGATCTGGCTTACCCACAGTCGACAAGGCATATAGACAACTTTCCAGCAAGGAGAAGCCATTCATGCTCAACCTTTTAACTGTCTCCCCAAGTTGCTCACAAGAGCAAAATACATGGGCTAAGGAAAAGAGTCTGACTTGACAAAAACCTTCAGCAAATGGGATCTATGAACATAATCTTACCACATCAGGCTCAAATTCAGTATTTAATTACCTTTTCCCTTCCCCAGCATCCACAAGGAATCTAACATATTCTCACCTGTAAGGCTAGAACTCTCAGTGTGGGAGGAAAGGGGAATTGGGGGAAAGGGAGAATCTCACCCAACAGACCATTCAGAATATCAGGAGGATATATGGAGTTTCTCACCATGTGATTCTGATCAAGCAACCTCGTGATGGGCTGACTCCCAGCTTCCTTTTTGGACTGTTCCTGTCACAGAGAGAGGTTTTATTCTAGCAGATGATTTGGGTACACAGTACCCATTGAGATACTGATTTCTGAGATTGAACTGATATGGATGTGGATAGATTGCTTCTAGGAGATTTAGTTTGATATATGATGAGAGTAACTGTCCTGAGATGCTAAAAATACTTCAGCCTTAACATTTTGGTAAAAAGAGGTAAAGGTAATTATTCCAATTTAAAAATAATGCCATTTATTTCTTTCTCTTGCCTGATTGCCCTGGCCAGAACTTCCAATGCTATGATGAACAGGAGTGGTGAGAGAGGGCATCCTTGTCTTGTGCTGGTTTTCCAGGGGAATGCTTCCAGCTTTTGCCCATTCACCATGACATCAGCTGTGGGTTTATTACATATGGTTCTTATTATTTTGAGGTAGGTTCCTCCAATACCTAGTTTATTCAGAGTTTTTAACATGAAGGGACACCGAATTTTATGAAAAGCCATTTCTGCATCGATTGAAATAACCATGTGGTTTGTGTCTTTAGTTCTCTTTATGTGATGAATCACATTTATTGATTTGCATTTGTTGAACCAATCTTGCATCCCTAGGATGAAGCCTACTTGATCGTGATGGATAAGATTTTTGACATGCTGTTGGATTCGGTTTGCCAGTATATTGTTATGGATTTTTGCATCAATGTTCATCAAGGGTATTGGCTTGAAGTTTTCTTTTTTTGTTGTATCTCTGCCAGGTTTTAATATCAGGATGATACTGGCCTCATAGAATGAGTTGGGGAGGAGTCCCTCCTCCTCAATTTTTTGGGAATAGTGTCTGTAGGAATGGTACCAGCTCTTCTTTGTACATCTGCTCAAATTCAGCTGTGAATCTGTCTGATCCTAGGCTTTTCTTGGTTGGCAGGCTATTTATTACTGCCTCAATTTCAGAACGTGTTATTGGTCTGTTCAGGGATTCAATTTATTTTTTTTTATTATACTTTAAGTTCTGGGGTACATGTGCAGAACATGCAGATTAGTTACATAGGTATACACGTGCTGTGGTGGTTTGCTGCAGGGATTCAATTTCTTCCTGGTTTAGTCTTGGAAGGGTGTATGTGTCAGGAATCTATCCATTTCTACTAGATTTTCTAGTTTATGTACATACAGGTGTTTGTAATATTCTCTGTTATTTGTATTTCTGTGGGGTCAGTGGTGATATCTTCCTTGTTGTTTCTGATTGTGTTTATTTGAATCCTCTCTCTTTTCTTCTTTATTAATCTATCTACCAATCTATCTATTTTATTATTTTTTTCAAATAATCAGCTCCTGGATTCATTGATCTTTTGAATGATTTTTGTGTCTGAATCTCCCTCAGTTCAGCTCTGAGTTTTGGTATTTCTTGTCTTCTGCTAGCTAAGGACTTTGTTTGTTCTTGGTTCTCTAGTTCTTTTAGTTGTGATATTAGGTTGCTAACTTGAGATCTTTCTAACTTTTTGATGTGGGCTTTTAGTGCTATAAATTTCCCTCTTAACACTGCCTTAGCTATGTCCCAGAGATTCTGGTATGTTGTATATTTGTTCTCAGTAGTTTCAAAGAACTTCTTGATTTCTACCTTAATTTTCTTACTTATCCAAAAGTCATTTGGGAGCAGGTTATTCAATTTCCATGTAATTGTATGGTGTTGAGTGACTATCTTAGTTTTGAGTTCTAATTTGATTACACTGTGGTCTGAGAGACTGTTTATTATTATTTCAGTTATTTTGCATTTGCTGAGGAGTCTTTTACTTCTGATTATGTGGTCAATTTTAGAATAAGAGCCTGTGGCAATGAGCTGTTGATATGTTTTGGCTGTATCCCCAAGCAAATCTCATCTTGAATTGCAGTTCCTATAATCCCCATGTGTCATGGCAGGGACCTGGTGCGAGGTAATTGAATTATGGGAGTGGTTATCCTCATGCTGTTCTCAAGACTGTGACTGAGTTCTCATGACATCAGATGGTTTTATAAGGAGCTTCCGCATTTCACTCACTCTTCTTCCTGCTGCCATGTGAAGAAGGATGTGTTTTCTTCCCCTTCTGCCATGATTGTAAGTTTTCTGAGGCCCCCTCCAAGCCCCATAGAACTATGAGTAAATTAAGCCTCTTTCCTTTGTAAATTACTGAGTCTCAGGCAGTTCTTTATAGCAGCATGAGAATTGACTAATACATAAGTATATTCTGTTGTTTTAGGGTAGAGTGTTTTGTGAATGTCTGTCAGGTCCATTTGATCCAGAGCTGAGTTCAGGTCCTGAATATCTTTGTTAACTTCCTGTCTTAATGATCTGTCAGTGGGATGTTAAAGTCTCCCACTATTATTGTGTAGGAGTCTAAGTCTCTTTGGAAGTCTCTAAGAACTTGCTTGATGAATCTAAGTGCTCCTGTGTTGGGTGTGTATATATTTAAGATAGTTTAGGTCTTCTTGTTGAATTGAACCCTTTACCATTGTGTAATGCCCTTCTTTGTCTTTTTGATCTTTGTTGGTTTAAGGTCTGTTTTGTCAGAAACTAGGATTGCAACCCCTGCTTTTTTCCATTTTCCATTTGCTTGGTAGATTTTCCTCCATCTCTTTATTTTGAGTCTATATGTGTCTTTGCATGTGAGATGAGTCTCTTGAAGACAGTGTAGCAGTGGGTCTTGGTTGTTTATCCAGCTCACCACTCTGTGTATTTTAATTGATGCATTTAGCCCATTTGCATTTAAGGTTAGTATTGATATTTGTAGATTTGATCTTGCCAACATGATGTTAGTTGGTTATTTTGCAGACTTGTTTATGTGGTTGCTTTATAGTGTCACTGGTTTGTGTACTTAAGAGTGTTTTTGTAGTGGCTGGTAATGGTCCTTTCTTTTCATATTTAGTGCTTCCTTCAGGAGCTCTTGTAAGGCTGGTCTGGTGGTAATGAATTCCCTCAGCATTTGCTTGTCTGAAAAGGATCCAGAAAAATGGGATACATTGGAGGTGTTTTAAGTATAACTATTCTCTTACAACATCACAGCCAAATGCTTTCCTTTTTTTCCTTTACTTATAGGGCCCATGTAAGGTAAGAGTTTTCCCCCAGCTCAGACATTTAATCACCCAATTGGTGAGAAGAACATATCACTCAGCCTTTTATCTTCTTATGCCTTTTTGGGAGTCCACAAAGTTTGCTAAGTTTGAGAAAATACTTTAAAGCATTTCTCTTCACTATTACTTACTCCTGGGGCTACTCATCTAGTATCTTTTTAGCACAGGAGCAGAGAGGCTAGAGACCCTGATAATACAATTATTTCACATCCCCTTCTTCTCCTTCCCAATCATACAAGTGCTGCTAAGTTTCTTGATGTGATGGGTCAAACACTACCAGGGTTTGCTGCTGAGTCTAGCCTACCCTGACAGATCGTTTCTTTGAATAAAGGAATATTTCTCCCAAGAGCCCAACAGCATCCCTAAAGATTATATGACAGCTAAGAAGGCTTTGCCTGTTCAGAGCACAAAGAAAAACAAAACAAAAATTATCTCTGGGATAGGAGCTAAGGAAATGGGTTTCGTCAAATCACACAAAATAATATTGATGAATCTCAGCACCGACCCAACCAGAATGCCAAGTTAAAGGAGACAAGAAATATTTAGAAAGGAAATACCATATGTGAATATGCTGGGTTTTGTTTGACTTTGAAAACTGTATTGCATTTTATTTGCTGGGATGAAACATCTTTTACGGAAAGAGAAAATATGAAAATAATAAGATGCCAAGAAAACTCCCCATGTTTCTAAATTTTTCTTTCAGTAAAGGCACAAAGTGGAAGCAATGGATTCAAAATAACATAGAAGGCCTGCAACCTCAGGAATGTAGACTATTGATTTCAAAGATGTGGAGGGCTTCTTTGAAAGTAGGCATCAGATAATCATGGGAAAGACGAAGCAAGAAAACAATCCACTCTGAGGGAAGGGAAGACCATACAAAGATTGAGATTGGGTCAGCATGGAGAATTTCAGTTCTTACATGCAATCTAATGACAAAGTTATTGCTAGTCATTTTCTAACAGTTAATCTCCATTACAATAACCTCATAATCAGCTTCATAGATGGCTAACAGACACATCCTATTATTTTGTCTCTATCAAGTTTTTAAAAGAATATGGAGGGAATCTACCAAATCAAACAATATTTTGCACAACCAGTCACTTGGAGAATATGTAAATTTGGGTATTGGCTTAAAAGTTAAAACATCAAGGATATGAGCTTTAACTATGTGTTCCTCCAGCAGAGTTCTGGGTACGCATTTGGGGTATAATAAGTAACAAAACGTAAATTAATATTATTCAATGTTTATTGAAATATTGATATGTATATATATAAATTTAACTCTTTCAGAGGTAAAATTTTCCAAATTTACCCCACTCAGTCTTTCATCAAATCTCTTTTCTTGAGTGTTTGCTCCATTCTTTTCTACATTGCATAATGCTTCTCTAAAATCTTTCAGGGTTTATTTCCTTTTCCATGAAAAAAACTTTTTGTTACATTCAATCTGATTGAGAAAAGCAACAATGTTTCTTGTAGCACATGAAGGTAGAGTCTATGGCCTAAGCATATGCAGTCTGTTTTTATTAGCACAATAATTTGATTATATGGGGTATAGGAATGACTAAAAATTTGCATAATTCACACAAATAAGGCAAAGATAGCCAATTAGGATGCACAAATTATTTTCCTAGAGTTCAGTAGAGACAAAAATTATTTAAAAAAACAACCACAACAGCTAAATCAAGAGCTAATGATCAGATGACAGGATGACAAACCATAAATATATACTGGATATCACTACAGCCTTCAAGACATGTGGTCTTCCTCCTTTTATTTTTTTTCTATCTTTTTGATGATATGTGGAGGTAGACTTGCACAAACTTTCTTTCTAAAATATACATCACTTCCAGTATTTCAGTGTCCCCTGAATCTCAGACTCATTTTACAGGAGTAGCAATTTCATATGCTGTAGAAAATAAAGAATAAGAAAGGGGAACACAGGAAAAATATATAAGTTATAGAAATGTCTTACGATGTGTCAATAAATTAGTATGGAAACCCACTTGTTAATCCTATTCATCCCCCCAAAAGTATTGCATAGGACCTATGCTTAGTACCTATTATTATACACTGGTTTAATATTTATTAGGCTCCTACTTACCAGAGATGGTGGGACATTTATTATAAAATATCAAAGTTCAGAATTCTTCAGAAAGTACTTTCCATTTACAGATGCATTTGTCATTGAAGAAAAACATCTTACAAAGGAAGTTTAAAAGAGAACCCAGATGAATATTTCTTCAGATGAACCACAAATAAGTTCTGATTTCAACATGTTCTACAACTCCCCAGAGCTGAGAAGCTAAAGACGGTTCTACAGTATCATATTCCAAAGGCATCACAGGGTTTAGCTGCTAATGCAATAAAGTGGTTTTTGTCTTGGAAGCACGCAACATCATGAATAACATTGTCATCTAGAAACAATGAGCCAATAGGCACCATTTTGTGTTGTAACCGAGCAGGCTTGCTTGATTGTGGATGCAGATATGCCCACCCTACGTAAGTTGACATTTTGTACAGACTAGAAGAAATGTGTGGTATGAGATCAATAAAGAAGTAACTAAAAGTAAAAGACTCTTAATGATTGTAAATGAAGCTGAGAACAAAAACTTAGATCTCAATAACCTAGAGTTATGACTCTAGGGCTATGGTCTGTTAACATCTGCTTCTTGGGTAGGAATGTTTTTCTTTCAAAATAACAGTGCTACATGAATCAACAGCTTCCAAAGGAACTATTTCATGCCATCCAACCTTAGGTCTCAGACCTGAAAAAGCTCATTGATCTTTGGTAAAATCTCAGTTACATAAGTAGGAAGTTATTTTTAAAGCCATACCAGATGCTACAGTTCCTCCTCATTGCTCCCACATGGATGTTCACTGTTTATTCAGAATTGAGCCAAAAGCCCTGAAATAAGAAAGTTAAGTATGATTCCCTGACAAACCAAGAGAACAGAGTTGCATGCAATGGATCTGTAAATATTTATTTTAGTTTTATTATTTGGCTGATGGCTTTTGAGCTGGCCACTCTTGCACAAACACACACACACACACGCACACACACACACACAAACTCAGAGATTTTCCTTAGGAGGCTCATGGTTTTCCTTCTGCAACTGACAGGAGAATTTCTTCCTAATTTAAATCATTTTTATAGCCTCCTAAGTGAGAGTAAAACATTTACAGATAAACTACAACCCTACCTCATCATTTTGCCAAGAGAGGTATAAAGTAGTCCATGTTCTTCTGTCAGAAATAATCTTTGGTAATATAAAAATGATAATTTATTTCATCAAATTGGAACTCATGTTAAAAGGAATTGTTATTGTCATGCCTTATCCATGATTTGAAGAGGTTTTTATCATGTATTTTTTTTTTCTGTAACTCGGGATTCACATTTGATCTCTAGTAAAAGAAGTTAAAGAAATGTTCAATTACCAGATCTCATTGAGAAGGTAAGTTTCTGACTGTATTTGGGGTTGTCAAAGATAAAATGTCAAAACTACATAGACTTGTCTTACATTTCTCCAGAGAATGTATTTATTTCCTGTTGTATCCTTAGTATCTAGAACAGTAGCTGGACAGTATTAAATAAATGAGTGAATAAAGGACTCATCCTCAGTTATCAAAACAATCCCAATTTTTAAAGCCATAATTATTTCTCTTTTATTTCCTAATAAGTCAGGTGGTGAGTATCATTGCCTGTGTAAATCATTAGTATCATCTCCCACTATAAAGTTTTATGTTATGTTACTTCTTACTGCCTGACATGCACTTTATTATTAATAAACACTATCCAGTACTATTATTTACCATTTCCATGTAGAACTACCAATATTATCATTTAGCATATTTTCATGTAGAATTACCACTGTATTCATAAATAAGATTGAAGCACTCATTTGCTTAAAATTTCCTGGTAATGCCGGTATAATGCTTAGAATAAACATCAACCTCTTGCCAAGGATTAAGAAGCCATACATGATTAAGCTTTTTTTTTTTTTTTTTTTTTTTTTGTATTTTGAACCTTATCACCTACCATTCTTGGTCTATACACTGAAGGACATTTCCACTTTAGGAATTCTGGCTTTCAGTAAAGGCAAAGTAGCTTATATTAGACTAGCCCTCCTGCTGTTAACAATTAGAAAGTTAAGTGGGAAAAAAACTACTATTCGAAGCCACTAAACAGTGACAAAATTGTCATATTTGAAAATTGTCAGGATTTGAAAACAGCTCCGGATAGATAGAGCTCAAACAAAACATTATTACTGGAAAAATCAGATGAGAGATCTGGGGGCTGCCCGAGTGGCTGGATATTGAGGGGGAGAAATTCTGGAAGGGAGGGTGTTACAGAAAGGAAAACCCCAAAATCTTTGTATAACCCCCATTCAAACTAAACTGCTGACAGTTAGGGTGAGACTCCAAGGAGCTTGCAGGAAGGCAGCAGTTAACAATGACTTTAGTGGATGCACACTACAGGAGAGTCAAGATTGGGAATTAGAGTTATATCAAGTTTGACTGGCTTATGAAGTACCTCAGGATTTCTATTAAAATCACAGAAGAGGCTGGGTGTGGTGGCTCACGCCTGTAGTCCCAGTACTTTGGGAGGCCGAGGCAGGCAGATCATGAGGTCAGGAGATTGAGACCATCCTGGCTAACACACGGTGAAACCCCATCTCTACTAAAAATACAAAAAATTAGCCAGGCATAGTGGCACACGGCTGTAGTCCCGGCTACTAGGGAGGCTTAGGCATGAGAATTGCTTGAACTCGGGAGGTGGAGGTTGCAGTGAGCCAAGATCACGCCACTGCACACTCCAGCCTGGGTGACAGGGTGAGACTCTGTCTCACAAAAAAAAAAAAATTGCAGAAGAACCACACTTTAGGATTAAAGACTACAATCCAAGACTAAGTGATTTAACAATTTAACTGCCTGATAGAAAAAACAATTGGATCCAGAGTCTCTATCGTATCCATACAATATCCAGTATGTAATCAAAAATGACTAGACATATGAACAATTAGAGAAATAGATGACCCATAGTCAAGAGAGGAAGAATAGTTAATATACTAAAACAAACCAGATCTTAGTATTAATAGACAACTTTAAGGTAACCCTAACAAATATGCAAGAGAATCTGAAGGAAAAGTTGAATATAATGAGATTAGGAAATTTCAGGACATATGTGAATACTGTTCAAAAATGAACAGATAAGAAGTTTAAAACTGAAAAAATATATATCCAAAGTAAAAAAAAATTGAATAAGATTCATACTGGATTGGATACAATACAAGAAAACATTAGTAAACTTGAAGATAGTCAAAATAAATTATATATACTGAAGCACAAAGAGAGGCATGACTGAAAAAAATAATGAGCAGAGCCTCTCATGAACTTGGGACAGCAGTATGCCAAGATGTATGCTGAGAGCAGTTGGTTAACCTCATGGCAGAAGGAAAGGATCAGGGTCCTCTGATTTTTAGGATAACAGCCCTAGTCTTCCTGAAAGCAGCTGACTCTTCTGGCACTCACAACTAAAGCTTGTGTGTACTGGAACTCAGGTCTGTCATGGGCAGAACAGAGGCTGGCTAGACTTCACCTCAATTCCCATTCCTACTGACCCTTCTTTCAGTCCATTGGTTTGACTTTTGCTTCTGCTGCTATGACAGATATCTGGCTCAACTTGTTTTCATGCCATACTGAAATCCTAAACTTTACAGTCTCCTTCCTGAGCACTGAGCAGTCTCATTGGTGTGGTCTGGCCTAGAAAATGATACAGTTGCAATCAGAGAGGTGACCACTTTTCAGAATCACAAATGGGGAGCAAGACAATACCTTCTCCTTGCCCTCCATCCTTTCCTACCACTTTCACTCTTAATACCACAGGTACTCTATAACTAGCATGGAGAAAGGAAATCTTTCTTGCTTTCTCTGTGATCTCTAACAAATTACCAGGCCAGGAAATAATATGTTTATGTCCTGTACCTCTTCTCCTCTCCTTTCTGTCCTTAAGATGTATTCTGTGGCTTCATTGTCAAAGGCAGAAGGGGAAACTCCTCTATTCTACAAAAGAATGCTGCAAGTTTAACACCTGAGCTACTAAAAGCAAAAGGAGGATAGAGGACATTGGGAAATCCTATCTTAAGACAGTTGACTGACTATTATGTTACATTATAATCTTATTTAGCAAGGCAGAATCTGACTGTATTAGTTCATTCTCATGCTGCTATTAATAATAAAGACATACCCAAGACTGGGTAATTTATAAAGGAAAGAGATTTAATTGACATGCACTTCTGCATGGCTGAGGAGGCCTCAGGAAACTTACAATCATGGTGGAAGAAGAAGCAAACATGTCCTTCTTCATATAGTGGCAGGAAGGAGAAGTGCAGAGGGAAAGGGGGAAAAGCCCCTGACAAAACCATCAGATCTCATGAGAACTCACTCACTGTCATGAGAACAGCATGGTGGGACTGCCTCCATGATCTAATCACCTCCCATGAGGTCCCTCCCCCAACACATGGGAATTACAATTCACATTACAATTCAAGATGAGATTTGGGTGGGGACACAGAGCCAGACCATATCACTATTATCTGCCTTTGTATTCCTTTTTCAGCAAATTCTGCTGTCTCTCTAGATTGCCAAAGATTACTAGCACTAAGGTGGAGGGGGGTGGTAAGAAAGAGGGGGAGTAAAATAATTTTTTTGAAATATTATTATTCTCAATTTTTTTTTATTTATGACTATGCAATATGAACAGAGCTGGAATTTATAAATCCATTTCAGGATAACTTTAATAGTCATATGAGTCCTGAAGCCCCTTGCATTTTAGACAAAGCTCATTATCACAGGATGCTGTTACTGGGGAAGGGGAGAGCTGTGGTCATGAGCCTTATGATATTGCTTTATAAAAGTGACTCCTCTTTTTCCCCAACTCTGAATCTCTGTCACCATATCAAATGTAGGTTTCTCAGGATGAAATTGAGAGTAATTTTCATCCCTGAAATTTCCTAGTAGATTCTTTTCTCCAACTTTAATTATCACCTCCTGCGGACCATTATAAACTGTATCAGATTTCATTCATATCAAGCATTGAATTATGGATCAAATGATCACATTAAATTATGATTATTTTTAATTCCCAGGCATGTGTTTATTATTGAAGGAATTCTCACACTTCTTTTCAAAACATGTTCTCAAGTGAATCTAGTGATAAATATACAAATTTATTTATGGTAATCAAAAAAAGAAGATTTAGCATAATGACTGATGGCATACTCATTTAGAGACAGATGTTCAGGGGATTTAATTCAAAAAAAGGAAGTTTTTAAACTTCTTCATTTTGACACACACTCTCTCTCTCTGTCTACATATATATGTGTGCGTGGGTGACATACATATATTGCAGAACAATCCCCTCAGGAGCAATGAATTTCAGATGTGTTGTCTCTGCTGTTTTATTAATGACACTATCTGGTGGGCATCAATGAGTCACACGAGGGCTGCAACAGATTTCTGTCTTTTCTTAAATGTCTTGTTCTGGTTTCTATCAATACAGCAAGATAAAAAAACAACTCATGCGCATAAACCTTAGGCTGATGTAGCAGCTGAGTTTTATGTGTATAACTAGAATTCTAAATATTTAATGTATAGAGTTCTTTCTAATTTCAGAAGAAATATGAAGGCAGTGCTCCTGAAATCCTACACGCTAGTCTATCATTTAAATCCAAAAGTGAAGGATTATGGTTCAGAAGACTTCAAGTTGGCATTTGATGGTTCAGAGGAAATGAAGCCATTTCAGAGTAAACTGCATATTTTCTAAGAAGAGAAGAAATTTTTGGATGTGTATTTTATTTTCTGCATAGTAGCCATGATATTTCCCATGATCAGAAAAGCATAACATAAAGCCTAACAGCGCTGTGAAAAACAAAGTTATTCCTCAGAAACAAGGTACAGTATCTATAATTGGAAAAAATAGAACTACTAAAAATATGGAAAAAAATTTTCTATAATAAAAATATTAATCTCATGATATTGTGAAAGCATCACTACTCTCTTAAGCTTTGTCTATCATAATGTATAGTCTATATATTTGCTTTAATAGTAATAGAGTGTGAAAAATAAAATATTCACTGATCAAATACAGTAGGAATA
This sequence comes from Homo sapiens, assembly GCF_000001405.40. Lineage (NCBI taxonomy): Eukaryota > Metazoa > Chordata > Mammalia > Primates > Hominidae > Homo > Homo sapiens. The sequence continues at coordinate 102,623,178 of NC_000005.10, forward strand.
GCTGTAAAAATTGTCTAGGTCAAAAAAGAAAAGCAGGATGAGTTTGAACCTCACCAAAATAACTCTCTCTAGATCTCTCTCTCTCTTCCTCTTTGGTTTTTTCACTGTATCTACCTAGAAAACCAAAAGCCCCAGAGGTTACATGAAAAAATATTTTAAACCTCATTCAAATTATTTAATAAGAAAATCCATGCCTCATCAAGGTAATAGGGATGGGTCTATCCGGCATAAAAAGTGCCAGAAGATAGCCAGCTTCCTCCTCCTAGAAAGATTATCACAGTACTGGGCTGAGGGATCTTTGATAAATACATGCGAAATGAAGATTTATTTAGGTGACGTCAAGACTATATATTCAGATAATACCAGGGTATTTGGGCAGGACAAGCAGGAACATTCCTCTGTTTTTAAAAAGGAAACACCTTTTACATCATTAGAAGTGTACATCTCACAGGCAGTTCAGGAACCAGTTTTTCCACATTTATCTTAAATCACATTTGAGGTACTGAATCCTACAAATAAGTATAATTAACATAAAAAGAACACATTTAATGACATTTTAAATAAAAAACAGCATTGAAATCTGAGGCTTAGCCAGATGCCTACTTAAAATTGACTAAACTGTTTCAAACGCTGTGTCTTTAAATTAATTTATGTTGAACACAGTGGGTACCAGAGTCAATTCTGGTTACTATGACAACAGACACTGAAAATTTAAAGATCCAGCAGCAGGCTCAATTCCCTGCAAAGAGGGTTATTTTACATTAAAATTACATACCACTGTAACAGTTTCAATGAAACATGTTAAACAGATATACATGCAAGTCATCTTTTTAAAAGACAATTTAATTAGTGTATATGAGATACAATGCTTATCATTTTAACTTAAATTTCCTCCTAGCTAGATTTAAAGAGTGAATTAGAAACTAAATATCAGAAAGCAAGCAACTAATTATCAAAATGCTACACTAGGGAAGAAGAAAAGATATCTAAACTAATCATGTAATAAATACACCACAGACTATCAGTCTATACTATTTGCTTTGCAAATCTATCCTTGGCTAGTGGGCTAGTTTCATAAGATGGAAACTTAACAGAACAACCACAACAATAGAAGAGGGAACATGCATTCATATGAACACACTGAATTTTTTAGATTAATAAAATGCATAATGATTTCTCTAAAGAGTCCTTTAATAGGCTGTAAAATTACTGGATTTGAAAATGATTGTGTTTTGTTTTATTCCAATACAGTTTTTATGGGGTCAAGGCTCATCAATTCTACCAAATAAATATACTGACTCATGTAGACCAAAAAGCAGTCACCCTGTGTATATAAACCGAGTGAAGGGAAACGAGGTGTGAGGGGCTGTCAATTAGTGCATGCCAAAGAGGAGAGGAAGGTAGAGGCCTCCCGAAGTGGCACTCCTCCCTGTCTCTCCTTGCATTCAAGCACGAAGGGCAAGGGAAATGCCTGCTTGGTTCTGACTTAATGCACATCATGATAGCAGTTTCCCAATCGGTCTTTAAAAACACTCACGTGCACACACTTTTCAGGACAGGCCATTTTCCTGTTGTTTAGTCTGCTAAAGTGTAACATCAGTCTTGATCTGGTTCATCTTGAGATATTGATTAAAATTGGTACCGTACATTATGTCTCTGATATATGTCCCTGAATAAGGTTAACTTCATTCAAAATAGAGAGATTTCCTTTTTGTATTCATCTTATAACTCTCAAATTAGATTCTTGAATCAAATTTCATTTTTACAAACCCTTGTTTGAAAGAAAAACGGGAGGTAGGGAAGACTAGAAAGAATTATTTTCCTCTCCATAAGTGGGTCCCCTATACTAAAGATTTTCCTAACACACAAGAATTGAGTCTATGAAAGATCTCAAGCATCTAAGGGATATTTATTCAGTTTGTTGACTATTTTTAACAGTTTATAAGGATGCTTGAATATTCCACTTTCTTATCTCAATTTTGCTACTTCACAAAGACAAGAATCAAAAAGAAAGAAAACACTACTGGTCTCCAAAATATACAGTGTCCTTGGCATATAGACTATGAAGACAAAAATCAATGAGAATGTCCACATTTCAAATATATTTTAGAGTTGGAAAATCAAACTGTTTTAATATATGAAATCCAATATTGCTTCTCCACTCTGAAATTATAGGACATCAATTATGTTGAAAACATGTTCATCATCAGAATAAATTACTCATGATGTTTCAGAAGAAGAAAAATTTTCTATTAGGAAAAAAAAACATGGCTCAAAAATCTTTGTTCATGTTATGTAAGTTTTCATTTGTTTCTTTTCAAGTGGTTTGAAAATAAAGAAGCTGCTAAAATCCAGTGGGTAGAGAACTATAAACAAGACACTAATTTTGTATTTTTAAAACTGTGTGTTCATGTAATCTAAATGGAACAGTTTGTTCTATTAAAACCATCCTTCAGTTTGCAAGAGCCCTCTTTAGGTATTTATAGGCCTTCAGATAGGCTCCAACTGTTATAGTTTACAATGACTTTTCACACATTCCTGTTTAACTTATCAGCAACAACATTTATGGATGTGTTACATGGCATAAGAAATTATTTTTATTTAATTTGTATCTCTTAAAAATCATTCAGTGTCCATGTAGAGTAAATAATACACATCTGTTTAACATTACTAATTAAGCATTACAGTCTAACATATATATAGCCTCCCTTTACCCAGTCAAATTTTTAAAAATATATTCAACAACCATCATGAGCAAGGCACTGTAAAAAAAATATAGTCTCATAGAACAGATAAGACTCTCCCAATATGGACCATGCAAACGATGCTGAGAGGAGATAGTAAAAATGCTTTTTACCTGAGTGGGTTACGAAAAACTTTTTGGAAGAGGTACATTTGTTCTAAAGCTTGAATTTGCAGAGTTTACGAGCTTATACAGATGGGAAAGGAAGGACTTTCCAAGAAGTAGAGCCAATATAAACACAGACACAAAGAGAGGATGTGTATGCTCTTCCAAAGATCCTAAAAAGACCTGTTGGTGGATTGAAGCTCTATCCAAGAAAATTTCAAATCCCAGTCTAAAGAATGTGGAATTTGTTATTTAGGCAAGATGATTTTGGAGCAATGAAATGGCAAGGGGTGAGGTGTTCAGTAAAATCCACATGGCAAAAAAAAAAACTGTAGATGGACTGGAGTGGCAAGCCATGAATTGAAGACACAGTATAAAAGGTTTAGTCCAAGTGAGGCTGAAAGGTCTGGACTAGGGCAATAGCAGGATAGCTATGACAAAGAGAGTTTAGAAATATTGCAGAGGGCTGCGCACAGTGGCTCATGCCTATAATCCCAGGACTTCGGGAGGCTGAGGTGGGAGGATCACTTGAGCCCAAGTGGTTGAGGCTGTGGTGAGCTATGATTGCATGCCACGTTATTGCCCTCCAGCCTGGGGAAGAGAGCAAGACCTGGTTGGAAAGAAGGAAGGAAAAGAAATATTGCAGAGGTAGAATGAAGATAATTTGGTAAAGGCCAGTTTGAGGTCCCCATATTTAATGGTTAGGATACTTGATATGTTAAAGAATATGACTATATCAGAGTAGATACTACTAAATCATACTGCATTTTGGAATTGCAGAGCAAATAGTAATGTCTTCATTTTGTGCTAGCTACCGTGATCTTCCTTTTGATTCTTCATGCCCACTCCTCTGCTAACTAAATCGGCAAAAAATGAACTAAGTAGGCAATTGTTAAAGCTTAATAAAATGCAATAAGCAAAATAATCCCTTTAAGTGGTACTTAGTCTCTATAAGATAAAAATGTTATTTTTCTTAGATAGTCTCACCTTCCCCCTTCTTTGCTCTGCAAGTGGTGAATGGGTATATGAGCGAAGAGCTATGGGGACCTTCTTATATGACCTTGTGGTGCTGAGGAACTATAAGGTCCTTATGCTATCTTTTCATCTTCTGGCCTTTGGGCGATGCCCTTGGCTATCTCATTCCTTGGGGTCCTATGGACCTCCAGGACAGAAGCACAGGAACTTTGAAGTTTTTTTTAACTTTTTGATATTCTTGGTTCAAGTAATGCTCCTAGTGATGGCTCCTGGCTATTCTGAGTGCACCTAAACTTCTCCCATAGGTCTATAGGAGGTCTGCCTTTAACACCACTCAGCCCCAGCTCAGGCTGTCCACTCAGCAGCCCTTGCTGAGAAGCCACCTTTCCCCACTGCACAAAACCCCTCTGGAAAGCTTTCAAATTAGACTCTTTTCTACACCACAAGGAAAGCAAGAATAGGCTGGAAAAACTAACCAACAGGATCTGAGTGATGAATCATGCTGGAGACATTCAAATTTATTTGACTGTTAATGTAATCTAGATCAGTATAGGGCAGTTTGTTAGATGATATAGGAAACATGAGTCATCTGCTATCACTGTAGTATCCTCACTAATATACCTGTCCCTCTCTAGACCAATTCCAAATAAGTGAAAATCTGAGCAGACATCTAAATGTCTCTGCTCCTAGACCTTTTCTCTCTTACTCTTCTCATAGCATTTCAAGGTCAGGAAGAGGCAGCTTTTCATTTATATCTTTTTAATCATAGTCTCCTTCCAGGTTCCATCTGAGCCCCATGATAGGCAAAGGCTGAGACCTCCAGTTTGATTGTTAATATAGCTTATTGACAACATGGTACAAGACATTCTGTTGCTAATGTGGCAACTGAGGGAACCAAAAAAATTTAGAAAATCCTTCCTTAAGACAATAGCCTGGCTTGTAAGAATACTAACTTGCTGTACAATCCTATGTTGCATACCAAAAGCTTAATATTACCTAAATATCTTAATTTCCCAGAGGCAGGGATGCCTCAGGTAAACTAGTTGAAAGACCCCCTATGAGGAAAAATACTGGAAAAGCACATTAATATCTTTCAAAATATTATCCATTTTATAAATGGATCTATGCAATTAGCATTACGTAGTATTTCCAAAATGAATAATTATGGAGACTTCAAAAATGTTCACAATGAATACAATATATGTTACATGAAAGTGGATGCTCCTTTAAGACTAATCAACATTTATGTCTATTCAATACAAAAATTGAATAAGCACAGTGATGCTGTATCTAAGACTAGGTGTGAGAGCAGGAATACAGGGCTTGGTATTTCAGTCAACAGGTTAATGAATTTAGTAAATTTCAATAGTCAATGAATTGGTTGACTCTCTGATATACAAACTGAAGTTACTAAAGCACAAAAAAAAGGTTAGAAAAAGAAACATATAACTTATGTTGATAACACTTGCCTCTGTACCAGTTACTGGTCTTAGATGTAGCCATCAACCAATGACAAATGAGAAACTTGTGGACAACACACCTCAGCTTCCCTAACTCTGAGGTGCACCATCTACACGGCTGCTCAGTTTTCATGAAAATGACTGCCAATTTAGCCACAGTGGTGACTTGCTTGATCACAAACTCTTTTCTGACTTCCTCTTCTTCACTGTCTAACTCGCCCACACCCTTGCTGCTGTTTCCTGGGATGACCTGGAATAAGCCACTTACTCTTGCATCTGTGTCTCACAAAATGTTTCACAGGGAAACAAAATAAAGGCCAGAGCTCTTGACCATGGCTTGCCTTCTTTGTCTGCCTGAGAGGAATCTCTGAAGCCTGGGAGCCCAAATCATACAGAAATTCATGTCTGAAGTATTCTCATGTCTCCTTTTTAATCCTTCAGTTAAAACCAGAATGACAAATTTTCCGTTAATAAAACAGAGTGGGTGTTTTTCCCCTGAGGACTCCCTCTTCCAGTAGTGCAGCTGGCACAAAGATGTCTCAAGCCTCTTTGAGAAGGTCAGTGAGCTCTGACTCAGCCCTGTCCTCCCAGATTTATACTTGGAGCTAGCAGGTTTTTCAGCCCAAACCTGTTTTTATATAGAATAAAAAATTCAACTAAGTAACTAAAAATCTTCACTGTCTATGAATCAAAGGATTTTAAAAGTACCAAGTTCCCAGGAGTCATTAATCCAAACTTCATATTGTCTTCATATTTCTACAAAAAGTAGTATTATCCAGTCTCTTTTTAATCAATAAAACACAAACACTCTCTCAAAATGTTTGTTTGAGCGTTCATCTAAACTGGAAGTCACAGCTCAAACTATGGAACTATGAAGACCTGGTTTCAAATCCTAGCTACAATTCTTGCTGGCAATGACACCAAGCATATTACTTAACCCCTTAGGCCTTCATTTCTTCTTCCCCAAGTTAGAAATAATAAAATACTTAAATTTTACAGTGGCCATTAAGAACAAATGAAATGATTTGTAAAGTCTAATACATAGTAAATGTTTGTGTTAATTTCTTTTTAAAACATCTGGTAATCTTCCTTCTTTCAATGAACATTTATTGAGCATCTGTTTGTTGCTAGACCCTATGATAAATAAAATACAATCTTTCTCCTACCTCCAAGAGCTTATGGTCTATTGGGGAGACAAATATGTGTTTTAAATTTAATAATTAAAATGTATATAATATATTATCTTATGCTCAATATATAATTGCACAAATATGTATTAAAGTGAATAATTATAATAAAAAAATTTTAATACAACAACAGTAAAAGTGCTATCTAAAATTTCTAGGCCACAGTAGTATTCAGATACTTGTGTCTACTTATCCTATATATAGCGGATTACATTTTATAACTTTGTAAATCTTAAGAACCATTCTCTTGCCATTACCAGAGTGTTAATGTTTGGATGGTTGATACTGAAGAAAGTAAGAATGAAAGTGCTGTTCAAGCCCTGGGTCATGGTAAATGTGAGGAGAAAATCGTGTCCATGTAAGGCTTTGTAGTGGTCTAAGAGATATGAATTGCTGTTCACCTTATCATGTCACTTCACTAAAATTACCATCAGTGTCATAAACTGATATCAATTAGCTAAGTGCTTAGGGGTCTGGGAAGTTTAAGATTCTCCTGACAAAAATACCTAGTAACATGTTTTGTTGATCACTGTAGCAAAAAGCTCACCCTGCTTCCTGTCCTACACATTTCTAGCATGTTTTATTCTTGTCTAAGAGAGCATTTTGTGTATGTCTGTCATGTCCTTGACCCAGCTTACCCCAAACCTGTTAATTTCCATAGCTGATGTTCACATACCATTCCTTACATGGGGAGCACACAGCACACACACACACCCTCCCAGACCTTCTCTCACACCCACAGGGATGAGCAGGGTGCCATTGGCCCGTATCATTCACAAGAGGATGAGTCTGTTGATAAAGTGACGCAAGCTCCACCTGCAGATTTGGTGAGGTGTCTAATTAAGGCAAGCAGAGACATAGCTGACACTCATAACTCAACCATAAAGCATTTATCACCTTAATACCTAGGTCTCAGACCTGATTTTTAAACTATTTGTTCCTGATACATCACCAACTTTCTTACAGGAATGATAAAAAGATGTCTCTCCACACGTGGAAGGCCAATCAAGCCTTTATCCAAACCTTGTCCTCTCATCCATGTAAAAGCAAGCTCTTAACTTTATAAGAACCATTTGCCTACAAGACATGCATTTCTTGTAATTATTCTTACTTCTGGAACATTTTCAACCTCCTTAATCTTAACTCTTCAGATATCAGATATATCTTTTGTAAGGTCAAACATAACTTTATTTCTGCTATTTAATAAGCATTATATTTTCTTTTATAAAAAAAGATCAATTCTGCAATTAAACATCAAGCTGACCACTTTTTTTTAATTCTAGAAAAAGCTTTTTTTTTCCATAGGTTATTGGGGTACAGGTGGTGTTTGGTCGCATGAGTAAGTTCTTTAGTGGTGATCTGTGAGATTTTGGTGCGCCCATCACCTGAGCAGTATACACTGCACTCTATTTTATCCCTTGTTTCCCTTCCACCCTTCCCAGAAGTCCCCAAAGTCAATTGTATCTTTCGCAAGCCTTTGAGCGTCTTCATAACTTAGCTCCCACATATCAGTGAGAACATATGATGTTTGATTTTCCATTCCTGAGTTACTTCATTTAGAATAATAGTCTGCAGTCTTATCCAGGTCACTGTAAATGCCACTAATTCATTCCTTTTTATGGCTGAGTAGTATTCCATCATATCTATAACTATATCTATATAGATAAAGATATCACAGTTTCTTTATCCACTCATTGATTAATAGGCATTTGGGTTGGCTCCACAATTTTTCCATTGTGAATTGTGCTGCTATAAACATGCATGTGCAAGTATCTTTTGTGTACAATGACTTCTTTTCCTCTGGGTAGATACCCAGTAGTGGGATTGCTGGATCAAATGGTAGATCTACTTTTAGTTATTTAAGGAATCTCCACACTGTTTTCCACAGTGGTTGTACTAGTTTACATTCCAACCAGCAGTGTAGAAGTGTTCCCTGATCACTACATTCATGCCAACATCTACTATTTTTTGATTTTTTTGATCATGGTCATTCTTGCAGGTATAAAGTGGTATTGTATTGCAGTTTTGATTTGCATTTCCCTGATCATTAGAGATGTTGAGCATTTTTTCATGTTTATTGGCCTATTGGTCATTTGTATATCTTCTTTTGAGAAATGTCTATTCATGTCCTTAGCCCACTTTTTGATAGGATTGTTTGTTTTTTTTTCTTGCTCATTAAATAACCTTCTCCTGAATGATCATTGGGTCAAAAATGAAATCAAGATGGAAATTAAAAAATTATTTGAACTGAATGACAATAGTGACACAACCTATCAAAACCTCTGGGATACATCAAAAGGCGGTGCTAAGAGGAAAGTTCATAGCCCTAAATGCCTACATCAAAAAGACTGAAAGGGCACAAACTGACAATCTAAGATCACACCTCCAGGAACTAGAACAAACCAAACTCAAACCCAGCAGAAGAAAGGAAATAACCAAGATCAGAGCAGAACTAAATGAAATTGAAACAAAAAAATACAAAAGATAAATGAAACAAAAAGCTGGCTCTTTCAAAAGATAAATAAAATTGATAGTCCATTAGCAAGATAAACCAAGAAAAGAAGAGAGAAAATGCAAATAAGAAACGAAATGAGAGATATTACAACTGACACCACAGAAATACCAACGATCATTCAAGGCTACTATGAACACCTTTATGTGCATAAACTAGAAAACCTAGAAGAGATGGATAAATTCCTGGAAAGATACAATTCTTCTAGCTTAAATCAGGAAAAATTAGACATCCTGAACAGACTGATAACAAGCAGCGAGATTGAAATGGTAATTTAAAAATTACCAACAAAACCTTCACCCACTTTTTGATGAGGTTGTTTGATTTTTTCTTGTAAATTTGTTTAAGTTCTTTGTAGATTCTGGATATTTGCCCTTTGTCAGATAGGTAGATTGTGAAAATTTTCTCCCATTTTGTAGGTTGCCTGTTCACTCTGATGGTAGTTTTTTTTTTGCTGTGCAGAAGCTCTTTAGTTTAATTAGATCCCATTTGTCTATTTTGGCTTTTGTTGCCATTGCTTTTGGTGTTTTAGTCATGAAGTCCTTGCCCATGTCTATGTCCTGAATGGTATATGAACAGACACTTCTCAAAAGAAGACATTTATGCAGCCAAAAGACACATGAAGAAATGCTCATCATCACTGGCCATCAGAGAAATGCAAATCAAAACCACAATGAGATACCATCTCACACCAGTCAGAATGGTGATCATTAAAAAGTCAGGAAACAACAGGTGCTGGAGAAGATGTGGAGAAATAGGAAAACTTTTACACTGTTGGTGGGACTGTAAACTAGTTCAACCATTGTGGAAGTCGGTGTGGTGATTCCTCAAGGATCTAGAACTAGAAATACCATTTGACCCAGCCATCCCATTACTGGGTATATATCCAAAGGATTATGAATCATGCTGCTATAAAGACACATGCACATGTATGTTTATTGCGGCACTATTCACAATAGCAAAGACTTGGAACCAATCCAAATGTCCATCAATGATAGACTGGATTAAGAAAATGTGGCACATATACACCATGGAATACTATGCAGCCATAAAAAAGGATGAGTTCATGTCCTTTGTAGGGACATGGATGAAGCTGGAAACCATCATTCTAAGCAAACTATCACAAGGACAGAAAACCAAACACTGCATGTTCTCACTCATAGGTGGGAATTAAACAATGAGAACACTTGGACACAGGATGGGGAACATCACACACTGGGGCCTGTCATGGGGTGGGGGGAGTGGGGAGGGATAGCACTAGGAGATATACCTAATGTAAATGATGAGTTAATTGATGCAGCACACCAACATGGCACATGTATACATATGTAACAAACCTGCACGTTGTGCACATGTACCCTAGAACTTAAAGTATATATATATATGAAATAAAACAGTGTTCAGAGCTCCCTCCCCCCAAAAAAAGCTCCTAAGTTTACTTTCAATTTCTCTCTCAGCTCAGTGGGAAACGTTGTAGCAAGGGCTACAGTCAAAGGATTTTTTGTTAGTTTGTTTGTTTAGATAAAGAAAACCTCTAATCCATGAAAAAAAAATTACCAACAAAAAAAATCCAGGACCAGATGGATTCACAGCAGAATTCTACCATTCAAAGAAGAATTGGTATCAATCCTATTGACATTATTCCACAAAATAGAAGGAGGGAACCCTCCCTAATTCATTGTATGAAGCCAGCATCATCCTAATACCAAAACCGGGGAAGGACATACCCAAAAAAGAAAACTACAGACCGATATCCCTGATATCCTGTTGTTAAGGATGCTAAAATCCTTAACAAAATACTAGCTAACTGAATCCAATAACATATCAAAAGGATAATTCACCATGATCAAGTGGGTTTCATACCAGGAATGCAGGGTTGGTTTAACGTATGCAAGTCAATATATGTAATACACCACATAAACAGAATTAAAAACAAAAATCACATGATCATCTCAATAGATGCAGAGAAAGCATTTGACAAAATCCAGCATCCCTTTATGATTAAAACTTAGCAAACTCAGCATACAAGGGACATATTTCAATCTAATAAAAGCCATCTATGACAAACATGCAGCCAACATAATACTGAATGGGGAAAAGTTGAAAGCATTCCCTGTGAAAACTGGAACAAGACAAAGATGCCCACTCCTCTTCAGTGTAGTACTGGAAGTCCTAGCCAGAGCAATCAGACAAGAGAAAGAAATAAAAGACATCCAAATCAGTAAAGAGGAAGTCATACTGTTACTGTTTGCTCATGACATGATTGTTTACTTCAAAAACCCTAAAGACTTCTCCAGAAAGCTCCTAGAACAGATGAAAGAATTCAGCAAAGTTTCTGCATACGAAATTAATGTACACAAATCAGTAGCTCTTCTATACATCAACAGTGACCAAGAAGAGAATCAAATCAAGTACTCAACTCCTTTTACATCTGCAAAATAAATAAATAAATAAATAAATAAATAAATAAATAAATAAATAAATAAAGTACTTAGGAATATACCTAACCAAGGAGGTGAAAGACCTCTACAAGGAAAACTACAAAACGCTACTGAAAGAAATAGTAGATGACACAAACAAATGGAATTACATCCCATTCTCATGAATGGGTAGAATCAATATTGTGAAAATGACCATACTGCCAAGAGCAATCTACAAAGTCAATGCAACTCCCATCAAAGTACCACCATCATTCTTCACAGAATTAGAAAAAACAATTCTAAAATTCATATGGAACCAAAAAAGAGCCTGCATAGCCCAAGCAAGACTAAGCAAAAATAACAAATCTGGAGGCATCACATTATCTGATTTCAAACTATACTATAAGGCCATAGTCACCAAAACATCACGATATTGGTATAAAAATAGGCATGTAGACCGAAGGAACAGAATAGATAACCCAGAAATAAACCCAAACACTTACAGCCAACTGATCTTTGACAAAGCAAACAAAAACATAAAGTGAAAGGCTAGGTGCGGTGGCACACGCCTGTAATCCCAGCACTCTGGGAGGCCAGGGTGGGCAGATCACTTGAAGTCAGGAGTTCAAAACCAGCCTGGGCAGCATGGTGAAGGTCCATCTCCACCAAAAAAATACAAAAATTAGCTGAGGGTGGTAGCACGTGCCTTTAGTCCCAGCTACTCGGGAGGTTGAGGCAAGAGAACTGCTTGAACCTAGAACGCAGAGGTTGCAGTGAGCTGAGATCACCCCACTGCAATCCAGCCTGGGTGACAGGGTGGCAGAGGGATACTCTGTCTCAAAAAAAAAAAAAAAAAAAAACCACAAAGTAGGGTAAGAACACCCTTTTCAACAAATAGTTCTGGGATTATTGGCTATCCACATGTAGGAGAATGAAACTGGATCCTCATCTCTCACCTTATACAACTCAAGATGGATTAAGGACTTAAATCTAAGACCGGAAACTATAAAAATCCTAGAAGATAATGTTGGAAAAACCCTTCTAGACATTGGCTTAGGCAAGGATTTCCATGACCAAGAGCCCCAAAGCAAATGCAATAAAATAAAGATAACTAGATGGGACTTAATTAAACTAAAGAACTTTTGCACAGCAAAAGGAACAGTCAGCAGAGTAAACAGACAAACCACAGAGTGGGAGAAAATCTTTACAATCTATACATTTGATAAAGGAGTAATATCCAGAATCTACAATGAACTCAAACAAATCAGCTAGAAAAGCTTCTCTTTAATTATTTTGGGAGAAAGTCTTTATGCTTATTAAAAAAAAAACCTTAGGAATTACCTTTTCCAGTATAACTGACTCTTTTCTATCATAAATTCGACCAGTCATTTATTGGCATGAAGAAATGGCAAAAGATCAGAAAGAGGTAGCAAGAGCCAAGGAACCAACACCACTGTTTTGAGTTGTATGTTGTTGTTGTTGTTGTTGTTGTCATTTGGTGTAATCCACAAGGGAGTTAAGAAAACAAAGAGAGCCCTGAGCAAATAAGAGCCAGGAGCTTACCATTTGGAGAACTTCCAGGATGTTCTCCATGGAATCATCTGTGATGCTTCTTCTCACATGTGACTTTCACAGGGTAGTGAAGGAGGTTGAGATACACAATGGATTATCCTAGTTCACTAGTAGAGACAATGTGGAATACACCTGGAAAACTGAGTCACATACATAGAGGAAACGTGATTAACTGAATAATTGAAGGTTATTACTAGCAACTCAATTATAGATGGATAACCTGTGAGAGGCAGCACTGGAAAAAGAAGGCAGGTCATAGAGATTGAGGAAGAGGCTTTTTACTGGTTTCTTTGAAAAGTATATCCCCCCATCTAGACAGCTACTATGACCCAATAGTGGTACCTGCATCGCTTCAACTTCAGAGCTACCTATGCAGTACAAGCCCTTCATTTTACAAATTAGAAAATGGAGGCTCTACTTTCCTAAGATCAAACCACTATTTAGTGGCAGACTTTGATTCAAATGTAAATTTTCTGCCTCTTGTCTCAGTTCTCTTTTTACTCTGCCTTGGCTAAAATACATCCAGAATCTTGATAGTTTTATCATAATCAAGAATAATTACCCTTTCTTATTTAAGTCCATGTTATGTTTCAGGCACTATAAAAGGAGCTTTATCTAGAATATCCCATTTAATTTTGCAATGGTTTAAATGAGATAGATACTGTTTTATCTATATTGCATGAATAAAACAAAGCTTGATGATATTGAATTATGGGCAGCATAAAATCATATGACTAGTAAATGGTAAAACCACCATTTGGATCTATGCCTGTCTAAATTCCACTAGAAGTAAGGGGCAAGTTGTGAAGATTAACTGTGGCCCAAGGATCTACACATGTACCATCTCTTCATCTCCATTACTATGGCCTTAGTTAAGGGTTTTATCCTTGCTTAGACTATTGCAATAGTTTTCTAACCAATCTATTTTCATCTCTTCCTTGCCAGTCCATCTTCTACACTTAAAACAGAATTATATTTTTAAAATCCATAATTCGTTATCAAATTATCCTGTTATTTCTTAGTTCATACAGTTAATAAGCATCAGAGTAAGAATCAGAGACCCTGGACTTCCCTTTAGTTTACTTAGATCTGGGGTTCTTTTCTCTAATCCTCACTAATTAATAAAAATATAATAATTGTTAACAACATAATCATGAAATATAATCACCCTTTATAACACCTTAATCCTAAAGATAGTTCCTGAAATGTTATATAGTTATTAGAAGATGAAGTTATAAGTTTTTTTTTTGTTTCTTGTTGTTTGTTTTTTTTTTGAGACGGAGTCTTGCTCTGTCGCCCAGGCTGGAGTGCAGAGGCACGATCTCAGCCCACTGCAAGCTCCGCCTCCCAGGTTCACGCCATTCTCCTGCCTCAGCTTCCCGAGTAGCTGGGACTACAGGCGCCCGCCACCACGCCCGGCTAATTTTTTGTATTTTTAGTAGAGATGGGGTTTCACCGTGTTAGCCAGGATGGTCTCGATCTCCTGGCCTCGTGATCCACCCGCCTCAGCATCCCAAAGTGCTGGGATTACAGGCGTGAGCCACCGGGCCGGGCCGAAGTTATAAATTTAATCTTACTACACATGACATTAATCCACTGCAAATACCTGGAGAAAAATCAGTGATTAATAGAAAATCCAAATAAGAACAGTACAATGAACAAAAGTTATGGTATAATCTCATTTATAAATATGGACATATAAATGTTAGTAACTTGAAATAAAAAAAATACTTGTGACTAAACTAGGCTTATTCTACAAATGCAAGGATAGTTTAAATTAGAAAACCTAGTATTGTAATTGAACAAATTAACAAATTAAAGAAGCAAAACCCTCTGGTCATCTGAATAGATGAAGAAAAAATGTTTTATGAAATTCAACACCAAATCATGATAAAAATTTTGAGCAAACTTGGACTGGAACAGGGGTAATGTCTTGGGTCTCAATCCTAGAAACCAGACTAGATAAATGAGCGGTGACTAAAACACTAGGGAGAGGTCTGGAGGAAGTTACACAGTGATCATTTTGTTCATGCTCTAAGTAGCCTGTAAAAGGCACTCTTACCTGGTAACAAGACATTAAGAAGGAGGTGAACTTTTTTTGTATTTTCAAATTACCCACTACTTTAAACAAATTATTAAATATTGTCATGTATCCCAGCCCCAGTTTTGTCACCCCGTGAGGCTATACCTTTTTTAATAGTTCTACTGCCCTTTATAAGGCAGTTGTAAACCACCAATGCTTCAGTTTGATATGAATAAACATGAGGCAAAAAGAAAAAGGAGGAAAAGAGATGAGGAAAGCCTATGCTACACACACACACACACACACACACACACGCACACATACACACACACGAGATCATATCAAATACTCTTAATGGGGCAGAGTTACACAAACTACTTTTTGTCACTGCTTACTCATTATTTCAACAGCAACAGCAGCCCAAATCATATAGTTTAATCTTTACTTTTGCCTTCTAACTAATAAATTCCAACATAAAGACCACATCAAAAACCTCAGAAATGTAGTCCCCTTTAGGGAGAAAGAAGAAAAAAACCCACCTGTTTATAGTTACAGAATTATAAACCTCATTGCTAAAAAAATACTTAGGAAATTATGTAAGGAACCATGATAAGATTGATTTAATCTGGGAGATGAAGCACTCATAGCAATTTGGTCATTTTGTTTATGAGCAAATTGTTTACAGAGTCTTTATGTTGCCACGTTATATGATTATGGTGACAACTAGTGGCAATGTCCTAGGTCTTTAAGAATTACACATTAACAGTGTTTGCCTTTAAAGGGCAAGTGATTCGAGACTATAATTGGAATGAATCATAAAATTTTCTCTTTTCCCTTCAAGGAAAAGTGAAATACAAATAGAATCAGTCCTGAATAATCCAAAACAAATGAAAAGAGTCATGATACAGATAGTCCAAAGGCAGGAGGAATGAAAATAACTGGCACTTAACTTTGGAATGTACTATATGTGGTTCCCAGTGTGGACAACAGATTTTTGTGGCAGCCCTATTTATAGAGCACCTGTGGCCAGGCCCTTGGACAAGGAAGTATCTAAGTCAAATAAAATACGGAGACAAATCTCTCAATTTAAAACATTTTATTTGGGAGGCAAGAATTCCAATTTTGGACATACACACAAACCAGGTGGTCTTCAGTATGTCTAAAGAACAAAGAGAAGTTTGGGAGTTTTATTAGAAAGAGAAATGTTACATATTGTTTTGAAGGAAAGCTCATTGGCACTCCAGAAGCTTTGGGAACTGGCAAGCTCTGGTTGGTGAGTGACTGTAATGAATAAAACCAGTCTTAGAGTTACAGCAGGTCATTTCAGCATCTACTAGGTAAGACTGGTTTTAGGGTTATGGAAGGCCTTTTCAGTAGCTAGATTTGGAGGAAATTTAATTCTTAAGGCAAGTGCTATGTGCCCTGAGTGTTTTTATTCCTTCTGGCCTCTCAAGTCTGATTTAGTTGGGTATGATAAAAATAACCCAATTTGTGTAATTAACTTTCACAGAGACAATAATACTAAAGCCAGTTCAGGCAGAATTGTCTTAAGAAGAAAGTCATCTAGAGTGCTTTTTAAATTGTTTGGTATATTTTAAAAGAACAACTAGATTGTAGTTTAAAAGAACAATTAGATTATAGGCATGGCAGAGGCAATAAATTATATACATATTAATTGAGCTTACTTAAGCATGTCAATAAAATGTATCTGGCATCACTTTTAACGTTCCACCAAAAGTACTCTAAAAAAAGTTGGGGGAGAATAAATTAAGCAAAGTAATCGCTCACATTATGGAACATTTCTCATATGACAGGCATTGTGCTAAGCAACAACACTCTTATATGTAGACCCACCAATTACAGAGAGTCGGGCACTTTTGTAAGGAATTTATATGTATCCCTTCATTTAATCCTTGCATAAATCCTGTGAAACAGCTACTATTATCATGCCCATTTTGCAGGTGAGGAAACAGGGGCACAAAGGGGTAAGTTTACCTAAACACTCAGAGCTGGGGAGTGACAGCGTAAAACCCCAGGCGTTTCTTTTTTTTTTTTTTTTTCCTCTTTAGAATCTTTTTTTTTTATTATTATACTTTAAGTTTTAGGGTACATGTGCACAATGTGCAGGTTAGTTACATATGTATACATGTGCCATGCTGGTGTGCTGCATCCATTAACTCATCATTTAGCATTAGGTATATCTCCTAATGCTATCCCAGGCATTTCACCCCCTCATGGGCTTTTTTAACCACTACCACTGTAATGACTCCTGATGTGAGCAAGAGGCAAAGTGCCTGCATTTTATGTTCATTAGATGGTACTTTGTTAGAAATAGTAATCTGGGGGCATACAGGTCAACGTAACACTTTCTGACCACAGAGCAGATGTGCTTCTGGTTCCTTGAGCAAACACTGGCCCACACATCTCTGATATGTATTTTCATATATCTCTAGGACAATTTTGTCCCTTATGTGTGTCCCTTAGAAAGCAGGATGTTCGGTTTTTTGCTCTTGCGATAGTTTACTGAGAATGATGATTTCCAGTTTCATCCATGTCCCTACAAAGGACATGAACTCATCATTTTTTATGGCTGCATAGTATTCCATGGTGTATATGTGCCACATTTTCTTAATCCAGTCTATCATTGTTGCACATTTGGGTTGGTTCCAAGTCTTTGCTATTGTGAATAATGCCACAATAAACATACGTGTGCGTGCACATGTACCCTAAAACTTAAAGTATAATAAAAAAAAATTTAAGAATAAAAATAAAAAATAAAAAAAAATAAAAAAAAAAAAGAAAGCAGGATGTTCAAAAAAAGAATTGTCATCACTCCCTAACAGGCTTCTGACTTGGAACAACACATTTTATTTGATGTATTTCTTAGGCCTACAAGAGGAAGTGGGTGGAGGGGGTGGAGAAACATAGAGAATAGAAACGTACAATGTTTGTCCCCCTAGCAGGAACACCAAATTTTAACACCTATCTACATACTGAAAAGCTCCATCGCGAGAATCACAAATCAGGTGAGCTATCATAGTACCCTGTTTTAACTTCATATTGCTGAAGCAGGCATTGAAGAGGGTAGTAGAGACAGTCTAGAATTGCCAACACCACCCCTTCCCCAACCCCCAGCAGCAGACATGCAGCATGAAGACGGGGGTCTGTGTTCTTGGGGGAGGGAGCATGCATGACTGGGGGACTTTACATTGAATACAGTGCTACCCTGTCATAGTAGAGAGCAAAGCCAGCCTGGGCTTAACTAGCACCTGCACACAGAGGGAACATTTGGACCAGATGAAGCCAGAGGGGACCTTCCATCCCACACATCTGAACTTGAGTTTCTTGGCAGTCTTGCCATCACAAGCCAAAGTGCTCTGGGGTCCTAGGTAAACTTGAAAGGCAGTCTAGGACACAAGGTCTGCAATTCCTAGGCAACTTCTAGTACAGAGGTGGGCTTAAAGCCAGGGAACCAGGATGGCACATGACTTAGAGAGGTACCAGCAGAGGGATTAAGGGGGTGCTTGAGTCCCCCTTTCCAGTCCCTAGCTCATGGATGACATTTGTAGACATATCCTGGGCCAAAAGAGAAACTATTGCCTTGAAGGGAAGGATCCAGTCCTGGCAGGATTCATCACCTGCTGACTAAAGACCCTTCGGCCCGGAATAACCAGCAGCAATACCTAGATGGTACACTATGGGTCTTGGGCTTGGAGGTGTGTTGGCTTCAGGTATGACCCAGCACATTACCAGCTATAATGGCTATGGTGAAAACCTTTTTCTGTTTGAGAAAAGCAGAGGAAAAAGTAAAGAAAACTTTGTCTTGTACCTTAGGTACCAGCTCATCTATACTGTGGTAGAGCAACAAGCAGGCTCTTGGAGTCCCTGAGTCCAGGCCTAGGCTCTTGGACAGCATTTCTGGACCTGCCCTGAGCCAGAGGAGAGCCCACTGCCCTGAAAGATGAGTCCAAGGCCTGGTTGCATTTACCACAACCTGACTGAAGAGCCCTTTGGCTTTAAATGAATATCAGCAATAGTCTTACAGAAACCTCCCCGGGCCAGTGGTGGTGGTGGCCACAGGGAGAGGCTCCACAGTCTGTGGAAAGGGAAGGGAAGAGCAGGAAGGACTTTATATTGTGGTCTGAGTTCCAGTTTACCTACAGTAGAATAGAACATCAGGTAAATTTCTAAGATTTTTGACTCCAATCCCTGGCTCTCAGATAGCATCTCTGTGCCCACCAGGGGCCTAGGGGAATTCACCACCCTAAAGAGATAGACACAAATCTGTCTGGTTTTGCCATTTGCTGATCACAGAACCCTAGCGACTTGTGTGAAGATAGGTTGTAGCCAGGTTGTGGAGGTTACAAGAGGCCTTGGGTGAGACCCCAGTGTTGTGCTGACTTCAGGTCTGACCCAGTGCAGTCCCAGTGGTGATGGCCATGGGGGTGCTTGCATCACCACACCTCCAGTTCCAGAATGCTCAGCACAGACAGAGAGACTCCATTCATTTGGGAGAAAGTAAGGGGAGAAAAAAAAAAAAGAATCTCTGCCTGGTAATCCAGAAAATTCTTCCAGATCTCCTCCAAGACCGCCAAGGCAGTCCTTTATGACTCTGCAAAAACCACAGTGTTATTGAGCTTGGGACCCAAGTCCCTTTGAATACCTGGAAAGCCTCCCCAAGAAGGATAAGCACAAACACCCAACTGTGAAGACTACAATAAGTATCTAAGTCTTCAAAATTCAGATGCTGATGAACATCTACAAGCATCAAGACCATTCAGGAAAACAGAACCTTACCAAACACACTAAATAAGTCACCACGGACCAATCAGCAAGAAACAGAGGTATGTGATCTTTCAGACATAACTCAAAATAGCTGCTTTGAAGAAATTCAAAGAAATTCAATATAACACAGATAAGAAATTCAAAATTCCACCAGATAAATTTAACAATAAGATTGAAATAATTAAAAACAATCAGGCAGATATTCTAGAGCTGAAAAATGCAATTGACATACTGAAGAATGCAGTAGAGTCTCTTAATAGTGGAATGGATCCAGCAGAAGAAAGAATTAGTGAGCTTAAAGATAGGCTATTTGCCTAAAAGAAAAAGGAATGAAAAAGAATGATGCACCCCCACAAGATATAGAAAATAAACTAAAAAGGGCAAATCTAAGAGTTATTGACCTTAAAAAGGAGGTAGAGAAATAAAAAGGGGTAGAAAGTTTATTCACAGTGATAACAGAGAAACCCCCAAAGCTAGAAAGAGATATCATTCCCAAGTACAAGAAAGTTATACAGCACCAAGCAGATTTAACCTGAAGTGGATTGTCTCAAGGCATTTAGTAGTCAAACTCCCAAAGATCAAGGATTAAGAAAGAATCCTAAAAGCAGCAAGAGAAAAGAAACAAATAACAGATAATGGAGCTCCAATACATCTGGCAGCAGACTTTTCAGTGGAAACTTTACAGGAGAAGAGAGAATAACATGACATATTTAAAGTGCTGAAGGAAAAAATCTTTTACCCTATAATAGTACACTCAGTGAAAATATCCTTTAAGCATGAAGGAGAAATAAAGACTTGCCCACACCAAAGCTAAGGGTTGTCAACACCAGAACTCTCCTACTAGAATTATCCTCCTATCTTTAGCATTTCTAGTGGAGTTTTATTAGTTTTCTTTCTGTTTGTTTGTTTAGGCAAGCAGTGTTAAGTTGTTATCAGGTTAAAATAATGGGTTATCAAATAGCATTTGCAAGACGCATGGTAATCTCAAATCAAAAAAACACACAATGGATACAAAAAAATAAAAATCAAGAAATTAAATCATACCACCAGAGAAAATCACGTTTACTAAAAGGAAGACAGGAAGGAAAGAAAGAAGAAAGAGAAAAATCACAAAACAGACAAAAAACAAATGACAAAATGGCAGGTGTAAACTTCTACTGATCAATAATAACATTGAATGGAAACGCTACAATGAAACAACAGAATGGTTGGATAGATTTAAAAAAAAAAAACCAATGATCTGTTGCCTACAAGAAACACACTTCACTTATAAAGATACATATAGACTGTAAATAAAAGGATGGAAAAAGATATCTTTCTCTTTATTTACAGTCTATATGTATCTTTATAAATGAAGTGTAATTCGATGTAATGAAAACCAAAAAAAAGCAAAAGTCACTCTTTTTATTCCATTACATAATTCAACATAACAAAAATCAAAAAAGAGCAGGAGTATATAAATATATATATACATATATATGTATTACTTATATCAGACAAAATAGATTTCAAGATAAAAGCTATAAGAAGTGACAAAGAAGGTCACTATATAATTATAAAGAGGCCAATTCAGCAAGAGGATATGATGATTTTAAATATATATGCATCCAACACTGGAGCACCCAGATTTATAAAGCAAATATTGTTAGAGAGAAAGAGAGAAATAGAACTCAATCAAATAATCGCTGGAGACTTTAACATCCCACTTTCAGCATGGGAAAAATCTCTCAGACAGAAAATCAACAAAGAAACATCAAATTTAATTTGCACTACAGAACAAATGGATCTAATAGAAATTCACAGAACCTTTCATCCAATAGCTGCAGAAAACACATTCCTTTTCTCAACACATAGATCATTCCCAAGGCTAGACCATATGTTAGGTCACAAAACAAGTCTTAAAACATTTTTTTAAAAAAATTTAAATCATATCAAGAATCTTCTCTGACCACAATGGAATAAAAGTAGATATCAATAACAAGAGAAATTTTGGAAAATATACAAACATATGGAAATTAAACAATATGCTCCTAAATGACCAGTGGGTCAATGAAGAAATTAAAAAGGAAACTGAAAAATTATTGAAACAAATGATAATGGAAACAACATACCAAAATTTATGGGATGCAGCAATAGCAGTACTAAGAGAGAAATGTATAGCCACAAGTGCGTACATCAGAAAAGAAGAAAACCTTTGAATAAATAACCTAACCATGCATCTTAAAGAACTAGAAAAGCAAGAATAAATCAAACTCAAATTAGTGGAAGAAAAGAAATAATAAAAAGCATAGCAGAAATTAATGAATTTGAAATTTAAAAAACAGTACAAAAGATCAATGAAACAAAAAGATGGGTTTTTTGAAAAGATAAACAAAATTGACAAACCTTTTGCCAGACTGATAAAAAATGAGAAGATCCCAATAAATAAAATCAGAGATGAAATGGGAGACATTACAACTAATATCATAGAAATGCAAAGGATCATTAGTGACAACTATGAGCAAATAGGTGTCAATAAACTCGAAAATTTAGAGGAAATGAATAAATATCTGAAAATATAAAACCTACCAAGGTTGACTCATAAAGAAATCCAACACATAAACAGACCAATAGCAAGTAATGAGATTGAAGCTGTAATAAAAAAGTCTTGCAGTAAAGAAAAGCTTGGGATCCTATGGCTTCACTGCTGAATTCTACCAAAAACTTAAAGAAGAACTAATACTAATCTTACTCAAACTACTCCAAAAAATAGAGGAGGAGGGAATACTTACAAACTCATTCTATGAGGCCAGTATTACCCTGATACCAAAACCAGACAAAGACACATCAAAAAAAGAAAACTACAGGCCAGTATCTCTTATGAATATTGATGCAAAAAAAAAAATCCTCAACAAAATACTAGCAAGCAGAATTCAACAACAAATTTAAAAGATCATTCATTATGACCAAGTGGGAGTTATCCCAGGGTTGCAAGGATGCTTCAATATATGTAAATCAATGAATGTGATACATCATATCAACACAATGAAAATAAAATCTATATGATCATTTTAATTGATGTAAAAAAGCATTTGACAAAATGTGACATCCCTTCATGATAAAAACCCTTAAAAATTGGTAGAGAAAGAGCATACCTTAACATAATAAAAGCCATATATGACAGACCCACAGCTAATATCATACCAAATGGGGAAAAACTGAAAGCCTTTCCTCTAAAATCTAGAACATGACAAGGATGCCCATTTTCACCACTGTTATTCAATATAGTATTAGAAGTCCTAGCTACAGCAATCAGACAAGAGAAAGATATAAAGGGATTCCAAACTAGAAAAAAAGTCATCAAATTATCCCTGTCTGCAGATGATATGATCTTAGTTGGACAAACCTGAAGACGCTACAAGAAAACTATTAGAACTGATAAACGAATTCAGTAATGTTGCAGAATAGAAAATCAACATACAAAAATCAGTAGCATTTCTATATGCCAACAATGAACAAACTGAAAAAGAAATTTAAAAAGTAGTTTCATTTATAGTAGCCACAGATAAAATAAATACCTAGGAATTAATCAAAGAAGTGGAAATTTTCTACAATAAAAACTATAAGACAGTTATGAAAGAAATTGAAGAGGACACCAAAAATGGAAAGATATTCCATGTTCATGATTGGAAGGTTCGATACTGTTAAAATGTCCATGCTACCCAAAGCAATCTAAAGATTCAATGTGATCCCTATCAAAATATCAAAGACAGTCTTCAGATAATATGGAACCATAAAAGACCCAGAATAGCCAAAGCCATCCTAAGCAAAAAGAACAAAATTGGAGAATCATATTACTTGACTTCAAAATATACTACAGAGCTATAGTAACCCAAACAGAGTGGTATTGGGATAAAAACAGACACATAGATCAATAGAACAGAATAGAGAATCCAAAAACAAATCCACTCACTTACAGTGAACTCATTTTCAACAAAGATGTCAAGAACACACACTGGGGAAACAACAGAATCTCCAATAAATGGTGCTGGGAAAACTGGATATCCATATGCAGAAGAATGAAATGAGGCCCCTATCTCTCATCATATACAAAAGTCAAATCAAAATGGATTGAAGGCTTAAATCTAAGACCTCAAACTGTGAAACTGCTCCAAGAAAACATTTGGGAAAATTCTCCAGTACATTGGTATGGGCAAAGATTTCTTGAGAAATACCCTTATAAGCACAGACAACCAAATCAAGAATGGACAAACAAGACCACATCAAGTTAAAAAGCTTCTGCACAGCAAAAGGAAACAATCAACAAAGTGAAGAGACAATCCACAGAATGGAAGAAAATATTTTCAAACTACCTATCTAACAAAAGATTAATAATCAGAATATGTAAGTAGCTCAAACAACTCTATAGGAAAAAATGTAATCATCCAATTAAAAAATGGGCAAAAGGGCTGGGTGTGGTGGCTCATGCCTCTAATCCCAGCACTTTGGGAGGCCAAGGCAGGTGGATCTCTTGAGGTCAGGAGTTTGAGACCAGCCTGGCCAACATGGCAAAACCCTGTCTCTACTAAAAATACAAAATAGCAGGGCGTGGTGGCATGCACCTGTAATCCCAGCTACTCGAGAGGCTGAGGCAGGAGAATCACTTAAACCCAGGAGGTGGAGGTTGCAGTAAGCCAAGATTGAGCCACTGCACTCCAGCCTGGGCAACAGAGCAAGACTCTGTCTCCAAAAAAAAAAAAAAAGAAAAAATGAAAAAAAATGGGCAAAAGATTTGAATAGACATTTTTCAAAAGAAGACACACAAATGGCAAACAGGTCTATGAAAATGTGCTCAACATCACTGATCATCAGAGAAATGCAAATCAAAACTACAATGAGATATCATTTCACCCTCGTTATTAAAATGGCTTATATCCAAAAGGCAAGCAATAACAAATGCTGGCAAACGTGTGGAGAAAAGGAAACCCTCAGACGCTGTTGGTGGGAATGTAAATTAGTACAACCACTACGGAGAACAGGTTAGAGGTTCCTCAAAAAACTAAAAATAGAGGTACCATATGATCCAGCAATCCCACTGCTGGATCCCACCAAAGATAAAAAAAAAATCAATATATCGAGGAGACATCTGTACTCCTATGTTTATTGCAGCTCTGTTCACAACAGCCAAGCTTTGGAAGCAACCTAAGTGTCCATCAATAGGTGAATGGACAAAGAGAATGTGGTACTTACACACCATGGAGTACTACTCATCCGTAAAAAAAGAACAAGATTCAGTCACTTGCCACAACATAGATGAAACTGAAGTTCATTACGTGAAGAGAAATAAGCCAGGCACAGAAAGACAAACATCATATATTCTCACTTATTTGTGTGACCTAAAAATCAAAACAATTGAACTCATGGACATGGAGAGTAGAAGGACCATTACCGGAGGCTAGGAAAAGGGTAGTGGGAGGGTGAAGGGGAGGTGGAGATGGCTGATGGGCATGATAGTATTTGATAGCACCACAGGATGACTACAGTCAATAACAATTTAATTGTACATTTCAAAATAATTAAAAGAGTATAATTAGATTATTTGTAACACAAAGGATAAATGCTTGAGGGGATGGATACCTTGTTTTCCATGATGTGATTATTATTCATTGCATACCTGTATCAAAATATCTCATGTACTCAATAAATATATACACCAACCATGTACCCACAAAAAATACAAATACAAATTTAAAAAAAGATAGATCAGTGTGATTTCAATCCCTAAAGATATTGACGTTGGGATTCTATCCACAAGTTTTGTCCAGGCAAATAATAGAAGGTGCTTTGACATCTATCAGTTAGGAGCACTTTCAGCTACCAGTAACAGAAATTGCAACTGACAGAAACATAAACTAATTGGGGTTATTTTTCCACCACTAAGACATTCAGAGTTTGTATGGTCTGGCACTGTTAGTGCTGCTTGAAGATGCTCTCAGGGATCCAGGCTTCTCCTGTCTTTGGGCCCTCCATCTCGAGGGTGTTGGTGTTTAGCAACCTTGTGACCTCATGATCTCAAAGTGGCCACCAGTGTTTCATACCATGCTGTGTGCCAGATAGAAAGAAGAAGGAAAGCAGTTTATGCAAACTGCATCTAGCCCTTTTATCAGCAGACTTTAAATACATCTTTTTAGCCACCTCTAGCCAAAATGAGTATTGAGTTTCCAGCTTCTAAGAGGTGAACAATGGAGATGGAGGTTGGAAATACGGGTGGGGTAGGCCAACCAAATGTCTGCCACAGAAACCAAGATGTGACTTGGGATTTCAAGATGTGAAATCTATCCTTTGCCTCTATACTGAAGTCTGGGAAAGCAGGGAATAGGGATGGAATCTGCATTCTCCATATTCTTAGATACACAACTTTTCTTGCTCACTGCAACCCAATATGTCACTGGTCATAGAGAGAGATGTTCACCAAACATCTTTTACTGTTTCCTTCAGCTCCATAGTGAATGTGACACTTCTTTATCCCTTTTCCTCCTCCCCCACCAACCTAAGAAGCTTCATACTTGAAAATCTTTATTAAAGAGCATTATTAATATATTGATAAGTGCATGAGGAAAGTGTGAAAGAATACATACAAACATATACACATGTATAGATAGATAGATAGACAGATAGACAGATTGATAGATAGATATAGACATATAATATGGCACCAGTATTGGTGGGTGTTGCTGGGAGATGAGAGGAATCCTTCACTCTGTGCATATACATTACTACATCACTTGAATTTTTTATACAAGCATATATTACCTTTGTAACCTATAAAAGCAATGAAGATATAAACAGTTAATAAATTTCTCACTAGTTTTTCATGCTTCAGGCAGAATTAACCCAGTTTAATTAATCTTCCTGAAGGTCTTATTTTCTAACCAACTTTGTGGTTTATTCTTGAACCTTCACCAAGTTCTTCAGAAATTCTTTAGTCATGAGAAAGTTGACACAACTTAATCCACTCACAAGTCAGATTCCCAGAATGCTAAAACATTCATACACATTCCTCCATTTTGGAAATTAAATTTAATAGCTTGCCCTCTGAAGAAATGCCTATGTGTCCCAGAACATGCTGACCTTTCACGAATTTTGCTTACATTTTAACTGTCAGGTTACTACAGCTTCTGATTTGTAAAAAGTGATTTTAGTTTAACAGGCTTCAGTATAAAGCTGGTGTTTTCGGCAGGGAAATGTCCTAAATCCTGTTCATCAAGCTGGACATATTTATTTTGATTGATAAGCCTGGTAATTTGTCCTAGAGCTTTTCATTTTGGTGAATTACATAATGGTATACTCACTAGCTTTTATCTTCATGTGATAGAAACAACTGTAAATTTTGCCTAATTCTCTCTTCCTAGGGTCATGTTGTGGCAGGCTTATGGAGTTAGACTGCTGAATTAGGTGAGGTCAGGGAAGGACAATGCCATTGACCACAAAATTGAGTTGTGGTTGATGTATTCACCTGTAAATTCACAAGGGTCACAGGGATCATAACAAAAAAAATGCCATGGTTTTGTTCAGAAGGCTATTCTCAAATTCATCAGGATCCTCTTTTCCTTTACTATTCATGAAAAGATGACTTTAAGATTTCTTGCTTATATGCCTATTAGGATGATGGATAAATATTTATTCATTGATAAGGTGAATACAGGAGAAAATGAATTTTGATGAGGTAGGGAAGTATCTCTCCAACTTGCCAAGAAAAGAAGTTAAACAATTTCTATCTTATACATTCTTTTTGATTCTATGTAGAGATAATATTTTCTTGCATTTTTCACTACAATCTGTAGTCAACTTCTTGTCTTTTTTGCCAAATATTTGATATTTTTATGACAGCCATGTGAAATATGTACATAGAAATATTGCAGTAATACATTTCCAGGCCTGGCATGGGGGCTCATGCCTGAAATCCCAGTACTTTGGGAGGCTGAGGTGGAAGGATTGTTTGAGCCCAGGAATTGAAGACCAGCCTGGGCAAGATAGCAGGATTCTGTTGCTAGAAAAAAAAATTTAAAAACTGCTGGGTGTGGCGGCCTGTAGCCCCAACTACTCAGGAGGCTGAGGTGGGAGGATTGCTTGAGCACAGGAGATGGAGGCTGCAGTGAGCCATGATAGCACCATTGCACTCCACCCTGGGTGACAGGGCAAGACCCTGTCTCAAAATAAATAAATAAATAAATAAACAAAAACAATAAAAATAGTACATTTCCAGAAATTTTAACTCTCCTAAAGTGGTTGCGAAATAAAAATTAGCAAAAATGCTTTCTGAGTGCCCAAAATAAACCTACGTTTCCTGAACAACACCTTTTTGTTCACTCAGAGGCTTTTACTCTGTCTTGGCACTGACTTCTAACAATCTTTGTCAGTAGTGATAATAAAATAATGATGATAAAGATGCTGATGATAGCTATATATCCTAGGTACTGTGATAGGAATGTTACTTTATCTATAATAATCCTGGCAACCATTTTACCTATCCTAAGAGCAGACATTATTTACTCTCATTTTATAGATAAGAAACTGAGACTGAGAAGTTAAGTAATTCACCCAAGCTACTAGGGACAATGTCAGGCTTCAACGGGGATATCTCTCTTATACCACACTGCCTTCCTGAACAGA
Organism: Homo sapiens; assembly: GCF_000001405.40. NCBI lineage: Eukaryota > Metazoa > Chordata > Mammalia > Primates > Hominidae > Homo > Homo sapiens. The sequence goes on from NC_000005.10 coordinate 102,651,612, forward strand.
ACTATTTATGTTCCTCAGTGTTGCATCCTTGGCCTTCTGCTTTTCGAACGCAACATTTACTCATAGGATGAGTCATCTCATCCAAATTTATGGATGCAACAGCAATCTGGGAGCTAATGACTCCTAGAATTACCTTCCAGTTCAGCTTTCTTTCCTGAGTTCTAGATCTATGTATCTTACTGCTTCTAGAACATGCCTATTTCAATATGCAACAGTTTCCTCAAAGTCAACATCTCCCAAATTAATGCTTTACCTTTTCTATCACCTCCTCATATCTGTTCTTCCTCTTCTAGCTCTTACCTTACTAATGGGCAATATCATACACCTAATTGCTCAAGCTAAGAGATATCCTTGACAATTCCTTCTCCTTCTACCCTCATATCCAAATGAAAATCGAATCTTATTGATTCTACCTCCTTAACAGTTCTTGAACCTCCAAATCCATTGTCTCCTCTCCTCCTCCATTACCAGTGCCTTTTAACTTCTGATAATATTTTGCCTGGTTTATTGCAACAGAGTCCAAGATTCTACTCCTAATGCCAGTCTGAATTCATTCTGTGCTTTACAAAAATGTGTTTAATTTCTCAGATAAATGTCTCCATCTTTTAAAACCTGAAAGTACTGTAGTACAAGTAAATTTTCTAACTTGACTTTTCAAGTTGAATATAGTAAATATAACTGAACAATTACTAAATGGCTGCTGGTTTTTATAAATGAAATTTTTCAATTCTTTTTTTTTCTCTGTTATTTTTCACCACGTACATGTGGTCAAAGTACCTTAATGTTTTATTTCTCACATTAGCTGGTCTGTTGTCTCACCTGCTTAAAAGCCTATGTTCCCAACAGCTGCCAGAAAGATCTTTTTCTAAAATGTAAATCTGATTCTCTCATGGTCTTGCTTAAAATTTTTCAATGGCTCCTTAGTGCCTCCAAGACAAAAATCTGAAATCTTTGATTGACATAAAAGGAGCAGTCTGAGGCTATTTTAGGGAAAGACAACTGCCCACCAGCCCTACATAATAGCCCAGGAGGACATTACTAGATGATGTTCAAAACAATGACCTAAAAATCATCCAATAAATGTTATTCACTGTATTGAACTTAAGAAGTAGAGAAGATTGCATTTAAAGAGATTTGTTGTAGAAATGTTTCATATATGTGAGTGCCTAAATAAGTAAATGCCAGTAAGTTAGAAAACTATGTCACTGCATTTTCTGATTTTTATGAGATGGAAACGTTTGCATGAAAAATTAAAGGAATTATTAAAAATATGAGATTAGTCTGGAGTGGCATGAGGGGTTGAATGTAAGTCATAAGTGAAATTAAACACTAAGTGACTTAGACCATGCTTACATAATTCAGGAAAAATTGATAAAATTAAGAAACTGAAAATTCCCCAGTCATTCCCTAATCTAGAGGTCACAACTGGAGGCTACAGGTCAGATTTTGCCACAAGGTAGGTTTTATCTCATCTGCACATATTTTTTTTAAAACTTCCACATTTTAACGTCCTCAGCTCTTTCTAAATTTCATCCACCCACTTGTGTCAGTTCCATGAACAGTTATTGGTCCACAAGGTAACTCTGAAAATTGAGCATAAGCTTTTAGAAGCTTTTGTAGCAATTTAGCAATGTAATCACATGTCTATTGAATCCAAATGTAAGAAATTGAGTCATATTTCTTATGTCTTTGGTTTTTTATTGTATTTTTCTTGGTAATTCATTTTTAATATATTTCACAAAAGTATCAGTTCATGCCAATTGGAATTTTTAAAAATTAACCTATGATAACATAGATAGTTTGAAATGTGTTGCTCCGGCTTACCCCAATCCCCACCATTCCCCATTATTATTTTAGGCCAATTTCACTCAAATGCTAGGCCCCTGATGGCTTTTGATTTGAGACTTCCTCACTCATTCAATTACATTCATTTTCAGATGAGGCTGAAGGCCAACAGCAGTTAGGGTATCTTGCCAAAGTCTCAAGGAACCTCACATCTCTACACACATTAACCCAGTAACACCTGCATAGTGACTTAAAATTTCAAAGCCCCTCAAAAGACCTGCAGCAAAACAAATGTCTAATTGAAATGTGTTTTCAGCACTTCATGGCTACACTTAGACAAGCTATCATGTGCTACTTTCAGGCAAATAGTGATACCAGAATTCATGAAGGAGCAAGGAAGCCTAGAGACAACTAGAAGCAAGCTCAAACAATTGGGGGGATGTTGGGCCAGTAAGAATAAGTTCAGAAACATTCAATTATCCCTTTCTTTCTTGATTTATGCATCCTTCAAGTCAATATGATCATCTGTTTCCAGGTGCCAAGCGCTTGGTTCCCTGTTACAGTTTTCTTTACAATTTCAGCTTACTGAAGTGTATCATATCAGAGAATACTCTGATCTTCCAGAGCAATTACCTCACCAGTACCCAAGGCATGTCCCCTTTCTTACCTAGAAGCAAAGCTGGGAGTAGAAACCTCCCCTAATGATTTCCAAGTGTTTCCAGCTGTGTTAAATACAAACTTAATCATTTGGCTTTTCTCCCTTATCTATCATCATCATAATTTTTAAAGACCTCTCCTCCACTCACTGAATTTATCTCCAGCTTATTGCAAGTAATGAGAATTTGGAGTTGAGATTCACAATCGTCCATATGTCAGTTGGAAGAAGAAAATCGAGACTAAGAGAGTGGAAACATAGCTGGAAAATTAATGCTTCAAGCGGAATCCCAGACTTAAACCCATGAATGTTTTGAAGATGGATTATACATTTTAATCATAGACAAAGAGCATTATAGAAAAGTTGGGCTCTTAATTTAAAATGAAGCCGAAAAAGGGTGAGTTTTCAAACATGACACTTCCCAATATGCTAACACATAGGAGCCACATGAAAAATATTTATTTAGTGAATTAATTGATGATGCAAGCAACAATGAAATTGCTGTAAGGCTCACTTGAAAAATCCCTCTTGAGGTGTTTGGGCCTTTTTTTTTTTTTTCTAAACCATCTTTTCCCTCTCAAGCCCAGACTCTGTAAGTGCCCACTCTACTTCTACCATGCCAGACATTTGCTGTCAGTCCACTGTCAGTTCCCAGAGTACCTGCAGTGGAGTACCATAGGTCTGCTGCATTGAGGGTAAATGGGACTCTGTTGTGGCTGGCAGGGAGCCCTGCCTGCGAGCTGACAACTACATGAAATTGACTGACAAGCTCTGCAAGCAGATACAGAGTTAATGAGCAAACATTACCCAACCTTGCAATGTAGAGAAGGGATATGGCTAATTTAAAAATGAACAAACAGAGACTTTCCATATCTGGCTTTAAGTTATTTATGTTCTTCTCCAAATAAAGGTCTGCCTCCAAAGAGACATTGTATATGAAAAGTTAATTTTACTTTCACTGATCACCATGACACCCACACCTTAAACTAATTCCAGACCAGATACATTTAAGAGTTAAAGAAACTAAAAAATTGGTTGAATCAACCCTGGCAATCAAAAGGGTAGCAGATGTTGTGACCAGGCTGCCCTCATCCACTGCCAGAAAATTAAGTCATGATTCTAGACAGATTGCAACATTTTCTACAATGTCCTTAATGGAATCATTCTTAGTTTAATAACTAATACTGCAGAGTTACTCTCAAAAAGGTTATTTTACAGAGAGAATGAAGAGTTCCAATACAGCCTACATATCCTGAAAGACCAGGAATTTTCTGCTGGACCCAAAGAATAAGACCACAGTGTATTCACAGCTACACGTGATTTCTGCAATATGAATATACCTCTGCAGGTTGGTAACAAATAACCACAAGGAAGAAGGCAAAGCATTTGTTTCCAGCTTCTACAAGGTTTTTTTTTTTTATTACAAAGTCACTGGTAAGTGGTGACAAAAGAAAAACTTCAGCTGAATTAAATTTAAGGGAGTTTAATTGAGCAATGAACCATTAGTAAATTGGGCAGCCCCCAGAATCACAGCAGATTCACAGAGACTCCAAGGGTGCCTTGTGCTCAGAAAAAATTTATAGACAAAAAAGGTAAAGTGATGTGCAGGAATCAGAAGTGAAGTACAGAAACAGTGAGATTGGTTACAACTCGGCATTTGCCTTATTTTGCAGGCAGTTTGAACATTCAGCAGTCTATGAGTGGTTGAAGTATGGCTGCTGGGATTGGCTAACATTCAGCTATTGTTACAGGTGCATACTACTAAGTTAGGTTTCCAATTTTGTCTGACTGTTAAGCTAGGTTACAGTTCATCCACAAGGACTCAAGTATAGAAGTATGGAGTCCTTCTCAGGCCACATTTAGTTTGCTTTAACAGTGGTGAGATTTTTACTGAATAACGTTGCTTGCAGCCAGCATGGAATGCCTGATGAAGGCAGTAGGTAGACTCTCCATCGTCCTCACTTTATACAGAATTTAGGAAACTCACCTACACAAGATGCTGCCCAGGGCACTGAGCAACAAAGCAATTCACATTCTCTGGCATCTTCCCCTAACTCCTCCTGGATGAAGCCAGCCTCATCCATGGCTAGGAGTCTTCTGCAAAGTGAGGTGAAGCTTTCGAGATTTCTCCTACAATGTAGTTGCAGATACCTAAAAATCTAAAATTTGTTATTTTGTGTATTGCATGTATATTTCAGAATAATCAGAGGTTTTAAGCCATGACCTACTATAAAAACCAGTAAACAGGAAATAAATAGTCTTCCTTATCAGTTATAACTCAGAGTTCATAAATTACCACATTCTCACCTATTAGTTGGTCTTAATGACCTGAGATGAAGAAAAGACCCTGAGATTACTGGTCACCAAACTGGATATCAGCCACAAAAAGAGGAGGCTGGGATGCCAAAGATAAAACAACCTGCCTGCCTTGGGTTCACTGTGTCTCTAGTAAAGACAAATAGCCTGAATCCCAGTATCCAAGACCTGCTACCATGGATGGCCTGGAACCCTGTGCACAAAAAAACACTTCAAGTAAATGAATTCTTAATTACCAGCTAAGACTACAGCCCCAAACCATTGGGTTATCTTCTATCTTGGGGGACCCAGTGTAGTTCTGAGGCTTCTTATTGGCCCTCCAGGTACACAGTCAGGTCCAAGCTGTATTACCTGGGTTCTAATAAGTTTCCCACTGCAAGAGAGGGAAGGTCCCAAGCCAGGACAGTGTTGCACCATCTGACTGTACCTTGTGGGAAGGAAGAGGGAGAAAAGAGTCAAAAGAGATACTCAGAAACTTGAACAAAAGGGAGACCTGCAGAAGAGACAGTGTTTAATGTCTTGTCTCTTCCTCCCAATAAATGCCTTGCTTGACTCACTTTAGAATTCATACTCCTTGGAGCTGGTGGAGACTGAGGTGAGGGAACCTGGTGGAGAAGCTATGAAAGAGTGGAGACTGGAACCTAGAGCTCACTGTAAAGGTTAGAGTGTGTCAATACCACTTTGAATTATATCTCCATTATAGAAAACACACATAGAAACAGTAGACAGAGCTCTGGTTTACTCTTCTCTCTGCTGCTCCACTTTTACAGATTTGAGAGCAAATATTCCACACTTAGCTTTGCATTGAGCAAAACCAGTGTATTTTCCTCAACAGTGCCAGGGGACAGGGCAGAACTGTTTTAAAACAAACTAAGCATAAAGTTTATTGAATTAGTTTGTTAATTAGTGAAGCATTTCCTAAATAAAGCATAATTTCTTCATCTGTAAAAGAGGGATGAGTTGGAAAAGTTTCTAAGAGCACTTTTTCTTAACTTCCTAATTCATAATTCCCATAATTTATAAATTACCAATTTATTTAATAATTTACATTTTATAATTATATGTAAAATAACTTTAATTTTTTGTTTTTTGAGACAGGGTCTCACTCCCATAGCCCAGGCTGGAGTGCAGTGGCACAATCTCCACTCACTGCAGTCTCAACTTCCCGGACTCAGATGATTCTCCCACCTCAGCCTCCTGAGTAGCTGGGACCATGGGCATGCACCACCATGCCTGGTTAATTTTTTGTATTTAGTATTAATAGCCATTTTGTCTTTAATAGCCATTCCACAATTTATACATTTATAAGTTTCTTAAATGCATAATTCTGCAATATCTTGCATCTAAACTTTGGTTTTAGAACTATAGAAAGATTTATGTGAAGAAAACTTTAGTTTTCTATTACTTTACACATAAATCCTTCCAGGTAGTTCCTGCCTTATCTATCTCTTAACCATAGTTTAATGTCTCTTCTATGATTGGATCTTATTAGAAAAAGGTCTTCAACAAATGCAAAACTTTTAAAAATCATGATATGCTTTCAAAATTTCCATTGAGTATTTGGATGATTATTTTGCAGTCTAAAGCATGAGAAATAGGCAGGCATGGTGGCTCATGCCTGTAATCTCAGCACTTTAGGAGGCCAAGGCAGGCAAATTGCTTGAGCCCAGGAGATCAAGACCACCCTGGACAACATGGCAAAATCCAGTCTCTACTAAATACAAAAAAATTAGCCAGGCATGGTTGCCCATGTCTGTGGTTCCAGCTACTCAGGAGGCTGAGGTGGGAGAATCACCTGAGCCCAGGAAGTCAAGACTGCAACAAGCGGAGATAGTGCCACTGCACTCCAGCCTGGGCAATGGGAGTGACTTTGTCTAAAAAAAAAAAAAAAAACTACAAAAATAAATGAAGCATGAAAAATAGTTACGAGGTCTAAAGAGGAAGACATTGCTCTTGCCTATCAATTTCCTGATCTCTGGACAGCTATATGTAAGCTATTTGTAAAATCTTCCTAAATCTGCCCATGCTTCATGATCCTACAACAGAGGCAGCTTTTAGGGGAACAAGAAGAGCAAGAAATTTTAACACAATTGTTTCACCACTGTTCTCTGAAAAGCTATTTGAAATAATCAGAAAGATTTAAAAAAAAATTGAGCATTGCCACCCTCACATTTTAGGTTGCGTCTACAAGGATTCTTATGCTGTAAAATAAATAATATGTGGATGGGGACAAAGACGGTAGGGCAAGCAGTAGCTATATAAGGACTGCCCCTCTCCTAATGCAATAGCTGTCATGGGAACTCTATGATCATACAGCACAGTTACAGATTAACTGTGTAACAACTCCCAAATGTGAGCTTAGCTCAAATACTGCTGACTTTTAACATCAAACACTCTGCAGTGGGACATTCCCACCTAGATACCCTCATAATCTTAATGTGACATGATCCCATTTTATGGATGGATACATAGAGAGACTGATAGATTTTAAAACCTCTTAAAAATTACACCCTCAGCATGGTATATGTTACATGAATTAAAAGAATACTAAGAAGGTTTTCAATTTTGTAGAAATTTTTGTTATATAAGTGTGATTAGAGGAGGAGGGTTTTTTTCATATATTTTTTGCTCTGCTTTTACATCATTTGTAAATGCTATTGCTTTGGCCAACTTTGTTTTTCTTTTCAGTCATTTGCTTCTTCTCCAGGTTTTGCTTAAATGCGGTGTCTGAATTAGGAAGCTAAAAGCCTCAAAGTGGTGCTGTCCCCAACATAGGGACCAGCAGGTGTTAAAAGGAAGCAGGTCTCTGTGACGCAACTGAATGCTAAATTCATTTGTGATGCAAATTTGACCAAGATTTAAGGTTAGAAAATTATTCTAGTCTTGTTCATGGCAGCAACATAATTTCATATCAGCACACTCACCCTATCACTGCTGGTAGCCTTTAATAACAAGGCATGGGCAATATAATTGTGCAAGGTTTTGGTGATAAGATACTATTATTGAGCATAACACAAATTTTTATCTTTATGACCCAGAATTACTTCCATTAAAGGAGTACTTTCGTCAAATGTTGAAAAATTCAGTCACAACATTGGCTGGTTATTACACAATTAATGTGGCAATGTGAACAGAACATTGTCCTGAACTCTTTCCTTCTATTTATATTTAATTAATACTTATTGAATGCCTAGCATGTACCAGTGACAATGTTAAACACTTAACATGCAGCCTTTTTTAAAATTCTCACATCAACCCTATGATGTCAGTAGTGTTATCATCTTATTTTACAGATAAGGAAACTGAGGTCCAAGGTTATACAGCAACAAAGTAGTGGTTCCAGGATTCTGCCTCCCCTGTTTAGTTTCTCGCTGTTCTAATCTGCTTCCCAATATCCCTCACTGTTTCCCAAAGGAGAGTTTTGTGCAGTGTCAGGAACTGAGCTTTGGATGGGCCATTTTATCCCATTTTAGCTATAACTATAAAAGGATTTGTTCACCTCCAGCTGTTCACATTTCTTGTGACCTGAGAAAATTGGGATGTTCCAGATACAACAGTAAACTTGGGCTACTCCATCAAGAGCCTAGCAGTCTAAGTTATTCCTGCTGTGGAAAAATAGGAAGATTTTTGTGAAGCTTAATCTTCAGGGCCCTTTACTTTCTTGACCCTGGGAGGTCTCAGGGAGATGTTCATGTGATGATTTGCAAATTTTCAAATTAATTTATTTTAACTGCAAACAATTAAGACTATCATCCCTTTCCACTCCAACTTCCTCTCCATCATACTTTCCTATGTATTTGGTGATACGGAAGCGGCTATGGGCATTTTGAGATCCAGCTGAGGAAAAGTTGAGATGTAAATTCACTTAACATGGGTTTACTGTGGCTTCCAGAGACTTCTGTATATACATATGTTTTTGTGCATTGCTAATGATCCTGGTGCAGGAATGGCTGCCAGGAATGACAGAATGATGGTTCATCTGCAGGAAAGTACAAATCCAAAGGTTTTATTTTGGTTTAAGTATAAGAGTAGTGGAGAAATTAGGTTTGAAAATTCAGAGCTAGAAACTAGTCAATGGAAAAATTTCTAATTATCAGACATGTAGAATTGTAATAAGAAGAACTAATTCTCATCAATGACTAATCAAAGCTGAAGTGTTCTGTCATAAACATACTCAATAATACAGCATATACAATTATAAATGAACATTTTTATGGACTAGGGCAAAAAAGAATTCATGAAAATCTCTGTATTTTTAAGGTGCAAACTTGAAGCAGTACTACAAAAAATACATATAACTGTATGTGAAGTAATAGGTTTTTATAAATTCCAATGTATTAGGTCAAATCCTCCACGATGCACTGTCCTGATGAAAACCAGAGGTTCCAGATGAAATGACAAGAAAAACCGCTACTAATACAACAAAAACACCCTGAAGAGACAAGTGTTTCTATGACCAATTTCCTACACATAATTTGTTCAATACATGTTGATATGGGAGGGGGGCAGGGAAGTGCTGGGTAGAGAAGGGCGGGTCCTTGGCTAGGACTCCACCCCCGGGCCTGTACCCACGGACTTAGGTGAGGACAGGCATTTCTGTTTTCGTGCTCAAATGTTGCATTTTCCAAGACCACCCTGGCCTGCCACGTCCCCATTCTGTGCCTATAAAACCCCTGAGACCCTAGCAGGCAGAGTCACAAGCAGCTGGACATCGAGAGGAACACACCAGTGAAAGAGCACACTGACAGGCACCGGCAGATGCCAGGAGGCCACTGACCAGCGGAATGATACAGAATTTGGCTCGGGATGGTCAGAGGAGAACGTGGCTGCTGGGTGGCCTGACTCCAGGGGAAAGCCACCTTCCCACTCCATCCCGCTTCTGGCCTCCCCATCCACCTCGCCAAGAGCTACTACCACTCAATAAAAACCCTTGTACTCACTCTCCAAGCCCATGTGTGATCTGATTTTTCCAGTACACTAAGGCAAGAACCCAGGATATGTAAAGCCCTCTGTCCTTGTGGTAAGGCAGAGGGTCTAATTGAGCTGACAAACACAAGCCACCTACAGACAGCTAAACTGAAAAAGCACACTGTAACACACACCCACTGGGGCCTCAGGAGCTGTAAACACTCAACCTCAGACACTGCTGTACGGTCAGATCCCCACCACCTGCTCTTCTGCACATGCCCCGCTAGAAGTTTGAGCAGCGGGGCACCGAAGAAGCAAGCCACAGCCCCATCGCACACTCTGTGAGGGGGATAAGGGAACTTTTCCCGTTTCAATGTTATGTACTTAGGTAGCCCATTACGTTGTATGTAATGAACAATTCTAAAATATGTTTTTCCCCTCTTTTGTATTTTTTAGCTTCAAATTACTTTTATTTTTTTCTCAAAATTATTGAGCATTCCAAAATTCAAATCCATCAGAAATAAAGTAACCTGATAGAAGTCAAAAACATAAACGAAAAGAAAATATTTGTGATATTCATTAGCTGTTTTTATTGTAGTTTGTTGTAATTTCTTTTATCATTCTAAATAAATATTTGTTTTCAGATTTAATTTTCTACTTGTAATGTTATATTCTTTTTCTTTTAGAGGGTCCTGCCAAATTAAGTTTTAGGCCACACAAAACCTGGATCTGCCATTGAATGAAACCAACTCCCAAAACAACCTCCTACTGGAACCTAAAATGATGCTTCCAAGATATATCAAAACAAAATTGGGGCTAAATGGCCTCCTTTTGGTTTTGCCTTCTATAAAGGATGTATCAAAGTTATGATTCTTCTTCTTCAATATCTTGGGGAGTATTTAGTGAAATATTTCCTTCTGTTTTTATTTATAACTTCTCTCTGTTTACCCCAAACGTCCCCATCTTGTATTCAGACACATTGAACCAATTACAATATTGTACTCAAAATTGCTCCTCCCTTTGGCCAGTTATTTAGTTTTGTGAATCTGATTCTCTCTTCCGTTAGGATAGAATATGGGTGATATTCAGCTAGTATGAACCATTATGATCATGCAGTTGATTAACTATAGAAACAATCTTAGTGGATTGCAAATAGCTGCTGTCCTAACACCTTGAGTGGCTCCTCCCACCTCTCCAGTCAATCTGGCCCTTCTTTTTATAAATGTATGCATTCCCCTAACCTCTGACCTCAAAACCTTTCTGGTAATGTTTTACTCAGCTAGTCAGCTTTTGCTTTACAAAATTTTGTATTGGCATTGCTGGAAATTCTCATGGAATCCTTAGTCTTTTCTAGAAATCTGACTCACTTTATTTTCCTCTAAGATAATTTATTTTTTCTGCCTATATAACTAGCATATATTGTCCTTGCCCTTGTTCTTCACAATTTGTAATAAAGCACTTTTCCATTCCATCTGAGACCCAAAGTGTTCTTCCCCAAGATCTATATTATATGGCCATATTCTAATCTTACAATCATCTTTCTTCTGGAAAGACTATGGTTCTGATTTATAGAATTAACTAATTTGCTCATGTCTCTTTACCTTCTTTCCTGACTAACTATCCTGAAACACATTTGCCAATTGGCTATCCACCAACATTTAAACCTCCCCTGGCAGAGAATTGTATTATTGCTGGGCAATATTTCCCATCCCTTTTTGCATCTCAGTGAGGCTGTATGGTTACTTCTTGTCAATGTAATATCAACAGGAGTGGTAAGTATGACTTCTGGGACAACTGGCATAAGGTACACCTTCTCCATGATCTTTTACCTCCTTTCACTAGCTGAATCAGAAAACTCTGAGGTCCTTACTGACCTCTTACTGATGGTAGAGTCACCCCATGGAAGGAGCCTTGCTCTCTGAACCATTACGTAGAGGAAAAACTCATGCCTACCTGAAATACCTGCAATGGATTGTTACAAGGAGGAAAAGTAAATTTCTATTGTGTTAAGCCCTGAAATGTAAGAGTTTACTTGTAATAGCTACTAACTTTATCTAAATTCATTGTTGAGGCTTTTCTAACTTTTACCTTTTGTTCTAGCCAATATTTGGGCAGGTTTCATTAACAGTCGTGTGTCATGGATGCTGGACATAATTACCTCAACAGCCTTACATCTAGTCCTAGACAATTTTCATCTCTTATTTGGAGACCTTTATTCTATTTTATCTTATTTCAAGCTATATTTCCAATGTCAGATTATTTTAAGGATAGAAGGACTTGACATTTCAAATATCGATGACCAATCAAGTCCTTTCTGCTTTTAATTTTTTATTTCGTCACCTGTTTCACTTATTCTTCAAGGGATGGCTGCCATCAATGATCCCATACCAGGAGAGTGATTTTTTTACCATATTAAAACACCTTCAAACCACAGTAGTAACAACAGACTTAATTTTCATTAAGAGCCAAAGAGAGTCTCTCCCTTGCCTTTAGTAATTTGAATATTTGGCAGTAACTCAGCTGTTTAGATATTCAGCATAGCCCTTTTTCTTCTAATGGTTATAGGAAGCTATGATTAATGCCCCAAAGGTATTAACACTACACTTTTTCCTTTCTGCAAACCAGTCCAATCCAGATATGTGAGACAGAAGAGGACTGCCTGGACAGGTTAATCACCAAAAAGATTACCTTCACCTACATAAGTCATAGAGCAAAGTGTAATACTGGCTTCATCTCTCAGGCATGGCCATGTTCCAATACCTTACTCTTGGAAATCTGGCCTCACCATTTGATATCAAACTTGGTGTACAGGTGGTGCTAATGGAATTTTCCTATCAGCCAACTGTGCCTTTAAGGGAGACAGGATTGATGTGAGATCTTACAAGCTTTCATTATCATCCAGTGCTTGTGTCACATAGCTGCCCTTCCCTACTTCTCAGCCCTCCAAAAGGCACAATGTCTTCCATCAGGCAAAAGTGACACCACAACATTCATTATAGGAAGTAAGAGACATTCATCACTGGAATATTTTAGCAAATGAATCACAACAGACTGATAGCATAACTCATGTTCTAAGGCCAAGAACAAGAATTGCATAGTTTATTTTAAGACAGCAGAAGAGTAAAAAACAGATTGAAAAACATATGATACCCTCTCCAGCTCAGAGCTCTACAAACAGCAGTGGCGTTTGCAAAGTTCTATGTATCTTCTCAAATGTGGTTTCAGTTTTAATGTGTGTTGACATCTTTGTGTGCAGAACTAACTGGAGGAACAACAGTTTGTGCTTTTTTTCCCTTCTTGCTACAAGGGTGAGAACAGGGAAAGAACCAAACGATCTGTGTTTACTTTGAGCAGCCATACACCATGCATGGACACTAAGGTATGGTTTTCCTTCAATTATTCCAAATTAGTATAATGAAAACATGCTTATCCCTCGAGCCATTAGATGCGTATAATGCAGAAGAGATGCAGTAATGGAGTTGCCTTATATGCTCCTCTGAAGCAGAAGCAAGTGAAAGAGACAAGTAAGATGATTAGAAAAACTTTGACTTTCTAAAACAAATAAGCAGTAAATGAACTGATTGAGTGCAAAACTTCACAGAACCACACAAAGAACTGGAGCTTCAAACTGTAACTTTAAAAATAGTAGGGTGAAAAATTAAGGGGCTCTAACATGAAACAAATTTAGGAAGAAAGAGAAAGCAACAGCATGCCAAGAACTATACTGATTAGGAAGTAGGCAATTTAATTTCTTCAGGAGAGTAAATCTCCAACATGAATTAATTTGCTTCACGCTGAGTCCTGCTGGTTTTTCTTCTTCCCTCAATCACTGTTTATTTCACAAAATCAGCACTCACCTATCTTCTTTGATTATTTAATTTCAGGAGGATTTTCCTTTCACAAAACAGTTAGCACAGTTAAACCCGGCTCTCCATGTAATGTGTAAACATATTACAATGCCCTCCCTAAGTGTGAGGATTATTTATTTCCTCTTGGAGACAACATTGTTTCAATGCTCTACTTCCCCTCCAGTACAATCTCTCAGTGACAATCCTGAATCTACTTCCCACTGTGTGCATCTTTCATTGACATTTACCAAATGCACAGGCTCTGATACAAAATCAGGAATGCAGTATTCAAACCATGACATAAACTCCTATTTTTAAAGGAGAGGTGGGTCATGGGCTATGGCTGATGGAACTAGTAAATAATGCACAAAATGGCATTTTAAAATGAAAACTGGTATGGATTTCTTCATTACTAACATCTCTATGGATGTCTAAGCTCTTCTGAGTTTTCATTGTATGCATATGGGTCAGCATAAAAATGAAGGTTTATTAGGATTCAAGGCCATGACATTTTAAAAAATGAGGCTGGTATCTCAATGGATATCTCTGGGCAGAATATTTAAATAAAGATAATTTGAAATGTGGTACAAACATTTTGAAATAAACAACTAAAGATCCTCTAAAAACGGCCACATTGTTTTTCGCTTTGCTTCAAGGACAAGCATGATGCATATAACCTTTTCCTTTTATCTTTCTTTCAGCTTCTTACTGCTTCTGATTAGTGACCTCAATTGAGACTCATTGCTCATTGCAAAGACTGCTAATGGATTGTTTGAGCCTGAATGTGTTAGGATGGAATATTTCTTCTTCTCAGATTCAAGGCCAGTTTTTTTCCACCCCAAGTCCATTCTACCCAGAGTTCTAGATGATGATGGTCAGGTTATTCAAGATAATGATTATGTTTTCTAGATGATTTAAAATGAAGTTCAACTTTTATTATCTTCCCTATAATGATATTTGTAGTCTTTATGTTCAATAACAAGCTGTCAGGCTGCCTCAGTTTAAGCCAAGGCATTTTCTTATCAAAACCCATCACAGAAAAAGATACAATCATGAAACCACAGATTCTTGTAGCTCTTCACAGTAAACTTTAACTATGAATAACCTCTTGGATTATTAGCCGATTGTGATTACATTTATATTATTTGCTCACATGCTTTGTCACTTTAGAGCCCTGAAAACCCTGTTCATTGTTGCTAGGAGATGGGTGGCTATGGCAACAGTGTGGGTCAGAGCCAGATGGAATGCCTAAAGCATAATCAGGTTTAGGCTTTTTTTTGATCTCCAAATGACTCCATGGCAGTCCTGAGCACGGAAGCCCCAAATCACTGCCTCTTCAGCTTGTTTCAAAAGGTATGCCACATGGTTTCTCCTCACACATCAGCTCTCCCCATTAACAAGTGTCTTTCTGGTGCTTAACTAGACACCAAGAGTTGTCTGAAAAAGAAAAAAGCTGGATAACAAGGGGGATTATCACTATTTAACTGTGTTTTCATACTGTTATTAATTTAGTTCAGATCTAGTGCCATATGCTTCTCTTCATCATTCCACTGAACTCCTAGTGACTTTCATGGAAGTTCCACACAAAGAATGAGGGCGACATATGGTTCTAATAGTGGTTTGTTCATTCCTCTAAGATTGATGGGTATTTTAAAGACATTAATCATTATATTTAAGACACCCTTTAATTTCTTCAGAAGGCCGGATCTTCACTGATTTATAGGAGTCCTTACCACACAGCCATACCTATTTTGCTTTTCTTTTAAAACTTGGCATCAAGAGAAAAATATTGACATGTTCCTCTTATAATAAAGTAAAAATGTAACAAATTAAAGTTATAAATAATGGTAGGAATTTATCTATTATTCTAAAAATAACTTGTTTATTGGACCACAAAAGTCCTAAGCAATTTATTCATCATTTTCATTGTGTCTTTCTTCCTCAAGAAATTCCCCCTCTTACCTACAACAAATCCACACTCTGGGCCTCGTCTTCTTCCACCTGGACCCCATCAATCCAGCCAGCATAATTTATTCCCCTATACAAATCTTTCCTCTGATCAGATCAGAAGAATTATCTCATTACCTCTCCCTTCCTAGTCTCACCCCTTGCAACTATTCCCTCACACAGATTATCTCTATTTCTGTATCTTTGCTCCTGCCATGTCCTAAAATGCCTTTTTCCATCTTGAATACTCATATTTGTTCAAATATTTATCAGGTACCCTCTAGGTACCTGGCCCCTGTGCTAGGTGCTAGTATCTAAAAAGAGCATAATGAGAGCTCCACACTATCTAACAAGGGTAACGGGATTCATAAAATTTAACAATGGATGTTGTTTTTGAAGTCACTTCTTTACTACATGCAAGACTCATTTAGACACTATTCCTTATTTAGTGCTCATAATAACCCTATGTCGTTATTATCATTCACAACCAACAGATGAAGGTACTCAGGCTCAAGAGTGTAAAGGATTTGCCCAAGGTCAAAGGGCCCAGTAGCAGCAAAATGAGATTGGAACCGAGGTCTGTCTTACTTCAAAAATGATACCAATTACTCCATTGTTGATGAGATATTTCAATAATGTAAATGTGTATTATTCCAGGCTAGAAGCCACTAAGGGAGACAGTGATCAGCTCCATTTGGGAGGGTCAGGGAGGAGTTCCTAGGGACAAGGATGAAGTTAACTTATAAATAAGGAGTTTGACAGTGAACATAGTAGAAAAAGGACGTTTTAGGACAGGAGATAAATGATAAACTTAGAACTTAAAGCCCTTTTTAGCTTCTTTTGATATCAATCCTCTCCGTTCTCCCATTTTCCTTTCTCAAAGTGCAAGTCAATACCTACCACTTCCATAATGCTGCTAATCTGCGTGTTAACCCTTGTTCA
Source organism: Homo sapiens (assembly GCF_000001405.40). Taxonomy (NCBI): domain Eukaryota; kingdom Metazoa; phylum Chordata; class Mammalia; order Primates; family Hominidae; genus Homo; species Homo sapiens. The sequence goes on from NC_000005.10 coordinate 102,668,013, forward strand.
TCTCTTTCTCTTCTAAACCCTGATGCCACTTGTTTTGCAGCAGCTCCTTACACCTTTATCAGATACTGTCTTGTGCTGCTCTCAGTTTTCCGGACCATACAAACGTGGAGGGCAACGGTCACACCTTTGATCTATTTTGTATCTTCCAAAGCTGTGTCAGAAACATAGTAGATGATCCATGCATGCCACTTCTTGGCCATAACTCTTCACATCTGTGTTTGGCTTTATAGTTTGTAAATTCTTTCATTTATGTAGTCTTCTTAGATCCTCAAGATAACTCAGTGAAGTATGCTTGCTTGCTGTTTTTAATCTCAACTTAACAGATTTAAGGAAATGGTAATTGAATAGGTAATTGCAAAACCCAGGGTCACCCAGGTGATAAATGATACATCCAGGAAAAGAATGTGTTCTCTCCCCTATGCAAATGATTGATAGGTGGATTGACTTCCATGCTTTAGCAGATGTGTCAAATTTCACATCCGCATTAACACTTCTAATCCTGTAACGTAATTCTGTCTTTTTATAGATGTCAAACTGGTTTTATCTCAGAAAAGGGAACTGCAAAATACTTTACTTATGCTATCAAACCATTTTGATAGTTGAACCTTGAGCAAAAAAACAGATTTTTGAAATTGTGTGTAGAGTAGCATAGTGGCTAGTCTCATTCACATGAGATTCCTGGAAGAACCAGATTAACAAGCTTCGTACTGACTGTAAACAGCAGGTGAGTATTTCTCAGCCATCTGCTGACTTATCCAGTTGAGAGCCCTTGAGAAAGTCACTAACATGATCATGAATGGCATGAATGGTCCTGTGCATTAATCAAAGACTGCAGAGAAGTAACCAAATTAGGCTCTCCCTACTGAAAGCTGGGTGCACTGCCAAAGCCCAGAGGGAGGGTACAATATAGGATAAAATGTCTCCTTTATTCAATGCAAAACTTGCTTTTCCTAAAACGAAAATGACTCTCAGCTAGTGGCCCTAAGACTATCCACTAGCTGTAGTGTGTGTTCACAAACACACTTCCTGAGTGAAGGCAGGAGTCCTAAGTAAGACCTTTACAGGGTCTTCTTGGCAAAACACTGTTTTATACCATTAGAAGTGAAACCTGAAATTTCCTTGACATCTTTAAATAGTAAGCCAGCAGGTAAACATGTTATAAAGCATTCCCTGAGTCTCAGAGGGCTTCTTGGATCTTCCATCTAGCCTTCTCTTCTGCCCCTGACCCAGAGACAATTCTCCAACACTGACCACTGGGACAGAATTCAAAGGAGGTATATAAGTTCCACTTACTGGTGATTTTGTTTAGCAGTGTGTCTGCATTTAACACTTTCTGCCCCCATTCCCTTCCTTCTCTGTTCACATTATTCTGCACCTGCTGTTCTATCTAGCCAATATATCAATTTCAGAGGAGGAATTTGTTGTGGACATTCTTTTTTTTTTTTTTTTTAGACTGAGTCTCACACTGTCACCCGGGCTGGAGTGCAGTAGTGTGATCTTGGTTCACTGCAACCACCGCCTCCCAGGTTCAAGCAATTCTTCTGCCTCAGCTTCCTGAGTAGCTGGGATTACAGGAGCCAGCCACCACACCCAGGTAATTTTTTGTATTTTTAGTAGAGATGGGGTTTCACTATGTTGACCAGGCTGGTCTCGAACTCCTGACCTCGTGATTCACCTGCTTCGGCCTCCCAAAGTGCTGGGATTACAGGCGTGAGCCACCATGCCCAGCCCAGGCCTTTTGTTTTAATCTCCCTACAGCCCCCTCTCCAGAATCTTGGTGCACTACTTTATGTATAATATATGTTTATAATATTACATAAATAATATTCACTAAAGGTAAGACTGTATTTAATTGAGGGGAAAGAAAAATAAAATTAATTAAAATTGGTTTTTAAAAGTATGAAAAATATCCAAACTCACTAGTAGACGACAAAAAAAGTCGTCTTCTTTTATAGTAGACAAAAAAGTTATATACAACTTTTCCCCTACATACTTGGCAAAGATTTTTAAATTTCTTTTTTCCTTCTTTTTAAATTTATTTTTTATTTTGTAATGTGACTTCTCAGTAGTACATGCAAGAGTACCATGACCCAGGACTGCAAAAGTCACTTTATAAGTAAATTGCCAGAAGTTATTCAATCTTGATCAAATTCTTAACGGCATGCTCTTCTTGGTTTCATCACCAGATACCTGCCCCAGAAATCTCACATCTTATCCTGGACTTTGTCACAACAGCTTTCTAATTTTCACCTGTTCCAGTCTCTTTTGATTCTGGTGGTGATTTATTCCTCTCTACTGGAGTTCTCAGCCATCTAGTCCATACAAACTGCACCAAAACACAAGAGAGATCAGAGCCCCGCTTTGTACATGGCCCGCTCCCCCGTCCATTCCAGTTTCCTGCCCTCTACTGGCCATGACGGTCATCACAGTGCCCTCCTCATTCCTAACTTTTAAATACACTTGAGACCGCCTGATTAATCTTGCACTAAGAAAAACAAAACAAAACAAACAAAAAACAAAAACAAAACACTCACATACAATGTTTTTAATGCTTGAAAAGTACCGGAACAATTATTTTTTCAACCAATGTAACCCAGGTGTGGGATATTTTGGGGATGGGGGTGGCAGGGAGAGGAGGGGTGAAAATCCTCCTGTATCCGCAAATAAGTTATTGGCAGAAAGGCATTAACGTGACTTACAAAGACTTCAATTAGTTCTCAAAATACCTCTTTCTTACACTGCCTTCTCTGCAATTTTTTTTCAATGAAGAATACATTGTGTTCTTCCTTGGAAGGCCACGGAAGCAAGAAATGAGATGAAAGCCGCACACGTAGTGTGCATCCATGTTACCTTGGAAATTATTGAATGTGCTTCTCCCCGAGTTTCCTTTCCTTTGAGTTTCAAGTTGTTATAAATGTTACTTTCCATAGACTACTAAGGATCTCTTTAAAGTGACCTGTCCATTTTCAAATCATCAAACCTATTTTTTAAAGATGGCAGGAATATTTTGTCACAGCATTTAAAAATACATCTTAATAGAACTATTACAGTAGCGTGCATGGCTGAGTTTTCTAAATTGCATTCTGCAAGTCTCATTTTTATTTATGTCAAATTGAAAATACAAATTGTAAATACAAATGAAACTTCTGTGGTCTGAATGTTTGTGTCTTTCCAACACTCTTAAGTTGAAATTCTAACCCCCAAAAAAACTTACCACGGGAGGAGACAAGATGGCCGAATAGGAACAGCTCCGGTCTACAGCTCCCAGCGTGAGCGACGCAGAAGACTGGTGATTTCTGCATTTCCATCTGAGGTACCGGGTTCATCTCACTAGGGAGTGCCAGACAGTGGGCGCAGGTCAGTGCGTGCGCGCACCATGCGCGAGTCGAAGCAGGGCGAGGCATTGCCTCACTCGGGAAGCGCAAGGGGTCAGGGAGTTCCCTTTCCGAGTCAAAGAAAGGGGTGATGGACGGCACCTGGAAAGTCGGGTCACTCCCACCCGAATACTGCGCTTTTCTGATGGGCTTAAAAAACGGCGCACCACGAGATTATATCCTACACCTGGCTCGGAGGGTCCTACACCCACGGAGTCTCGCTGATTGCTAGCACAGCAGTCTGAGATCAAACTGCAAGCGGCAGCTAGGCTGGGGGAGGGGCGCCCGCCATTGCCCAGGCTTGCTTAGGTAAACAAAGCAGCAGGGAAGCTCCAACTGGGTGGAGCCCACCACAGCTCAAGGAGGCCTGCCTGCCTCTGTAGGCTCCACCTCTGGGGGCAGGGCACAGACAAACAAAAAGCAGTAACCTCTACAGACTTAAATGTCCCTGTCTGACAGCTTTGAAGAGAGCAGTGGTTCTCCCAGCACGCAGCTGGAGATCTGAGAACCTGCAGACTGCCTCCTCAAGTGGGTCCCTGACCCCTGACCCCTGAGCAGCCTAACTGGGAGGCACCCCCCAGCAGGGGCACACTGACACCTCACACGGCAGGGTATTCCAACAGACCTGCAGCTGAGGGTCATGTCTGTTAGAAGGAAAATTAACAAACAGAAAGGACATCCACACCAAAAACCCATTTGTACATCACCATCATCAAAGACCAAAAGTAGATAAAACCACAAAGATGGGGAAAAAACAGAACAGAAAAACTGGAAACTCTAGAAAGCAGAGCGCCTCTCCTCCTCCAAAGGAACGCAGTTCCTCACCAGCAACGGAACAAAGCTGGATGGAGAATGACTTTGACGAGCTGAGAGAAGAAGGCTTCAGACGATCAAATTACTCTGAGCTACGGGAGGACATTCAAACCAAAGGCAAAGAAGTTGAAAACTTTGAAAAAAATTTAGAAGAATGTACAACTAGAATAACCAATACAGAGAAGTGCTTAAAGGAGCTGATGGAGCTGAAAACCAAGGCTTGAGAACTACGTGAAGAATGCAGAAGCCTCAGGAGCCGATGCGATCAACTGGAAGAAAGGGTATCAGCGATGGAAGATGAAATGAATGAAATGAAGAGAGAAGGGAAGTTTAGAGAAAAAAGAATAAAAGAAATGAGCAAAGCCTCCAAGAAATATGGGACTATGTGAAAAGACCAAATCTACGTCTGATTGGTGTACCTGAAAGTGATGGGGAGAATGGAACCAAGTTGGAAAACACTCTGCAGGATATTATCCAGGAGAACTTCCCCAATCTAGCAAGGCAGGCCAACGTTCAGATTCAGGAAATACAGAGAACGCCACAAAGTTACTCCTTGAGAAGAGCAACTCCAAGACACATAATTGTCAGATTCACCAAAGTTGAAATGAAGGAAAAAATGTTAAGGGCAGCCAGAGAGAAAGGTCGGGTTACCCTCAAAGGGAAGTGCATCAGACTAACAGCGGTTCTCTCGGCAGAAACCCTACAAGCCAGAAGAGAGTGAGGGCCAATATTCAACATTCTTAAAGACAAGAATTTTCAACCCAGAATTTCATATCCAGCCAAACTAAGCTTCATAAGCGAAGGAAAAATACAATCCTTTACAGACAAGCAAATGCTGAGAGATTTTGTCACCACCAGGCCTGCCCTAAAAGAGCTCCTGAAGGAAGCACTAAACATGGAAAGGAACAACTGGTACCAGCCACTGCAAAATCATGCCAAAATGTAAAGACCATCAAGACTAGGAAGAAACTGCATCAACTAACGAGCAAAATCACCAGCTAACATCATAATGACAGGATCAAATTCACACATAACAATATTAACTTTAAATGTAAATGGACTAAATGCTCCAATTAAAAGACACAGACTGGCAAATTGGATAAAGAGTCAAGACCCATCAGTGTGCTGTATTCAGGAAACCCATATCACGTGCAGAGACACACATAGGCTCAAAATAAAAGGATGGAGGAAGATCTACCAAGCAAATGGAAAACAAAAAAAGGCAGGGGTTGCAATACTAGTCTCTGATAAAACACACTTTAAACCAACAAAGATCAAAAGAGACAAAGAAGGCCATTGCATAATGGTAAAGGGATCAATTCAACAAGAAGAGCTAACTATACTAAATATATATGCACCCAATACAGGAGAACCAAGATTCATAAAGCAAGTCCTGAGTGACATACAAAGAGACTTAGACTCCCACACATTAATAATGGGAGACTTTAACACCCCACTGTCAACATTAGACGGATCAACGAGACAGAAAGTCAACAAGGATACCCAGGAATTGAACTCAGCTCTGCACCAAGCGGACCTAATAGACATCTACAGAACTCTCCACCCCAAATCAACAGAATATACATTTTTTTCAGCACCACACCACACCTATTCCAAAATTGACCACATACTTGGAAGTAAAGCTCTCCTCAGCAAATGTAAAGGAACAGAGATTATAACAAACTATCTCTCAGACCACAGTGCAATCAAACTAGAACTCAGGATTAAGAATCTCACTCAAAACCGCTCAACTACATGGAAACCGAACAACCTGCTCCTGAATGACTACTGGGTACATAACGAAATGAAGGCAGAAATAAAGACGTTCTTTGAAACCAACGAGAACAAAGACACAACATACCAGAATCTCTGGGACGCATTCAAAGCAGTGTGTAGAGGGAAATTTATAGCACTAAATGCCCACAAGAGAAAGCAGGAAAGATCCAAAATTGACACCCAAACATCACAATTAAAAGAACTAGAAAAGCAAGAGCAAACACATTCAAAAGCTAGCAGAAGGCAAGAAATAACTAAAATCAGAGCAGAACTGAAGGAAATAGAGACACAAAAAACCCTTCAAAAAATTAGTGAATCCAGGAGCTGGTTTTTTGAAAGGATCAACAAAATTGATAGACCGCTAGCAAGACTAATAAAGAAAAAAAGAGAGAAGAATCTAATAGACACAATAAAAAATGATAAAGGGGATATCACCACCGATCCCACAGAAATACAAACTACCATCAGAGAGTACTACAAACACCTCTACGCAAATAAACTAGAAAATCTAGAAGAAATGGATAAATTCCTCGACACATACACTCTCCGAAGACAAAACCGGGAAGAAGTTGAATCTCTGAATAGACCAATAACAGGATCTGAAATTGTGGCAATAATCAATAGCTTACCAACAAAAAAGAGTCCAGGACCAGATGGATTCACAGCTGAATTCTACCAGAGGTACAAGGAGGAACTGGTACCATTCCTTCTGAAACTATTCCAATCAATAGAAAAAGAGGGAATCCTCCCTAACTCATTTTATGAGGCCAGCATCATTCTGATACCAAAGCCAGGCGGAGACACAACAAAAAAAGAGAATTTTAGACCAATATCCTTGATGAACATTGATGCAAAAATCCTCAATAAAATACTGGCAAAACGAATCCAGCAACACATCAAAAAGCTTATCCACCATGATCAAGTGGGCTTCATCCCTGGGATGCAAGGCTGGTTCAATATACGCAAATCAATAAATGTAATCCAGCATATAAACAGAGCCAAAGACAAAAACCACATGATTATCTCAATAGATGCAGAAAAAGCCTTTGAGAAAATTCAACAACCCTTCATGCTAAAAACTCTCAATAAATTAGGTATTGATGGGATGTATTTCTAAATAATAAGAGCTATCTATGACAAACCCACAGCCAATATCATACTGAATGGGCAAAAACTGGAAGCATTCCCTTTGAAAACTGGCACAAGACAGGGATGCCCTCTCTCACCACTCCTATTCAACATAGTGTTGGAAGTTCTGGCCAGGGCAGTTAGGCAGGAGAAGGAAATAAAGGGTATTCAATTAGGAAAAGAGGAAGTCAAATTGTCCCTGTTTGCAGATGACATGATTGTATATCTAGAAAACCCCATTGTCTCAGCCCAAAATCTCCTTAATCTGATAAGCAACTTCAGCAAAGTCTCAGGTTACAAAATCAATGTACAAAAATCACAAGCATTCTTATACACCAGCAACAGACAAACAGAGAGCCAAATCAGGAGTGAACTCCCATTCACAATTGCTTCAAAGAGAATAAAATACCTAGGAATCCAACTTACAAGGGATGTGAAGGACCTCTTCAAGGAGAACTACAAACCACTGCTCAAGGAAATAAAAGAGGATACAAACAAATGGAAGAACATTCCATGCTCATGGGTAGGAAGAATCAATATCGTGAAAATGGCCATACTGCCCAAGGTAATTTACAGATTCAATGCCATCCCCATCAAGCTACCAATGACTTTCTTCACAGAATTGGAAAAAACTACTTTAAAGTTCATATGGAACCAAAAAAGAGCCCGCATCGCCAAGTCAATCCTAAGCCAAAAGAACAAAGCTGGAGGCATCACACTACCTGACTTCAAACTATACTACAAGGCTACAGTAACCAAAACAGCATGGTACTGGTACCAAAACAGAGGTATAGATCAATGGAACAGAACAGAGCCCTCAGAAATAACGCCGCATATCTACAACTATCTGATCTTTGACCAACCTGAGAAAAACAAGCAATGGGGAAAGGATTCCCTATTTAATAAATGGTGCTGGGAAAACTGGCTAGCCATATGTAGAAAGCTGAAACTGGATCCCTTCCTTACACCTTATACAAAAATCAATTCAAGATGGATTAAATACTTAAACATTAGACCTAAAACCATAATAACCCTAGAAGAAAACCTAGGCAATATCATTCAGGACATAGGCATGGGAAAGGACTTCATGTCTAAAACACCAAAAGCAATGGCAACAAAAGACAAAATTGACAAATGGGATCTAATTAAACTAAAGAGCTTCTGCACAGCAAAAGAAACTACCATCAGAGTGAACAGGCAACCTACAAAATGGGAGAAAATTTTTGCAACCTACTCATCTGACAAAGGGCTAATATCCAGAATCTACAATGAACTCCAACAAATTTACAAGAAAAAAACAAACAACCCCATCAAAAAGTGGACGAAGGACATGAAGAGACACTTCTCAAAAGAAGACATTTATGCAGCCAAAAAACACATGAAAAAATGCTCATCATCACTGGCCATCAGAGAAATGCAAATCAAAACCACTATGAGATACCATCTCACACCAGTTAGAAGGGCAATCATTAAAAAGTCAGGAAACAACAGGTGCGGGAGAGGATGTGGAGAAATAGGAACACTTTTACACTGTTGGTGGGACTGTAAACTAGTTCAACCATTGTGGAAGTCAGTGTGGCGATTCCTCAGGGATCTAGAACTGGAAATACCATTTGACCCAGCCATCCCATTACTGGGTATATACCCAAAGGACTATAAATCATGCTGCTAGAAAGACACATGCACACGTATGTTTATTGTGGCATTATTCACAATAGCAAAGACTTGGAACCAACCCAAATGTCCAACAATGATAGACTGGATTAAGAAAATGTGGCACATATACATATACACCATGGAATACTATGCAGCCATAAAAAATGATGAGTTCATGTCCTTTGTAGGGACATGGATGAAACTGGAAAACATCATTCTCAGTAAACTATCGCAAGAACAAAAAACCAAACACCGCATATTCTCACTCATAGGTGGGAATTGAACAATGAGATCACATGGACACAGGAAGGGGAATATCACACTCTGGGGACTGTTGTGGGGTGGGGGGATGGGGGAGGGATAGCATTGGGAGATATACCTAATGCTAGATGACGAGTTAGTGGGTGCAGTGCACCAGCATGGCACATGTATACATATGTAACTAACCTGCACAAAGTGCACATGTACCCTAAAACTTAAAGTATAATAAAAAAAAAAAAAGAAATTCTAACCCCCAATGTGATGGGTATTAGAAGGTGGGGATTTAGCGAATTATTGTCCTTATAAAAAGAAAGCCCAGAGAGATCCCTTGCCCCTTTCACCATGTGAGGACACAGTGAGAAGGCACCATCTGTGGACCAGAAAGCTCTCCCTCACCAGACAGTGAATCTGCAAACACCTTCAGTTTGGACATCTCAGCATCCACAACAATGAGTAATGAATTTCTTTGTTTATAAACTACCCTAGTCTGTGGTAATTTGTTATAGCAGCTCAAATGGACTAAGATAGAACCCTTAAAAACCCAACTATCACATTACATACTTGTTACAAATTGTTTCCCCACTGCCATCATATACAAAGACAGATTAAGCTCTGAGTAAATTTCTGTAACCTTTCATTTTCCTATCCAATCACTGTTCACGATAATTATAAGCAAAGGGGATTACCTAAAGGCAGATAACCAGAGGGAAAATAAGCAAACCAAAAAGAGTGTATAATCTTCATATTAGATTGAATAATTTACAGTTAACAATATATTTTATATTGTGTTTGTAGGTTAACGTTTTTATCTGATAAAATACAGTCCACTCTAAAATAGATAGCTACAGAAGATACATTTTTAAATTAGTAAGATTTATTACTATTATTCACATTGATTTAGTGTAACTTAATGATTTAGGAGAAAAAATCACTTTATATTTTAAATTTTTTTGAAAATATTATACAAAATGGTCTTCATAGCACAAAAATGAGGTTTCAAATTGGTTTTGGTTCATAAAGATGGCTCAATTTTTACAAGTGGGTGTGTTTGTTGACCTGAACAAGAATTGGTTTTGATTCCCTTCACTATAGTTCTCAGGCATTTTTACTTTTGAGAATTCCAAGATGGTCTATGTATTTTCTTAGAAAATGAGGTTGGCAAATAAGTCACTAACTCAGTTTGTACACTGCAAATTGATAGAAAAGTAACAGTTTCTATTTATCACCTAATTTCCTCTTTAGTTTTCAATAAAATGAAAAAGTGAGCAGATTCATTCAGCAAAAGATTAAAATACATTCCCAAGTAGACCTACAGGAAAATCTAATTTATAGAAAATACAACATTAGCCTCTTTAATTCTTAAAAGACTAGCCATAATTTCAAGTAGTCAGTTCACTGATGCATACACATTTTTGGCTCAGGATATATGATTACTCACCTCATATGATTGTGTGGCTTGACTTTGGCTGGCTTACTTTCAATCGTTGCAGAAACATTAATATCCAGAAGTTAGTTGGAGAGTAACATATGCCAACTAGGTATGAGGTAGTTTGTCAATAATCTTGTAACTTTCCACAATATAACCTCACCATCCTTTTATATTGACAGTTTTTGATTACAGAAATGAATTGAAATTTTTTTCTGAAGGCAATTCATCTTGGTTCTGCATACTAAAAACCAGCAAGGTAATGCGGTGCAAAGTTACATGCCACCTCATGATTAAAGGAGTTTAATTCAAAATGTCCAAAGCAAACTTTTAATAGCACAAACAAAATCATATGTTCAAATGTCATGGACTTTGACAACTTTTCTCTCCACCGTGCCAAGATAATGGACTTTGAAGCCACAGAGACATGGCTCCATCATTTGCTAACTGTGGGATCTTTGTGAAACTTAACCTCCAGAACTTCATTTCCTTACTGGTAAAGTGGGGTGAAGGGTTCACAGAATTACTGGCAACTGTAAAATGAGCTAAAGAGATGAGGGGAGACCTGAACCATTGCATGGCATATATGGACGCCCAGTAAATGTCAATTTCACTTTCCTTATCTCCAAAATACTTTAGTAATATGCCTTTAATTGTAATTTTGACCTTGCATTTTACATAAACCCCTAAGTCTGAGGTACTTTTACAATTTGGATACCAATCTTTCCAATAAAGTTGACTGCTATCTCTTCTGTGTAATTTCAACAGCAACAGAAAGTCCCCCTGACTTTAAAAGCATTTCTGTTTGCTCTGCTCATGCCTGAAGCTTCTTTTACCAAGAATAAAGGCATTTATTCTATAATTATAGATAAACTAAAAATATAAATTCCCTGTAGAGAGATAACACCATGACTTAAATTCACACCAGCTTTTAGAGGACTGATAACAGAGAGTTTTCTTTGATTAATTGGGGGAGAGCAGAGGTGAACATGCAGGAGAAGTGCAATGTGGTAACCTGGGCCGGAAGAGAGTCCACAGAGGGAGGAAAATGATCTCAAAATAAGGACAAAGTCAAAGACAATTTTCAACAACCACACAAGTTTTTTCTCCAGACCAGACCCTGCAAAAGGAGATATGATTGACATCACAATGGCTTTTTCAGAAAACAACTTTTTGTCTAATAGTGGTAGAGAATCCAGTTTAAATTACAGGTGTACATTACTGATCAGACCAAGGCATTTATATGATTGGAGATGGTAACACTAGACATATGTCCACAGTGGGATAGACTCTGCTCACAGGCGCTGCTGGTAGGTAGAGCGGTGTGTGTCTTTAACATTCACTTGGTGTTATCACTTGATGTTTCCAGACCTGATTTCCCCATGGTTTGAGGAATAAATAAACTATTGAGAGTAATTTAAAGAGAAGCCACAGAAAGTATTAAGTATCAAGGTTTTCAAACCAATTGGTGTTTCTAACCCCTTACCCTATGGAATGGCTAGGGGTTCCACTGGATGCTCTAAAATTATTCTGGACACACCAAGCAGTCAACAACAACAACAAAGAAACAAAGGGAGGAAGAGTTTTTTTCTGTTTTCAGCCCAACATCAATGGCTCTTTGTGTCATGCTTCAGCCCAAGACACATAACCCGCTGCTTTTGTCAGGTCCATAGCCTAGTGGGAAAATATCAGGTGATTTAAGCAAATTCTGAAAGCACCAAACTGTCAGACTTGAGTATTTATGGTCTTTGATTGCAAACTTACAAAGAACAGAGACCATGTATATATTCTGAACCAGCATCCTATGCATATACAGGGATTATTAAACGATAATATTTTATTGTAGAAGGCATTTAAATGTCCTCTCTGACTGTCAGGCTAAGGTACTTAAACTGTAATGCACATTTTGTCTTCATTCTGAAGTCAGTGCCTTCCTGGTGGTAAAATATTCTTCCTCATACCTCCCTCACTGAAGTTAATAAAACCTTAGTCGTCCTTTAGAACGAGGCTAAATACAATTTCGTCTTAAAGCATTTCTCTGGTTATTCTGGGCAACACTTAAACTTCTTTTATAATTAAAGACAGTATGATGAGCTAGTACTTTACATTCTCATTTTTTTCCCTTGTGTTAGTCTTGATTTTAGAACCTTTTCCTCAGCTGTGTTGTCAGTTCACACGGTGAGGACCATGCCTTATCATTCTGATACCAAGCCCATTTCCATTTATTCTTATCTCATGGTATATGATTTTTTAAAGTAATTTGATTAATTGAAATTTTGTTAGATTATTAAAATCCACATGTCACCATTTGTTAGAGACACAATATTGTGTCGCCCCAAAATTCATATTTTGAAACTCTAACCCCCCAGTGTGACTACATTCGGAGACAGGGCCTGTGAGGAGCTAGGAAAAGTTAAATGAAGTTGTAAGGGTGAGACCCTTATCTGATAGGACTGATGTCCTTATAAACGGAAAAAACACTGGAGCACTTCCTCTTCACCATATGCGCGAAGGTGGCCATCTGCAAGTCAGAAAGAGAACCCTCACCAGAAACAGACCCTGTTGATCCTTGATGTGGGAACTTTTAGCCTTCAGAACTGTCAGAAAATAAATTTCTGTTTTTTAAGCTACTTAGACTCTAGTCTATGATATTTTGTTATGGTAGCCTAAGCCTACTAATACATCACTAAAATCTTAAAAAAAAAAACGCCTGATTCAAGGAAGCAATATGCAAATCCAATAGACATGTTTTCAATTTAGAGAACGAACTGTGTTCACAGCCATAAGAAGTCCATTTTTTGTTTTAATAGTGCAAAGAAATAAAACATTTGCACAATTCTAGTGGAAACTTTTGCCTTGCACTTTCGGCAATGTAGTGGCAATCTTAGAAAAAGACCATAAAAAGAACTAAATAAATTCCTTATAAATTTAGAATGAAAAACGAAGTCAAAATAAATATTTTAAAAACAAAACCACTAATTTTAAAGTAATAAAAATCACTACATAATAGTTGCTTTGCTTAAAAACAACTTTATAGTAAAGCTCCTGTAAGCAGTGCCTCTCAGATGCTGGCATTAATCAACAAAGTCTAAGATTGCATTGGAGCCCCTAGCTTAACAGTTTTTGGCCACCAATAGGGGGCAGCAAGGCACACCAGATCCCTCAGTGACACTTGAGGGAGGCTTGCCAGGTTAGCTAGGAAGTGTCTAGGAGGCATGGCAACATCAGATATGCAGAAAAAGAAATCCATACATCAGATAAGGCACTAGTAGGAGGAGATAGTGAGAATACACAGATCAAAATTTCATTCACGCCAATGGAAAGCATGGAGTGGAACTGAGATGTTTATGCTTCTAGAAATCGTATGTGTCAGCATCTCTTAATTCTACTAAATCTGACAAAATCATCCATAATGTTTAGAATTCTTCTGTCCTGATTTCTCATAGTTAAAACTAAGTGCTTTTTCTTTTTCTTCTACTCAATTCCTTTAAGCCTGCATGGAAAGTAGCTCCACAACATCTTAAAGAGTACATTGGCCTATAATAAAGGGTAGGTTGACTGTTTTTCTCCCCAGAAAAGAGAAGAATTTTCAGTATTCCATAATTGCAGAAAAATACTTTGGTCCAAAAGTAGACTAGTCTTGCCTATCAGAATGTGCCCAGAGAGCTAGGTCCTGAAAGCAATTAAACCTAGTTCTAAAAGATCTTGAGCATAAGAAAATTGGAACTGTTTGTTTAATTCCTTACTAGATATTACATTGACATGCCTTTAGAGTTACTATGCATTTGATAAATATAGGAAAAGACAGTAAATATTTTGCTGATTAGTCAAAAATATATGGGCTGATAGATTGATTTCCTCACTTCAGCCACAAAGTAAAGAACTTCCAGCCTTCCCAATTTATAGAGCAAATTTTAGAATGTTTCTGTGCAGAATGTTTTACAGAGAGTGATAACGAAAAGGAGCTCAGAGCTTATTTTCTGTAGGATGTATGTACAGCTCTGACTCAGACCTAAGTATGGAATAGAACACTCCTTGCTCTTTCTCCACTGAGCAAAGTCCAAATGTTGATCATGTTAGAAGAATCAACTTCTTCTAACGCAGGTGGGCACCATCCAATCTAATCTGTTGAGAATGAGAATTAACAAATTGGCAGAGGAAAGGCAAATGTGCTCTCTCTCCTTAAACTGGGACATTCATTTTCTCCTGCCCTCAGACATCAGTGCGCCTGGTTTTTGGATCTTCAAACTCAAACTGGGACTTATGCCATTGGCTCACCTGGTTCTGAGGCCTCTGGTTTTGGACCAGACCTATACCACTGGCTTTCTTGTCCTCCAGCTTACAGACAAGACAGCAGATTCTGGAACTTAGCCTCCATACTTGTGTGAGCCAATTCCTCGTAATAAATCTTTGTCTATCTGTTTGTATATCTACGTACCTATCCCATTATTTGTTTCTCTGGAGAACCCTGAATAATACAAATATGCTACCTTTTCTGATTTCTTTTTTCTTTTTTTTTTTTTTTTGGTAGAAGGAAGGGCTTTATTCAGCTGGGAACATCAGTAAGCTACTGCCTTAAAATCCGAGCTCCCCGAGTGCACAATTTCTGTCCCTTTTAAGGGCTCACAACACTAAAGATTTCACATGAAAGGGTCGTGATTGATTTATTATTATTATTATTATACTTAAAGTTTTAGGGTACATGTGCACAACATGCAGATTTGTTATATATGTATACATGTGCCATGTTGATGTGCTGCACCCATTAACTGGTCATTTAGCATTAGGTATATCTCCTAATGCTATCCCTCCCCCCTCCCCCCACCCCACAACAGTCCCCGTTGTGTGATGTTCCCCTTCCTGTGTCCATGTGTTCTCATTGTTCAATTCCCAACTATGAGTGAGAACATGCGGTGTTTGGTTTTTTGTTCTTGCGAGAGTTTGCTGAGAATGATAGTTTCCGGCTTCATCCATGTCCCTAAAAAGGACATGAACTCATCACTTTTTATGGCTGCATAGTATTCCATGGTGTATATGTGCCACATTTTCTTAATCCAGTCTATCATTGTTGGACATTTGGATTGGTTCCAAGTCTTTGCTATTGTGAATAGTGCCGCAATAAATATACCTGTGCATGTGTCTTTATAGCAGCATGATTTATAATCCTTTGGGTATATACCCAGTAATGGGATGGCTGGGTCAAATGGTATTTCTAGTTCTAGATCCCTGAGGAATCGCCACACTGACTTCCACAATGGTTGAACTAGTTTACAGTCCCACCAACAGTGTAAAAGTGTTCCTATTTCTCCACATCCTCTCCAGCACCTGTTGTTTCCTCACTTTTTAATGATTGCCATTCTAACTGGTGTGAGATGGTATCTCATTGTGGTTTTGATTTGCATTTCTCTGATGGCCAGTGATGGTGAGCATTTTTTCATGTGTTTTTTGGCTGCATAAATGTCTTCTTTTGAGAAGTGTCTGTTCATATCCTTCGCCCACTTTTTGATGGGGTTGTTTGTTTTTTTCTTGTAAATTTGTTTGAGTTCATTGTAGATTCTGGATATTAGCCCTTTGTCAGATGAGTAGGTTGCAAAAATTTTCTCCCACTCTGTAGGTTGCCTGTTCACTCTGATGGTAGTTTCTTTTGCTGTGCAGAAGCTCTTTAGTTTAATTAGATCCCATTTGTCAATTTTATCTTTTGTTGCCATTGCTTTTGGTGTTTTAGACATGAAGTCCTTGCCCATGCCTATGTCCTGAATGGTATTGCCTAGGTTTTCTTCTGGGGTTTTTATGGTTTTAGGTCTAACATGTAAGTCTTTAATCCATCTTGAATTAATTTTTGTATAAGGTGTAAGGAAGGGATCCAGTTTCAGCTTTCTACATATGGCTAGCCAGTTTTCCCAGCACCATTTATTAAATAGGGAATCCTTTCCCAATTGCTTGTTTTTCTCAGGTTTGTCAAAGATCAGATAGTTGTAGATATGCGGCATTATTTCTGAGGGCTCTGTTCTGTTCCATTGGTCTATATCTCTGTTTTGGTACCAGTACCATGCTGTTTTGGTTACTGTAGCCTTGTAGTATAGTTTGAAGTCAGGTAGTGTGATGCCTCCAGCTTTGTTCTTTTGGCTTAGGATTGACTTGGCGATGCGGGCTCTTTTTTGGTTCCATATGAACTTTAAAGTAGTTTTTTCCAATTCTGTGAAGAAAGTCATTGGTAGCTTGATGGGGATGGCATTGAATCTATAAATTACCTTGGGCAGTATGGCCATTTTCACGATATTGATTCTTCCTACCCATGAGCATGGAATGTTCTTCCATTTGTTTGTATCCTCTTTTATTTCCTTGAGCAGTGGTTTGTAGTTCTCCTTGAAGAGGTCCTTCACATCCCTTGTAAGTTGGATTCCTAGGTATTTTATTCTCTTTGAAGCAATTGTGAATGGGAGTTCACTCATGATTTGGCTCTTTGTTTGTCTGTCATTGGTGTATAAGAATGCTTGTGATTTTTGCACATTGATTTTGTATCCTGAGACTTTGCTGAAGTTGCTTAAGGAGATTTTGGGCTGATACGATGGGGTTTTCTAGATATACAATCATGTCATCTGGAAACAGGGACAATTTGACTTCCTCTTTTCCTAATTGAATGCCCTTTATTCCCTTCTCCTGTCTAATTGCCCTGGCCAGAACTTCCAACACTATGTTGAATAGGAGTGGTGAGAGAGGGCATCCCTGTCTTGTGCCAGTTTTCAAAGGGAATGCTTCCAGTTTTTGTCCATTCAGTATGATATTGGCCGTGGGTTTGTCACAGATAGCTCTTATTATTTTGAGTTATGTCCCATCAATACCTAATTTATTGAGAGTTTTTAGCATGAAGGGTTGTTAAATTTCCTCAAAGGCCTTTTCTGCATCTATTGAGATAATGATGTGGTTTTTGTCGTTGGTTCTGTTTATATGCTGGATTACATTTATTGATTTGCATATGTTGAACCAGCCTTGCATCCCAGGGATGAAGCCCACTTGATCATGGTGGATAAGCTTTTTGATGTGTTGCTGGATTCAGTTTGCCAGTATTTTATTGAGGATTTTTGATTCAATGTTCATCAAGGATATTGGTCTAAAATTCTCTTTTTTTGTTGTGTCTCTGCCAGGCTTTGGTATCAGGATGATGCTGGCCTCACAAAATGATTTAGGGAGGATTCCCTCTTTTTCTATTGATTGGAATAGTTTCAGAAGGAATGGTACCAGTTCCTCCTTGTACCTCTGGTAGAATTCGGCTGTGAATCTATCTGATCCCGGACTTTTTTGGTTGGTAAGCTATTAATTATTGCCTCAATTTCAGAGCCTGTTATTGGTCTATTCAGAGATTCAACTTCTTCCTGGTTTAGTCTTGGGAGGGTGTATGTCTCCAGGAATTTATCCATTTCTTCTAGATTTTCTAGTTTATTTGCGTAGAGGTGTTTATAGTATTCTCTGATGGTAGTTTGTATTTCTGTGGGATCGGTGGTGATATCCCCTTTGTCATTTTTTATTGCGTCTATTAGATTCTTCTCTCTTTTCTTCTTTATTAGTCTTGCTGGCGGTCTATCAATTTTGTTGATCTTTTCAAAAAACCAGCTCCTGGATTCACTGATTTTTTGAAGGGTTTTTTGTGTCTCTATTTCCTTCAGTTCTGCTCTGATCTTAGTTATTTCTTGCCTTCTGCTAGCTTTTGAATGTGTTTGCTCTTGCTTCTCTAGTTCTTTTAATTGTGATGTTAGGGTGTCAATCTTAGATCTTTCCTGCTTTCTCTTGTGGGCATTTAGTGCTATAAATTTCCCTCTACACACTGCTTTGAATGCGTCCCAGAGATTCTGGTATGTTGTGTCTTTGTTCTCATTGGTTTCAAAGAACGTCTTTATTTCTGCTTTCATTTCGTTATGTACCCAGTAGTCATTCAGGAGCAGGTTGTTCGGTTTCCATGTAGTTGAGCAGTTTTGAGTGAGTTTCTTAATCCTGAGTTCTAGTTTGATTGCACTGTGGTCTGAGAGACAGTTTGTTATAATTTCTGTTCTTTTACATTTGCTGAGGAGTGCTTTACTTCCAAGTATGTGGTCAATTTTGGAATAGATGTGGTGTGGTGCTGAAAATAATGTATATTCTGTTGATTTGAGGTGGAGAGTTCTGTAGATGTCTATTAGGTCCGCTTGGTGCAGAGCTGTGTTCAATTCCTGGATACCCTTGTTAACTTTCTGTCTCATTGATCAGTCTAATATTGACAGTGGGGTGTTAAAGTCTCCCATTGTTATCGTGTGGGAGTCTAAGTCTCTTTGTACATCACTAAGGACTTGCTTTATGAATCTGTGTGCTCCTGTATTGGGTGCATATATATTTAGAATAGTTAGTTCTTGTTGAATTGATCCCTTTACCATTATATAATGGTCTTCTTTGTCTCTTTTGATCTTTGTTGGTTTAAAGTTTGTTTTATCCGAGACTAGGATTGCAATCCCTGCATTTTTTTGTTTTCCATTTGCGTGGTAGATCTTCCTCCATCCCTTTATTTTGAGCCTATGTGTGTCTCTGCACGTGATATGGGTTTCCTGAATACAGCACACTGATGGGTCTTGACTCTTTATCCAATTTGCCAGTCCTTGCCTTTTAATTGGAGCATTTAGCCCATTTACATTTAAGGTTAGTATTGTTATGTGTGAATTTAATCCTGTCATTATGATGTTAGCTGGTGATTTTGCTTGTTAGTTGATGCAGTTTCTTCCTAGCCTTGATGGTCTTTACAATTTGGCATGTTTTTGCAGTGGCTGGTACTGGTTTTTCCTTTCCATGTTTAGTGCTTCCTTCAGGAGCTCTTTTAGGGCAGGCCTGGTGGTGACAAAATCTCTCAGCATTTGCTTGTCTGTAAAGGATTGTATTTCTCCTTCACTTATGAAGCTTAGTTTGGCTGGATATGAAATTCTGGTTTGAAAATTCTTGTCTTTAAGAATGTTGAGGCCGGGCGCGGTGGCTCACGCCTGTAATCCCAGCACTTTGGGAGGCCGAGGCGGGCGGATCACGAGGTCAGGAGATCGAGACCATCCCGGCTAAAACGGTGAAACCCCGTCTCTACTAAAAATACAAAAAATTAGCCGGGCATAGTGGCGGGCGCCTGTAGTCCCAGCTACTTGGGAGGCTGAGGCAGGAGAATGGCGTGAACCCGGGAGGCGGAGCTTGCAGTGAGCCGAGATCCCGCCACTGCACTCCAGCCTGGGCGACAGAGCGAGACTCCCGTCTCAAAAAAAAAAAAAAAAAAAAAGAAAGAATGTTGAATATTGGCCCCCACTCTCTTCTGGCTTTTAGAGTTTCTTCTGAGAGATCAGCTGTTAGTCTGATGGGCTTCCCTTTGTTTGTGGGTAACCCCACCTTTCTCTCTGGCTGCCCTTAACATTTTTTCCTTCATTTCAACTTTGGTGAATCTGACAATTATGTGTCTTGGAGTTGCTCTTCTCGAGGAGTATCTTTGTGGTGTTCTCTGTATTTCCTGAATTTGAATGTTGGCCTGCCTTGCTAGATTGGGGAAGTTCTCCTGGATAATATCTGCAGAGTGTTTTCCAACTTGGTTCCATTCTCCCTGTCACTTTCAGGTACACCAATGAGATGTAGATTTGGTCTTTTCACATAGTCCCATATTTCTTGGAGGCTTTGTTCATTTCTTTTTATTCTTTTTTCTTCTAAACTTCTCTTCTCACTTCATTTCATTCATTTCGTCTTCTATCGCTGATACCCTTTCTTCCAGTTGATCGCATCATTTACTGAGGCTTGTGCATTCGTCACATAGTTCTCATGCCGTGGTTTTTAGCTCCATCAGGTCCTTTAAGTACTTCTCTGCATTGGTTATTCTAGTTATCCATTCATCTAATTTTTTTTTCAAAGTTTTTAACTTCTTTGCCATTGGTTTGTACTTCCTGCTTTAGCTCAGAGTAGTTTCATCTTCTGTAGCCTTCTTCTCTCTACTTGTCAAAGTCATTCTCCGTCCAGCTTTGTTCCGTTGCTGGTGAGGAGCTGCATTCCTTTGGAGGAGGAGAGGCACTCTGATTTTTAGAGTTTCCAGTTTTTCTGCTCTGTTTTTTCCCCATCTTTGTGGTTTTATCTACCTTTGGTCTTTGATGACAGTGATGTACAGATGGGTTTTTGGTGTGGATGTCCTTTCTGTTTGTTAGTTTTCCTGCTAACAGACAGGACCCTCAGCTGCAGGTCTGTTGGAGTTTTCTGGAGGTCCACTCCAGACCCTATTTGCCTGGGTATCAGCAGCAGTGGCTGCAGGACAGCAGATATTGGTGAACCGCAAATGCTGCCGTCTGATCGTTCGTCTGGAAGATTTGTCTCAGAGGAGTACCCGGCCGTGTGAGGTGTCAGTCTCCCCTACTGGGGGGTGCCTCCCAGTTAGACTACTCAGGGGTTAGGAACCCACTTGAGGAGAGAGTCTGCCCGTTCTCAGATCTCAAGCTGCGTGCTGGGAGAACCACTATTCTCTTCAAAGCTGTCAGACAGGGACATTTAAGTCTGCAGAGGTTATTGCTGTCTTTTGTTTGTCTGTGCCCTGCCCCTAGAGGTGGAGCCTACAGAGGCAGGCAGGCCTCCTTGAGCTGTGGTGGGCTCCACCCAGTTTGAGCTTCCAGGCCTCTTTGTTTACCTGCTTAAGCCTGGGCAATGGCGGGCGCCCCTCCCCCAGCCTTGCTGCAGCCTTGCAGTTTGATCTCAAACTCCTGTGCTAGCAGTGAGCGAGGCTCTGTGGGTGTAGGACCCTCCGAGCCAGGTGAAGGATATAAGCTCCTGATGTGCCGTGTGTTAAACCTGTTGGAAGAGCACAGTATTAGGGTGGGAGTGACCCGATTTTCCAGGTGCCTTCTGTCACCCCTTTCTTTGACTAGGAAAGGGAATTCCCTGACCCCATGTGCTTCCCGGGTGAGGTGATGCCTCGCTCTGCTTTGGCTCATGCATGGTGTGCTGCACCCACTGTCCTGCACCCACTGTCGGGCACTCCCCAGTGAGATGAACCCGGTACCTCAGTTGGAAATGCAGAAATCACCCGTCTTCTGTGTCGCTCACGCTGGGAGCTGTAGACTGGAGCTCTTCCTATTTGGCCATCTTGGCTCCACCACCTTTTCTGATTTCTGACCATCTTAAGTCTCAGGAACATGAGCAAACTCTTCTGTTGGGATTAAGAAAAAAGATTTCCCTTCAAGACTTGATTTTAGCCTACAGTGAATTTTTATGACCAAGTTATTAACCCCTGAAAAATGGGATATATAATGGAAACACTGATAGATTCTTAATGTTAGCTGTGCTGGCAGGCACCTATATATTAGCCTTAATAGTGTCAAATTGTGAAACTAAAGTGATTGAAAACCTACTAACTTACACTTAAGGAATCCCTGCTTCAATAGGTTTTGATATCTCCCTCATTTGAATGATTTTTCAGGCTGTTTTAAAGACTAGTGTCCTGTATTTGTGAGAATGAGAGTTACAATACTATAGGATTTTGTGAACATCATAAACTTAGAACAGCATATTCATTCCTGAATGGCTCAAGACTCAGTGCTTTTTTTTCCTATGTAGGAAATTTACCTGCATAAAAATCTTGAGTTATCCAGCCATAAATTCTATAGCCTGAAGTCTTTCTTCTTTACCTCCCATTTTTATGCATTTTATTCATTTTTCTATTGGCTCATTGAACAGCTGAAGGGGATAACAATGTAATTTCATGAACAGTGACCAAAAAGAGAAGAAAATATCCTTGACTTGGGCAGATAAGTGGGCTCTTCACACTGTAATATTACAGCTTGAACCCAGACTTTCACTGGCTTGATCTCATTACATAAGCTATTCCCTGCAACTGTCTTCTGCTATGGCTTCTTCATGTGACCTGACAGCCCATATACAGATGTAGCAGTAAATACACGCTGCCAATGCTAAACAAAAAAATTCCCTATCGTCATGTTTATCAGGATAAATGTGTTGCCAGATGCATTCTTCCTGAGTTGATATTAACAGAGCATGGCAAATGTCATCTCTTCTTCCTCAAGGGGTTCTTCTGAAGCCCTCATTTGGCATTTGAAAACATTGAACATGGTTGGATAGACCCAGATGCATTCTCTAACAGAACTTATAGAAACATGGAGAATAGCTTCATCCTATCAAGTATTATATTATTTTAAGGCTATTCGGACATGAGGTAGAAAAATCAAAATACTTTCACCCTGAACCAACTGTTATACACAGCACAACAAGAAAAAACAAATTGGTCATTACAGAAAATTTGGAAATCCCCTGCTTAAGGGCCTTGGGGACATGGGAAGCCATTTGTCACTGATTGTTGTGTTTTTCAAGAACAATTAGAGCAAAATCATATAAACATCATGGATTGAGAAATATAATGCTGGTCCTTATTTCAGATGTATGTGTTTAAAAATCACACACAACAGATATAGAAAATAGCAATAGTACCAGGATGCAAGAAGTATGTTTATGCAGCTCCATTACAAATACTATCCTAAACAGAATTTGCATGGATGGAGTTTTCCCATATCCTTTATAAGCTACTAGGAACAATGCAAGAATTTCAAGTAACCACCCAGCTTTCCATTTTCCATCACTGAAATGCTTTACTCTTTGCATATAAACTTCTAGCTGTGGCTGACGGCTGTAAGCCCATTATATTTCAACTGTCATCTGGCAGCGGAGATTCAATCCATTGCTTCAATCACAGTGGCCTGTCTTCTCTAGCTCTGGGAATTACACTAAAGTGCATGATTTAAATGTCTTCACTGTCAAATTATTGTTGTTTAGTTCATCAAGATAGATTTTTAAAACTCATGGGAAAAATATGCCCTAAAAAGTATTGTTTTGTTATAGGAAAGAAAAGTATTTCAAAATCAACAGTTGCTCAAAGGTCTCAAATTAGTTTTATTCATAATGCTAGGGTTTCCTAAATGTGAGGTAACAGAATAATAATTACCAAATAAGCCAAATGCTTAATGTGTAAAAGGCCCACTTCAAATATTTTGGTAGGAAAACATAGTGTTTTGAATAATTGGAAGTTTATCAACTCTTTGCCTGTTAGTTCATTGCCCTCCCAAGATCATTTCTCATTCATTTTGTACTACATTTGTTGGGCAAGTGCTCTGCACCAGACATTGTGCAAGGCAGTGGGAACAAGATAAACAAGACAGAGTCTCTGCCTTCTAGGAACTAGTAAAAGTAAGAGAACAGGCTTTGATTTATGACACTGTAAGTCATTATTTCTTTGTCACAAAAAGAAAACACAGCTACCTGACAGTGGAGAACCAGGAAAAAACATGGTAGCCAACTTTGTACAATCATGCCAGGTTTCTTTTAGGTTTCCCTACGCACCACAGCATACACCACCAGAGGATGCCTACAGTTGCTCTCAACCTTTTATTTACCCAGATATGCCTGAGGGGTGTGACAAACTTCCATCAGTAATTGCAACTCATTTTGGCAGTAACTTTCAAGGCAGGCAAGTGTGCAGAAATGGGTAATGGGAAAGTATCAGAGGACATAGAAAACTCTGTGTTTGGGAAAGGCCCAGAGCTGGTTTATATTGCGCCCTTCATTTCCCTTAAGAACCACTAAGAGGTCTACCATGCAGAATTAAGCTGTGCAAGTGGGACGAGTTTCCATGTGTGCCCTGTATAATTAAGAAAGGTGATTAAGAAGCTAACTATGAAGCATAAGTATAAATTGATCCACTTACCCTCTCCACTCCAGGGAACCCATGCTTTCTATTTGAGAAAAGCAGATTCCCTCTTATCTCCTCATATGACTCTTCTACCTAAGTTTTTTGGCTCTAATATTTTCCTGGGCTTTACTAAGAACAATGCAGACAATTTTCAGATTTGGGATTTGGAAATTCTTATTCCACTTCTGGAAGCACTCCCGCAGAATATCTGACAAAGCCCAGAAGTTTACATAAGCCAGATCTCTAGGGCTAGTGAGAGAATAAGACTCACCTAGACATAACTACAAAATGGAAGCTCAAATACATCTGAGTAGACATATAGATGAAGGACTGAAAAAGGTATAGAAGAAGGGGCTGAAGCTATCATAAGTTACTGCATTTAGTTATTAAATTCTCATCTCCCCATTGGGTTGTAGATACAAAAGCAAGGAGAAAAAGAAAGGAGGAATAGAGTGAATTAAAAGCTTCCACAAAGGTTGTTGGTTAATAAAAGGGCATTAGGGCTCATTCAGTCGTCTCACTGAGGTGCTCCACTGCATCCTTGTGCAGCATTCTTCCTTTCTAATAAACTTTCATTTTTCAAACCCATACTGTTGTCGGTAAATTCTTTTTACCAACCCACAAGTCGACAACTTTCCAATGCCAGGGCTCTGACGCCTCACCTGGCATCTTGGTGGCCCATATGGGGACTTTACTGGGATTTGTTCCCTCAGTGGTCTGGTTTTTTGTTTGTTTGTTTTGGTTTGTTTGTTTTTTTGAGATGGAGTCTCTCGCTCTGTCGCCCGGGCTGGAGTGCAGTGGTGCAATCTCGGCTCACTGCAAGCTCCGCCTCCCGGGTTCACGCCATTCTCCTGCCTCAGCCTCCCCAGTAGCTGGGACCACAGGCACCCGCCACCACGCCCGGCTAATTTTTGTTATTTTTAGTAAAGACGGGGTTTCACCCTGTTGGTCAGGCTGGGGCTGGTCTCAAACGCCTGACCTCGTGATCCGCCCACCTCAGCCTCCCAAAGTGCTGGGATTACAGGCGTGGTGGTCTGGTTCTTTACTCGTGGGAATTGAAGGTCCCTGGCTGAGGCCACTCTTTGGTGGGATCCTGAAACCCTGGAGAAGGGATACCTGTCTGTGGCTGTTCTTAGAGGTGAGAGATTGGCCAGGGTTATTTTCTATTTTCGGACTGCCAGTGAGCCAGCTTGAATACTCTTTGGCAGTTGAGGGTTTTTGGCCGAGGGCACTCCCCGGTGTTACCTGAAGGCCAAGACAAAAGAGCGAATTTGCTATGGCCCGTCAGGGTGGCAAGTCCACTTTCACTTTAATGCTCTATAAACCGTGTCTTGGAAACGAGCGGCAGCGATCTCAACTCTGCACAGACACACTCCACTGGTTGTGGACCCACTTTTGGATTCAATTTAATCACAGGCACCACATCCTAAGCTACGGTGAGTTGCCGTTTACATTAGGTTTGAGCTGACCACTCCTACCAGGGCACACCTTGCCTGGTCATCCAGGCAAGGGCAGCAGGCCCTCTATCCATGATGGGATGCCCCTGAACAGAGTGCGCCAAAGGGGAAAGTGAAGTCCAAATTCCTCAGGGACGCCTCACGAATCTTGTAGTCCCTTACCTAAACCTAACATGGGTTCAATTCATTCTTCAATTCATTCCTACTCACCCTTGGGTTGCATTCTTAAAAAATGTTCTTATTCTGACCCACAGACTCTCAAAAAGAAGTGTATAATTTTCATTTGTATTCAGAGGTGCCTTATGTTCTGGTCTTTTGGGCTTTATCTCAAAACCCAAAGTTACATAAAAATTGTAGTGTATGCTTCCAAGGAACTTCCTCTCTCCCCGATTCCGATGTCTTAAATCATCCTTCCTTTTACCTGTCACAGTCTCCTCAGCGGGCTCCTGCTTCACCTACACCCTCTCCATCTGCTCCATCATCCCCCAATCAACTTCCCTGTCCAGTTGCTTTACCCCCCTCACATATTCACACAGGAGTCACATATGCCACTAGTCGTACAGAGTCCTCAGAAAATCCCAAAAATGTTTTGCCTCTCCTCAAGGTGGCAAATGGGCATTTGGGAACAATTCGAGTTCATATCCATTTTCCAATGTCTGATATTTTGCAAATTCAATCCAAACTGGGTTCTTTTGGCCAGGGTCCCTCTAAGATCATTCAAGAATTTTGGGCTTTAACTATTGCCTTCAATTTAACTTGGCAAGACATATTCATAGTATTAATTACTTGCTGTTCCCATGAAGAAAAATCATGCACATGGTCTTTAGCTTGAGCTTGGGCAGACAAAGCTCATGCTTGTAATCCCAGTGATAATAGAGCTGGGGCAGAAGCTGTGCTTGACACAGAACCCAATTGGCAATACCAGGCCGCCAATGCCTACCCAGAGGCAGGAGCAGACAAGATCAAATAAACTTGCTTGTTGGAAGAAGTGAAAAAGGCTGTAACAAAATCTGTTAATTTTTCGAAATTATGAGAAGTCACCCAGGAGCCATCTGATAATCCTGCCCTTTTCAAACCCAGACTGGTGGAGGTCATCCATAAATACACAGATTTAGACCCTGAAAGCCCTGAAGGCCAATCCACTCTGGCCATACATTTTATAAGTCAGGCTTCCCCAGATATTAGACAAAAAAACCCCAAATTAGAGCAAGGCCCACAAACTCCCTTTTCTACTTTATTAAATATGGCCTTTAAGGTTTTCCATAACCTGGAAGAAACATCAAAAATTTAAAAAGCTCAATGGGAGGAGGAAAAATGCCGTCACCAGCTAATTACATGGCAACAGCATTGGAACATTCTTTTTTGTTAGCTAGTAACCCCAAGGCTAGACCACATAATACTAACAGAACAAGGGTCTGTCATCACTGCAGAAATCCAGGACACTGGAGTAGAGAATGTCCCAAATCTACAGGTTACAAGCTGCCCCAGGGACCCTGTCCTCATTGCAAACAAGAGGATTGTTTGAAGAGTGAGTGTCCCTCTCTCCCTCATGGCGGGGGAGGGGTTGGGGCACCACTTCTTTCTGGGCTGTCGCAGCCACCACCTTGTCAACCTACCCAACAAGGGGGTCCTGCAGAATGAGGGCAAGGGTGAGGGCAAGGGCAAGGACAAACACCTCTATCCCTGGATTTTGATTAAGCCTCTGAAAGTCATCCTCTAGATGAGTGATGGGGCTTTGAGGCCATCTAGGCTCCTGTCTTTTCCATCTGTATAGATGAGCCTTTATAGATGAGGTAAATCTGATTGTGGCTTAACAAGAGATAATGTTCTTTATAGATACAGGGTTCAGTTTTAAATGTTTATTATGGCCCAATGTGCCAGTCCTCCATTTTCCTCACCGGTATTGATGGAAAACCTCAATGAGGCTGTTTCACACCACTGCTCCCTTGGGAAATGGACAGTTATTCCTTTACCCACTTCTTTTAGTCCTGCCAAGCTGTCCTGTTCCATTATTAGGTCATGACTTACTCACAAAATTACAAGCTAAATTACAGCTAAGGCCTCACCTTCTAGCCGTATAAATTTTCTTTTTTTTTTTTCCTTTGAGACGGAATCTCACTCTGTCACCCAGGCTGGAGTGCAGTGGTGTGATCTCAGCTCACTGCAAGCTCCACCTCCCAGGTTCATGCCATTCTCCTGCCTCAGCCTTTGTATTTTTAGTAGAGACGGGGTTTTACCATGTTAGCCAGGATGGTCTCGATCTCCTGAACTTGTGATCCACCCGCCTCAGCCTCCCAAAGTGCTAGGATTACAGGCATGAGCCAACGCACCTGGCTGCCATATAAATTTTCAAACAAGCCAAATGGCTGCACACACTTTCCCAAAGTAACCAAGACAGGACCAAAACTTTTACTGATTGGTTTCCAAAAATCACTTGGCTTCTCCCATTCCTTGGGTCTTTGTTCCTTGTTATTCTTCTTTTAATATTCAGTCCCTGTCTTTTTAACACCCTCATTAGATTTATATCTTCCAGATTACAAAGATGCCACCTACAGATGGCTATGCAATCCCAATACCATCCTGCAACGGCAACTTCCACTTACATGGAGCCTCTTGATGGAATCCGGTCTCCCCTCCATGAATGGGGTTTCAAAATCCTTCATTCCCTTTACGACAGAGAGCAAGAAGGGAAAAATACAACCTGTCCCTTCAATATCCCCTTTCAGAAGGAAGTAGCCAGACAAACTCAATGCCCCTCTTAATTGCGGGTGTTTTCTCTTTCTTGAGAACCCAATAGGCAGCAGGTAGACATGGGCATGGTGGGGTATAAAGGGTCAAAGATTTGACCAAAATATTTGTCAGGGGCAAAATGAGGAGAGCAAAAATGACCTGGTAACCATTGAACAGTCCCTGGCGACAAAAACTCTTTCTCTGAGGAATTTAGAAGGGAGCAAAGACCACTTCATTGGCATCTGGTTTCAGGCCTCTTTCAACTTTTATAAGTAACTAACATTTCTATACATCTCTGGAATGCCATGCTGAAACTCATTTTACAACCGTTAAGCTCCCAGCTTAAGGTGGATAAGTACCCTTAAGGAAAAATCCACGGCGGCACATTCAGTCCTCTCACTGAGGTGCCCCACTGCACTCTTCTGCAGCCTTCTTCCTTTCTAATAAACTTTCCCTTTCCAAACCTAATAATAATAATAAAAGGGTATTGAAGAGATGAATTTTGTTCCCTTCCCCTCTCCATTTTTCACAGTGGAGCTACATGGAGGGCTGACCGTTTCAGTCATTCTTAATATTTTGAGTTCCCATTGTCTACACAATGACAGCCAATCAACCAGACTATTCAATGGGGGCCAGGGGCATGGGAGTCCAAGCCCTGAACCCTGTGTGCCTGCTCTGGTCACATCTCTGCCCTATGTCCATCTGCATCTGGCAAAGCCCAACTTCTGACACCATGTACCCCCCTCACCACCCGTGCCCATGCTGCTTTCTGCCTCCATGCTTTTGCTTTTGCTGTTCCATCTGATGGTAGCACCTTCTTCGTGCTCCTTGGCCTGGCTGTTTCCTACTTACTCATCAAGGCTAACTACGTGTCATCTTTTCTAGGAAGCACCCCTGTGTTTCCAGGCTGGTTTAAGGCCTCCTTCTTTATTTACCACAGCACCCCAGATACACCTGTGTTTTACCTCTTACCGTATTCATATTAAAATTATCTGTTTGTGCGTTTGTTTCTTCCTCTAGATTTTAAGCTCTTCAAGGCTAATGAGGTGAGTACAATGCCTAGGACATAATAGACTTCAAATAAGTTTTGTTTGTTTACTAACGTGAAAAGCAAATATTGAGGGAAAATTTTGTTTTAATATCTGGGAAAGACTTGTGGGTAAGATCATGTTGAACATAATAATGATATTCTACAGATTTACATTTCTAGACATCACAAAAGTACAAAACCAAATATCAAAACTGGATTCCCAAACTTGTACCCCTCACACCCATGTCTGTTGTCATAAGGAGGAGTGGCGTGAACGAGAGATTGAGAGAAGCTCTGGAGACTGCCCACTGACATCCCTGCTCCACCAATGCTAACTGAATAGCCCTGAGCAAGTTACTGAGCCACTTTTGCCTCAATTCTTTATTAAAATGGGGGCAATAAGGCCGGGTGTGGTGGCTCAGGCCTGTAATCTCAGCACTTTGGGAGGCCAAGGCAGGAGGATCACTTGAGGTCAGGAGTTCGAGACCCACCTGGCCAACATGGTGAAAGCCTGTCTCTACCAAAACTACAAAAATTAGCCGGGCGTGGTGGTGCACGTCTGTAATTCCAGCTACTCAGGAGTCTGAGGCAAGAGAATCACTTGAACCAGGAAGGCGGAGGTTGCAGTGAGCTGAGATCATGCCACTGCACTCCAGCCTGGATGACAGAGCAAGACTCTGCCTAAAAAAAATAAATAAAAATATAAAAATAATAATTAAAAGTTAAAAATTAAAATGGGGCAATAATTGAGATATTCTGGAGTTTAAACAAGACAATACATGTAAAACACTCATTAAAGCTTACTACTATCACTATCGCTGCCTTTACTTTTTCTTACCACATTGTTTTCTCTGCATTATTTTCACCCATTGTAGCAACCATCTATTGAGCGTTAAAGCACACTGCATAAATGACTACTAACCCTCATAACCCTGTAATAGAGGTGTTGTTAGCTGACACTTTATAGATGATGCCATTGGAGCTCAAAGAGATTAAGTATATTCCCCATAGTCACACCACTAATAATTGATGGAGCCAGGAAATAAACTCAAAGGTGGCCAGTTCCAAGTCCAGTTCTTTTTCACAACACACACCAAGATGCTTTCCAGCTCCCTAGAAAAAATAAAATTGTACGTGTTTTATAAGTTCTATGTTCTCCTAAAATGTGGCTGTATTATTTCAACCAATCTAGAAAATTCTCCTACCCAAATCAACACTTCTCTAACTTCCTAAAGCTTATAGCCATTAAGGAGGCAATAACATACTTAGCTCCACAATAAGAAATGAAAAGAAAAAACAGCAACTATTCCTAGGAAGTAACATATGAGTGTTCATACGAAAATGTTAATGACAAATATGAAGTTCTTTCAAGAGAGCAACTTTAATAGAAAGCATCAAAGGAAAAAAGGAAATTTACAAAGTTATTTTACTGCTAAAGACATAAAAGTGACAGGCATTTTAAAAATACCAAAACAATTGTTTTCATCTCCTTTTTGTTTCTTTTGGATTATTTCTAACGATTTGCTGAAAGCTATGAAAGGAAGTATGCTCAACAGCACACACAGCCATTCATTCCAACTTCTGTATGTCTTATCAGGGGATTCACAACTCATAAAGCCCAACCAAGATTTCAGCCTAAGGGTCCCTGACTTGTTGTCAATTACAGATTTTGCAGCAGATACCAATATGGGGAAAGGAAGGTTTAAAAAATATAAAGGAGGCCAATTCAAGCTGTTTCCATAGTTCATAATCTTACTACCTTTGTTACAGACTCTTTTCCTCCTAATTTTAAATGCCCCAGACTTTTCTACATGATCCTCAGGTTAAGAACTAATGACCTGAAATAAATAATATGTACTTCCCATAACCCTTAACAATCATTTCTTTATGATCTGAAATGCAGGATAAAGTTTTCTCTAACCAAAGCTTTCTTGACCACATGTAATGTTCTGTTGAGGCTAAAGAAAGGGAGTATAGCATTGGACTTTGGGGATTATATGAATATTGGTTGTCTTGAAAATGTGAGAGATGCCTGAGGGTTTCCTCTGTTACATATGATGGAATCCATTTCCTCTCACCATGATACTCTCCCTTTCTCTCCTACTTCAGCCCCAGACTCAGACCGCACCTGCTACAGTACCACCATCCATAAGGGATCCGTAACTTACTCTTCTGCACTTGTCCACTCACTATGAATTCTAAGATAAAGCTCTATTTATTCATTTATTTCATTGGACAAACTGGGCTCATATGCCATTAGAAATTGCTGCAGGCCAGACGCGGTGGCTCATGCCTGTAATTTCACTTTGGAAGGTCAAGGCAGGCAGGTAACTTGAGGTCAGGAGTTCGAGACCAGCCTGGCCAAAATGGTGAAACCCCATCTCTACTAAAAATACAAAAATTAGCCAGGCATGGTGGCAGGCACCTGTAATCCCAGCTACTCAGGAGGCTGAGTCAAGAGAATCATTTGAATCCAGGAGGCGGAGGTTGCAGCGAGCCGGGATCCCACCACTGCACTCCAGCCTGGGTGACAGTGTGAGAGTCCATCTCAAAACAAAACAAAACAAGACAAAACAAAACAAAACAAAAAAGAAAAAGAAAAAAGAAATTGCTGTGAACTTCTTTCCATATGCTCTTCCTTAGAGATTTCAAAGCTATATAGATTGAGAAACTTCTTATCCTTTAAGCTTGTCATGGTGCTTGTTTACTGATCACCACTGAGGGTTATAGCAAAGCTACTGATTCCAAATATAAGACTTTTCACAGGGCACTGCTACCTATCCTTAATTTGACTACCAAAAACTGTGTATCAATTCACAGTAACTGCATGTCAGGCTGTTGAAAAAAGAATGCTAATCATATGGTGACTCTGGTTGCAGCACAATTTTGCAATCTTGAAATCATAATAAATAGGGTTGTTCCACTTGTGTTAAGTATTTGTGGCTTTGCTCTGAACCAAAATACAGATGGGCAGGAATGGCAGAAACAATGCAGCCATTTAGTAAGTGAAAAGGCATAAAAGCGTGTGCTAGAATTTTGCATTTTTCTTGTGAAGAACATTTAGATAAAGCATTTACAATGTCACAAAAATAATGCCCCCAATATTTTTAAAATCACAGTTTAGAAAGCTATAGTAGCCTGTCAATGAAAGAAGTAATGAGCAGATGTTTTCCTTATTTCCAAATATATTTAGAATTCTGAGGGAAAGCCACAAAGAGCATTTTTATTATGCACCTGTCATGGTCAACATCTGGCAGCAGCTCTTGCCAATACATCAGTCTCATGAGTTGGTGTCTCCTTCTAGCACACAGAGAGACTGTAAATAAACCCACAGTGCAAAGCACTCCTTTCCTTTTTTGTTTTTTTTCTTTCTTTTCTTTTTTGTTTTGATTTTTCAATAGCAAGAAAGAAGCAGCACAGCAAAACCCAGAAAATGTATATTTGTACCATGTATAGACTACATAGTATCTGTGCCTCTTAAAGAAGAAATGCAAATGCAATTAGAGGCCATAGAATGAGAGGATTTAAAATATTTTTAAGAGAAAATGAGTTGTCTAGGATCTTCCAATCTTTCAGTCATTCTTTAATTTAACAAGTAATTTTTACTAGCTACTAGAAGTACATAGTGTGATAAGACCTATAGCCACACAAATAAAATATGCACAATCCTTGCTCTCATACAAAACAGTGCATGCATTTAAAGAGCTGTTATAAAAGTCTGTAAATGAGAGGTCAAGACCTGCTGCTGATCTTATTTATGAGACTTTCACTTCCTTAAACTGGGAGGAACATTTTCAGGTCCCAACACAGGAAATAAGGAAAACCTTTCTACTCATCATTCCATGGAAAGAGAGATAGATCAAATTCCCTTACAAAGAGCGTTGTTATCATCTAACGCTTTTGTTATTTTTGGAATTTGGATAGGTGGGTCACTGACTGAAGAGCAGAAGTTTGTTTTTGTGAGATAAAAAAATATTTTGTTGGCACACTTGTTATACTGGATTTCCTTGCACAGCAGAGATATTAAGCCACTTTTTCTCGATTATCCAAAATCTGATTTGAAATTTCAAGTAAGTAAAGAGACTAGAATCACTTCAATCAATCATGCTCCCACTTGGGGGAATTTATTTGCACACACCTATGAATACACACACATACACGCACAATTTCTAAATAGCAATTCAGGATGTGTATTAGGACTTAATTTCAAGTGAAGAAGCTCAGTTTGAACTAACTTGGGCAGAAATAGAGACATCATTAACTCACAAAGGAGAGGACAATGGTAGCTGTAACAAGGGGCTCATATACCATCTTTTGCTCTCTCATCGCTTCTTCTTTCTGTATGTTGTCTATCACTTAGTTTCTCCTAGGGCAAGTTCCATGCTGTTGAATACTTAAATGTTGGCAGCTGGCTCTGGGTTCAGATCAACCTAGATTTACCACCAGAAGGAAGAAATTCTATTTTACCATTCTTGATTCTCTCTTGTCCCAACCTTAGTTTAAAACCTCCCCCAAATGGACAATTCATGTATTTGCCTCTGCCTCATTACTAAAGTCAGGGAGGAAGTGCCACCTAGGAATAAGGGAAGCTCCAATTTAGACCACATGGTGATAGCTATAGTGGGACTCAGAAGGGTGAGAGTGAGAGAGAGTTTTTCAAAGGTAGGAAGAGGTGGTCCTCCAAAGATAGAGATGTTACACAGACAAGATAATAAATGTCCTCAGATGTGGCTTTGATACCTTAAAATATTTAATGCTATTGTGTTGTTTTTATCAGAGCTTTATAGTTTCTTTGTACAGTATATCTTCATTTGTCATTAATAAAGGAGTTCTGATTTTCTTTTACTCTGCTGTTTTAGCACAAAGTAGATTATTTAATTGTAATTGGAAATAGTGGAACCTCATCAGGGTTATTATTAGATACTTTGTATTTTATAACATTTTATGTATGCTTATTTTATCCTGAATAACAATGTTAAAATACATTTCACATTCTTAGCTATCATAGTGATAGTTGTGTAATTACTAAAAAAAAGTGTGCTAATTAAAAACAACATATTAGAGATTTGGGGCATTTCTAGCACAGCCTATTTCTTTAAACATTTACAGTGAACCTGGATAAGAAAATGTGTTTCTAATAAATTTAGACAGACCTCTTCTTATCATGCAATTTCTTTCTGTATTGTTACAATCAAAACGTCTTGCTCAAACTGCACCTACTACCATGATTTAGGGGGAAAAACTTACTTATAGATCATTTTAGCTTTCTAAGTGGCAATTCTTATTCAAATTTGAATTAGAATTGACTCAAGTGGGTGAAAATCAGTCCCATTACTTTCTTTTCTACAATGCAGTTCACTCCTGTTTTTTAATACCATGAAGTATTCATTGCTTATTTTCTTCACTTTTATTTCAAGTGGACTCATACACGTAACTTCGAATTTCCCAGATCTACTATTTTTAATTTCATAAAGTCTTGATTAGGTTTTTAAATTTGAGCTTTGTAGCATAAAAATCTACAAGTGGATCAGATAGCTGAATTAATTAAGATTGATTGTCTGATTCAACAATAAAAACAGAAGCCAGATAAAGTGTTGGTGGTTGGGCCAAGCAAATAAAAAATAATCAAATTACCTAGTAGCTGGAAAAAAACCCTCGAATTTTGAAAGACTGAAGACTCATGACATAACAAACTCCCATGTAGGGCAAGAGCATCTATTAAAATGTACTACAGTGTGTTCTTTTGGGGACCAATAAGATATAATATGCCTGCTAGGAAGATCTGGGAGACATGCAATCGCAAATAATAAACTGAAACCTACTACACATTTTGTGGGGATTGTAGGACATTCCAGCATAACTGCAGTGCTTGTGGGTCTCAGAATCATGTATAGCAGAGTTTTCATGAAAACTTCATTAACTGTTTCATAAAATCCAATGTGCATACTACTGGTGGTCATGAGATAATTTTACATGGCACACAAAATATTTTTCTTCTAACATATCTACTTTATTGTAAACATTAAAATTGTGTATTAAAA
This sequence comes from Homo sapiens, assembly GCF_000001405.40. Classification (NCBI taxonomy): domain Eukaryota; kingdom Metazoa; phylum Chordata; class Mammalia; order Primates; family Hominidae; genus Homo; species Homo sapiens. The sequence continues at coordinate 102,703,431 of NC_000005.10, forward strand.
AATAACATGTCATGCCCACATTTTAATTGATATTTTGTTAAGATTAAAATTGAAGTAGATATTTAAGGCTAAAAAGATATCAATTTGAAGAAAAATATTTGATAGTCATTCTACAAGTATTAAGAAGATGGTCAGCACTGGCTTCTTTGAGAAGGTGAGATTTGAGCAGATTTGGAGAAGTTGAGAGAGAACAAAGTAGGTATCTGGGAAGAGTAGTCCACGTAGAGGGAAGAATTAGGGCAGAAGTCCCAGGCAGGAATGCCTGTGTGTGGAAGGAACAATAAGGTGGCCAGAGTAGCAGAGAAAAGAAAGAAAGAGGCCAGAGAGAGTATAGGGAACCAGATCATGTAGGGCCTTCTAAGTGGATGACCATACAACTCATCAAACAATCTGCAACACTTATTAGAATAACATAGGACACATTTAATAATTACACCAAAACAGCATGCATAAACCAGGGCTGTCCCTGAAAACTGGAACACAGGGTCACTCTATCTATAGGACAATGTAGGGACTGTAGCTTTTACTCTGAGTAAAATGGAGAGTCATTGCAGATCTTTTAAAGGATCATCCTTGCTGCTACGATGAGCATAGACTGTAGTAGAGCTCTACTACAGACAGAAGGTGATAGTACAGGTGACATGAGCAAGTGACCAAGTCTAGAAAGTGCTGTTCTAACACATGTGACACTATTAATCCTCTCAATTCAGGATAATTCTGTCAGGTTCTGAGAAGAGGTGATACCAGGACAAGTCTAAAGAATTTGTTCCACATCCAAGAAATTGCTGCTCACCTTTTACAGCACTGGACCAGGTTATAGAAACATAAAATTTGAGACCATACACCTGAACTCAAGAAATTCTGCTGGGGAGGTCATTTAAGTGACAGATAACAAGCATCCAGTGATTATGATCTGGCAATACCACCATGTTGCTGGAGTGATTCTCCTCCTGAAGTTAGGGGAGAAGGGAGAAGACATTCTGGGAAGACACTGTCAGTTTATCTATTTCAAAGCCATATCCCATTTCATTTCTCCCTTCTAAAGGTTCTGATAAACTGCCCAAAAGAGTGAGTCTAGTTTGAAAGCTTAAAAAAGCTTCCTAGGTGATTCTAATATTAACCTGTAGAATGAGAACCACTCAACATAGTGACAGCAAATTGAATTATCAGATACTCTTTGTTTTATATTTGTGTTTTTTATCTTGGAATTAAAAACCCATATGAGATTACACTTCACTGTGAGGTACTAAATATAGAAAAACTGGGTAGAGAATAGGCAAGGAAAATTGGTTGAGTAAAATTTTCAATTGTATAAGAAAATGCAGCCACATATATATATAGAGAGAGAGAAAGATGTTATAGCCTAAATGTGTCCAAAAAATTCATGTGTTGGTACCTTAAACCCCAGTGCAACAGTGTTGGGAGGCGAGGCCTAATGGGAAGTGTTTAGGTCATGAGGGCAAACTCTTCATGAATGGGCTAATTCTGCACCACCATCCCCTGGCACAGTGCCTTACAAAATGGGGTTTGAACTGAGTCCTACTACCTCAGCGGACATTCCTCCTTCCCAACTTGTTCAGGTTCCTAGACCAGTAAGCCTCCATTACCTCTTCCCGCTCCATCTCTAAAGAGGGTGGAAGCAGCCCTCCGGGAGGATTCATTCACTCCCTCTCTCCTTGTTATTTATTTTCCTGCTGTATATATCACCTTTGTTGACAACAGATTATTTTTTATTTTTTAGAAAAAGGGCTTGCAGGAGTGGGTTTGCTCTTTTGCCATGTGAGGAAATAGCATTGTCCCCTTTTGCCTTCCTCCTTCTGCCATATGAGGATGCAGCAAGAAGGCCCTCATCAGATGCTAGTGCCTTGGTCTTAAACTTCCCAGCATCCAGAACTGTGAGAAATACATTTTCATTCTTTATAAATGTCTTCATCTGTGGTATTCTGTTATAGCAGCAAAAAATGAGCTAAGACAAGAAACACAGACAGATAGGGATGTATAGATGAATTAGTCTACTGAGACTACCATAACAAGATACCATAGATGGGGTGGCCTAAACAACAGACATTTATTTTCTCACAGTTCTGGAACCTAGAAGTCCTAGATCAAGGTACCACCGGGTTGGTTTCTGGTGGAAGGTTCTCTTTCTTGCTTACAGACATCTGACTTCTTGCTGTGTCCTCACAGAGCCTCTTCTTCGTGCACAAGTGAAAAGAGAGAGAGCTCTCTGGTGTCTCTTTCTCTTCTTATAAGGTCACCAGTCCTATCGGATTAAGGCCCCACCCTCACGACCTCATTTAAATTTAATTACTTTGATAAAGTTCCTATCTCTACATTCACATTGGGGGTTAGGACTCCAACATATAAATTTTGGGGAACACAATTCTGTTCCTAAAAACATGTCTATACGTCTACATATATAAATATATATATATAATTTATATTTACATCTATCTACCTTTCCATATAGATATTGAATTTACTGAATTGCTGGTACAGGTGATCCAGTAGTCAAATAAATGTTTTCAATTGTTAGGTCTAAGCTAATTGTTGCAGCTCTTCTGATAGGCAGCAGGCCTGTCACTCTTAAGACAGAATTGATTTCACTTTGGCTGTATTTAATTAACCTGGACCCAGAAAAAATAAATCTTTTGTGTGTGTTTGTCCAAGAGCTAATTTTGGGAGAAGAGCTCTGACTCAGAATGGCTTCCAAATGATACATAGCCTGGGTGTACCTCAGAAGGGAGATTCAAGCAAAATCCTCATCTGTCTCAGAGGCCTTACCAGTTCTGGACAAGTGTGTGATGTCTAACAGATCCACCAGTAGTAATTCTTGAAAAGGTAAATGCCCCTCTCCTAACCTTTCTCTAGCACAAGGAGATAGTTTCAGTGGTCTCTGTCTCAGTCACCAAACCCTCTTCCTGATTACTGTGCTGGATGATGGTACAGCTCATCACCTTTTCCCCAATTTGTGTCTTAGCTCCCAGATTAATTAGTTTACCTTTCACTAGAATGAACTGAAATTTCCACCTTTATACTCTTACTTTAAATTGATCTAAACCCTTTTTCATTTTACATGCTATACCTCTTTATTTCTTCCAAGTGAATCTTACAAATTGAGTATCATTTGCATACTTGAATGAAGAGTTTCAGCGTCTCTCTTTGTAGCTCTTCTGTCTCATAGAAAACAACGATTCTAAAATGTGTTCATGATAAATCATCCTTTGAAATGAATTCAGAGAATTTTGGGGTTGAAAGGTGCATTAAATGTAGAGTATAAACTCTTCATTTACAGACAAGGAAACTGTGGTCGATAGATCCATGGTCTGCTCAGAATTATCCAGTTAATCAATGTCAGAGCAAAAACTGGAACTCAGGGAACTTAACTCCAAGTCAAAACAATATTATACTAAGAAACAATTATACTGAAATTATTTAGGAGGCAATTATTCACTTCTTGTATTAGAAATCTAGAGATTTATGTTCCATTCCCATTAATATATTACCCTGAGAAATAATACTTTTACATGTTTCTTTATTTGTAAAGTGAAAGAAATAGTCTTCTTAGACACCTAAAAGGCATATAAAGATTCACAGTACAAATATTGTGAACCAGTGATAGTTACAAATGGTATTCTGTGATTTTTTTTGGTATGCATCTCCCAAGAGAGACTCAACAGACACAAACTTTATATTATACATTTGTAAAATGGAATGCACTGTCAAACAAATAGAAAAGTCATTCAGACAAATAGTAATGCAGGACATACTAATAGATGATATCCTGGCCAAAAAAGCCAATTTATAAGTAAATGCTTATAGAGATTGAGGTATCAGTGGATTTAAGTCTCTAATTTTGTGATCTGATTATTGTAAATGAGTAACATGAAAATAGTGATGATAATATGGAGATGGAAATAACAAATACTTATATGGTACAACATGACAGGTACCATTTCAAGCATTTTACACTTATTAGGCCCTCAGAAAAGTCATATGATACAGGTACCAGATATCGTTATTGGCCTTTTTTTTTTTTAACTTTTTCTATAAAAGGCTTGGGGGTGATAGAGGGCAAGTTGAATTTTATGAGATCAATGAAAAAGAGAAAGGCTAAGAGGAGTAGCCTTAAGGAGGAAGCCTATCTTTGGTATATGTAAGAGTAGGGACTCTTGGCCACGTGGGAACAAAACCCAGCTCAAACTGACTTAATAAAAATGGAAATTTGTTGGCTTATATAATCCAAAACCTGGATCCAGGGGCTCAAATTATGTCTTCAGCACTTGGTCTCTCTCCATCTTATGGGTCTATTTTTCTCTATGATAGTTTCATTCATGCCAGCTCTTCTTAGAGGTTTAAAGAGAGTCAACCACAGGCTTCGATTGTGTCACTTTAGCAATTCCACCAACTACAGAATTTTTTTATTCCTATCATCAAAATACTATTATCCTGTTGGAGTCTCACTGGAGCAAACTGTATCTCTTGCCAATCACTGTGGCCACGGACCTTGAATATAATTCAATAGAACTGGATCACATGCCTAAATCCTAATGCTAGCCCTCCTCCAAAGAAAAATCAGTTTCTGCTATTAATGAAGAGAGAATAACACTACAAAGCAAAAGCCAAAGTTGCCCACCACAGCATAGAAAGAGGTGTATAAATAAGCAGAATGAGATAGAAATTATAAAATATGAGTGAGGGGAGATCAGGTCAAAATGTTAGGTTAGGAGGTGCAGAAAGCATGTAAGAGGAAAAAGGAAAAATTGCAGTATTGTATAAAGGGTGTTCTTGCCATGACAGATGTTAAAAAGTCATAGTGAGGTTTAAGAGAAATGTTATGACTTTTATCCTGAATTGGGCTTTGCACTGATTCCTGGCTCTATGGAAAGTAAAACACTACATTCTATTGGCTTCTGCATTAAATAAGCTAATAGAATTTAGCCTGCACTCCCAAATTCAACCCAAAGCAACTACCAAACCATCTGTGAAATATACTGTTAGGCAGTAACTGATTCACGAAAAAGACAGATTCATAACCAACTATAATTCAAAATAGAACATGAGCCAGGCACAGTGGTCAACACATGTAATCCTAGAACTTTGAGAGGCTAAAGTGGGAAGATCACTTGAGCCCAGGACCTCGAGACCAGCCTAAGCAACATAGTGGGACGTTGTCTATACAAAAAATCAAAAAATTAGCCAGGCCTAGTAGTGTGCACCTATAGTCCCAGCTACTCTGCGGGCTAACCCAGGAGGATGGTTTGAATACAGGAGTTAGAGGCTGCAGTGAGCCATGTTCCCACCAAGGCACTACAGCCTGAGTGACAGAGCATGACCTTGTCTCAAAAAAAAAAAAAAAAGGTCATGTTAAGTACAGTAACAGAAACACTGATGCAGTTCCAAGGTCAGGGAGGGAGGGATTTGGACAGGTAATTAAGAAGGAACAGAAAGTCACAGAGGAAGTCTTCATGGAAGAAGTGGCATCTGAACTAGGCCTTGATGGATGGGGATCATCTTGACAGGAGAGATCATGGGGACGGTGTTTATGGTAAAAGAACAAAGACAAAGAGGATAAAATTGGTGAATAACAGATTCAGAGTAGGATGCTTGAAAGAATTATAAAAGATGAGGCTGCAAATGTAGTTGGTGAATCTCTATGGATGACATGCGGGGGATTTCCAATTCTTCAGGTAAAGAGGAACAATTGAAGAAGACCTTCAAGCTTCTGCAGAGGTCATGATCAGAGTTATCCTATAGAAAGAATATTTTGGCAGTAGTGTGAAAGATAGATTGGAAGAAATAAGCAAGAAGCAAAGACTCTCACTGGGAGTTTAGGACAAAACTCTGAGTATGATAGAAGTGGAAACAAAGAAAGTAATAAAGGAAAGAAATGAGAAACTGGAAGCAGGAAACATTTTGGAGATATAATTCCTAGCACTTGTCAATAATTGGTTGTGAGAATTGAGAAACAGATAACATTCTTGGGACTGGGTACTTAGGAGAATGATTATGCCATTGATGAAGCAGAAGGGGGTCAGGTTTGTAGGTGGGTGCCTGTTTTGTGTGTATTAGTGGAAAGTGACATGGCTAAAGGATGAGTTAAGACCCCACTTACAGCACAGATGAAGTAAGTGGATGATGGGAAATTACTGTGGGAGGAAGTTGAAAAAGATAACTTTCTGCAAGGTATAAACGTTAGGATACAATTTACAGAATATTTAGACTTTAAAAAATGTTATTTATATTTTCTAGTTACTAACTGATATGGTTTGGCTGTGTCCCCACCCAAATCTCATATTGAATTATAGCTCCCACAATTCCCAGGTGTTGTGGGAATGACCCAGTGGGATGTAGTTGAATCATGGGGGCAGGTCTTCCCCATGCTGTTTTTGTAATAATGAATCAGTCTCATGACATTGGATGGTTTTATAAAGGGGAGTTTCCCTGCACAAGTTCTCTTATCTTGTCTGCCACCATGTAAGACATGACTTTCACCTTCTGCCATGATTGTGAGGCCTCCCCAGCCATGTGGAACTATAAGTCCATTAAACCTCTTTCTTTTGTAAATTGCCCAGTCTTGGATATGTCTTCATCAGCAGCATGAAAATGGACTAATACATAACTCTGTATTAGACTCAAACAAAATGAAAGTTCAAAAAATACCAACTAAATCTGTCTTTATTTCCCTAACTGTATCTTTTTTTTTTTTTAATTTAACTCTTATTTTAAGTTCAGGGGTACGGGTGCAGGTTTGTTGTATAGGTAAACTTGTGTCATGGGGGTTTGTTGTACAGATTATTTCATCGCCCATTATGTTCTTCACAGTAATTAGATTAACTCTAATACCCATTATTTATTTTTCCTGCATCTTCTTAATAGTCTTGGACCTTTGCAATTTAGAACTACTGCTTTTTTCACGTTAAATAAGCCTAAGCTTTTAGAACCAATTTTTAAATCTGTACAAAGTTTAGTTCATTTTCTGTCATTTCTAGAAAACTGATTCTTGACTCGTGCCATCTCTTTCTTTTCTCTAAAGGCATTGGAGAAGTAAATATTTGGTGAATATGTCCTTATCATTCAACACAAGCTCTCTACTGTGGTTTTAAAACACTCTGCCATTTCTTTCATCTTAAAACTAGCCAGGGGAGAGGAAGAAGTTGGAAGTGATCACTAGAAATTGAACATCATTTTTTGAAAAATGTCAAGCACTTGTTTTGAGTGAGACTCTGACTGGACAGATAAAGGAAGCAAACAACCTGGAAGTGGCATCCTTAAGGGATGATTTCAGTGTTTATAATGCCCTAGCTAATCTATTTCTTGTGGCCTCTGTATTCTCAAATCAGGAATATTCCTTGAAGAACTTATCGCAGAGTTAACATGATAAACAGCAGGCACTGAATTGAGAATACATCAGGGAGCCTGAAATGACTCCAGGTTAACTATCAAAGCGAGGAATCCTCATTAAAACTATAACTTCCTTCCTCTAATTCAAGATCTTGGGGTATTAACTGAAGACTCAGTGAATGTGTGCACAACAGCAAAGACAAATCAACCAAGAAAGGGACAAAGAGATCTGGGGCTAAGGGAAAAGATGGATAAAGGGTCAGAGAAAGATGAACATTGGCCTTAAAGATAAAGCAGTCACATTGAAGAAGAAGTAATTATTCCACACATAGCAGACTATGCTGATCGTTGTCCCAATTGCCTCTTCCTTCTTTATTATTGTTCATGAAGCTCTGATTTTTCCAGGTATCCACTCCTTCTCATATGACTGACAGTTATATCTTAAGTTTACGAATGTCAAAAAAAATCCCATTATGTTCTTCACAGTAATTAGATTAAGATGAATATATGATATGATTCTGGCCAATTAGGTGAGGAGAAATCTGGTGAGTAGCTTCTGGGTGAAGTTTCCTTGGTGTTAAGAAGAGGAGACACAAAGGGACATCTATTATCCCCCATATTCTTTTAGATGGTGTCTAGTCTGTATATGATGGGCAGCATCATTTCACTACTATTAGGGGTGCCAGTCAAGAACAAAGTGAAATGGCAGAAAAGAAATGAGGGACGCCTGTGTTTTTGAAGATTTCATTTAATTACTGAATCAACCAATCTTGAGGCCACCTGTTATAATGATTATAATTTACTTTAAAACACTTCAACATATACACTGTGATATTATGTGCACTTAGCTTGGCATGAGCTGTCACCCAGAGGCTGTAAGCATTCTACTCAAATATTCCCTGTCCAGTAGTGGTTAACGAACACAGGAGTAGCCTGCTGGCATTCTCATCAAGAAGTCAATACTCCAGAAAAGCTATTACAAGCACTTCTGTTATGTGTATCTTGCTCAATAACTTCCATTTTGCTAATTAGCATACTAAATGTCAGAAAAGGGCTTTTAGTGATAAAAATAGCAGCCTGTTGACTACCATGATGAATGTTAAAATCGGGCTCTCACTGGTAAAATTAAAGGTATTCAACTTGTGTGAATTAGTTAAATTATTTTATAGTCACCCCTACTCTTGCATGAATAGAGAATAAGAATCTATCAGGTCAAAAACTTGTACTCCTTGGGATTTTGCCCCAGGCTAAATTCCTAAACATGCTAGTCTCTAGCCATAGGATTTAGAATTCTGATTGCCTGAGATCAGCTGTAAAGATGGCAGGATCCTGCTTCGGGAATCTTGGCAATTGCTTTCACCAGTTCACCAGTTATCTCTGCAATTTATGTTGTAGTTTGAGGACCATATGTTATACGAAAGGCTTTTTACTCAATCAAATGTGTGGTAGAAGAAAAAGCCATAGAATGGGAAATCATGAGATAAAGTCTGAGACCCAACCCTGTAACAGCTTTGGATACATAATTCAACCTCTCTAAGGCTTGAGTGGCAGCCAAAGTAGCATAATAAAAAAGTGTGGCCGGGCGCGGTGGCTCACGCTTGTAATCCCAGCACTTTGGGGGGCGGAGGCGGGCGGATCACGAGGTCAGGAGATGGAGACCATACTGACTAACACGGTGAAACCCCGTCTCTACTAAAAACACAAAAAATTAGCCGGGCATGGTGGCGGGCGCCTGTAGTCCCAGCTACTCGAGAGGCTGAGGCAGGCGAATGGCGTGAACCCGAGAGGTGGAGCTGGCAGTGAGCCGAGATTGCGCCACTGCACTCCAGCCTGGGCGACAGAGCGAGACTCCGTCTCAAAAAAAAAAAGAGTGCTGGCTGTCAAGCCAGAGGGCCCAGGTTTAATCCTAGCTTTATCGCTTACTAGCTGTGTGACCTCTCTGTGCCTCAATTTTCTTATCTATAAAATGGGTTAATACCCACTTAGAGCATTGTTATGAGGATTAAATGAGATATGCCATGTTCAACTCTTAGCACAATACCTGGCAGGATAAATACTAAATAAATATAGTCATTATAATCTCCAAGATAAGAGGATCAGTCTAAATGGTCACTGCACCCCTCTGCTTTCTAAAATTTCCATTTTATTCTCATTCTTATACTCTCCAGAGAGAACAATAGTGGAGAAAAGTCTTCTAAATTCAGTGCGAATCCTTGTGTTAGGCCATTCGCTCCTTTATTTATATAGTCAATGCCATTTGATGCCATTCACTTCTTTATTTATATAGTCAAGCATTTATTGAGTGCCCACTGTAAATGAAACACTGTAGATACACAGTAGGATATCTCTGAGAAACTCTCTGTCTTTTGGAGCAACCAGGAATACCCAATTTTCTCAAAAACTGAAATTTCTGTCCACCTCAGTCATCCCCAACTATTATAATAGTTCTTTCTCAAAATATGTCTTTGATAGAAATTTGTGTTCCGTGTTATACAAATCCACGTTCCAATATTGAGCCCTTCACTCAACATGGAGATTAACTTGTGTCCCTTTGCCAGTGGTGAGGGAACAATAGCTATGACGAATGAACAGTTTTGCAGAGAATTTAAGGAACAGGGATGCTTGGCAATGACAAGGGCTTTAGTGTTATTGCCCACAATCATGGTAGCTTGTGACCTAAAACAGCGCATCAGGGAGACCTCCAGTACTGAAGAAATAAAGTGCCAAAAAAGAGGATCTGAAAAAAGCAACTCCTTTAAAATTAGTAAGTTTTTTTCCTCACTTCTCCATAGGGGCTCAGTTTAAATTTTTCTCCTTAGCCAACAAAGCCAATATTTTTCCCTGTAATCATAAAACACTGCTAATAAATTGATCTCTTTTATCAAATGCATTATGCTACATGTGAGAGCACAGTGAGTTTGGCAACCCCAACACAGTCCCCATGTGTTTGGAACCCACTGTATTGTACACACTTGAAACACCATCTGCAGGCAGTCTTTTCCTCTCCAACTTGTCAGGGTGAGCGGCAGGAGAGATTCATGAGTTGAGATGCATCGTTAACTGTCAGCGACTCTGCCAGTGCAAAGGAAACATCTGTATCAGCCAAACCTGTTGAAGATTAAACAGTTAACTGAGTCTAAACACATATGCAAGTGAGAATACCAATGGCCCTAAAACAAAACCTGTGCATCGAAAACGCTTGATTGATGTTTCTATATCTTAGCATTCACTGCAAGCGCTGGGGTCATTTGAGGGTAGTTTAAATCTGTGGCTGCATTTCAGAGATGATTTTTAGTTCTTTAGATTGTTGATGTCAAAGATCAGTGTGGGAGGCAACTAGAATCAGTGAGCCTTGTCCTTGTCTTGAACTTTCTTCACCTTTCTCCATGGAGAGGAAACAATGAATTTTCTCAGCAGGGACTGTATTTTGAAATCTTCCCTGGAAATAATCACTAAGGAAAAAAATGTTTCTGGTAGGATGTTTCATGAATCACAAGTAAGTTTTTTTTAAAAAAATCAAAATCTTTTACTTCTACAAAAATTAGAACAGGTTGTTCCTCTCAGTGAAGTTTCTGAATTTAGGTTTGTTGGAAAGGAAGGTTGAAAAATTCTGAAGAGAAGTTATATGCATATCCAGGACAAATTGAATAGGTGGAATGGTAGCCAGCCCAGTGAATCTCCGGAACATGGTCTGTGTGGGCTTAGCCATGATGTATGCTAGGGAAATGGGGTCAGGGAGGGGATTACAGGGAGGACTATGGCTTATGGCTCAAAGAGTGACCAATGCTCTAAACTATGACTGCCAAAGTATTAGGGTCTAGCAAGACCAGAATTAACACTAGAACAAATGGCATGAAGGACAGGAGTTTCTAGGCTGTGGGTGACAATTCTGGTTAAAGAGGAAGATCTGGGCCAGTAACCATAGGTGCAAGAAGCCAGAACTTTAAGATAATCAAGACATTTAGGCTTCAAATAAATGAGCTGGTGTTAGGGCTGTATTCCAGGTGGGTATCTACAGAGGAAACAGAACATCCAATAGGCTGAGCATATCACTATGTGGGTTTAGAAGAAAGCTGCATATGGCGATCAGGTGGACACTAAAGAGCTCATGGCAGGCACCCCCAACTTATAGTAGTAAGATAAATTCTAAACCTCACTTGTGGGAAGCAGAAATATTCAAATATCTGCGTGTGTATGTGTGTGTATAAACACACATACATGCACACATTCAGGCTTAGCCAATATTGGCCCAAGAACTAAGTGGTTTGAAGCTGTCTGCAGCCTTCAGTGAATGCTGAACAAGATATGGAAAGGCAAAAACTGGCATGTGGCAAAACTGTGTCCTGAATCTCTCCACATCCACAAGCATATCGCCCTTGGCTTAGGTTTTTATCTCCTCATTCTCAGTATTTGACCACCACCCTACAAGTCAAAATGGATTCCATATTTTAATTTGAGAGTCTTGACTGCATCTGCACACACATCTACTAAGACTGTCCTTATAAGGTTCTCCATCTTCCCAATCCCAGATGTTAGCTCATAATTATATTAACCTCACCCTAAGCATGAATATACCCTAAGAATGAATATAAGCACTGATTACAGTAATACACAGCCACTGAACTAACATAATTATCAGTAAATTGCAATAAATTGGAGTGAGGTCTTTCTTTAAGATGTCATAATCAACATTTTCTTCCTAAGCAATTAGAAAAAAATAGAAAAATCTGGAGATAAAAACAATTGATTGAATAACATTTCCATGAGTCATGTCATACCTCTAAAAATGACTCATAATAATAAGCTTCGAGCTCTAGAAATGTTCATCTGTTTAGCAACTGCTGGATAAACATCTGGAATGAGGTCAATTCTCTGTAAGTATGTCACTCCTGTGCCACATGATGTGTTGATGATTTAATGCAAGCTTGTTTCACCCGCGGCCCAACACAGATTCATAAGCTTTCTTAAAACAGTATGAGTTCCTTTGCTTTTTTTTTTTTTTCTAGCTCATCAGCTATCATTAGTGCTAGTGTATTTGATATGTGGCCCAAGATAATTCTTCTTCTAACGTAGCCCAGGGAAGCCAGGGAAGATTGGACACCCATGATAATGTGTTTAACAGGGTATGTAGTAAGAAAAATACTTATTGGTCTTAGCCTGTAGTTCTTTCACAACTATTCATAAAAAGCAGAATATGGTGATCCTAAAACCTCATTCAAGAGAGACTATATTGATTATATATTCATGAGGAGAGGAGAAGGGAAGGAAGTTGCAAAAAAGGAAGGTATAGGAAAAAGGTTTTGCTGGGTTTAGGGAAATAGCAGATATTGCACCCAGGGTAGCTGCCAGGACCTGAAAAATGATTTAGAATCTTCCTCATCCCCTCCCACTACTGCCACCCCTGCAAAAGCTGAAAACTAAGCTGAGACTGACAATCTCAATCACAAATCGCATGCACAAGCAGAGGCGGCAAAGAGCCAAGCACCCACGGAGACTTGGTTAGTGAAGGTCTCCTCATTGACCGATGGTGGGGAGAAAAAGTGGAGAATATTTTCTGTCCTCTTCTGGTCTGCTTCAAATCCTCTCACTTTAGCATGCGCTGAAGGCAAAGGAGTCACATTCATTTCAATGAATTAATTTCTAGCTAGCCCTGAAGAATGCGGGGTTTACATAAGATATGGTTTTGAAAAATGAAAGATCGTACCATTTTTTTCATCCCAGTTGTGAAAATTTATACCCAGTGCCCATGTTACAACCGAGAATATTGTTCAAATTTTTGTTTGTAAGAGGAAAGGAAAGGACATGAATACAGCTCCCTAATAGACAGTAGAAAAGGGTTTGGAGCAAAAGAAGAATTAGAAAATAGTGGAATGGCTCCTTCATGGTGCCCTGGTAACTTTGCACATATCCGCACAAACCACACAGGCAAAGACTTGAACCACAACCTATACAAGTCTTGGCAGGAGACATTGAGATCCTCCCAGAACATGGGAGGATGGGAGACTGGTGAGGTGCTACTTTGAGGAAATCTCCCAATCTCCTTTCTATTTCCTCTAGGAAACTGATAGTTTCTCTCATTGCCTTTGGGGTTTTAATGATATAGAAGGATTTTCATCCCTCCCCGCTCCAGGTATAGAGGCAAACTATAAAACTGCCCAGCTGTAGTCTAGAATCATCTGCCCAGCAATGGACATTGTTGCATTATCATTGCAGTCCCTAGACTCCTTTGATTTCAGTGTTGTCCTTTTTGGCCTGTGGAAAAGGACCCAGTAGATAGCACCTTCAGTTATTCTTCCTTTTGCTGTCTACGTAAGTAATAAACTCTCTAAACCTAAAATTGAATAGTATATTTACCCGTCAAATCACTCGGGTTGTGGCCTCGGCCTTGTCTTGTCTTGTGAGCTTGGCAGGAGGAAAAAGGTAGAAAGGACTTCCAATGTTTAGAAAAGAAGAAGAATGGAAAGCTATGCATGAAAATTCATTGTTCTTCTTTTCAGATGTTAAGGTAAATGTAGTAAAGGAAATGGTCTTTGTTTTTAACTCCCACAGTGTCTACAAGCCCGAAATACATGAGCCACCTCTCTCTAAGTAAACATTATAGTGTGTTACCTCAAGTCAGCTAATGTGGGCAGTCATACCTGAGCAATGGATTGACTGCAAATAAATGGGACTAAAGGATACAATGCCCTAATAGAAGCACACTTAGTGTTCTGCCTATTTTAATTTTTTAAATTATTGGCATTTCTATTTTAACGTTGAATGTAATGAGATAAAGGTAGATTTTATTAATAGGAAAGTTGCTTTTGCTTTCTTATTTCTATATTCCACTCGAAGTAATGAAAGTTGAGATAATGACAGGAGAAGATGTTAAACCAGGGCAAAATAGAAGTTTCTAAAACTGTGCTTTTTCCCTGCTGGCATAAACAGAGCCAACACTCAAGAAAATGCCTTGGATTCATTTTTAGTATTCTCTCTACAGAAAACACTAAACCATGGAGCAGGCACAATAACGGTGAAAGGGTAGAAGTAAAATTACAAGCTATTAATATCTACAGAACTCTTATCATGTGGCAGACCTTGTGTTACATGCTGTTTAGTTTTGTAGATGGCAGAGGCTTAAAGGAGAAAACTAGGAATTTGGAAAGAGAGAAAGAGAGACCCTAAAGTACACATACACACACATACATTCACATATGTAAACGTAAATTTTAGCATTTAACTTATCTCAAAGAATGAGATGTGAGAGTATTAATACATTTAAGAAAATAACTTAGATAACATTGCCAATTAAAGAACACGTTAAGTTTGCTTCCATAAAATATCTCTTTAAAAAGAAAAACTATACGTGTGCTTCCTTTCCATAGGAAATGTTATTTTCTCTTGAGAAGCCCAGTCCCACTGCTTTCTTATATTGACTATGAATGAGAGTGGACTTGTTTTACACTTTTATTATTCCTTTAGAAAAATTAAGTTGTTATCATCACCCAGTAAGTGTTTGTAGCAAGTTCACATTAGCCTGTACTGAGAAACTAGCCAAGAGTCAACCCCAACAGTGATGGATGTATGTTATTATGAAGTAAATGGGAGCAAAAGGAAATAGGGCAGAAGAAAGCTTATACACATGATTTTTTTTTTTTTTTTTTACTCTGCCTCTGGCAGCTACCCTCAATTTAAATGCTCTGACATGGAGATAAGGGATAAAAATAGCACATCTGCTATTAAATTGTAAGGAAATTCACTTAGTTTTAAATCAAATGTCTTAGAAAAAGAAGAATATTTAATCACTTATTCATTCACCAACAAATATGTATTGATCCACAGTTATACAACAAGCTCAGCCAAGTCGAAAATCTAGGAACTGCTCCTGAGCTAGGGTTACTCACAACAGTTCTAAAGCCATAAAAAGTACCCTAAGAAATTAGAAAATTTCCCTAGAAAGCTGAACTCTTCACTCTTAAATCCAGTGAATGTTTAAGAAAATGACTGTGGCTCTAGAAGAAAAACTCCATTTGTTAGTTTTTTAATGGAATTTCCACCATTTTCCATTTGTCATTAGGTGAAGGAAAGGCAACTTAACTCATTACCGAGTCCGCTGTTTGGAACACTTAAGTATTCTTAAATAGGACAAAGGACACATGACAGAGAGAGAACATTTCTGTTCCAAAGGATTGCTAAGCATACTTTTGGTGATACTCCAGATTTCAGAAGAGAAAGGAATGTACAGTTCTAAAATTTATTAACAATAAAAGTTTAACAACAAAGGTCGTTGTAATTTATGAGTCATTGTTTAGGTATCAGTCACTGTGGAAAAAGTGCTTTGCTTAATAGTTCTGACTCTTGTAGAAACAGGTAACGGTATCTCCTTGGCTCTGCACAATATGGCATAGCACATTTTTACTAGGAGTCTAGATTTATCTATACCTTTATTGAGACTTTATAACAGCATGATGAAGATATATAAAACCAGAATTATCTTACACATGTGGCTAAAGAAATGCAGGCTGAAGAAGATGTCACCTACATATTTGGCAAAAGAATCACTCAAATATAAATCATCATCAAATCAACCAACTAGAGCAGTGATTCTTGACCAAGGGTAATTTTGCTCCCAGGCGGGCATTTGGCAATATCTGGAGAGACTTTTAATTATCACAACTGGCTTAGTACTTCTGATACCTTGTTGGTAAAGGTTACTGATGCTGCTGAACATTTTACTATACACAGTACATTCCCCAACAACTGGCCCTGCTATGGTTTGGAAACTTTCAAAAGAAAAGAAAGACGTGTTCCTGCCACCAAGGAGTTAATTGCCCTCACCTGTGCTATATATTATAGTGCACTCATGTGAGAAAAAAAGCTAAAACTGCCAGTAACATTCAATTAAAGGAGTTTCTGGGCTGCTAGTTAGTAAGATGATAATAATTATTAAAACCTCCAACGTAGCATGATTATATCACAAACTGAGATTATTAAAGATTTGACTCAAGCTTGACACTTCTCTTAGTCTAATCTGGCTGCTGTAACAAAATACCTTACACTGGGTAACTTATAAGTGGTAGAAATTTCTTTTTCACAGCTCTGGAGGCTGGAAAGTCCAAGATCAAAGCAACAGCAAATTCTGTGTCTAGTGAAGGCTCACACTCTGCTTCATAGATGGTGCCTTGTTGCTGTGTTTCCACATGGCAAAAGAGGCCAACATTGTGTCCTCACATAGCAGAAGGAGCAGGAGGGGCAAGTAAGCTCCCTCAGGCCCCTGCATGAGAGCATTAATTCCATTCATAAGAGTGGAGCCCTCATGACCTCATCATCTCCCAAATGCCTCTCCTCTCTATAATGTTAAGAGAGGATTAAATTCTAACATATGAATGTTGGAAGGATACCAACATTCAGGCGATAGCCACTCATGATAAGATCCTTTTCTTTGTTTAAAATCCAGGGCCCTTTTTTCCCCTTGACAATATTGAGGAGAGGTGACATCTTGAATTGGACCTGGTAGATTTGAAAACACACATGCACACACCTGGAACTATATTGCTTAAATACTATACTTCTGTCCTCCTTATGACACCTCATTTTAGAATGTTATATACATTTTAGTTCTCTAACTTCAGCATTTTACAACTGAGAAGTAATGAGATAATTTGTATTCTTTCTTTTTTATTATTTAGAAGTAGAGGGGAAAATCATAATTCCATTTTATTTTTAATTTTGAAGATTCCCAAACAATATGAAAGCAATTTCTTAAGGTTACTTAAAAAAACCATAAAAAGGGGACTCTATTGTCCTTTGAATATTGGTATCCTCAACTTGGAGAGACTGTATGATTCTTCATGTTATTCCTTAGAAAGGAATCCACTACCATTTGAAAGGAATCCACCACATTTGAATGTTAAGCCAAGGATCAAATTTGTTTCTGAACTGCAATTAAGGATTAAATATGAGGTAGTGCCAGACATCATATTTTATTTTTGTTCTGGGTAAGCTATTTGATATAATCTTAGAGATTAAGAAAGATAGGAATCATTTTATGTATACCAGAAATTGAAGATATAGTAAGAAGATATAAAATATTAATAACTTGTTACAAAAATATGATTGCTTTAATCATCTTTTCAGATACCAGAATTTGCAAATTGCATACATATTTAACAAACCTTTAAACAAATATTTAGCCAATATGAACAAATACTTGCTAAAAAGGATTATCATTTTTTGCTAAGTCTGTTAAATGATCCAGCTAACTAAATGACTAATTTTTCAGGATATTTATATATGTGAAATCTAGCATATAACACACGCAGTACAGTACATTAATTCTCTAAAGTATCTCCATAGGTCAGTGCAATAATAATAAACCCCAGTCATGCATTATAAAGGTGGAATGCTGATGTGACTTTCCTGTTACTCTAAACTGCATGACTTTTACCCCAAAAATATTTAATGATTTACATTTCAAAGATAAATTATCAACACAGAGATTATGCTTCTCAGTGTTGGGAAATGTGAGATAACAATAAGCAATGGTCAGAAGACCATGTTGCTCTGCCTATATTATGTTATAGACATGAAAATAAACCCTAGGATTTAAAGAGAAATTCAAACAGCTTTATAGCAATTGTATCTATGTCTCCTTTTAGTTCTAGTTTATTGTTTTTCACAAGACCCTGTTTACGAGACATTCTGAAAGCTTTTGCTGTAGAGTGCCTTTTGTCTCCTTGATCTAGTAACATGAAAAGTGAATGATAGGGAGGGGGAGAAGAAATGCCATTTATTCAAGATATAAAAGGTCTTGCTCCAACAAATTACATAATTTATGATTTTTGAAACTAATTCCAGTACTAAAGAAATCCTTCAGGGACTCATAGAAAAAGAAAATGCCTGGTTGCTTAACTTGGCAGCATTTATCACAAACCCAAGGTTCTGATAATAATAGGTGAAAATTTTTTAATTCTACAAAGGGAGAAAAATAACTTAAACTTCCTTTAACATAGCCCCCAAAACATTAGTATGAAGCAAAGTAAAAAAAAAAAATACTAACACATCTTAATATCATGAAAATTAAGTAGATTTTAAAATCACAGCACATAATTGTATGTATGTTACATTATTTTAACATGCATTTTATGGTAATAATCACCAGTTAATCGACGTTCCTTCCACAAACATTTATTGAACACCTACTATGTGCCAGACAAATTGCTAGCCTAGGAAAGCTTCCTGTGCCCTCCATGGCTCTAACCTAGAACTTTTCACATCTTACAGGAATGATTAGCTCTCTTATCTGTTTTCTCCACCAGACATATTCCTTGAAGGTAGAATCACTGTCAGCAGAGTCCTTGCCAGGAACGACTTTCCAGTGAAGGAGACAATGGAAATTTGGACAACATTTTGAAAACCACTAACAGTAACAACGTGTTAATAATAATTAAAACATTAAGATGAAGAAGACAAAGAAGGAGAAATATGAAGGGATTGCTAATTGCTGGTGTTCTGCATTTGTTTTCTTATTTAATCCTCATCATAACCTTATGAGGTGGGTAACAATTTGGACCCTGTTTTACAAATTAATAGGTCATAATGCAAAGGTATTAGGTAACTTGATCAAAGTCACCCTAGAAACAGAATTGAGTGGTTAGAGAGAGGCAGAGGAGAGAGAATTGTGTTCCAGGCAGGAGAATGAAGGCATGAGCCAATCACACATACCTTCCAGCCATTTGGGAGGGCTGGACCAGCATTATTAGTTCAAGCAGAGCATGATAGGCTATGGCTCAGGATTGCCATTAATACCATCCACATATGTGGTTATTGAGGATTTACCATGTAATTGAGACAGGATTGTGATCATCACTTTGTAAGAATTACTTTATTTTTTTCTCACCACAACCCTGAGAGAGACTTATTATTTTTATTTTGATTTTATGGATGAAAGAACTATTTTAGACAAGCTAAGTAACTTGCCCAAGGTGAGAAAGTTAATAATTCAAGTGAGGTCTGGCCAATTCCAAAGTCCATGATCTAAACCCACCTCTGTTACCTGACCACTTCAGAATGAGGCTGAAGACATAGTTAAGGCCAAAGTATGAAGAGCCTAACAGGCTAACCCCAAAAGTAGGAATTTTATTCTAAAATCTATTTGGAAGCACAAAGAAAATGTAGGCAGGGTAATAGCACAGTTATACTTAGAATAATAATCATTTTAACAATGCTTTGAAGACGGAGTTGAAGGGAAGTGATACTACAGGCAGTAGACTAGTTAGGAGACTATTATAATAAATCTGGTAAAAATATTTGCTGTGCTAGTGACAGTGGGAATGTTTAGGAGGTAAAATGATGACAAAAAGATAACAGGAAATGCCTAAATGATGACTACAATAAAGGAGAATTCCTCGGGTTACTCTTGTGCCTCTGAGTTGAGTAACTAGTTGGATGATCATGCTATTCATTTATACAGGAGACATAAAATTTGGAGATTGAATTTTGAGCATGCGAGAGGTGTCTGGGGCATGTTCATCACAAGGTTATTTGGATATGTATATTTGGATCTTAGAAACCGGGGGATTGGGTTGTGGACATAGATTTAAGAGTCCTTGACTTATAGGTAGTGGTCAGATGCTTGAACATACATCATAAGGACAACAAAGAAGAAGATGGAGTAGAATAATTAAAGAATACCGAAGGAAGAGTAGCATGAAAACTGCCAAAGGAGGAAATAGTTTCATGAAAGAGTGGTTGAAGTGTCTAATTCTACAGGACCGATTAAGTAGGATGAAGAGGGGAAGTACACAATCATTTGATAACTAGGGGGCTATTTGCTTGATGGAACTTGCCCCAAGCTAAGAGCTGTGGAAAGAAAAACTGGAGACATGGAGTAAAACCTCTTCTTTTAAGAATCTTGGCTATAAAGGAAATTCTATAGAAGTAGGGGCAATGTAGGATAAAGGGAAGATATTTTATAAGATGAGAGATCTGTAAATATGTGTATGCACTAAGGGTAACTTAAAAACTCTCAATACAAAGAGATTTAAGATGGAGAGGGAAGGTTGCTAATGCAGGGGGTTGGCAATCATGGGGTCCAGAAAAAAGGTGGAGAAATTAGAAAGAGCTGAAAACCCTGAAAAGAAGAAGCTTTACATTAAATGTGGATAAGTCACACCACAGGCAACTTGACTGAACAAACACACTAGAAAAGAACATTTGTTCTTCATATCACAAATCTAATCTCCCAATATGTACCAGCTAATCTCCCAATATGTACCAGAATCCATAAACTCAATAAAAATATGAATAACAATTAATAAAAATAGGCATAGGTTATGAATAGACAGTTCACAAGAAAGAAAATATAGCTGGTTCTTAAACCAATATACAAAAAGATATATAACCTCACTCATAACAAGAGAAATGCAAATGAAATATATACCAAGATACTGTTTTTCACACAACAGATTGGCCAAAATGCAAACATTTGAAAACTTTGAAATCCTATGTTACTGTTAAAAACTTAAAGAAGCAAATTTTGCAATATAAAAAAATTTACAAATTTATACACCCTTTGAACCAGCAATCCCACTTCTGGGGGTTTATCCTATCTTGAACCCCAAAAGGGCTTGAGCTATCAGAATTTTTTTTATTATTTTTTTTCAGATTTTGAACTTCCTGGACTCAAAAACCCATGGCATTTGAATCACTTCCTGTTTTTTAATAAGAAAATATTTATATCACTCACATACAAAATAAAATATATACAAGGTTATTTATTGTATCATTGATTATAATAGCAAAAGATTAGAATTATCTCTTGCCCATGAATATTGGACTGATTAAATAGCTTATAGTATAAACTATGTTACAGTAAAATACTGCTGCATTGATACATCAATGTATGATATAGAAAGCATTCTAGAATATAGAACTTAAGAATCACAACAATGAATATATTAGCTTTCATTTGTGAAAAAGGGAAAAGTAAGAATATACATTTGTATACGTTTGTACTTAAAGAAATACAAGTATGAAACTGAAGACAAATGCTTACTAAAAGGGGCAAGAGAGGAAAAGAGTTAATGAGAATGGAATTGGAAAGGAAACTTCTCAATGAATATGTTTTATATCACTCTGATTTTTGAGTAATATAACTGTGTTAGCTTTTTAAAAGGAGCATTGATATTTTAAATGATATTGAGAATGATTTCTTAAAATAAATTATAATAGAGCAAATTCCCCCCCACCACACACACACATTCTCATGCACTTAATATCTGTTATGCTTTCTTGAGTAGGAGAGAAAGAAGAGCAATTACAACTGCTTACTAGGAATTTGGAAGTGCCATACTTTCAGCCTCTATTGGCTGTAGGGCAGTCCATAAGCTGAATGCATCTTGGGAATGTGACTCATATATGAATATTATGGTCACGTTTATTGCAGAAGGCAACAAGTTTAGCAAATGTGCTCTAGCTATCTCAAAAAGATGTTCAATCTACAATTTCTAATTTGTTTATATTACACTGTTGCAATATGAGAGACAAATCCTAGAAATTTCTGCTATAGAAACAGGAAGTACAAGGGCTCGCCAACACCTTAACCCGAGAAGGACCTCAGCTGTTCACATCCCTTTTGTTTAGGACATGAACTGAGACACAAAAGCCCAGGTCTTTGAAAATATATTTTACTTTTTAGTAAGAAGAAGGATATTTGCATTTGAAACCATAAAGCACCACAAGCAAAATAACTTTTTTTAGCCTCAAGTCCAAAAAAATCCTGAGGTAGAGAAAAAAATCATTTTTTCACAGATGTCATTTGTATATCAGTCCCAGACAACATAAGTGCTTTTGACTCTGTTGCGTACAACTCTCAGCTAGTGAAATTCCTGCAGTAGACATTTTCCTCTGGAAAGTGCAAAATAAATAAGCCAAACCTGCCTCAGTATATATCTGATGCCTTGATTTCATTCTTGGTAGTGGCCTTAATTTAGAGGTACAAATTAGTTTAGCTCTGTGTGTCCAAAAACTTAAAGAAATTAACCAATAAATGAGAATTTACCTCAAAATTGGAAACATTGATCTACAGCACCAGTTCTGATATGGTTACTTAAATCTGTAAAATTAAAGATTTGGGATTAGATTAATTCTACAGCTCTCACTAGCTTCAACATTCTATGATTCTCCTTCCTCCTGGCTGGGCTAGGAAACAAAGCTGCATTTTTTCTGAGCCTGGGAGGTCCTTACTTACGAGACCAACATCTCAAATCATGCTACTCACAACAGTAGACAGAAAATATACGGCCTTAAGCTGTACTTCCTGCTAAGAAGGCTTTTCAGAAACATATTCCTGAACATAGGAGAGTCTTCCACAATGCAGGGCTTTGAGAATTGAGAATCGTCTTTTTTATTCCTGGAATTCAGAAGCATTATCATTGTTTCACAGCCTAGCTAAGCAAGGTAAGGCTTCATTTCACAATTCAAGTGGAGAAATACCATTAAGTGAAGGAAAAATAATTCAGAGTATTCTAACAATGTTCTTCTAAGGTGGTCTCCAACTTTTGCTCTTTCTTAATTGAATATTGAAAAATCTGAAAAAAAAAACACAGCTAGAAGAAAATAAGTTTTATCTGTTTACTAACTTTAGGTGTTTCTCTCGGGAAAAGAGAGAAATTGTTGGCAGAAAATAATGAAAACACAAGGACTTGTGCTATGTGCTGAAAGAATTGCTCCTGAAACGATAAAGGTGAAATGCAGATAAAGACAATCAAGATACAGCCTTTTTTAAAAAATTATTTCCATTCCAGTCCTATCCATCCTGGCTATAAAGTGACTCTCAACCCAAAGATCTGGAAACTCCAGTTAAATAATGCACATTTAATTATTTTGGTGCCCTTTTGGTATCTAATGCATGCTATAGATGATTGCACTGTCATTTTAACACTGAGAGGTACAAAATAATAGGTCCATTTTCAAAAGACGTGGCCTTAACAGAACTAGTATTTTTACTTTTAGTATCCAAAGTACTAGAATAAAGGAAACTGCTAAATGTAACGTAAAGTGGAAATGCACATACATTTAGTCATTGCAAGCACTATGTCATATAAAAGCTTAGTTAAATGCTGCATTTTAGCAGATTAGCCTTTCCCACCTGAAATAGTGTCTTAGTTCATTTGTGTGGCTATAACAGAATAGCACCAGTGAGGTAATTTATGAAGAACTAAAATTTGTCTCTCACAGTTCTGAAGGCTAGGAAGTCTAAGATCAAGGTGTCAGCAACTTGCATGGACTTTCTTGCTGCATTCTCACAGGCAGAAAAGGCAGAAGGGCAAGAAAGGAAAAGTTTTATCCTCACATGGCAGAAAGGTAGATGAGAGCAAACCCACTCCCATAAGCCCTTTTCCTAATGGCATTAATTTATTCATGAGGAGTTTACCCTCAAGACCTAAACACGTTCCAGAAGGTTCTACCTCTCAACACTGTATGTTGCATTGAAGATTAAGTTTCTAACAATGATGTTGGAGGGAACACATTCATATAATAGCAAATAGGAACTTTGTAGCAGTCATACTTTTAATGGAAAAGATGAAACTACTTGGGGATCTCTGTGCTATGTAGTTCACTGAAAAAATATATCAAATATTTAATCTAAGACACACATTTTATCACATTTGTAAACGCATTGTGGCTCACATTTGTAATCCCAGCACTTTGAGAAGCTGAGAGCAGAGGATTGCTTGAGCCCAGGAGTTTGAAACTAGCCTGGGCAAGATGGTGAGCACCTTTCTCTACAAAGGCTTAAAAAATCAGCCAGGCATGGTGGCACACCAGTAGCTCCAGTGCCAGCTACTCAAAAGGCAGAGGCAGGAGGATCCCTTGAGCCCAGGAGTTCCAGGTGCAGTGGCTTTGTCACACCACTGCACTCCTGCCTGGGTGACAAAGCAAGACCCCATCTCTTAAAATAAATCCATCAAGGTGGAATGCATTTTGCATTAGGTAGTGAATCAGTTTAATTGGCAGTGCTTTACTTTTTCTTATTTATTGGGACATAAAATAACAGTACATCTTTGAGATCATAAAGTGTGGTCTTATATGAAGATGTTTTTGTTGTCTTCTATGGTAAGAGCCATTCATAAGATCACATTACTTATTTTATGGAATGGGTCAAAAAGACAAAGAATTAATCTCAGTGTAAGTTTTCTCCTAGTACTAAGGGATACTAATAGCAAAACACACAGTTAAGATCACGATATTCCTTGTTAATCTAAATAACAGCTTCCCAAAGATGTCCACATTCCAATACCCAAGATCTGTGACTATGTTACCTTACATAGCAAAAGGGACTTTTGCAGGTGTGATTAAGCTAAGGACCCTGAGATAGGAAGACTATCCTGAATTATCTGGGTGGACACTATCAAATCACTAGGGTCCTTATAACAGGGAGGCAGGAAGATCAGAATTAGAGAGAAGAGATTTAAGAATGGAAGCAAAGGCTGGAGTAATACATTTTGAAGATGGAGGAAGGGGCCATGAGCCAAGGAATGAAGGAGTCCTTTTAGAATCTGGGAAAGGTAAGGAAAAAGATTCTCATCTAAAACCTCCAAAAGGAATGCATCTCTGCTGACATCTTGATTTTAGCGTATAAAACCTATTTCAAGTTTCTGACCTCCAGAACTGTAAGATAGATAAATTTGTGTTGTTTTGACCCACTAAGTTTGTGGTAATTTTTTACAGTAGCAATAGGAATCTAATACAACCCTCTATAAGGAACATTTGTTGAATAATACAAAATAGTTTTTACAGTCCTTCTGGTTAATGTCAAAGTAATTGCACATACTGGTAATTATATTCCTATGTTATGAAATGATGCAGATAATCAAGAAAAATAAGATGCAAGTATGGATGAATAGAAGGATGGGCACATATATATCTATGAATAAATATATACTGATCTAATTTATATATATAATAAAGCAAAAATAGCAATATGCTAATTGTAGAATCTGAGAGATAGGTATACGTGTGTTCATTGTACGTTATTTCTTTAAATTTGTCTATATTTTTTAAACATTTTATAATAAGGTATTGGGAAGCAGGGAGATGAATGTAGATTTGACAGCTTTAAAATAGAGATGTTGCCATTCTTGAAAAAAAAATCAGCTTTTAGCCAGGTGACCCCCCAAAATCATAAGCCTCTGTCATTACTGTATATACTGTCATATATTACTGTATAAATTAAGTTAAATTACAATTTTGTATTAGTCCTAATATTCAATTATAATGGTTTTTAATATATAAAATCAAAAACTTCAATGAAAAACTGATTCTTTTTCTCCATTAACAATAATTTGATTGTATATTTCAAGATAGCTGGAAGAGAATAATTCAAATGTTTCTGGCATAAAGAAAAGACAAATATTTAAGGTAACGAATATCCCAATCATACTGATTTTATCTTTACAAATTATAAGAATGTATTAAATTATTACATGTACCCTGAAAATATGTACATCTATTGTGTATCTATAAAGAAACAATTTTTAAAGAACAATTTGACACCGAGGAATGAATTTTTAAATGGTAAAGAGAGATTCTAACAATATATACTGAAGGATGTGCTTGCTGACATTTTTATGTTAGCAAAAGAATTACAAAAGAACCTTCATATTTCCCAATCCTAGGAAAATACATGAAGTAGAAATTTACTTTTGATGCACTAACACTTTCTCCACCGGTACCCACTCTCTTGATTTTTCTCTCTCCAAAGGGATTTGCTCTATACTAGAGTTAGAAAATGAACATGCAATTTTTCCTTACGCCGGGTTGTTCTTTACCAAGATAGTTTCATTTTAACAGACTTCTCTTTAAAATTCTGGTGCTGTCAGTACCTACAGGGAACGAAGGAATAATGGCAGATTCAAGATCCTATGGCATACCACAAGGCATCTCTGAATCTCCGAAACATGAATCCTGGTTTGCTTCCAAAATCGATTCATAAGGTCAGCAGTGGAGCCTATATATGGCCTATAGCTCCTGCTACCTGGTTAGTAAGTGAAACCACACAGAAACTGTAAAGTAGCCTATTGTTTTCTGACTATTTCCATGTCTATTTATTCCCACTTATGTTCACATTCCACAGCAATGCTTCAAAAAGTTTAGAAAAAGCAAAACACAGTAGGAACAATAAGGTATAAAACTTTCATCCCACCTTTAAATTCAACAGCTAATTTTAATTATCATCCTTATATCTCAATGGGTTAATTGTATTTCATTTTTTTCATATCCCTGCTACTAGTTTCATTATATTTATTATTCCCTTGAAATTGCCTATAACCTACAGTAGAGTATCTTCAGAAATTAGCCAATTAAACAAAGGCACAGACCATTAAGCAACTTAATTGTTTGCTCAATGGACTTTGCCAGTTTATTTTAGATTATCCTACTTTAAAACATCACTTAAATATATGGCCAATATGTAACCTTCTTCTGCCTAATCTCAACTGAAAACCATACTCTGTTATTATACCTCTTCAACATCATCCCTGATTACTGGTGATAACAGTTTCCTTCTTTTTGGCTTTAAACTGAGCACTTCTAGAAAAGTCTCTCTTATATCTTCACTGTTTTTATCAGTAATGTAAAGAATACTGTCTACTTTTTTTCTGGCTCTCGTTCTTTTTTTAAATTCATTGAATCATATTCCTCAGCTGGGCCCCAAGTGCTACTCAGCAATTCTTTTATTTAACTCTAATTGATTCCCTATTGCACTTGCCACAGCAACTGTTTGAAAATGCATCTCAAGGCACCTAACTCACACCTGTCATACTGAGTCTCAGTAAATAACTTTGCCATACACCTAAATTACAAAGAAGACCAAAGCCTTCTGAAGCAAATTCCTATTCTGGTATTCATTTATCATTTCAGATTTTCTCAGAAACGTATTCTTTTTAATTCTTCTGTGATCTTAAGGAAAGGATATCATTCTATTCCAAGATGAATTTTTCCAGCACATAAGAAGTAACATTGCTTCACTTGTAACATTTACTCTGCATAAACAAGCAAGTCTTCCCTTTACACCTTATAGCACATCAGAAACAAAGCCGAAATATTTAAACCTGATTTTACCGAAGGCTAGGGGATAATAAAAGGGAAAAATTCCAAAGAGATATGTGTAATTGGAGAATCTGATTTGCAATATAACTGACTCATCTTCAGTTTATGGCCCACTACGGGGTCCCATCTTCTTGGGTTCTTGGACTCTGCACAGAAACCAACAGCATTCAGGAGCATACATCTGAATATGTGCCCTCCTCAGGAATAGACCAAGGCACTGTGTATTAGCCCATTCTGACGCTGCTAATAAGACATACCTGAGACTACTAGGTAATTTATAGAGGAAAGAGGCTTAATTGATTTGCAGTTCAGCATGGCTGGGGAGTCCTCAGGAAATTTAAAATCATGGCAGAAGGGGAAGCAAACAAGTCCTTCTTCACATGGCAGCAACAAGGAGAAGGACCAAGGAAAAGCAGGGAAAAGCTCCTTATAAAACTATTAGATCTTGTGAGAACTCACTCACTATCATGAGAACAGCAGTATGGGGGGAACTGCCCCCATGATTCGATTATGTCCCACCAGGTTCCTCCCACTACACGTGGAGATTATGGGAACTACAATTCAAGATGAGATTTGGGTGGGGACACAGCCAAACCATATCACAGTGGGATTCAGAGAGAAGTGTTTCCTCTCTTACATTCCCAGGGGTCAACTTCAGTTTTCTTTCTTCTCAGGACTGACACCAGGAATGTCCACTCTACCATAACAGTCAATATGTGTTCTAGCCGCATGATTTTTTTTTGGACTAAGTTCTATAAATACCTTTCTTATCCTGGTTTATATCTTTCATTCTTCCAGGAATGTATTTCCTCTGCTTCTTCTGTTAAAGGTCTACTGTTTCCTAATGTGTTAAGCACATTTTCAACTTTCCTTTTCTCCATATGACCTTCACAGGACCTCTCTATTCTCTAATTGCACTTATTTGTTCTTCCTCTAATGAAGGTGACTCTTGGTTTGGAAGATATTAGTTAGCTCGGTATTTGGAGGCCCCTATCACTAGATGGAACTCTTGGATAGTAAGGACTCTCTCTTTTTGTTAATGAGTAACATCAACAATTCATAACTTACTACTAGAGTTTACAATTACTGGACACCTATGTACCAGACAGTCTGCTAAGCACTTTGAATGCATTATCTCATCTAATCTTTACCACAGCCATAAGAAATAAGTTCTATTATTATCACTGTTTTACAAATAAGAAAATAGAGGAATAGAAAGATTCACTAACATGTTCAAATTCTCAAAGATAGTAAGGATGGAGCCAGGCTTTGCACATAGCCATCTAATTCTATTGCTCTTGCTCTTGTCCCCTTCATGAATCTTCACAGCAATTTGCACTTGCAAACACTCCATAAATGTTGACTGGTATTGGAATTGCATTGGCCCATCTATCCTTGGCCCAAAACAAAGTAGGTTTTATCTTACACGCATATTCCAAAAGAAAGAAAGGATTGTACTTTAAGAAGAAAGTACATTAAAAAGTCACTGCAAATCCAAGACCCCAACCAATGCAATTTACGGGAAGAAACATGGTTTTGGTTCATTTGCAACATCAATATAAGGATTATTGACATTTTGGTTTAAAAGATTTTTTGAAAAAATTAATAAATAAAAGCTTAGAAATCATGCAAGGTCATGTACATTTTCATTATACACACACACTTACACACAATTAAGTTATGTTAACAAGTCTCCAGCGGAGCAGAGTGTGTTACCATAACACGTCACCATTTTATTTAACCTTATCGGTAAAACATACTTTTCTTTTCAAGCTCTTAGGTTAATTCAGAGGGACATCTTGGAAATAAACAATCTCTTATGTGGCATTCTCGATGAATGCATTACCATTTTGACCAAAACAACATAAACTTGAATTATCATAATAAAAACAAGGGATGATTTATCTTTCTGATGGACATTATATGAAAAAAGAAAACCAGACCCAGGAAGGAGCAGGTTGCTAATGAAGCTCAAAATAATCTGTGGACATAGAGATCCTAGAACCAATTAAACTCTTTGTCTAAGTGAAAGTATTTTTGTTTTCTCAAATAATTAGAGAAGAGTATAGTATCAAAACAATCGCTCTCAAGTCCATCTACTTGAATGGAATTTATGAGACAAAAATATAAAAATATACATTGACAAGAGGCAGAAAGAAAAGCATTTAGTTAGATGGGCAATTACAATTCTGTATCAATTTTTTTAAATCTCATTTTCCAACCGTTTCCATATATTTGCTTCAGTTTTCCATTGAGTGCATTTTAAAACAAAACTAGAATTCTGAAAACTACTGTATTAACTGCTTCACAGAAAAAAATATTGCTCTGATTGTTTATGGTAGATACAGATGAGAAGCATCGCACCTTCTTCTACTCGACTTTATCTGCAGTGCCTTGTTTGTGCAGATACAAAAATGTAATGGAATACAGAAATCCTAAACACTGCTTTAGAATTCATATAGTTGGTATTTTATTGACTTTTTAAGTCAATTTTTTCCTCTCTTTGATATTAGAGCTCAGCACATCAGCTTAAAAGAACTGTGCCCTGATGGATGGAAAGTTTGGATCTCAGCAGGATTCTCTTTCTACTAAAAGCAATGAAATTTAGGATGAGCTATTAGGATTGGGGGCTTGAGGTGGGCAAAGGAGGGGAGGCAAGTGTGAGGGATTGCCAGAGAAAATATCCTGAAGGGTTCTTAAGCCTGCAGGAATTTATGGGATAATTTCCATCCTTAAACGAGATCTTTAAAGATTTTCACGCTTTCTTGTTGCCAGCGGGGTCTTCTGTTGAAATAAGATAATTTCTGTGTTTGCGTACCTCCAAAGAGTAAGAGAAAAAAATAGTCACGTTGACACATTCCTTCTTAGATATCAAACAGAATGACAGCCTGAGTTGAGGACAAAGAAAAGTGACAAGCTTTGCACATGCCAGGGACTCTGAATCCTCTCATATATTCAGTTATGTGGATGGTATTTATATGCTTAGAAGAAATATCTGTGTAAAACAATCACATAAAACACAATAAAGGTAACCAAAGTTTACTGGCAAAGTACCCAAGGAAGCATAATTTCTTTTAAAAATTCTGAGTCAGAAGTAATTTGTCAATTACATGAGGAATGGGATTCAAAGGTCTAAAAATATTCCAAATCTTCCAAAAATGAACAGTGTCTATTTTTTTCTGAGGAAACAACAAAGTTGAAGGGCCAAAAAAGCAGGGCATGGGATGGTACTGATGCTAACTAGTTTCATGAAATAAAAAGCTTTAAGCTCATATTAGATACTAAAATGGCTGAGCGCAGTGGCTCACACCTGTAATCCTAGCACTTTGGGAGGCCAAGGCAGGTGGATTACCTAAGGTCAGGAGTCTGAGACCAGCCTGGCCAACATGGCAAAACCCCGTCTCTACTAAAAATACAAACATTAGCTGAGCACGGTGGCGTATGCCTGTAATCGCAGCTACTCAGGAGCTGTGACACGAGAATCACTTGAACCCAGGAGGCAGAAGTTGCAGTGAGCGAAGATTGCGCCACTGCACTCCAGCCTGGGTGACAGAGTGAAACTCAGTCTCAAAATATATATATATATATTTCTCCTCCATACACAGGTTTCATTATCCAACCTTCCACACATGATACAATTCCCTTTAAAATGCATTTCTTGTTGAGTTTATTATCCATATTTATATCCCCATGGGGTTTAATCTAGTTTATAAAACTAGAAAGTTTTATAAATGCTTAAAATATGGCTCGTCTCACTGCAGTGACATGAGTGCCAAAAGAAAAGAAGAAAGAACCAGACATTTCATTTTTCATCAAATATTGAAATAGAGATTATCTAGTAAATCCAGTTTTCCCCCCAGGAGTTTATGGAAAGTGATTCTTATGTATCTGATAGTGATCTGACCATTCTTCACTCTGTGTGTGTGTGTGTCTTTGTGTTCATGTGTGTGTGTATGTTTACATGCACATATATTTGAAACAAAAATGCTACCCTGCTCTCAATGTTCTGGGCCTCCTGGCAAACTGACCACAGTCCCTCCACCAGACATCACTCAGCAGGCCATGGAAAGCATGGTGACTTGCCAAATGAAGGGCAGCCATCTATGACCATATTCTCATTTCCCCTCTCCCCTGTTGTCGTTACTTGGTCACTCTAATAATATATTTATGGGAGAAAAACTGTATTTTCTACAATGAAAGAAAGTTAGTGAGAAAAGTGTCATCATTTTACATTTTGGAAAATGTCTTTAATGCTTGACTTTATAGGCAGAATTTAAGTTTAATTCTGGCTTCTCCTACAGCACTGCAGTTAATCTCTTGTGATATAGCACATGTCATATAGTCTCTGGAAAAGTCCATTGTACACTTGTGAGAGAGTGATAAGAGCAAATAAATGTCTTGTTATAGGTTAACCTCACTGATTCTGGGGTCTTTCATAATTTCTGTGACATAACCCAGAAGGGGTCTTGGCATATGTCAGGCAACCCTGGATTACATTTTGAGAATCTCTGGAATAAAGAAACCTGAGAAAGGAACTGTAGAGAGTATAGTGCAGTGCCTCCTAAAGGTGAATAAGGAATGGAATCCCTTTGAAGTAAAAATAATTTCATGGATTCTCTAATGGTTACTTAAATTATCTCTAATATAAGTATAAACTACAACTAGCTAGAAATCACATTGTGTAAGCACTGGGACAAATATTAAACTGAATACAAGTTTATTAAACTGAATAAAGTTAAAAAGTATGTGTAAACAAAATTATAAACCTAATGTCATTCAAATTGTTACCATTAGCTTAATGCAACAGATGATGTTTTGCTGAAACGAAATTGCTCCTTCTAACAAGAATATAATACTCACTGCTCTAGCAGCCAGGTTCGTCAACAAGTATGTAGTAATATGTGCCATGTGTAACACATCTTCTTTTCTTTCTCTGTCTCTCATTGAAATTTGGGTGCACCAAGTCAGATAAATCATAGTCCTTAGTTCAGGACACATTCTCATCATTGATCAATTCATGGTCCTCTTTTATTTAGTTTTCACTTATTTATTTATCAAGTTAATTAGGTTTTATGATTTTTATGTTATAAACAACATTAAATTCACTGCCCAAAATAAAACTGAGGACCCCAACAATAATTTACATCTAATGATAGGGCCCTCCCATTCCATTCCCTGGGCTTTTTCTATCCATAGCAATCATAATCCTAAATTCTTTGTGTATCATGCTTTATTTTTTTTTAATGTAGTTTTACTTCATATACATAATCTCATGTAGTCCTTTAAGTGTTTATATATTCCAAAAAAGTATATATTTTTATTGCATTATCTTCATAGAAAAAGAAATATATATATATTTATTATCTTCATAGAAAGAGAAATATATATATGTGTATGTATATATACCTCTCTCTTTGGATGCCTTTTTTTTCACTTAATATTATATCACTAAAATCCATCCATATGATGTTGCCGCATGGTGCTGCACTTCATCCATTTTGGCTACTGTATAATATTCTATTATGTGGATATGCGGCAGTTAATTCATCCACTTTCTTATGAGTGGGCACTGGATTGTTTCCTTTGTTTTTTTCTGTTGTGAGCAGTGCTGCTCTGAATATTCTTATTTACATTTCCTCGTGTACATGTGTAAAATAGGTCATTTCTTCTACCATTTTTCTCTATTCAAACTACAGCAAAACCTATAGCATACCTGATGTTAATGCCCTTCACTTGACTCAAACACATTATTTATGAATATGAATAGACAATCATTAATAAATATTTATTATATGGCAGACAATATTCTAAGAGCTCTCCACATGTCAACTCCTTTAATTTTCACACCAATCCTATGCGATTGTTACTATCATTTTTATTGCCTATTGTACAGACAAATTGCTGATAATTGAAGGTAGAATAAGTTGCAAGAGGTATTGCCAGGATTCAGATCTAGGCAGTCAGTTTCCAAATCCAGCCAGTCAGGTTCCAGAGCTTGTACTCTAACTATAACCACCACTATTTATTTCTTTTTGGTTCACAAAATGATGCGATAAACACAAGTGATGAAATCACACGGCAGTCTGTCCTCAATTAATGAGGGGAATCATCCAGATTAATCAGACTACTTTTACATTAATTAATTTAAGTTAGAATTGAAAGGAACATGCTTAAATTAATATACAGTTTTCTTGACACCTTACGAACAGGTCTGTAGGTCACAATTTGAGAAATAATGTTATCATGAAATGATTAGTTGGAATGTCTCTATAGTCTAGGATTTAAATCACATTTCAGGTAGAAAGCTGGCCAAGACTCTTAGGATTGTAAGTGGCAGAAATCCAATTGAAACTGTCATAACAATAAGATAAAATATTGGCTCACAGATTTGTGGAGATTACTGAGAAGAAAGAAAAGAAGGAAGGAAGGGAGGAAGGGAGGAAGGAAGGGAGGAAGGAAGGAAGGAAGGAAGGAAGGAAGGAGAAATAGACAAATCCACAAAATCAGAGTTGGAGACTTCATTACGTCTCTCTCAATAATGGATAGAACAACTAGAAAGAAATCAGCAAGAATATAGAAGAATTCAACAGCACAATCTATCAACAGGATCTAATAGACATTTATAAAACACTTCACACAACAATGGCAGACTTCAAGCTCTTTTCAAGTACCTATGGAACAGATGCCAAGATAGGTTAAATCCTGGGCATAAAACAAATCTCAACAAACTTAAGAGAATTGAAACCATACAGGATATGTTCTCTGACCATGTTTGTGGATTAAAAGACTCAACATAGCAAAGAAGTTACTTATCCCCAAATTTACAGGCTTAATCAATCCCTATCAAAATCCAAGCAAGATTTTTTAGAAGCCACAATTAGTAATAAAAAACACACAAATAATAGTCAAAATTAAATAGTAAACTATCTCAAAATTCAATAGTAAAAAAGCAAACAATCCAGTTACAAAATGGGCAAAAGAAATAAAGAGACATTTCACTGAAGATGATATGCAAATGGCAAATATGCAGATGAAAACTTTCAGTATCTTTAGCCATTAGAAAAATGCACATTAAAACCGCAATGACTATTTTCACCCACCCATCAGAATGTCTAAAATAAAACATAGTGACAACACTAAATGCTGGCAAAAAACGCATGGAAACCGGATCACTCACACATTGCTAGGTGGAATTTAATGGAAAACAGTTTGTAAATTTCTTTTAAAAACTAAACCTGCAAAACCATACAACCTAGCAATTGTACCCTTTGGCATCTACCCCAGAGAAATGAAGACATATGTTCACACAAATTCCACGAATGTTTACAGCAGCTTTATTTGTAATAGTCAAACCCTGGAATCAACCCAGATGTCTTTCAACGGGTGAATGGTTAAACAAACTGTGGCACTTCCATACCATGGAATACTCAACAGTTAAAAAGAATAAACTATTGATACATACAGTAACTTGAATGACTCTCCAGAGAACTATACTGAGTGTAAAGAGCTAGTCCCAAAATGTTACATATTGTATGGTTCTATTTACATAACATGAAGAATAGATTCGTGGTTAGCAAGGCTTAAGGAGAGGGCGGGGTGGGGGGGAAGTGGGTGTGCCTATAAATAAATACATGCAGAATCTCTGTGATGATGGAAATATTCTGTATTTTCACTGCAATGAAGTCAATATTATCATTATGATAGTATACTGTAGTTTTACAACATGTTATCATCAGGGAAAGTGGGTAAGAGGTGCGTTGGTACTGCCTTATTTCTTACAACTGTATGTGAACCAATATAATAAATAAATAATGAAAAGTTAAGTTAAAACAATTTTAAGGCCGGGCGTGGTGGCTCACGCCTGTAATCCCAGCACTTTGGGAGGCCGAGGCGGAGGGATCACAAGGTCAGGAGTTCAAGACCAGCCTGGCCAATATGGTGAAACCCCGTCTCTACTAAAAATACAAAAATTAGCCA
Source organism: Homo sapiens (assembly GCF_000001405.40). NCBI lineage: Eukaryota > Metazoa > Chordata > Mammalia > Primates > Hominidae > Homo > Homo sapiens. The sequence continues at coordinate 102,738,843 of NC_000005.10, forward strand.
GATGTAGTGGCGGGCGCCTGTAGTCCCAGCTTCTCGGGAGGCTGAGGCAGGAGAATCGCTTGAACCTGGGAGGCAGAGGTTGCCACGAGCCGAGATCGGGTCACTGCACTCCAGCCTGGGTGACAGAGCAAGACTCCGTCTAAAAAAAAAAAAAATTAAGTTGACTACTAAGAGTTCTTGTTTATATACCTTATATCTATTAATATTTACCATATTGGAAATCATTACAGAAAAAATTGGGGGTGCGATGGTACTGTCTTATTTCTCACAACTGTATGTGAACCAATATAATAAATAAATAATAAAAAGTTTAATTTAAAAATTTTAAGTTGACTTCACTAAGAGTTCTCATTTATATACATTATATCTATTAATATTTATCATATTGGAAGTTATTACAGAAAAATGTAAAACGTTCATCACACCTTTAAAATTAGCAATGATAAACCCATTACACGTTAACATAAATTTCAAGTTTTATGAAAAAAAGTATTTTCTAGAACAAAAAATTTAGTAAGAAGAGTGGCATTGTTTTATATATTTGCGAATCTCTTTCATGCGGTTTAATAGACATGGGTGGATTCTCCTATTTGCTTCTGTACTCAGTTTCTCAAGATATCTAGTTTTGGTAGAAGAATAAAAGAAAATGTGGTGTTACATGGATGTATAGTTGAAAAAGGGTAGGGTATTTTTAATAGTCATTTTAGTTAATTGCTGATATTCTTTCTTGATACTGTACCAAAACTCAACAAGTAGCTTCCTAAAGATTGGTGACATTATGAGATCACTAATAATATCAATGAATATTTTGCACTCTTTAGTTAAAATCAGTTGGTCCATCTTGCATTTTAACTAGACTTTTCACCCAAGAGTTACTTGATAACATTGTGAATGGTAATTTGAAAAATATTTGTTCACTGAGTTATTTTATGCAAATCTTCCCATGTTGACACCTTCCATTATAGAATATCAAAAAAAAAAGTTTGTTAATATCATCGCTGACTTTATAAAAGCTGTCTTTAAGCATTGGCAAATACAGGCTTTCCCAAATTATGTTTTTTGTTTCAAATTTTGGTATTTATCGACAACAAATACTTCTATTTTCCTTGAAATCACAGGCCCACATTGTTCATTAGCTAGAAAACATCTGCCAAATACCTAAATAACTATTTTTTCTGTCAGTAATTTTTTTTTCAAGTAAAAATGGTGCAGCATAGAAAAGTGGCTATTTAAGCTTACAACTCAAATAATCACACAAGTGCTTTTCCTCAAGACAATAATTAGTTGTGCTTCGTGTGCAGAAGAAGTGCTTCATGAATACTTTGCATTTTGTCACACAGAACATGAAAAAAGGGTATTCACATGTAAAATGTAATACAATTAGTTTAACTGCTACATCTATGATATCCGTAAGTGAAAATGGCATTAATTTTTTAATGTCAGTGTATAGCTATAAAAAACGACAATGATTATTAACACAGTTTGGTGCCACTGACTTGATTCTTGTTAAGGCACCAGCAGTTTTACTCATCATTTCTTCTGTATCATCATTGAAATGGCAACACAGTGAAAAGAGCAAGTAATGTCATAATAAATTATTTAAGAAGTTTTAACTTCATAGACACCCTGAAAGTATATGAGACCCCTAGGGCCCTAGGGATCACTTTTTGACAGCCCATTGCTCTGTTATAACAAACCTTTTCCTTCTTTAGTTCAACTCGTGTTTACCATCTCCTAGAGCAGTAAGTAGCACATGGTAGATGCCCAATAAATATTTGTTGAATAAAGAATGAATTAATGAGCTGGGCGTGGTGGTGTGCTTCTGTAGTCCTAGCTACTCAGGAAGCTAACAAGGGCAGATTGCTTGAGTCCAGAAGTTCAAGGCTACAATGAGCTATGATAGTGCCACCACACTCTAGCCTGGGTGACAGAGTGACAGAACCAGATCCCACCTCTAAAAAAAGAAAAGAAACAATTTAGCCCTGTGGACACTTGATTGAAATATCTTTACCACCCCAGAAATGTACAAAGACAAATATTTCAAAAAAGAAAACAATAAGAATAGTTCTAGTTTGAGATTTAGTATATAAAAGCAGATGTAAACCAGGAAGTAAACATATTATGGATATGACAGAGATATTCATAAGGCATCATAGAAACCATGGGTTCTTTCTTATCTCAAATGTCCATGCAAGTCCAAAGGGAAATGGCAGTAACCCTTTTATTAAGATGAATCAGATGATAAATTCATTATAAAAATATGGGCTTTATGATTACCTTAGAAAAGTCTGTTAAACTAGATTATTCTGAGAGAAAAAAAGTGTCTAAAACAGTATCCCTGTAGCATTATTACCCAAACATCTAATACACTTATTATGATTACCTTTATTTTTGTTATAGGTTTAATGTAAGTAGATGACACTGTGCATTCGATTTTATTCTTTACTAAACTGTATACATATTTTTATTCCAAAACATGCCACTTCTTCACCTGAGACATAGAGATAGTTATACAATGTAGTTATTTGAATAAAAAACAAGATTCAAAACCTGCTGTTTTGAATAACACACATACCATCATAGACAACAATAAATAGTAAATAGAATTTGGGGTTAAAAGAAACAAAATCAGGGTTGGAATCCTTGCTCTGCTCTTTTCAGATCTGTAAGTACCTGGATGAGTTTGATTTATATAATCCTGAGTTCCCTCATGTATAAAAGGAAAAGAATAAAATTAATTTAATTTCATAGAATTTCTGTGAGTTTCCAATGAAGTAATGTATGTGAAAGTGGTTTACAAATTGTAATAAAAATTCAATTGATAGTTATATTTATTACCATTTTCCAATTCAAATTAAGTTTGGTTACACCTAAAGTCTTCTTAAGGCATGCTAATATTGGGAAAACCATCTTAATTATAAATATTAAAAATAAAGGAAAATGCCTTTTATTTTTCAAAAAGGAGTAGTGGAAATGTAGATAATCATTTTCTATCTCCAAACTAATCAGCTGTAAAAATCATGCATGTTCTAAGGCTCATAATAAAAACAGAAAAAAAAATTAAGATCCAAGATCAGAGATGAAGAAAGGATTAATCGCAATTTACAAACCACTGAAAAAACATCTTATTGGGCACTTAATGACCTCATTAAAGTAATATATTTTTTCCTCCATTTAAAATATTTTTTGCATATAAAGTATGTCTATCTCTCATGCAGTCAATTATCTCTCACAGCATGAGACCATTCCCAATACATGCACATGAAGGAAGCAACACACTATACTGTTTGTTTGAAACTAACAGGTACACTAGCATATTCTACCATCCCAACATACCTTTAATATCCCAGTGTTAAAAAGGGCTTTTCATAATTATAAACTAGCAATAGTGTATGAATAATCCAGTATGGAGTACTGATTCAATTACTTAAAATGATAAATCTATTGGGAAATCTCTTTATTTTCATTTTATTTTTTTCACAAATGCAGGGAGAAAAAAGCTATAGGGATCATTTCTTGTCTTAGTCTAAGCACCCCTGTGGAGAAGATCCAAGCGTGAAGCTTCCTTTGAAGTGAATGGAATCTCCACACTCATATCAGCTCTGAGGGTATATAGAGGAGAACAAGAAACTGGCCGCATGAAAGCAGCTATTAGCATTTAAATGAGGCTAGGCTTAAAAGAAAATTTATGCATCAAAAAATACTAAGATTTGAAAACGAAGATACAATTTTTTCAATAATCTTAGGTCATGCCATCTTGCATTAGAAACAGGTATTTCTTAGGTCCAACAAAGAAAACAACAATAGAAAATGTTCAAAGAACTTAAAGATTGGTCAGAAATAGGAAACCTATATCATATTGAAATATCACAGATGCCAGGTATTCCTACTGTGGGAACACATAGAAGTCTGGCAACATCCATGGATTGTATCTACCACAAATCCTGATATTTATTCTGTATTTAATACTGGTGTGCCTAAAAAGTGAAGAAAAAATAAACAAAATAAAATAAAAATAATCATCACAAAACAATATTCCGGTTAAGAATTCAAGCATAAATCTTGCTGATGAGGGTAAATTCAGCATAGAAAAGATAATATTCTTTGAATGCAAAATGGATCTGCCATCTACAGAACCAAAATAGAAACACAGATCAGAGTTATTTCAGCAGTATCAATCATATGTCAATCAAGAGCTAGTCTTTAAATAACATCACTGGTGTCGTCACTGTGCTAGGCTGAGTTTAAGTGATAACTCCTGATTTTGAGGTTTACACATACAATATAAGGCAATATATGCGAGGCACCAATAATTTTCTGAGAGAAGAGCATCACAGTAAGCTAAAGTGGTCTGGAAAGGCTTCCTAAATGATTCTCGGAGGATGGAGAACACTTCACTCAGCAGGGTGTGGTGTTGACGTCCCTGATGTAGAGGGAGGTGCCCATGCAGAAACTCGAAAAAAGGCAGAATGATGTCTCTGGAAGATAGGAAGCAGATCAGCTGGACTAGAACAAATGGTCCTGTCAGTGCCTGATGACCGATAAAGGAGGAAGGGAAGGCTGAGATCAGAATGTGGAGGGCTTTCCATGCTAAATCTCTTGTGATTCATAGAATCGCACATTACAGACACCAGGGGTGATTAACAGGTCCAAGCCACTAGGTTACCTGTGATTCCTTCTTCAAGCACCCATGGCAAATTGTCACCCAGTCTGCTTGAAGAAAGGCGTGTAACTGATGGCTATATTGTTCTGAAGCAAACTCCTTACTTTTCTTAAGGCCCTCATATTTTCTCCTTGCATACACCAGGAACTCATATACCATGAACTCTCAAATCTGGGTTTAAAGCATGACTGAATAACATACACTTAGTGCTAGGAGACTTCAGGGGACGCAGATGGAACTAGCTAGGGGTGGTATCACAGAAAAAGAGGACTTCAATAAGGTTTTGAATCATGAGTAGTATTTAAGTGCAGAGAGGAAAGGGAAGGTTTCTAGGCAAGGAGATTTTATGAGCTTGAAGCTTGAAGACAATAAAAAATATGCATTAAAGGAAAAAAACCTACAAAGATCAGCCTATTAGCACAAAGTTTTTGAGACTAGTGAATGTGAACACCCTCGAAAAATATTAAGAGTTTGGATTTGTTGATGTAGATGAAGGGTCTCTAACCCCTGGGCTACAGACTGGTACTGGTTTGTGGCCTGTTAGGAGCCAGGCCACTCAGCAGGAGGTGAGCAGCGGGCAACCAGTGAAACTTCATGTGTATTTACAGCGCTCCCCATCACTGGCATTACTGCCTGAGCTCCACCTCCTGTCAGATTAGCTGCAGCATTAGATCCTCTTAGGAGTGCAAACTCTCATGTGAACTGCGCATTTGAGGGATCTAGGTTGCACACTTCTTATGAGAATCAAATGCCTGATGATCTGTCACTGTCTCCCATCACCCCCAGATGGGACTGTCATATTACAGGAAAACAATCTCAGGGCTCCCACTAATTCTACATTATGAGTTGTATAATTATTTCATTATATATGACAATGCAATAATAATAGAAATAAATTGCACAATCAATGTAATGTGTTTGAATCATCCCCAAACTGTTCTCCCTACCCTCCCCTTCTGCTCTGCGGAAAAATGGTCTTCTATAAAACCAGTCCCTGGTGCCAAAAAGGTTGGGGATTGCTGATGCAGAGAGTAAGTTGTTACAGTGGGTTCTTGAGTAAAACTGGAGTTTAGGATGTGAGGAAAACATATTCTGAAAACAGCATTTTAGGAAGACCAGACTAATGATAGTGGACAGGGTAGACTAATTTGGAGAAAAACTGAAGGCAGAAATACGAGTTAAGAGTCTTTTCAATTAGAAAAGTAATAAGGATGAAATTAGCAAACACTTTAAAAAACAATTTGGGATTACCTGGTAAAGCTGTACAGGCACATATGCTATGGCCCAACAATTCTGTTCCTTTGTACATTCCTAAAGAAACTCTTCACATATGCACCACAAAACATGTATATAAGCATTATTTGTATCAGTAGAAACCTGGAAACTACCCAAATATTCATTAAGAGTAGAATAAATAAATTGCAGTGTATGCACACAGACCAATGAAAATAAGTAACTACAGCTACACCAACATGTAAGAACCACCAAAACATGTTGACTGAAAAAAAAATTCACAAGAGAATTATATATATTAATTATGTTGTTAATTATCTCTATGTGTACACATATATAAACTTCTTTGCAAATTGTATTGATTGCTTATTTCATGCTTATGAATTTCAAAAACATAAAATGACTATATTTTGTTTACAAATACATACAAATGTGGAAACCCTATAAGGGAATGATAATAAAGTTCAGGATGTCATTTACCTCTGAGGAAAGGAGGAGTGCACGACTAAGAAGTGGCAGGGCCTTCTGAGGTTCTAGCAATATTCCATTTCTTAAGCTGGAGGTTTTTATAAGAATTCACTTTTTGATTTATATACTATATTAAATACAGTATATATGTTTAATACAATATACTATATTATATTATATTTAATATATATTTAATATACACTATATTTAATATAAATATACACAATATATACTATATATTTAACATATATATTTATATAACATAGGTACTTTTATATACCCTTTAGTAGTTGTGATATATTTCACCAGTTAAAATGTTTAAAACAAATAATAAAGACTTGACCTAGAATTATAACTGTGGACACATAAGGGAATGCATGGGTGGTCAGATGCATGTTTCAATCATTTGGATAAGATTATTGCAAGAGTCAATTTTGAAGTGGCAATACTAGTGCAGAGGATAAACGCTCCAAATCAATTATGCTCTAAAACTATTACTTGGATTTGGAATGAAAGAGTAACAATTCTAATAATCTTTTCTTAGGCTTTTTGGCAAAGGGTGGCCTGGTAGATGGATAGCAGGCATGAACTACTAAGGCATGCTAGCGTCTATTTATCCACTCAGAAGTACAATGCAGTAAGTTTCTCAAAATATGAGCTGCAACCTGGTGGTCTTCCATCCCACTCCTCTGTCCCACTAATTCCATACCTGGTATTGATTCCCTGACTAGTTATAGAATTTCTCTTTCACTTTTCCAAAAATATTTATAGAAAATGAAGGCTTATGGTCTTTCTCCCTCTCTCCTGCCCTCTGTTTTTACCTTCCTTTCTCCTGCAGTGTTGACTGTGCACAAACTAAATGTCAATCCTGTATAAGGTACTGAGAGCCAAAGGTGAAGAGGCATGGGTCTTAGCTTTCATACTAGATGTAGTGGGTATACTACTTTTCTATTGTTGCTTTAACAAATAACATACCTAGCACCTTAGAACAATACAAACTTTTTATCTTACAGTTCGGTAGATCTGAAGTCCAAAGTGTGTCTCTCCAGGCGAAAATCAAAATGTTGATGAGCTGTGTTCCCTTCTGGTGGCTCTAGAGGTGCTTCCATATCCTTCCTCACTTAGGTTGCCGGCAGACTTGTTTCTTCCAGTTGTAGAACTAAGGAAACTGTTTCCTTTCTAGCTGTTGGCCTGGAGTTATTCTCAGCTTCTAGACCCACCTGCAATTCTTGGCTCGTGGTCCCCTTTATTTTCAAAGCCAGCCATAGTAGTCTGGTCCACCTCATGTCTCATTTCTCCCACCTCTTTTCCATCTTTGAATCTCTTTGGCCAACTGTTCTGCCTTCTTTTTCTACTTTGAAGGACCCATGTGATTAGACTTGGCCCACCTGGATAATCCAGGATAATCTTCCCATTTCAAGGTCCTTAATCTTAATCACATCTGCAAACTCTCTTTCATTTGGTAACTAAAGATAACATATTTACAGGTTCCGAGGATTAGAGCATGGACATCTTTGGAGGCCATTAATCTACTGCTACAATGGATTTAAAAAAAAAAACTAAAATGGAAAATAAAAGCTACATGCTTATTAATGTGCAACCATGGAGCATTGATTAATGGAGCAACCATGCCAGGAATGAATGAAACCCACCATTTGATTTAGTGTATTTCTCCAGTTTCTTTTTCTGGAAAGAAAGTTGCAATAAGTGAGGGGCATAGCACAATAAGCATTCAACAATACACATAGTAGGCATTCAACAAATAGAAGATCTCCTATAACCCAAATGCCCTCACTAATACCACCCTCCAGTGTTTTCCCTTTAATACTCACGCAGTAATCCAATCTTCCACCTAGTTAGATTGACAAGAAGACCTGCCTTTTATCAGATTCCCCTTCCCAGGCAATTCACAAGGATCATGACATGTTCCACAAGTTAGTTCTGGTGTTCTTTATTGCTTCTCCCTCTGCACTGCTACCCCAGGCTCCTGTGTAAGTCAGATCATGTCACCAACATTTCCCTACTGCCATGGCTGGTAACAAATAGCTCTTACATCTCTTTCGCAAGGACTGACCCACACCTTTCTTTTTGCTCTTCTAAGCTCAGCAAAGACCAGTATACAGGAATGAGAAAAAGAATACAATGCAGGCAGGGAATATAAACTTGGATGTTCATTATTGCTGTCCACAGAGTCATTCATCCATACCCCCACACACAATGATTCCCCTACTGACCATCTCTCTTTTATTTCTCTGCTTCTGGGACCAACCCGGTTGCTAATGGCCAGAGTATGCTTTGACAAGTCCCTTCCTATAGCTGCTTCAAGCATACAAGCAGCCAATTTCTCAGGTGTCCTTTCCTGAGGAGGCTGTGACCCTTATCTTTGAAGAGTAAAACTCCTGCTGGTGAATAGCTCCCAGGCACAACAACCTCCCACAACAGGAAACAGCATCATGGCTGGCGGGTCAAGCATTAAGAAAACACTGACATTTAAAAATGGTTGTTTCTTTTAGCCATCAATGTTTCTGAAACACAGAGCTCTAATCTCAAGGCATTTCCTTGCAATAATTTTTATGTTATTTTTCTCATAGAATAATTTTATGTTGAAAGAAACTTGCAGTCCTCTAGGCTAACACCTCAATGTATGATGAAAAAACTGACACCCAGAGAGAAGTAATGTATACGTCACACAGCTTATTACCAATAAATGTACAATAATGAGAAGCAGGTATTCTGACTTCCCGTGTGCTAATTTGAAAAGCTTTTTTCTATTTGTGTTAAAACCAAAAAATTTCAATACCCTTATGTGGTTTTCTGTTGCTGCTAAATATGACTGGAAAGTCTATGTCATTCTTTGTACATCTGGGTTTTTTTTCTTGTTGAGAACAAATCTCCAATGCCATCCTATTATGAACCTAAAATAGAGACACAAATCTAAAGCTGCAAAATAAAAAAGAATACAAATATGATAAGCAAGAAAACTATTTGTGTAGTTTTACATTTGTGTAGCAAATATACTTCATTTTCAGTTTTCAAGTTATTGAAAAGAAATAGATTATGACAAAGGAGGCAGATTATGCCCTTTGAACATAAAATTCATCATTTTTTTCCAACAGTAAATGTATCACATGCTTATTTGGGAAAATCCAGAAAAGTATAATGCATTTTCTAAATTTCACAAAATTGAGACCACTCAAATATTTTAAAGGAAACTATCAATCCTTCCAATTTAATTTATACACATAAATACTTTTTGTACATTTTTCACTTGAAAAATATGAGGGATTTCTTCCCTTTTTATTAGGAAATTAAATTCATCCATCTGGTGAAAAACTAAGTAAATTTCTTATTTAAAAAATCAAAGCTTTTGGAGCTTTGAGTGTCATAGACATTGATTTCCAGAAAATTGTAGTGATTCCATGATTTTTCTAGCTTCTATCACCATCATACCAGTTCTTAGACTGCTAGTAATCTCTTCATATCAGGCAGTAGAGAAAAGCAGTATTTACTTAGACTTCACTTGACCTTGTAATCTCAACTGTCCAGTCAAATAACATTAGCCTATTCAATTTCTCCAGTATATCCACTTTCTATCAACAGATTTTCCTCTTGTATCTTCCTACTTCACCTCAATCCACCTTATCTCATCATACTAAACTATGTATGGACAAAGTTTTTATGGTTTATATTATCTTATTTATATAAACTATCATGTATTCTCTTTGTGTTAGGCTATTTTCATTCCACAAGCATACTGAGTGTATTAACTACTTGTGTGAAACTGCCAGCAGCATTTTAACACTCCTTTTTCAGAATCAAATATTTGGTTCTTCATTAGTGCTGAATCTACATAAAATTGATGACCCTGGTTGTCCTTGTAATTATTTTATTTCTAAACCCTGGACTTTATAGAAAGAATTAATTATAGCATGTATCTGTTTTTTAACTGCGAAATTGGATAATGGCTTAATAGCTCAAGGGGATTACTTGTGGGAATTTAAGACCTGTAAGATTCAATTTCCCCCATGTCTATTTTCCTGCAGTGATCTATGGCTTTGATTCCAGTCACAGATCCACCAAAATGAGGGTAGGTCATGGATATGTTGCTGTGTCTTTTTTTGAAAAGTCATGGATTTTCCTTGTGAATCAGCCTTGCTAGCACAGCCAGAAACCTAAGGTAGGTAGAGACAACATAACTTGGCATGGAGAACTTACCTTGTGAAACCAAATTAACTTTTTTAATTAAAAAAAAAGTTTAACTGCATCTAATAGGTAGGTAGTTCATATTTAATAGTATTTTAACAAAGAATAGTTTTACTTGCTAAGTGTTTATACCCTACAGATGGTTGCCCTGACTATACATAAAAACCACCTGGGGAATTAAATAAACACCTATCCTCGGGCCCCACCCCCAGAGAGTTTTGTTTATTGGGTCTGAAGCCAGTCCGAGGCAGGGCTGAGGTGGCAGGATTGTTAAAGCTTCCCAGGTGATTCTAATATGTAGACAAGATTGAGAATCATTATGTCTAGCCAGTAGTACTGAAACGTATTTTTCTCCTCTGAATAACAGCATTGTGTGAAGTTAGAGGGGCCAATTTCTGGGGAATGTGGGATATATGAATCATAATTAGGCCCTCTAAGTGTCAACCACAGTCTGGGCAGGGAACACCTGTGGAGCAAGGAATTAAAAATGAATGATACCCTTTGTATTGTAACGATAATACATTCTACTCTCCGGGAAGCTATTAAAATATTCCCCTTAAGATTTTTTTTTTCAAATCTATTTTAAAGTGTCACAAGAGAAAGTAATATGGGATATTCAAGAAGGCTCTGTATACTTAACCTGGCAGAGCTTTCTGGAAAATATTTTGTTGTTTTATTTATGTGTTCATCATGCAGTGATAGAGGGGAGAATGTGAGTTGGCCTGAGAAAAGAGAGAAAGAGATTTCACATTTGCATTACATCAAGGAGGTTCAACTTGGTCTAACTACCTCTTATTCCACTTTTCAAATCTTGAGATCTGTTTGATGCATAAATTTCATAAATGTTCACCTCATTTAAATGATAATTTATGTCCTTAGAATATCATTTCTAGCTTTGTTCTTCTGCACACCCCTGGAGCTGATCAGAGTGTGTTGATCCCTTTGTTTTCAAAGGAAACTTTATGTTCACACTCTCGCTACAGGGGTTAGCAGAGTAAGACGAGAAAATAGTCCCATAGTGTTTCTGCCAGCTAATGAGGAAAATTTTTCCTCCTATATATATCATGATAGGTAATTGAATTAGTACTCCAGTAGGAAAGGGTTTGCTATTTCATACTTCTATAGTCTTTTCTTAACACCATGAAATTAAAGACATGCCAGCATGGAGCTGCCTATTCCTGATCGATTTCAAATAAGCAATGTAGTATATTATTGCTTTTATGTGCTTTTACAGCACATGCTGTGCAAGATAATTGACTCCATGACAGATGTCTATATTTCAGAGGAAAATTTATTTGTTAAAGAACAAACATGTATTACTTTAACATGGGGCTATTCATTATATTGCCCACAAGGTGCTTTTTGATGACTTCTAAATTGAAATTAATATTTTCTCTTGTCGTTCTGAATATGCATAAGCAAATTTGACTGTTTGATATAACCATTTTGAAGCTTATTCTGCTACTTGAATGTAACCTTCTGTACTCTTAGATCATGTTTGAAGTGCTGGGAAATGAGAAAGTGTGCATTTGTTTTTTTTTTAATTTTCAAAGAAGCCTGTAGGCCTGAACAGTTGCCAAGTTGTTCAGAGTAAGTTCTGTCCATCAGACCCATCTTTACATAAAATGACTATGAGAAAAGTCTTAAAGGGTACAGGAAATATTTTCCATGAATCCTCCTTTACTCTCTCACTTCTGCTTGAAATGTCACTCTTTTTCAAGGCAAACACTAGTAGGAAGTAGCATCTGAAGTCCCTAACACTTTTGTGTGAGGCAAACTGACTTGGAGAACTGGCAGTATTAGTTGGACAAGGCTGCTATGAAATAAAACTGAAAAAAGAGAGACGTTTACAAAGGAATGTCCATCTCCATCTACTTTGCAACACTGACGGAGACCAATTCTCCTGTCTGTAAATAAACCCTCCCATTCTTTTAGCTGTCAGAGTTTCTCCAGGAAGAAACTAGACCCTTTATCCTCATCAGCTGACTGGTCACCTTTTGCAGTAAGATCATACCATTAATATAAAATTAAAATAATCAATACCAAGGGATTACCATATTCAGAAAGGATATAAGTTTAATAAGGTTCTTTCAAGGACTATTTCTCTTTTGATGAGAAGAAAAAGAGAAATTTCTACCCTCTTGAACTTTCAATGGCCTAGCCTTTTGAGCATTAGAGGAAACAAGCGGGGGGCGGAGAAAGAGATTTTTTAAATTAAATTGGATATAGTATTTTTGAAAGTAAAACTGGGACACTAAGGACTAGTTTTGTAATGACAGAGTGCAGAGACAACCTCAGGTGGGGTGGAGCCCTGAGGAGAGTGAAAAGGGAGGCTTCTCCTCACCTAAGTGGAGGTGGTTGGCTCCACTGCCCAAGCTGGCCTGCACACAGAATGGAATGCCTTGAGGCTGTAAGTCTGAGGCTCTGAGGTGAGGTGCACTACTGGGCGTCTGACAGCACAGCTAAAATTGGCTGTGCCAACCAGTGAGAGGTGACAGCATGCCGGCAGCCCTCGCTTGCTCTGGGCACCTCCGTGGCCTTGGCGCCCACTCTGGCCGCGCTTGAGGAGCCCTTCAGCCCGCCGCTGCACTGTGGGAGCCCCTTCCTGCAATGGCGGAGGTCGGAGCCGGCTCCCTCAGCTTGCAGGGAGGTGTGGAGGGAGAGGCGAGGGCGGGAACCAGGGCTGAGCAGGGCGCTTGCAGGCCAGCTAGAGTTCCGGGTGGGCGTGGGCTTGGCGGGCCCACACTCGGAGTGGCCGGCCGGCCTCGCCCGCCAGGGCAGTGAGGGGCTTAGCACCCGGGCCAGCAGCTGCGGAGGGTGCGCCTGGTCCCCCAGCAGTGCTGGCCCACTGGCACTGCACTCGATTTCTCGCTGGGCCTTAGCTACCTCCCTGCGGGGCAGGGCTCGGGACCTGCAGCCCGCCATGCCTGAGCCTCCCCCAAGGCTGTGGGCTCCTGCGCTACCGAACCTCCCCAAGCCTCCTAGACTAGCGCTGCCCCCTGCTCCATCAGCACTCTGTGTCTAGCTCAGGGTTTGTGGATGCACCAATCAGCACTCTGTATCTAGCTAATCTGGTGGGGACCTGGAGAATCTTTATGTCTAGCTAAGGGATTGTGAATACACCAATCAGCACTCTGTGTCTAGCTCAAGGTTTGTAAATGCATCAATCAGCACCCTGTGTCTAGCTCAAGGTTTGTAAATCCACCAATCAGTACTCTGTATCTAGCTGATCTGGTGGGGACTTGGAGAACCTTTATGTCTAGCTAAGAGATTGTGAATACACTAATCAGCACTCTGTATCTAGCTAATCTAGTGGGACTTGGAGAACTTTTGTGTCTAACTCAGGGATTGTAAACGCACCAATCAGCACCCTGTCAAAACGGACCAATCAGCTCTCTGTAAAACAGACCAATCAGCTCTCTGTAAAATGGACCAATCAGCAGGATGTGCGTGGGGCCAGATAAGGGACTAAAAGCAGGCTGCCCCAGTAGCAACTCGCTGGGGTCCCTTTCTACACTGGAGAAGCTTTGCTCTTTTGCTCTTTGCAATAAATCTTGCTGCTGCTCACTTTTTGGGTCCACACTGCCTTTATGAGCTGTAACACTCACCACGAAGGTCTGCAGCTTCACTCCTGAGCCAGTGAGACCACGAACCCACCAGAAGGAAGAAACTCCAAACACATCCAAACATCAGAAGGAACAAACTCCAGACATGCTGCCTTTAAGAACTGTAACACTCACAGAGAGGGTCCGCGGCTTCATTCTTGAAGTCAGTGAGACCAAGAACTCACCAATTCCAGACACACCAGGACCTTGAGGGTGTGAGAGGTTACCGTCAGGTTACATTTAGAAGTGTTGTCCCAACTACTCTCCCACATTTAAGGCAAAAATATAGTCACCACTGAACAAGAAAATCATCTTGGCACAAAAATGTACTGAATTGAAGAAAGAAAACAAAGAGAAACAAAACACCATAGCCTAGAACTCCTGCCCCTCCACATTTTCTTCTCTCTCTCACACCACAAACTTTCTCTCTGTGACACACACACACACACACACACAGAGGAGAGACGTATTTGAGGGAGGGTCTCAAGTGCTTGCTTTCCTTAACAACCCAGACCAGGAGGAAGAGATAAAGTGACTTAGGAGATGCCTAAAGATGAAGAACAGCCCGGGATCCGTAAACAGACTCAGCTCGGTGTCTTCTCGCACCTTCTCAGAATCAAGTTTCCAAAATGAGGGTCATCCGCCTGCCTTGGAATTTGGGTTGGGAAGTGGATGGAGTTCCTGGACACATGCTCTAGGCCCTGACCAGTCTGGCCACTGCTCACTAGGAATTCTGTTGGGAGGGTGTACAACAGATTTTCCAACTGGTCTACAGCGAGCATCGGTAGTTTCCCTATGGAGAAAATGATTTTCTTTCTGGGAATCCCCCTATAGCCTGAAGGCTTTGCCTCATTTCCCATAGCTCCTCTCCGGTGTACCCCTTCGGTTCGCACTTTCCTACCTTCTTCCCAGTCCACTGGCTTCTCCTTCTTTATCTTCCTCAGTGTCCCTTCTCACAACCTCCCTGCTACCACACCAGATTCTGAAGGGGAGGAGTTGTCTGGAAAGACCAGAGCTGGGTGCTGGGGATCTGGAGCAGCTCGGGACCCGCGCTGCAGGGAGCTGGGATGGGAGAGGTGAGGGAGAGGAGGATGGGACTCTGGGAGAAAGAGAGGGGGCTGGGCTGGCGCTGGGGATGGAAGAGGCGAGGTGAACGCACTCAAGCGGTTACCTGCAGACAGGGAGAGACAGTGGCAAATACCTGCCTTCAATTAAACGCATATCAATTTGTGTGTGGGGTCAGTACTGCACATCATCAAGCCTCTTGGGTATAAAACCTTCCTACTGGAACTCTCCAGCCCCGCCCCCACCACCCCACGCGCGGCTCCCTGCTTTCTCTTGCTTTGGGGTGAGGCTGGGGATGTGGGTGGCTCCAGAGTTCCCTGCCCGCAGTTTAGGGGCGAAGTGATCGGTGTGTGCGCGCTGGGCACTCTGCGGGTTAAAAAGGTTTAGCAGAAAGGGATGCAGATGGAGGCGGGAAGCCAGGCTAAGAAAGGGATACCGACCTCCCTCCTCGGGTCGGAGGTGTGAACTGGGAAGCACTGCGCAGACCTGAGCGAGGTGGCCTGAATCCAGGGGCCGGGCAAGGGGGTGGTGTGAATAGAAATAGCACATTTCCCAGGCTTTCAGCCCCGGTACTCTGCCATCCTTCCAGTTCCATGCACTCAGCCAGGTCTCCAGGCTGGAGCAAGGGCTGGGGGTCAATGGGTCCTTCCTTCTCTCGGGAAACGTTCTTCTGGCGCGAAGCTGGGCGGAGGGAGAGTCGGACATTTTCCTCTGCTTCTCTCAGGGCAGCTGGCGTGGCCACCTCGCAAGGCTGCTTCTAGGGACACGAGACTCGGGAGGGTCAGAGACTTTCAGGCCGGGCCTTCACTCCCTTCCCCGGGGCACTTGGGCAAGAGTTCCAGCTCTTGGCTACCTCTGGCCCGCGCGTGAGTTCAGACACCCAGCACACGCGACCCCCGCAGGGAAACCCCGGGAAGCTGCGCGCAATCGCTGGGGACTCGCCAGGGCTCCACTTCCCAAGCTCCGCGCCCCCTGCGCCCAAAGAGGCAGGGCGGAGCAGAGGCCGCCGGCGTGGAGGAGGCGAGCGCGGGGCTGGCCCGGGAGCCGCCCCCGGGGAGGGACTGAGACCTGCCCCAGGAGTCGAGGGCGAGCGGCGGACCCGGCTGGGCCCGGCGCACGCCGAGGAGAGGGAGCCCCCGCCACCGCCGCTGCCTCCGCGTGCTCAGCCTGTCCCCGCCCAGGGAGCCGGAGCCTCCAACTAACTCCGCCCGCCGCTCCGCCGCCCGCAGGCTCCGGCTTCCGTCCCGGACAGAGCCCGTGGTCGCGCAGGTTGGTGTTGTTGCCGCTGCTGCCGCCACTGCGAGGCGGTCAGGGCAAGGGTGAGGGTGGGGGCGCGGAAGGGGGCCTGGGCTCGGGATCCTGCTGCCACCAATTCCTGGTGCCCCAGGAGGTTGTTGCTTTTTCTCCCGGGCTGCCCGGGTCGGGGGTGGGGGGATGGGGCGGGGATCCAGCGATGCGGCCAGGGAGGATTTTGGGGACTGAGCTATTCTCGCATTTCCCAAACCTCTCTCACGACCCTTCATCACCATTATTAAGTCCCTGGCCAGTTTGTGAGGGGTCGTCCTCCCCTCCGGTCCTTCTCACCTCCGCACTTCTCCTTGTGCCCTCTCCCTAGGGGGTACAATTTGTTCATTCGCCTTTTCTGCCCCCAACTTGGAGAACTCTCCGTGACGCCTAGAAAGCCTCCTCGGTTCTCCGCCCGCCCTTCAGTCTAGTTTGGGGAAGTAGAGGCCGCCGCGGAGTAGCAACCTGGGGTGTGGAGTGGGGGCGAGTGCCGGGAAGCAGTGGAAATTCCTTCCCCTCTTTCTTTCCCGTCCTTGCCCAGCTTTGCTCTCTTCCTGCCGTTTTGCCAGCCTCCGAATGTAATACGCGGGCGAAGGGCGATCTCCAAGGCAGAATGGGAAGTATCCACCACTTGGGATACTAGTTAAGTCTAGGTTCAGTCACCTTCCCAGCTCTGTGGCCTTGGGACCCGCCCCATCGGAACCTGTATGTTGTCATCTGCAAAATATGCGTCAGCTCTGCCTGCCGCTGAGGGTAGTTGTGGGGCTCCCTTGGGATGACTTAGGGTATTACGTGATTTTGAGCACGGTCTCTTGTCTCGTGCAGCTGCCTGATGGCAGGTCCTGTGTTCTGATCGTCTGAGTTCAGGTCCTTTGGCTGAGATGTGATTATCTCTCTGGGTGATTTGGTCAGTAGCTTTGCGGGGCTAAAAGGCATGTGTTCCTGGAGCTGGTCATTGGGGTTCAGAGTTGAAATCGTGTCGTCCCCACCAATCCCTGTGTACAAAGCTATGGACCTTACATCCTGTGCCTTTGTGGTCATAGAAATTCAAGTAGAAGGAAGATCTTATTGGACTTTGTTTGCTTCAGATGTTTTACATTCTTTACAATCGCTTTTCTCTTCTAGGTGCAAACTTAAATTTACTGCTAATTCTAATAATCCAGGAAGGATACTTTCATTTTAGTAAAATCAGACATTTAGCTCAAATAACATGTGACATATTGTTTGTAAATTTTCAGTTTATAATCACAGGCACAAAAAAGCATAGTTCATGCCATTCTAGTTACTTTATAAAGCAAGTAAATGGCCTAAAAAATCAGCTTTACAGGAAGTCAGGGCTGCAGTGAACTGTGTTTATACCACTGCACTCCAGCCTCGGTGACAGAGCAAGACCCTGTCTCAAAAATAAATAATCAGCTTTAGAATTGATATTAAATGGTAAGCCCTGTCGTTCCTGCATTCCTGACTTAATAGGCATTTTCATTCCGCGATGCACTCTGCTATATGCTTTAAAGATATAAAGATATAGAGTATGTTCCTTGTCCTGAAGGGCCTTCCAAGGTAACTTAAAGACTATGTAGTTTTATTTCATATTTTTATATGAACAGTCTTCTAATGACTATACATGGCAAGTAGAATGAGGTCAAGAATGCATTATCAAAGGCCCTTTAAGATCATCATTTGGCCGGCTGCGGTGGCTCACGCCTGTAATCCCAGCACTTTGGGAGGCCGAGGCGGGCAAATCACAAGGTCAGAAGTTCCGTACCAGCCTGGCCGACATGGTGAAATCCCATCTCTACTAAAAATACAAAAAATTACTTGGGCATAGTGGCAGGCACCTGTAATCCCAGCTACTTGGGAGACTGAGGCAGGAGAATCGCTTGAACCTGGGAGGTGGAGGTTTCAGTGAGCTGAGATCACTCCACACACTCCAGCCCTGGTGACAGAGTGAGACTCTCTCAAAAAAAGATAAAACTAAATAAATAAATAGATAAAAAATCATTTGGTGAGTTTGCATAATTGGAAGAAATAACAAGTTTGTTAAGACATTGCTTTCTAAAATAAAATGCCATGTGCTCCTACTTCATCAAGGTGCACTTGGAAATAAAATGAATTCTGTGTTTTTAGAATGAAAGCTTAGGAAAACATTCTACACATGTATGATGTGCTAATCAAATGTTAAAAGCTATAGAAATTTTAATTCTAACTTCCTTCAACTGTATGTTGTGGTTCCCACATACAGTTTTTTTCTCAACTCCTTGAGGAAGGAAATTATAATGCCTAGAAAAAATATACAGAGATTTAATGTAAGATTTTTAATAAGCTGGACCTTAAGGCCTGGTGGGTCCTGAAGTGACTCTGGAAATTTGACTTTAAAAGTTACGAGACTTGGTGAGACTGAGTGTGGTGGCTCATGCCTGTAATCCCAACACTTTGAGAGGCTGAGGCGGGAGTATTGCTTGAGTTCAGGAGTTTGAAACCAGCAACATAGTGAGACCTTCTCTCTACAAAAAATATTAAAAGAAAAAAAAAGCCAGGTGTGGTGGTGCACGCCGGTAGTCCCAGCTACTCAAGAGGCTGAGGAGGGAGGATCTCTTGAAACTGGGAGGTTGAGGCTATAGTGAGCTGTGATCATGCCACCACACTCCAACTTGGGCCACAGAGAGAGGCCCTGTCTCAAAAAAAAAAAAAAAAAAGACTTAGAATTTTGTTTTTTTTTTTTTTTTTTTTTTTTTTTTTTTTTTTCTTGGGGCAAAGAATGAGCAAGAATTCCACCTGGAAAAGATTGACCAGGGATCTTGACTTTCTGTCTAGGTTGTATTTTGTGTGACTCAGTGACATCTCTGATTCTTTTCCTCCTCCTAGGAAGAATTTATCTATCTGCTATGTGCAGAATTTATTAGGCTTTACATACTGGGCTTTGAGGCTTTGATTGGACTCTCACATTAAGGCATGGCAGGCTGAGGGGCAGCCTGAGGGACATAATGTTAACTTTACACTTGGCTTTATTGTTCCATACCTTTGTTTTTCTATTTGTGAAATGAGATTAAAGATCCTTCTTACTGCCCTGGAAGCCGTGTCATCTGGTATAATAGCCATAAATGCTTCTTGTGTGTATAAGAACTTTCTTTACCATTTGAATGCGAAAGCTAATTATTAAAACCACATACAAATAGCTCAAAAGATGGGCTGTGAATAAAGCTGCTGTTGGTGTCATGTGCTCTCAGGTATCCTGGCAGAAATTTCAGTCATCATGTATCCCTACAATTTACTGTGTTGTGGAGAATAAGGCCTTCATTTTATCTGGGGTTGAATGTTTACCTCTCCAAAATGGGAATAATGAAATACTAACCTGAAAGGACTGTTGTCAGCATTAAATGAGCTAATCCATGTGTGGTTCTTAGCACATTGCCAGTATACAGCTATTGCTCTATGACTCAAGTAGTTATTTTAGTTTCTCCAGGGTAGGGGGAGGGGGGAAGGAATGGAATTTCAGTGGTCCACATTTTAAAAATGAATACATATATAAAAATATAAATACACTCTTCCCCAATATTTTGAAATAGCCATTCCTCAGCTAACTTTTTTCATTCATTTATGCAACAAGTGTTTATTCAGCCCACACTAAACGTTTGGCTTTTTCCTAGGCACTGACATACAATGGTATACAAGACAGTTATAGTCACTTTCTTATGACTGAAAGGTCTAGAGAGGGATGCAGATCTGTAAACAGAGAATTATAAATTTATAAAGAAAATTTTTAAAAAATTATAATGCCATATGATTCATGCCATGATAAGGGTAGTGAAGAGAACCTCAGAAGATAGGATAGCAGGGTCCTGGGTAGGTGAATGTCACACAGTGCATCATCTCATCCTAATTGGGTTGGTGGTGGTGAAGGAAAACTTCCTAGCAGCATGAATACATGAAGACCTGAAGCATGAGTGGTAGTTAGCAGCTGAAGAGGTGGGAAGATTGAAAGAGACCAAAGGGAGCATGATGCCTTAGAATGGAAGTCAGGCAGAAAATGTTAAACAATACATAGGTAAGAGCAGGAGGGAGAGGCGTGGCAATCTGGAGAATCCAAGCTGTCTAAAGGGAAAAGTAGATACTCATTTCAGCCAAGTATTGTCAGGTTGGGATGCAGGCCAAGTGTTGCCAGATGCCTTGATTTCTAAAGAGGAGCTTAAAATTCATATTTTATAAATATGAAATCTCCCAAATATGAACTAACCCAAATGTTTTAAAAACTATTCTGTGGGCCAAACCAGACAAATCTGTAGTTGGAATTCAACCTAGGGCCACCACTTTATGACCTCTACATGTAAGAAACTGAGAGGAGTTTAATGTGGCTAAAGGCATAAACCTTAAACGGACAAGCAAGGGAAGCACTGGCTTTGTGGAACTTGCTAAGGAGGGGTGGCCTAATTCTAAGGACAGTGGGTGACATTGAAGACTGAAACAAGATGAGATTTGTGTTACAAGATGCAGTCTAGCTACTGTATAGAGAATGAGTGGGAGGAGGCAGTGGTGGAAGAAAGATAACCATTTGGAAGCTTACCGTGGTCATAGGAAGAAATTAAGTGTGGCTAAAAGCAAGGTATTCAAGCAGGTGGGAGATGAGTGGATTTCAGAGATATGTATGATACCCCTATGTTGGGATTCAATTCTCCATTAGTCACTCAGACTTTTGCATGTCTTGTGAGCAAAGGCATTTACTGCTTTCATCCCAGACTCTCTTAAAGACATTTGTATGGTAGATAGTTTTGGAAGATAGAGGTATTCTTTCCCTCTGAAGCAAAGGGCAGGTAGGTTTTACTGTCCAGTTTAAAAGATTCAAGTACCCTAAGCTCAGGGTTCCCCTCTGACAATGCAGATCATCAAGTATCTGCTTCACATCACATGGGGGGAACTGAGTTTCAGGACATTGGCACAACTATGCTGATACTACTGCTACTGATATTTTTGTGAGTAGTATAGTCCTTTGTTTCTCACCCTAGAATTTTCTGTCTTCTTCCAGCATCCCCATGAAACTGTGGCACCCTGATTTCGTTAGCCTGCAAGTAGGATAAAAATCTCAGACCCTTAATTATTGATAGCCACTAGCCACATTGTCTGTTTAAATTTAAGTATAAATTAATTAAAAATGGAATACGATTTTAAAAATCCATTCCTCAGTTGCAGTAGCCACATTTCAAATGCTTAATAGCCATACAAGGCTAGTGGATACTGTACTGGGCAGAGAAGATATAGAAAATTTCCATCATTGCAGATAGTTTTATTGGACATTGCTGGTTTAAAGCTTCAAATTTTGTTTGTGTTGGTGAGTGAGTAGAGACAGTAGAAGTTGTTGATTTCGACAGCATAAAAATGATGTTTGACTTCATGTTAGATTCACAGGAGTCCCTTTAATACAAAGAAAATATTTCTGTTTGGATAACCTATACAGTACTTAGTTCAGGCCTCTTGGGGAAAAGAAAAGTGGAAAAGTATCTACACTGTCAATTTGGAGACTGGGCAGACTGGGACCATGTAGCAACAGAAGTTCTACATATAAACAGCGTTACTCAAATCATGTGTGATTGTGAGATTAGGATCTGTGCCCAAAGGAGATTGAACTGCTGAACACTGTCTTGAGCTTTGTCTACTAACCATGCTTAACACAAAAGGACAAGAATTGCATGTTAACAGTGAGGGTCTGGAGCATAGCCAGTCCAGCAGCACCTCGGCAGTGCCTGCTGCAACCCAGCTGTGCTGGTGTGGTCTCACAGAAAGGATGGAGGACAGGAACAAGATTTCCAGATGGCTCTTGTTCAGGGAGTTTAAGAGGGTAGCTTCAAGAAAGGAGGGAACTGGACTCAAAAAATATAAAACATAATACTTTAAAGTACAACTTTAAATGACACCGCAGAATTAAGGAAACAATCAAAGCAGCAGATCTGCTTCCCTATCAGATAGGAGAAGCTCATTTTGTAGAGAGTGTGGGCCACAAGTACTGGGAAGCAAATGCACAAAGAATAATAGGTCCAGCCAACAGTTGCAGTAACAAAGGACGGTTTTTACCTGCATTGAGTGTACAGTTCACTGCTGCATGTACAACATAAGCAAAACAAAAACAGTGGTAGAAATAAATAAAAGTAAAGTCTGAGGCCCTTATGGAAGAATCATACTACTACCTGCTTTTTCCGTGGCTAAAAATGCCTTATAAATTTCATATCTTGAGAATTTCACTTATTTATGCCAAAGTAAGTTTGTTTTAAAATAGTACTCATTTGTAGTGCAGTAACATTTTACTTATATAAAGATTAATTCAAGCTTTTAAAAGTCTGAAGTTTAGAATATTTTAAAGATAGAATTTATTATTTTTAAGCACTTATGTTATCTTTTAGAACTCTTTTGAAGGGAACTTTTATGAAGATATTAGTTAATTTTGAATAGCATGATAATTGTTGCATGTAACTGGAGGCTTCTATAGTGTTTAAAGAAAACTTTTTGTAGGTTATATGTATACCTGTTATTTACATTACTAATTACATCAACAAATCCTTATTTTCATAGACATTCCTTTCAAATTCAGTGAATTCTGGGAGAGCCGAGGTCATATGCTATTAGGGTTTGTATAAAGGTAGAGTCCCTTGCATAAAGCAGGCATTTGTTAACTAGTGAGATTTTTCCCCATTTAGTTTAAAAACGTTACTTTGTTAAATGTCTTTTTCTTTTAATTGTGAGTTTTGAAATCTTATTTTTGTAGGGGTAGAAAACTCTGGTTATCTCCCCCAAATTCCCCTTCCTCAGCCCTGCTGAATCTGGTAAAGTCACTTGTTCAGTGTGCTTTCATTTTTCCTTTCTCTTTTATTTGCCACAGTTCTTACCTGTGCTTCAGGCTTGTCTTGCCTTGTGCCTCTGTTCTCTTCATATAAACAGCATGAAATTGGAAATACTCATTGTCTGTTGTATTTCTGAAGATCAGAATTTTCCCCAGTTTCATGCTGTCCTTTCTCAGGCAGGGTGTGGTAAGTCATCTTTTGAGAACTGTTTCCAGTAAAACTGGAGTATGCTGTTGAAACTGTTGGTGTGCCCTCTTCAGAAACAAAACCAGGAGACTTGCTGTTTATTGCATGAGTCACTGATGGGTTTCAATGAGTGGAAGCAATATTAGATTTTTTTTTTCATGCTCATCAATGCTACATCTTATTTTAAAAGAAGCCTGAAATAAGGAAATAAAAGTAAGCTAATAAACTCCTTCTTTCCCTGGGGAGAATTTAGAATTATATTGGTTCTAGTGTTTGGGGAATAAAGCGGTAACAATGAGGGTTAAAAAAAAATTAGGCCTTGTCCTTTAACCCGTGATACCCTGTAGTGCTCAGAGCTTTCTGGTGTGTACATTTTCTCAAGCTGCACATGAGTAACTTTAATCAGGAGCGAAGTGGTTCTTTCTATTATATGCCATTTCCTCTGTGGCCCCTGCCTCACTTAGCTATTACTGTATGCCTAATCGACCAGAGTGAAATGCCTTTAAAACATTTTCCAGGGAACTAAGGACTTTTTGCAGAATTTTTATAATAGAAAATGCCAAGGAGAGGAAAGTTTTAATGGTTTCTCTGCACAGATAAATGTTTCCAGAGCAGACTGATGATGAGTCAAGGAGCTGTTAATAGGATATGTAAATGTAACCTTTCACCTAGTTACTGTCACTACCTAAGTCATAACTACCTGGTGTCAGTAAATTATTTGAACTAGTTCTTGTCTAGTTCCCTAATTAAACAGACTCTCTTGGTCCCATGATTATCCAGTAGATAGTTAGCACTGTTTCAGCTTGCATTGTCCTGGGTTCCTCCACTCTCCTTCTGTTTTAATAATAGCTCTAAGTCCTATTATAGATTTTCACTAATATCTTTGCCTCCAGCTTTACCTCAGTATTAGTGGAAAAATTTTTTATCTATGTATTTGACAGTGACCTCTAGCTCTTGGGTTTCACTTATTCAACAAATATTCATTCAGTGTCAGCCATGTACCTAGCACTGTTCTTGACCCCAGAGATCCAATAATGAGCAAAAAATTCCTGGTCTGCATTATCATGGAGTGAAGAGTATAGGAGGAAGACAATCCCTAATAAAATTTACACACGACAGCAACAACAACAACAACAACAAATAATTATGTATAATTACAGGCAGAGGTAAATGCTCTGAATAGAACAGTAGAATTTTGTGGGCTTATATAATAGGAACCTGAGGAAGTGACACTTGATTGATATCTGAAGTATGAGTAGGAGAATGTGAGATAGGGTAGGAAGAAAAGTGTTCCAGAAAGCAGAGAGAACTGCCATTTGTGCAGAGGCCCTTTACAGAAGGGAACAGAATGAAATCAAGTAACTGAGGAAGATCAAGGGGAGAGAAGAGCTACTGTGAGGCTGGACCCCTTGGCTGGTGGCCGGCCAGTCCACAAAGGGTCTTGCTGGCCACATGAAGAATTTGGTTTTCCTCATAAGAACATAGGAGAGTGTTTTAGGTCGGAGCTGGGGACTTGATGTGATTTGTGTTTTGGTAAGATCATCTGTGGGGGCGTGAGTTGGATTGGGGTGTGCATGTCAGTGGGGTGAAATTGGGTAGCTCTTGCATTAATTTAATTTGACATGACAGTGTGTACCAGTCTGGTGGTGGATACTGGGAAGTGGCAGTGAAGATAGATCGAAAGTGTTTTGGGGGGAATACCATTAATTGAACTCGGGAATAAGTTGGGGTTTTCTTTTATTTATTCAAAAAATATTTAGCGACTCCCTACTTTATGCTACTCTCTGTGCCAGGCTCTAGGAATAAAACTCTGAACAGTACATAAAATGTCCTTGGACTCATGGAGCTTACTTATTAATGGGAGTGACAGATAATCATTAAGTGTAACATATATATTAAAAACATATATATAATAAATATATATATAATTTCAGGTACTAATAAGTCCTGTAAAGAAAAATTAGGCAAATAAGGGAATGGAGAATGATAGCAGAGGGTCCTCTTACACAGGATGGTCAACAAAAACCTCTTGAAGAGGTAGCATTTGAGCAAAAACCCAGATGAAGTCGGGGAACTAACTGTGCAAAGATTCTCTACGAAGCAGCGGTAACAGGTATAAGATATTGAGGCTGGAACAAAGGAACTCTGCCTCTATACCTCCACCACCAAGGAATACCAAGAAGGCCAGTATGTCCAGAAATACGGGGCGTGAGGGAAGAAAAGTGTTAAGAATGTCTTGCTGGTAGCTAAAACTTAAAGCATCTATATGGGGTCATTATCTTCAGTCCTGATCAGTTTTTCAAAGTCCCTTACTATATCAACTACAATCCCAGGTTGCTCCGCCACTAAACTGATTTTAACACAGCTACTAGAACAGCTTCCTTTACCACAACAGCAAACCGTGCTCAAAAACTGTCAGTGGTAACTGCTTGTCTGTCTTGTCAATGACAATCCCTTCATCAGCCCAGCTAAAAGTCCCCAATCTTACTTCAACCCCACATGCTGTTGCAACCCTTTCTGTACTTCTTATTCAGTTGAAGGCTTCCCTTTAATGTTTGTTTAGGCTTTCCACATAATTTATTCTTTTCTTTTTTGGCATTGTTTTTATTCATCATGAAGCCTCTTTTCTTTCTATTGGCCTATTTCCATCACTTCCTTCAAGAGTTATTTTTTCCACCAGTTTCTTCTGATTTATTCCAGCTTACCTGGATCACAGAACCCCTCAGCCTACTCAGTCTATGTGATGTTATTTTTGTCCTTCCTTGAGTCACTTGAAGAAGCTCTACTTTTAAAGTGCCACCATTGTTCCAAGTTAAAATATTCATGATTGTATTCATTTTTCCTAGAAAAGATTTGGCACCAGTAGTTGCCCTGCCATGTATATATGTGACATTGGCCAAAACAGTCAACGTTCAGGTTTCTTGTCAATAAGATGAAGATACCAAGCCTCCCTTCTTTCATTCAGTGTAGTTGTGAAGAAAAAGTGAAATAAAACATGTACAAAGTGTTTTAAGCAAATGTACGACATTATTTTTAATATTTTAGGTGGGTGTAGTCCATATCCTCATCTAAATTGCAGGTTCTTCACACCATTTCACATAGTGTAGAGTCATGTAAGTGTGTGCTGCAGGAACTCTGTGAGGGTTCTTAAGCTTCCAGCCACACCATGCAAGCTTGGGCCGACTTCATCTACAACCTGCATATTAGTTTCCTGGGGCTGCTGTAACAAAGTACCACAAACCGGGTGGCTTAAACCACAGAAATGTATTGTCTCAGAGTTCTAAGGCTAAAAGTCCAACATCAGTATATTGGCAGGGTTGGTTCTTTCAGAAGGCTGTGAGAGAGAACCTGTTCTGATAGCCTCAGATGTTCCTTGGCCTATACATGGTTCCTTGTGTCTTCACATCATCTTTCCTGTCTTCCTCTTTGTGTGTCTGTCTCTGTGTCCAAGTTTCCCCTTTTTATAAGGACACAGTAATATTGGATTATGGTCTACCCTAATGACCTCATCTTAACTAGATCATCTGCAAAGACCCTATTTCCAATTCGTCACATTCACAGGTACTGGAAGTTAAGAATTGAACATCTTTTTTTTTTATGGGGACACAACTCAACCCATATCGGCATGATACAATACACATACAAGAAAGGGTAATCACAAATGTGGTGAATTAGTTCTGTGTTACTAAATGGTAAATTAGATGTAGAGCTAGTTTCCCATATGATACAAGGCAGCAGCCCCTAACCTTTTTGGCACCAGGACCGGTTTCATGGAAGACAGTTTTTCCATGGACTGGGGTGGAGGAAGGTTTTGGGGTGATTCAAGTGCATTACATTTATTATGCACTTTATTGCTATTATTATTCCATTGTAATATATAATGAAATAATTATACAACTCACCATAATGTAGAATCAGTGGGAACCCTAGCTTGCTTTCCTGCATCTTGACTGTCCCATCTGGGGGTGATGGGAGACAGTGACACATCATCAGGCATTAGATTCTCATAAGGAGCTTGCAACCTAGATCCCTCTCATGTGCAGTTGACGTTAGGATTCCTGCTCCTATGAGACTCTAATGCCGCAGCTGATCTGACAGGAGGTGGAGCTCAGGTGATAATGTGAGCGATGGGGAGTGGCTGTAAATACAGATGAAGCTTGGCTTGCTTGCCCACTGCTCACCTCTTTGCTGTGCAACCCTGTTTCCAACAGACCAAGGCCAGTATCAGTTTGTGGCCAGGGGGCTGGGGACACCTGATATAAGGAAAAATAAATGAAATACTTGATAAAAGTTGCATGTGAAATTCTGAACATTCACATAACTTATTTTAGAATTCAACAATTCCTGTTAATTTTAACTTGGTCTAAATTAGAGTACAGCAGGCCAGCCAAGAGAAGGAGCAAAAGTACTCATTAATTTTTCCTCCAAATTTTAATAGTACATTCAGTTTTTATACTGACATTAGTGAAAAAATATGCAATTCATATATTTATTCGTATAATTTTTATGTGGACTTTTTGTGTGATTTATTTTATTGCTTCAGTTGTGGATTTTTTTTTTTTTTTTTTTTTTTTTTTTTTTGCCATCATGCTCCCCTTTGACTTTCTGTTCTTTCTTTCTTCTTTTCTTTTCTTTGTCTGTAAAATCTAGTTCCTGCAGACCCTTTGACTTTCTGGAAGGCCACATGTGGTTTCATGAAACAGATTGACCTCCCTCTGTTAAACAACCAGAAGGGTTTATGGTTTTTATCTTATTAAATGCCCTAGCCTTTGGTTATAAAAATTTACTTTTCTCTTAGAATTAAAACTTTCTTTAATATTATATACATTTTTTCTCATCAGTTTTCATTTTGTTTTTATTTTGCATTGCTGTTTTTTGATAGTGCAGAAAAGAGTTGGACACATTTTGAACGGTTGATGTTGGAGAATATATAAGTGCACCTTTTGTGGCGTTTTATCCAGATTTGGCATTAAGATGTCCCATTTTATCAGATGAGCATGCTTTAATCTTCATCTGGCCTCTTATTCTGGTGTTAGGACAGCCTTTGCTTGATGTTGAGGAAGGTATCTGACTCTGCTGTTTTGCTTCCTTATGTACCTGGCTTGCCAGTTTAAAAGTTTCACCATTTTAAGTTTCCTAACAGAGTGGCACATAGAGCATATTTAAGAAGCCTATTGTAGGAATTCACCCAGATTTAGTGAATAGAAATTGAATACTTGACCTTTATCTAGAAAAGTTGCTGTTTTGTTGTCAACCAGAAGAACTTTCTTAGTACAGCCCCTATATTCCAAATAGCTAGATTCTTAATTGCTGTACTTTCATTAAATTGCTTCATTATTATTGCTGCATCAAGATTTTCACTAAACGAAAAACAGCCATAGATTGTTTATTTCTGCTTATTGTTTTTTGTAGAAAAAATTAAGGAAGAAGACATATTAGATTTCACTGCTGTTGTAGAAATAAATTTCCTCTTGGTGTACTCTCAAGTAGATGTTGGAAAATGAGGCTCACAGAGGTTAAAGTAGTTGGCCCAAGGTCATATAGGTTGTAAGTGCTGGGACCAGGATTTGAATCCACAGACTCTGGCTTGGGGACCTGTGTCACTCTGGCAAGCTTGTCGTGTGGGAATTAATAAGCTCATCGATGTAATGCACTTAGAGTGGAGACCAGTGCACAGCAAGCACTCAGTCTACTACTGTGATGACAGTGACAAAGAATACTGCTAGTTCTATAATTACTATAATGGTGTTAACTACTGTTATTACCATTAACATTTTCCACTCTGATTCATACCTAACCATGTCTTTTAAAAATTTTTCTAAATTTTTTTAATTTTTAATTTTTGTGGATAACTAGTAGGTATATATATTTATGGGGCATATGAGATATTTTGATACAGGCATACCATATGTAATCATCACATCAGAGTAAAATGGGTATCCATTACCTCACACATTTTTTGTGTGTTACGACCTAATTGTACATTTTTAGTTATTTTAAAATGTATAATTATATTCTCATTGACTACAGTCACCTTGTTGTGCTATCACGTACTAGATCTTACTTATCCTTTCCATTTTTTATGCCCATTAACCATCCCAACTCCCCCTCTAACCTCTCCACTTCCCGGTCTCTGGTAACCGTCATTCTACTATCTCCATGAGTTCAATTGTTTGTATTTTTAGTTCTCACAAATAAGTGAGAACATGCAAAGTTTGTCTTTCTGTGCCTGGCTTATTTCACTGAACATAATGACCTACAATTACATCCATGTTGTTGCAAATGAGAGAATCTCATTCTCTTTTATGGCTAAATAGTACTCCATTCTGTATATGTAACACATTTTCTCTGTCCATTGATCTGTTGATGGATACTTAGGTTGTTTCCAAATCTTGGCCATTGTGAACAGTAAATATCAGAGTGCAGATATCTCTTCAATATGCTGATTTCATTTCTTTTGGGTATATACCTAGCAGTGGGACATATATACCCCAAAGAAAGGACATTACTGAATCTTATGGTAGCTCTAGTTTTTTTGAGGAACCTCCAAACTTCTCCATAGTGGTTGAACTAATTTATATTCCCACCAACAGTGTTCAAAGGTTCCCTTTGTTCCACATCCTCACCAGCGTTTGTTACTACATGTCTTTTGGATAAAAGCCATTTTAACTGGGGTGAGATGACATCTCATTGTAGTTTTTATTTGCATTTCTCTGATGATAAATGATGTTGAGCGCCTTTTCATATACCTATTTGTCATTTGTATGTCTTTTTTGAGAAATGTCTATTCAGATCTTTTGCCCATTTTTTAACTGGATTATCAGATTTTTTTTTCCAGCAGAGTTGTTGGAGCTCCTTATGTATTCTGGTTACTAATCCTTTGTCAGATGGATAGTGTGCAAATATTTTCTCCCGTTCTGCAGATTGTCTCTTCACTTTGTTGATTGTTTCCTTTGCTGTGCAGAAGCTTTTTGACTTGATGTGGTCCTATTTGTCCATTCTTGCTTTGGTGGCCTGTGCTTATGGGGTATTACTCAAGAAATCTTTGCCCATACCCATGTCCTGGAGTGTTTTCCCAATGTTTTCTTGTAGAAGTTTCATAGTTTGAGGTCTTAGATTTAAGTCTTTAATCCATTTTGATTTGATTTTTGTATATGGTAAGAGATACGGGTCTAGTTTCATTCTTTTCCATATGAGTATCCAGTTTTCCCAGCACCATTTATTAAAGAGACTGTCCTTTCCCCAATGTTTGTTCTGGGCAACTTTGTTGAAAATGAGTTCATTTAGATGCTTGAATCACTTTTTGGGTTCTCTGTTCTGTTCCCTCTGTCTATGTGTCTGTGTTTATGCCAGTACCATGCTGCTTTGGTTATTAGAGCTGTGTGGTATAATTTGAAGTCAGTTAATGTGATTCCTCTGGTTTTGTTCTTTTTGCTCAGGATAGCTTTGGCTATTCTGGGTCTTTTGTGAATACATATAAATCTTAGGATTTTTTTTCTCACTTCTATGGAGAATTTCACTGGTATTTTGATAGGGATTGCATTGAATCTGTAGATTGCTTTGGGTAGTATGGACATTTTACCGATATTGATTCTTCCAATCCATGATCATAGGATATCTTTCCGTTTTGTGTATGTGTCTGTCCTCTTCAATTTCTTTCATCAATATTTTATAGTTTTCATTATAGAGATCTTTTACATCTTTGATTAATTCATAGGTAGTGAATTTTATTTGTGGCTTTTTTAATAGGATTTTAAAAAATTTCTTCTTCAGATTGTTTGGCTGTTGGTATATAGAAATGCTACTGATTTTTGTATGTTGGTCTTTTGTATATTGATTTGTATTCTGCAACTTTACTGAATTTGTTTATTAGATCTATTAGTTTTTTGGTGGAGTCTTTAGGTTTTTCCAAGTATAAGGTCATATCATCTGCAAACAAGGATAATTTGACTTCTTTCTTTTCAATTTGGATGCCCTTTATTTCTGCCTCTTGTCTGATTGTTCTAGTTAGGACTTCCAGTACTGCGTTGAATAACAATAGTGACAGTGGGCCTCCTTGTCATAAAGATCTTAGAGGAAAGGCTTTCAGTTTTTTCCCATCCAGTAAGATACTAGCTGTGGGTCTGTCACATATGGCTTTTATTATGTTGAAGTGTGTTCCTTCTAGACCCAGTTTTCTGTGAGTTTTTATCATGAAAGTACATTGAATTTTATCATATGCTTTTCCAGCATCAATCATGATGATCATATGGTTTTTGTCCTTCATTCTGTTAAGATGATATATCACATTGATTGATTTGTGTATGTTAAATCTTCTGTGCATCCCTGGAATAAATCCCACTTGGTCATGATGAATGATCTTTATTTGCTATTATTTTGTTGAGGATTTTTGTATCAATGTTCATCAGGGATATTGGCCTATAGTTTTCTTTTTTTAATGTATCTTTGTCTGTTTGTGGTATCAGGGTAATATTGGCATCACAGAATGAGTTTGGAACTGTGTTTTAATAATAGTTAATAATTTCCCCCAAATACTCTCTGTAGTCCATGAAAAATAGCTTTGATTGTGTCTCTAGGTTTTTCGTTTGTTTGTTTTAAGGTGATAAGAGCTGTATTGATCCCTGAAGGGGTTTATATTTGTTTTTAAACCTGCTGTTACAGCATGTTATATAATATTTTGTACAGTGGCACCATTTGAAGATTGCGGCTATGTAGAGAAAACAAAAAAGCCAGTTTTCGTTAAGCATTTTGGGAGTTATAAACTCCTATTGGCCATTTTAGATTCTCTTCAGAAAAGTTGAGAGAGGTCAGTACTGTAAATTTAAAACCTTTATTTTTCATTACAATATATACTTGATTCCAGGGCATGGAGTTTAGGGGTGGTTGGGAACTATGTCACCTAATAACCTCTTTGGTTTCCATTGCTAAACATTCTATAGTTCTGTTATAGTAATCATTTTGGTTGTCTTTTCAAAGTGAAAACAAACCCATTTGCCAAGTGGGAATGAAATTGAAGTTTATTGTTAGTGCTGCATTCTAAACAGGGGAAACATAGAAGATAGGAAGAAAGTAGTCTTAGTTTTGAAAGCACAGCCCTCCTGGTATTCAAGCTACCAACTTTGCAATGTTTACCAAGCAGTTTTTCATCTGTACAACAACCTTGGTGAAGATGTGTCTGGCTTCTTCTCCTAAATACTTTGTCTTCATGTCTGGTGGCTTGGTCTAGCATTTTCAACTACAGGATCACAAAGGAAGGAAACTGGAGGAGTGACCTTTCAAATTCTTGAGAGGAGGAAATGGATGTTTACACTGTTGTTGGCTAGAATTTTGAAGCCTTTCAAAAATAAAGTTGCTCTGTATGCCCCAGATTTTATAGAGAGAAGTCCAGTGCCAAGTTGAAAATAATGTTTTGTAATGGTTTGTCACCCCAGTGGCTTGGATCCCCCTGCCACCTACCTGCCCCTAGAGGGGCTGTGATATGCTAGAAGGGCTGTGGCTGGGTTTAAAAGAAGAAATGTTTATGTTTTCTTGTCCTAGTAAACTATAGACATCAGAATCATAATAATTGTTCCCATTTGTTGAGGTCATTTTGTAGAGTGGAGAAGAAAACCAGCTTCCTTCTGGCATTAGACATTTGGGTCAAGTCTTAACTCTGCCTCTTACTATAATAGCTGCGTGACCTTGGGCAAATTACTGAAAAACGCTCTGAGTGCCTCAGCTTTATCCTTTTTGAAACAGGGATGTATTGGTGTCACTTCATACAGTGTGGTGGTTGTAATTATTCTTTGAGATTAATGCACATAAAATGCATAGAAAATGCTTGGCACAGGGTTAACTGCTTAATAAATGTTGGATATCATTATTATTGTATGTTGTAAACCTTACCTAGAGTACCTCTAATGTTTTCTATAACCCTGCAGTGTAAACCTTCATCCCTATTTTACAGAGGAGAAAATTGAGGCTTATAAAGGTAATTGTTTTGTTTTGCATGTGAGGGTGTTTGAAAATGGCCTGTTTTGTGCTGTCTTCCTCATCCTGATTCTTGCCCTCTGTGGTTCTCTACCAACACCAAGCTTGTGAAATAGAGCAAAAGGGGATTGCATTTTGTGTTTTCTCAAACTTATGTGCTAGGATGCTTGTGCAATTCAAGAGATATGCACATGGTTCTCAAATAAGTAAACTATACAGGCCCCTTTCAAAGGAAAATACCCTCACTTCCAGTTTGACTTAATTATACTTGTCGTAGTATTACTTAAATATATTCAAAGTTGGAGTAATGTCTTAGTTTATAGCACTTATACAGCTATAAAATAAAACACATTTACAAATTAAATGCCAACAAAACTATAACACAAATACAATTTGAGAAATTACATTAATTTATGTGACGGATGTTGATGTTTTGCTGAAAGTAAACTTCAATTTTGGGTTCATCTATAGTTAGGATGGATTTTATGTTCAAACTGTGTCTACCTTTTAATTTCATGATTTTAATGTATCACAGATTTTCAAATATCTGGAGTTTCATATGATTCAACCTATCAAAACAATGTATTTTGAAATAATATGTCATATACCTTGGTGGTAATAATATCAAGGTTTTGGCAGTTCAGAGCAATAGGACTTCAGGAATGCCAATTTTAATGGGTGTTACTTGACAAACTTGGAAAACTATTTTACTTCCTTGGGAGTCAAGACATTGGCTCAATATTTAAGTGCAGATCTCATGCTAGACCCAGCCCTGAGCTTAGGAGGCCTAGAGTCAGACTTCCTGGGTTCACAGTTGCTACACTGTTTTTACATACAAATTCCTATGAAATTTACATTTTGTTGTAATAAACTAAAAGTACTGGGTCCATAAGTATGAAGATATATAGTTGTTGCTTTGTATTGTATTTGATTGCTATTTACAGTGCAGTGACAACGTAGAGGAGTTCACAGTTTACCATATGCTGTATTAGGAGTTAGCATACTTTTCCTGTAAAGGACCAGGTGGTAAATATTTTAGGCTTTGTAGGCCACATGTGATCTCTGTTGCAACTACTCAACTCTTTTCTTATAGCACAAAAGCAACAATAGACAATACATAAAATTTTATTTAGGGACATTGAAATTAAATTTTATATGATTTTTATGTGTCACAAAGTATTGCTCTGTTTAAAATTTGTTTTCAACAATTAAAAAATGTAAAAAAACATTCATTCTCAGCTTGCAGGCAGTGCAGAAACAGTGAGCAGGGCATTTGGCTTGTGGGCCTAGTTATGGAGGCCAGCCCTAGACAACATTTAATACAGTAAAAAGGTTTCTCCTTTTTATTTTTAATTCATTAGTTAATTAACTTATTTACTTTTTATTAACTTTTATTTTAGGTTCTGGGGGTACATGTGAAGGTGTGTTACATAGGTAAACTCGTGTCACAGAGGTTTGTTGTACAGACTTTTTGTCACCCAGGTATTAAGCCCAGTACATAATAGTTATCTTTTCTCTTCCTCTCCCTCCCCACTCAAGTAGACCCCAGTATCTGTTGTTTCATTCTTCATGTTCATAGTTCTTATCATTTAGCCCCCACTTATAAGTGAGAACATAAGGTATTTGGTTTTCTGTTCCTGCATTAGTTTGGTAAGGTTAAAACCTCCAGCTCCACCCATGTTCCTACAAAAGACATGATCTCATTCTTTTTTGTGGCTACATAGTATTCCATGGTGTATCCCACCACATTTTCTTTATCCAGTCTGATTGATGAACAGTTAGGTTGATTCCATTTGTTTGCTATTGTGAATAGCGCTGCAGTGAACGTTGATGTGCATGTGTCTTTATGATAGAATGATTTATATTCGTCTGAGTATATACCCAGTAACTGGATTGCTGGATCAAATGGTAGTTCTGCTTTTAGCTCATTGAGGAATTGCCATACTGCTTCTGATTTCCACAATGGTTGAACTAATTTACACTCCCACCAAAAGTGTGTAAATGTTCCCTCATTTTTATTTATGGCAGCAGTATAGTGTGGGGATTAAGAGAGCCACTCCAAAGTGAGACTACCTTGCCTTCGAATGTGACCTTTCTGTGTCAGTTTTTTCATATGGAAAATAGCAGAAAATTTTCTTTCTACCTAAAACACTTGTGGGAGGATGGAATTAGAAAGCAGATAGAAAGCAGACATACAACAGTAAAAGCCATGTATGATACAGGGTAAGAAGTCTGTACATAAGTATTGCTATTTCTTTAATTACTATTGAGATGGTACAGTTTTTCAGGTGCTTATTGAACATCTTAATTTTTTTATTCTTTTGTGACTTCTGTATTCATATGTGTTATTTGTTCTTTACGTATTGATACATGCGAACTATTTATAAAGGTTATCAACCCATTGTCAGATATTTTGCAATTCATTTTGTCTCTTTGTTGGCCTTTTGGTTTTATAAATGGTGGATTATTTTTTAACATACTTAATGTTTTAATTTTTGTGTAAGTCAGTTATTAAAGATAATTATTTCAGTTAGTGAAGATAAATTCAATGTCTTCTCTTTTTTATTTCTTTCATTTCCCTCTATTGTTTTTATTTTTATAAAAATATTCTTGCTGTGAGGTCAGATAATAGTTACCTATAGTTTTATTCTAGTTGTATTGTAATTTCACATTTTATGCTTAACTACTTAGTTCTGGAATTTAATTTTATATATGTTATGATATATTATCTATGTATTTTTTCCATGGATTTTACAAATTGATTCAACATCATTAATTGAATAATTATTCCTTCCCTATTGATTTAAAATACCACTTTTATTGTACTTTAGATAATTTGGTTAAATGGAATATGGCCTAAAAAATTTTTTTTAAAGCAAGGTTGTCAATATGACACTATTCTTTGGTCTGCAGTGTTGGTACTTTGGTGTAATATGAAGAATTTTGTGTTACTTTAAGAATTTTTGTCTATTTTTAGAACTTTATTTTTTTAATTTAATTTAATTTTAAGTTCTGGGATACATGTGCAGGACGTGCAGGTTTGTTACATAGGTAAACGTGTGCCATGATGGTTTGCTTCACCTATCAACCCATCACCTAGGTATTAAGCCCCACATGCATTAGCTATTTATCCTGATGCTCTCCCTCCCCACCACACCCCGAAAGGCCCCAGTGTGTGTTATTCCCCTCCCTGTGTCCATGCATTCTCATTGTTCAGCTTCTACTTATGAGTGAGAACATGTGGTGTTTGTTTTTCTGTTCCTGTGCTATTTGCTGAGGATAATGGCTTCCAGCTCCATCCATGTCCCTGCAAAGGACATGATCTCATTCCTTTTTATGGCTGCATGATAGTTCATGGTGTATATGCACCACATTTTCTTTATTCAGTGTATCATTGATGGGCATTTGGGTTGATTCCATGTCTTTGCTATTGTGAATAGTGCTGCAATAAACATATGTGTTCATGTATCTTTATAATAGAATGATTTTTATTCCTTTGGGTATATACCCAGTAATGGGATTGCTGGGACAAATGGCATTTCTGGTAATACATCCTTGAGGAATTGCCAAACTGTCTTCCACAATGGTTGAACTAATTTACATTCCCACTAACAGTGTAAAAACATTCCTATTTCTCCACAGCTTTGCCAGCATCTGTGGTTTCTTGACTTTTTAATAATCACCATTCTGACTGGCATGAGATGGTATCTCATTGTGGTTTTGATTTGCATTTCTCTAATGATCAGTGATGTTGAGCTTTTTTTCATATGTTTGTTGGCCACATAAATCTCCTTTTCAGAAGTGTCTGTTCAAGTCTTGTGCCCACTTTTTGATGGGGTTGTTTTTTTCTTGTAAATTTCTTTAAGTTCCTTGTAGATTCTGGGTATCAAGTCTTTGTCAAGTGGATAGATTGGAAAGCTTTTCTCTCATTCCGTAGGTTATCTTTTCACTCTTGGGATAGTTTCTTTTGCTTTGCAGAAGCTCTTTAGTTTAATTAGGTTGCATTTGTCAATTTTTGCTTTTGTTGCAATTGCTTTTGATGTTTTTGTCATGAAATCTTTTCCCATGCCTATGTTCTAAATGGTATTGCCTAGATTTTCTTCTAGCGTTTTTATAGTTTTGGGTTTTACATTGAAGTCTTTAATCCATCTTGAGTTAATTTTTATATAAGGTGTGAGGAAGGGGTCCAGTTTCAATTTTCTGCATATGGCTAGCTAGTTTTCCCAGAACCATTTATTAAATAGGGAACACTTTCCCCATTGTTGTTTTTGTCAGGTTTGTCTATTTTTAGAACTTTAAAAAATTGTGGTAAAGAAACAGATAAAATTTACTCTCTTAACCATTTTTAAATGTACAGGTCAGTAGTATTAAGTTTCTTCACATTGTTCTGCAGAAGATCTCTGGAACCCTTTTTATAGTACTACAATACTGGCCAACAATATGTATTTCACATTGTTATGTAACTATAACTGCATTTATAGTTCTCAGAAAAATTTTGTTTTCCTTTTGTATGTCACACATTTCTTATCAGGGTTACTTTTTCATATTTAGTGGTGTTTTTGGGGTTTTGTTTTTAAATTTTGTAAATGGGTGCTTCTTCCCCCCTGCTTCCTTGTATTTTCTGATTTGTTTTTGCAAGTATGCAGAAAAGTTTTTTATTCTAATTGTTTTATAATTTCACCTTTTTATTCTTAACTACTTAATACTGGAATTCAGGGATATTTGTATTGTAGGGCAGTTTTCTAAACATGGGACTTTATCTTACTTGAAATGGATCTTTTTCAAAATCACCATGTAGCAATAAAAATGGGTAATATAAATATGGAAAAAGTGAAGCAACATTATGAATGGATATAATCTAGAGAGAAAGGGGAGTTTTTTTAGGAACTGAAGACTGTTCAAATCTCATTGTTACTCATTGAGATCTGCCTTGACTATGCTGTTTAAAATTGCAAACATTCACTTCTACTACTTGATTGTTTTGCCCTGCTCTCCTTTTTCCCCATAAACCTTGTTATTATCTAACATATAATTTACTCCCCCAGCCCTATTATCTGTTCCCACTAGAATTGAAGCTCCTTAGGTTGGGATTTTCACAACAGTTTCCTGGGACATACCAGGTGCTCTATAAATATTAGTTAAATGAATAAAATTTCTAGTAAAATCAAGTATTTAAGTGGGAGTTTCTGGAAAAAAAAGACCTAATTGTCTGAGAGAGGGATTCTACTAGAGAATTTAAAAATTAGCCCAAACGAGGCCCTTTCTTCCCAGAAGGAATCTGTAGGTAAAATTCACGATAAGAAAACAGCCCTTCAGCTAAGAGGTAAGTGATTTATACTTGAATATGTGAGGAACATGGAATGTCACCATTCATTCCCGGGCCTGTTTTCCTCTGTAGAGGTATTTTATTTCCCCCCAGAAATAGACAGCATATTGGCTTAAGCCCTTTTTAATTTTCCCTACAAAGCAGAGGTCATTTAAGCTATTGTTTTCTGTTTTTACGGATTATAAAAAGAGAGAAAGTTGGTTTGCTAGATTAGCGATTAACATGGGGTGGTTCTATGTATTTTTCTTCTGTGATGCTGTAAATGAAAGGTCACCTGCCAAATTTCGGTTTGCCCTTGAGAGACCTGCGATCATTCCTTCTGCAGGCGGAATTGTGGAAAACACCTGAATGGCATTGTGCCGTCTTGGGGTTAGCCTGCTAGAGATCAAGTAAGCACCTCTTGGACCCCTGTTAGACAGAAAAAAAATTAAAGGAGAAAGCCTGCACCATAGAGAATTAAAAAGGAGGCGGGTGAGTTGCCTTTCTCCTCTCACCTCCCCACATGTATTTTTTTGAAGAGTTGATTTGTGTTCCCCTGTAATACTTGCATTTGCACTTCTGCATGGTCCTTGATTTTGCCCTATACTTGTATTTATATGTTTATATTCGTTCTATCTTCCCCATAAGATGGTAACATTGTCAAAGGCAAACAGTTTGTCTTTACTTTAAAATTGCCCAGAGCATTCTATATAGTATTTTAGACAAGGAGCATTCAATTAATGTTTACCTGACAAGTAAACAAGAGGAAAAATTAAGGTTTCAGGAAGGAGACTGTAACATTACCAAAAATCATATTAAGGATTCAGAATAATCAAAACTGGCATTTGGTCTCCCTGGCATTTAGAATGAAATAAAAACTAGACCCCATATGATGGATAAAATGAATCATGGGACTGCTCAAGTAGATTATTATTATTGTTTTCCTTCCAAAGCCTGGTCTGTGGCATTTTGTTCCAGAGGAAACTTGAGAGCTGTGGTGATTAAATCTTACCAAATTAGAAACCTCTGAAATGAGTCATTTTTATTTTCATTCACTTCATTTTTACATGGAAGATTGCATAGACAAGCAACCAAATGAACGAAGCTTAGTTTTCTGGTGGGTTGGTGATGACAGTTTTCTCAGTTTGTAGTTGTCGTGGTTCCCATGGTAATATTTTATATGTAGATGCTATACAGGTCAGGTTTACCCGTTTGTGTTTTTGGAGGGAATACTTTGTGTGCATTTGAATCAGGCAGTCCTTAATTCTCAGAGATCTACTAATAGTATGAATATAAGATCAGAATAGAATAGAATTATCTGTTGTGGAAAACTCCTTGGATTTGCCGTCAGAAAACCTGATGGGCTTCTCTCTGTGCCTCTAACTTGTCTTCTGCAAAGTGAAGGAATTGAGTGAGGTACTTTATAATACAAAGATTCTCAACCCTATTGGATCCAGTGTCTCCTTTTTCATAGCATATGTTTTGCAGTGCCCTCTTTATTACCAAGAAATGAAATTTATGTGTAATATAACCTGCCTAAGTGTGTAATTCAAAAATATGCATATATATGTGTGTGTATATATATGTGTATATATATATATGTATATATATAATTCCTAACTTTAATATAAAAGAGCAATACAGGAATAAGTAATTTATAATAAGATAATGTGTATTTCATTCAATATGTAAATGTTTAGTTATGATTACACCATAAGACCTAATGAAGTGTTCAAAAGCTTGATCCTATATGTAGAATAACAGTATGTGTGACAGCTACAAATGCAGATTGATGTCTTTGTTATATTGACCACTCAGATAAAGTATTCCCCCCCTTATCTGTGGTTTCATTTACTGTGATGGTTAATACGTGTGTCAACCTGATTGAACTGAAGGATGCAAAGTATTGTTCCTGTGAGGGTGTTGCCAAAGGAGATTAACATTTG
Source organism: Homo sapiens (assembly GCF_000001405.40). Classification (NCBI taxonomy): domain Eukaryota; kingdom Metazoa; phylum Chordata; class Mammalia; order Primates; family Hominidae; genus Homo; species Homo sapiens. The sequence continues at coordinate 102,779,597 of NC_000005.10, forward strand.
AGTCAGTGGGCTGGGGAAGGCAGACCCACCCTTAATCTGGTGGGCACAATCTAATCAGCGGCCAGTGAATATAAAGCAGGCAGAAAAATGTGAAGAGGTGAGACTGGCCTAACCTCCCAGCCTACATTTTTCTCCCATGCTGGATGCTGGATGTTTCCTGCCCTCAAACATCAGACTCCAAGTTCTTCAGTTTTGAGACTTGGACTGGCTCTCAATGCTCCTCGCCTGCAGACGGCCTATTGTGGGACCTTGTGATCATGTAAGTTAATACTTAATAAACTCCCATATACATATATATATATATATATATATATATATATATACACACATATATATATGTATATATCTCCTAATAGTTCTGACCCTCCAGGGAATCCTAATATAGTTACCCTTGGTCAACTATGGTCCAAAAATTTGGAGAGTTCCAGAAACAAATAATTTATAAGTTTTTAATTGTACACCATTCTGAATAGCATGATGAAAACGTGTGCCCCCTGCTCCATCCAACCCAGGATGTGAATTATTTCTTTGTCCACTGTATCCACATTACATATGCTACCCACCTCACCTGTTAGCCATCTGGGTTATCAAATTTTAAAAGAACATAGCATATATAGGATTCAGCACTATCCACAGTTTTAAGCATTTACTGGGAGTGTTGGAAGATATGCCCCGAGGATCAGGGAAGACTACTGTACCACCATTGGCATTGTTGTTGGTGATGTGATTTTTCCAAAATGATGAGCAATTCTTGGCAAAATTTCAAATAAAACTAAATATTGTCTTTCTTGATTCATGTAGTAACTTCATTTCTAAACATAAGGGGTTTTAAACCATGTAAAAAATACTTGTGTTTTTATGTAAAATGGATTTGGGTCGTAAGCTTAGCTCATCATAAAGACATTTATTACCTATGTGATTTGTAGGACATTTGAGAGTTAAGTAGGATGTGGTGCCGTACTTCATTAAAAAAAGGTCGTGCACATTGCATGGTGTACCTCCCGACTGAACTCCTGCCTACTCTTGCTGGCAGCTCTCCCCACACCAGCCCTGACAACCAGATTTCTGAATCTCACACTAGGGGGCAGTACTGCATCCCATGAAAAATCATTGCTCTAAGGCAGGTTTCTTAACCTCAGCACCTTTTTCTTTCTTTCTCTTTCTTTCTTTCTTTCTTTCTTTCTTTCTTTCTTTCTTTCTTTCTTTCTTTCTTTCTTTCTTTCTTTCTTTCTTTCTTTCTCTGTCTTTCTCTCTCTCTCTCTCTTTCTTTCTTTCTCCTTTCATATTTTGGGTCAGGTAATTCTTTGTTGTGGGGGCTGTCCTGTGCATTGGAGGCTGTTTAGCAGCATCTCTGGCTTCTACCCCCTGGATGTCAGTGTACTCCTCAAGTTGTGATAACCAAAAATGACTCCAGATGTTGCCAAATGTCTCCTGGAGGGTAAAGTTGCCCCAGGTTTAAAAGCACTACTCTGAGATCTCTATCAGCTCCAAAAATCTGTCATGAGAATGATACAGTATTGATTAATATGCAAACATTGCATACAATACTTGTAGATATTGCTAACATTTTTGGGCCAGGTGAAGCCAGTAAGAAAAGCTTTTAATAATTACTCATTTTTTTGGGTCATTTAACACTGGGATTATATTATTGCCTGGCTTTAGAAGGGTTGAAATTATGTACAGTATAGGGTGATAAATTTTGTAGTATGAGAGCATAGGAGAACTAGAATTTCAAGAAAGACTATTCCAAGAAGGTCCTTTGGCAAGTAAGAGTTCATTGAATTCCTTTCTGACAAGTTTGACATTCATGTTAAAGGTTACAAAATCAGAATTTTAGTTTTGTAAGAAGTAATAGAAATTCAGTGGGTACCTTCTCATTTTACAAGTGAGTAAAAACCTAAATGCTAAAGTGCAGTTCACAGTTTAGTTGTGAATCAGGACTTTAATGCATGGCTTTGGTGTCCCCTGTGCTGTTCCTTTTACCACATTGCAGTGCTGCTCAGCCAGGCTATATTTATAAAATATTTTTAGCTTTCTGCAAGCTCTAAGTCTTGATAGGAAATAAAAGACAAAATAACATTTTTCTTTAAAACCTTGATCTTTAGAATGCATGCCAGGAAAAATAAGTGAGAAGGTCAGTTATTATATACAGGGACTTGCATTCATAGATTAAGCCCAGAAATATTTTTAATACTAATGTAATAACAACAATTTACATGGTGCTTCTTGTGGATTAGCCGTGCTCTTCTAAGAACTACACGTTTTTAATGCTTATAACAACCCTATGAAAACAGATACTGTTATAATCATCTCCCTTATGTAAATGAGGCATCAGGAACTTAAAAAAGCTTGCCCAAGGTCGTAAGGGTAAGTGGCTGGTCTGCGATCTGAAAACAGCCAGTCTGCAGTCCACATCCGTGTTCTTGTCCACTACTTACTCCAGCCTTAAACTTTGAACTGAATAAGGATGGATTGGTTTTGTATCCTTGCTCATGAAATGGATATTCCTAGGAGCTCAACATTTGGAGAATTTCAAACCTGAACACTTTAGAACACATTATGTTTTCTTCAAAGAGTAAATCATACCTCACACTTCTCCAACATTTACACCAAAGGTGAATTTGCTCTTTATAGGATATAAGAGCTTCTTTCATCTTGTCCATATCTGAAGCACTTAAAGCAGAACTCTGGTATGAAGTTCATAGCCGGAACGAATCCAGATCTAAATTGAAAGGATTATACAAAGTCATCTTCCTTGTTTGTTTCACCCTTTGTTTTCCCCCCAGAGGAAGGAGAGAAGATTTTGAAATCCTTTATTGCAAAATGAGTTTGAAATAGATACAAATAATAAATATGATTGACAGCTATAGAGGAGAAGGAAAAAACTTGGCTCTTGTTTTAGAAAGATACTTGAAAGGAAAACATCTATGTTTATTGAGAAGTGAGAAGTACATGCAAATCTTTCAAACATAATATTTGAAAGTGAAAATCACGTCATAGGATTTAGAGATATTCCCAAAGTCAATATTTGGTTCTTAAGTTCCAGGTAGTGGAAAAGTCAGAATCAGTTAAGTACCCAGAGCACTTGCTCCCTTCCTTTCTCCATTTCTCTCTCTCTCTCTCTCTCTCTGTGTGTGTGTGTGTGTGTGTGTGTGTGTGTGTGTAATTTTATTTATTACTGGTGAAACTGGTACAGGCAACATGTTGGCTTTTTTGTCAATCAGTTTTTTTTTTTGAGAAATTTTGCTTTTGTGAAAAATCTGCCTTTTCAAAGTTTTCTTTCCTTCTATTATACTCCCCATATTTTTGGTGTATCTGAGATGCTAATGGCCTTTCATTTTCAAGTTTTTATTTCCCAGTTGGCAGTACCACTTTTACACTTTGAAGATGGAAACTTGGCAGGAAAATTGTATGTCAGGGTGTATTTCTGTGTGGGGTTGCAAGGGCAGGAAAGAAAAAAAACTCAAATAAGAGGTATTTTCATTGAGTATGATCTTAGCTGGTGGCATATATAATTACCCAGTTATTTCTCTCATGAAATGAATGTTTATATTTGTTGTCATGACCAGGATCAGCTACACAGTTTGTGGGGCCCAGTTCAAAATGAAAATGTGGGTGTATTACCAGATTTAGCAAAAAAAAAAAAAAAATAGAGATGCCCAGTTAAATTTGAATTTCAAATAAACAATAAATAATTTTGATTATGTCCAGAATATCCTGGGACAAATATGATTCAGTTTTCTATCACCATAAATTAGTTTAAATGACCATTGCTTAGATCTGTCTTCAATTTCAGTGAAAGCAAAGGTTAAAACTCATCTGAGTTGCAATAGAAGGTGTTGCCTAGAATCATTGATTTTTTCAATACCAACACCAGTATTTGGAATCATCCCTTTATTTGGTCCCCACTGAAGTTTTCCCACCGTAAGACAAGGTTCATAGTAAAACTAAGCCTGAAGGCCTGGGTGGGAGAAAATAATTTGCAGATTCCAAATTCAGTCTCAGTACAATTTTAGGAACGAATATATATGAAGACCAAAGATCTAGAAATTAATTCTCTTTAAACTACCTCTGTGCCAGTTTGCATACTGGAATGTCTTTGAGTATCCCTTGGGATGTGCATGCAGCAGTATGAGGGCCACTTAACTAGAATGGAAAAGGGGAAGATGAATAGAACCCAGCGCCTGCCGTCAGGGAGCATACCAGCTGGAGGGTGACAGCCTCAGGAAGACCTAATTGTAGAACACTTGAATGGTTTCCCTCTCCTCTTGGATCAAGTTCAAAATTCTTCATGATCTACCCCCATCTTTTTTTTTTTGAGGTGGAGTCTCGCTCTGTCACCCAGGCTGGAGTGCAGTGGCGCAATCTCGGCTCACTGCAAGCTCCGCCTCCAGGGTTCACGCCATTCTGCCTCAGCCTCCCAAGTAGCTGGGACTAAAGGCGCCCGCCACCACGCCCAGCTAATATTTTGCATTTTTAGTAGAGATGGGGTTTCACCGTGTTAGCCAGTATGTTCTCGATCTCCTGACCTTGTGATCCGCCCGCCTCAGACTCCCAAAGTGCTGGGATTACAGGCGTGAGCCACCGCGCCCGGCTGATCTACCCCCATCTTTCTCTCTGTTCTTACCTGGTGCTCCTCTTCTCCCTGTGTAACCTCTAAGCTCCAATCATACCAGCCTTTCTGTCCCTAGCACACCTAAGCTGCTCCTGCCTATGTGCTATTGGGTCAAGCTGTTTTGGTGGGCTAGAATGCGCTTTTCAGTTTCCCCCCTTGCACCCACACACCTTAGATTTCAGGTTTCCTTGGCACCGTAAGCTTGGAAAAATTTAGGTATCACTGTTGTAAGCTCTCATATGACCCTGTCCTCCTCCTTGTACAGTACTTATTACAAAAGTCACTAACGTTTGGTATTCATTACCTTAAACTCTGATTACTTTTGTGCTGTTCACTTTCTGAGGACAGGTACCATCTCTGTCTTATCTAACCAGATATTCCCAGCAGAGAATGTAGCCTCTTCCATATTAAGGGTGAGTCATACATATATGTAGAATTGAATTAAAAATATACTCAACGTATTTGTTGAATTGAATTGATGTTAACATTTATGTGAAACATGACTTTGTGTCAGTCACTGGCGGGCATTTACTATATATTATCTCATTTAATTCACACAAAATCATTTGGGAATACATGCTTTTAGATAGGCAAACTTTATTATTGTTGTTATTCGTTTACTAGGAATTTTTAGGCAAAGCAAGTGCATAAACACCAGGTGAGTGGTCTTAAATGCCATGTTAAGGATTTGGAACTTTTTACTAAACACCAGTGATTCTCCATACTTTAGGAAATCAGAATCACCTGGAGGATTAAAAACAACAAAAAAGCAATGCCCGCATATAATTGGTTTAGGATTCAGCAAGTCATTTTATAAAACTTCCCCAAATAGACTTTTTTGTTGTTGTTCTTTGTTTTTTTATACTTTAAGTTCTGGGATTCATGTGCAGAACATGCAGGTTTGTTACATAGGTATCCCAAGTAGTTTTAATGCACAGCACTGATTGGGACACTAAAAAGTAGTGATGCTAGCCCAGCAGCATTAACACCACCTGTGAACTAGTAAGAAATGCAGATATCTGGGCCCCTTCCCAGTTTCACTTAATAAGAAAAGGGAGGGGGGAGTCCCCAGCAATCTGTATCTTAGCAAGCCTTTCAAATGAATCTCATGCCCTTTAAAGTTTGAGAACCTCTGTTATAAACAATTGGAAACTTAAAAAGCTTTGTACTTTTGTGTTTTACAAAAGAACTTTGGTAGATACGTGGGAGACTGAATAAATAAGGGACAAACCAGAGGGTAAGGCAACCTGTTAGAGCTGTTACCTTTAGAAGTATCATGTGGAGGTAAGAAGATGGCAATAAGAACTAGAGTGGTGGTTATAGGAAGGAAGGAAGGTGGTGGGATCAGGAGATGTTTCAAAAACAGAAATGGTGAAATATGGTGACTGATTGGCTTGAAGAGGTTGAGGGAGAGAGTGAGGTCAAAGAAAATATAATTTCTTTCTGAGTTAGTTAAGTGACATCATGAAACAAGGCAGAAATGTGTTTAGAAAGTGTAAGTTGGGGGAAACCATAAAAGTATTGAATATAAGGTGTCTTCAAGCATCTAGTAAGAGATGTTTTTGTCTCGTTGGAAATTTGGTTTCTGGAACTTTGGAAACAAATGGGGAGTAAGGAGTGGTGTTGGAAGTTCTCACCATTGTATTTAACTTTTTAAAAATCATTCATTCAAGTGGTTATATATGTACTAAATTATTTTTTTAACATGTTCGTTTTATTTCAAATTGAGCCAAAGATGTTGAACTTTACACAAACTATAATCTCTTACATTGGATCATTTATATGAAGTTATTTTTAATAATTATTAGAATTTATGGAATATGTTAGCAGAATTATGGTAAAGCAAAGTTTGCATTTTGTAAATTTACTGTTCCATTCTTGGGTCAAGTGTACAGTGAACACATTCATTTTCAGAGAAAGAACTGAGAGGACACAAGCAAGAATACATTTCACATTTCAGCTGTTAAAGGAGGCAATTTTGTGTCATGTAAGCTCACAGATCCTGGAGCCAGACTGAGCTCTGTCCACATGTAGAAGGTGTGACTTTGAACAGACGTTACTTAAACTCTGAGCGTCTTCATTTCCTAATATGCAAAATGGAGAAATTAGTATTATTCATCTCAGGCTTTTTGTAAGCATTGAATGAGTTAAAACCTGTAAAAGTACTTTGAATAGCGCCTAGAATTTAATTCGTAATCATTAGTGTAAGCTCTTATTAATATCAATTTTTTATTCTCTACTTAGTCTTATTTTCTAAATCGTTGCTATTAACAGTTTCTGAGTTTTTTAATGTGGTTTCTGTTAGTTTTATGAACTGCTGAACATCAAAGGGAATGATTATAAACTAGTGATTTCTAGGAATTAAATTTTGAACCATTCATGGAGAAAATGGAGAAAGGCATCACAAATGTAGTATAATTTCTAAATAAATAGCAACTAAAAATTACTTTCCAAGTTAGACACATGCCATTTTTTAGGTCAAAGTTGCGGGTCAGAAAGGTACTGGGCTCCAGATTCTTCACAGCTTGAAATCTTACTTCATTCATCATTCTGAGCATAGTCAGTAGCAAATCAATAATTTACTTGAAAAGAAACAAGTAACTTACTACTCTTTTGATATGTGGTATAGAGGTCAAGAATATATCTTAAAAACTCTATATCAAAAGTTATAAATAAGATAACTACCAAGCAAAGGCTGATTATAATTAATAATAATAATGATAAATCCCAGCAGATATATTTGACCCCTGTAATGAGAAGAAGGTAACACCTCTGGAAGCAGAAAAAAATCTTACTCTCCCATCTGAGATTTGTAAATTAAGGCTGTTCATTACTGCTGTTGAATTATAATGATCTGAATTTCACTTAAAATCTCTTAATTTAGAAATCATTATGCTGGTGGAAAGGCCAAGGAGAAATGCTTCATCCTTAGCATTTTATTTATCCTCCTCAAAATAGTTTTACCATCCTTATTTTTCAATCTATTTCAAGTGGGGTTGGGAGCTGGCAGAAGAAGAATAGATGTAGTTCTTGGTATTTGCATCTCTAGGTCCCGCCAGACCCACACAGCTCTTCTGACTTGAGCATGTTCCAGCCATGTTCTAAATGTAGCTACCATTATCCCGTGCTGTCTAGAGTTCTTATGTTCTGGGACCTGAGACATATTTTCTGTACCTTTCACTAAGCACAGGAAATCTATCCCAACTATGGGGACAGATCTGTCCCAACTGTGGGGACAAAACTGCCTCCTTTAACAGCTAAAATGTGAATGTAAATTTTTCTATACCTTTCACTAAGCCCAGGAAATCTGTGCCCAATTATGGGGACAGATTTCCTGGGCTTAGTGAAAGGTACAGAAAATAGGCTACTGTATGGTCTAAATGCCTAAACTCAGCTTGAACAAGACCCCAGTCAGCTTCACTCCTGGAAGAAAACTATTGTGCAGCTCTTAGCAAGGAAATTTGTATTTGATACTTCCTAGGGGACCCGTAGTTCCTTCAGAGTTACGAATCCCTTGGTGAGTGAATGGAAAATCCAACCAATTATAGAGCATTTCAGAGAAAAAAATGTTGGCTATTCTCAGGAAATGTTGGGTATTTCCAGTATTCATATCTCCCATCTATGGAACTGGAGTTCTCTAAGCCATTATAGTGAGTCTCTGGCTTGGGATTTATTAAATTATTCATGTATGGTAGATATTTCCAGGTTGCTGCTATCATTATTGGCAAATTTGGCAAAATAGATCAATTTGCTTTTGATTTAAGAACTAAAATAGTATCATATCTGTGAAAAATCCTTTGCTATTCCTCACCGTAAAAATACTTGAGGAAAGTCCTATTTCAGTTCACTTGCACTCACACAGCTCCAATTTACTTCAGTACAACTTACTGGAATCTAGTAACAGAAATCATCATATATTTGATACCTGGGATGAGAAATGAGCAGATCTGAAGTAATTTTCTTTTATAATTTAACCACAGCCTGCTTTGAATTGTTAACAAGGTGTGATAATTTATATATTTAAAATAAACATTTATGATAAGAAACTGCCCACATACTTTATTTGAAGGGTAATTACCCTTCATATACTCCATAATTCACCAGCTTTGATGAAGGTGGCAGTGAGTTATTACGGTCTTTACTTTGTCAGAAAGACTTTAATAGCTTTGTCATGCCACTGGTGTCATAAAGTTATGGAATGTATGCAAGACATAATAACTCTATTTATTTTTGATAGAAACTACGTTTCTCTCCTCAGCTGGTCAGTAATTCACATTTAAGAATTTTAAAATGGTTGCTTTGTATCTCTAGATTATATTTCCACTCACAATAGAGATGAAATGCCTTACCTATTTTTATATAATTTTAAAAAGCACAAAGGATCCTCACAAATTAATTTTTGTTAAGTATAGTGGAATCCTTTTTTGACACCACTGAGTAACAGATCATAACATCTGTATTATGGGCCAGTGGTGTTACATCTGATTTTTGATGATATGAAGTTAAATATTATGCTGGAGGAGGGTCATACTTTTACCTGAGACATATTGCTTTGTTCTTATTCCATTTGGCTGGAATTCTTCCTATTAAGTAACTACTATTTTAATAACAAAGTTGTGAGTGTTGTGGTGGCATTATTAAAATACATATGTGTCATCTGAAAGTGGAGATAAAATGTGTTCATTGTCAGGGGAACATGTCAGATGCAGTGACAGAAATTTGGTGGCTCAGTGCTCTGTTGGTTGACACTAACGGTCAGAGGCTAGGTGTGAAGAAACTGGAAGAGTATTTATGGATGACATTACCAAAGAGAGATGGACTTTGATAGAGAAAAGTTAGCTAATACTGGCATTATTGGGAGTTATACCTTACGTCATAGGTATAAACAGTACTTTTGTTTTTTAATTTGGGTTTTAAAAGCATGTGGTGAAAGATAATGAAATAGATCCTTGGCTGTTAAAAATTCAGTATAGAGACTGAATTTGAGGATAATTGATTTTTTAAAAATCAGAAGACATGTTTACTGGAAGTTGGAATTTTAAAAGCAAAACTTATCTAGCAATTTGATTTCTGGATATGTACCCAAAAGAATTGAATGCAGAGACTCGAATAGACATTTGTATGCCAGTGTTTATTGTAGCATTATTCGTAATAGCCAAAAGGTGGAAACAACCTAAGTGGTTGTCAGCAGATGAATGGATAAACAAAATGTGGAATATGCATATGATGTAATATCATTCAGCATTAAAAAGGAATGAAATTCTGACACGTGCTACAACATGGCTGATCCTTGAAGACATTACGCTAGGTGAAATAAGCGAGACACAAAAGGACAAATGTGGTATGATTTCACTTACTTGAAGTACCTAGAGTAGTCAGATTCAAGACAGAAGATAGAATGCTAGTTGCTCGGGGCTGGGAGGAAGAGAGAATGTGGAGTTACTATTTAATAGGTACAGAGTTTCAGTTTGGGAAGATAAACAAGTTCTTGGAGATGGATGGTGGTAATGGTTGTGCAACAGTGTGACTGTAATTAATGGGACTGAACTGTATACCTAAAAATGGTTAAAGTGGCTAATTCTATGTTATGTATACTTTGCCACAATAAAATAGCAAAACTTACTAAAATGGCATTATAAAGTAATAAAATGCTTCCAGTCCTTTAGAAAAGAAACTAACAAGACAAATGTAAGGGTTAGCTAATTATTCATATTCATAAATATTCAGTAGTTATCATTAGACTAAATTTGGGAAAAATACAATTTTCTTATCTTGTATGTGATCTGGGGAATGATTTGCCCATATTTAAAAAATATTTTATTTCAGTACTTCACATAATTCTTGGAACATGGAAGATGCTCAGTAAATATTTGTTGATTGTTATTTGTTTATTCAGGAAATTATAGACATAGCTTCATGTGCAAAATAATCAGCTTAACTGCAACTCTTAAAGTCTGCTTACATGCTCAGTGAACAGATAGAAAACACAGCATTTAAAATACAAATAATTAAAACATGTCCTGTCCGACATAGGAGATTATGGAAACGAATGTGTCCTGGCTATGCCGCAAATTTTTGTTGTTGATATAAAAAAACAGTAACTTTATCTGAGGATGGACAATTGGTTTGGCTGAAAGACTGCCTCTAGGATCGATAGTGCTATTATTCCCATTGTATAGATGCACAAAGAGGTTTAGAGAGATCACAGCAGAGCTTGTAGCCATCTTACTGCTTATTTTACAATGACAGTAGCTTTCAATAAGCCTGTGGTTCTTATGAGGATGATTTGACTATTATCCTGGGAATAGATCTAAGTGATGAGAAACCTATCCTAATAGTGTGGTATTAGGTTAGATAGAGCTTCTTCATATGGTATTAGGTTAGACAGAGATACTTTTGCCAGGTAGAGAAGCGATGCCTCTCTCTTCATTTCTGTGGGCATAGAATCAATTTTAGCCTCTTACAGAACACTATTTTCATTATTCTCAGCAGTGCTATTCTAGTTATCAGAAACTGAGCATCAGATATAAGAAGTCACATAATTTTATTTTTCTGAGCAATTATATTTCCCCCCATTGTTTTCTTGAATTATACTTGTTCATTATGAAAAATTGTCAAATGCAAAAAAACATAAGCACAAAGAAGACAATATTTTTAAATTACCCATTATTTTACTACCCAGAGATAAGCACTGATATCATTTGTTTGTGTGTCAGCCATTCTGCTGTTCTGTTCATGCATATATGCACATATACAAACAGAGATTCAAAACCATAAGACATAAAATTAAGATAACTGAGCAATATTTTTCACTGAGCATTAGATAGTGAACATTTTCTCCTGTCACTAAATGTTCTTTTACAGCTGCATCTAAGTAGCTGCATTACATTTTATTTTATGCCTCTATCAGTCCTCTATTATTGGGATCTTAGAAATTTGTTTTTGCTGTTATAAATGACACTCTGATGAAAATACTTTTAGATTAATTTTTTCCTATCTCTACTTTCTTAAAATAAATTTCTAGAAGTAAAATTAAGTAGAAGAGTGTGGATATTTTTATGTGTTTGATACGTATATGCCAAATTGTTCTTTAAAAAAGCCATGTGACAGTTTATATTTCTGTGGCAGTCTGTATGAGAACACCCATTTCCCAGCCTGAAATTAGCTTTCTTTTTTTTAACTGCCAATTCAAGAATACGTTATAACTTGGATTGATAACATGAACATTTTTTATATTATTTTTGAACATTTTTATATTATTTTTACTTCTACATGTGGTTACTCTGTTGATGTTTTCCTCTTTTCTTTTATATTTGTAAGACTTATTTATGTGTTAAAGACATTAACCCAGTTGTATTTTATTTCTTTTGCAACTACTTTTTCTCCAGCAGATTCTTCTGTTTTCAACATTTTGCCAAGTGTTACTGAAGAAAAAATAAAATAAATTTTAAAACCAAACCAAAAAACCTCTTTAGATAGCTAACTTTATTTGGGGTTTGTTTCTGAATGCAAGATAGGCATACTGTAGTAAATTCCCTTCTTTCAACCCTGGGTTGAAATCCTGTCAATTAATTAGTTGTATTTAGTCTTACAATAGATAAACCAGGTAGTTTCACATAGCCTGTTTCTAGGGTTTTATCTAGGACATCGTAGGAGTTTCTTGAAGGAAAATATAGCTATAGGGAACATTTTAATTTGGATCTGCTTCATTACTCCAAATATTGTTGAAACAACACCAGATGTCATCTTTACTGGGCAATATACAAACATTGGGAGAAGTTGTACCCATACTAATAAGGGTGAACATAAAAAATGGACTATTGCTCAGATTTGTGTTCTTTACAGCAGAGTGTTTGACAAACTCTTTGATCCTTCTTTTTTTTCACAAGTGGAGATTAGAGCCATTTATTGTTTGGGGGTTGTAATTTATATTTAAACATGGTATGTATGGAATTTAGGAAATTCACCTTAGACATATGAAGCTTAACATTAATGTGTGTGTATATGTGGGTTTGTGTATATGCTGGAGGGAATAAGAAGTGACAAAAGTAATCTAAAATCTTAATGTTGAGAAAAATATTAAAGGTAAATGAAATCTTTATTGTCATAAACTGCTCTCCAATCCAGTACTGATAAACGACGTGGGGAAAGACTATGGAGGTTACTTTCAAAACAAACATTTACCATGTTCCAGGAAATACATGTGTTTGTATAAAAAGCAGGTAGCAATTACATAAACTTTTTTCTTCTTTATCTATTTGCCAAGCAATTGGCTGTTAAGGTCTTTTTGGTTGCCTTTGGGCACTTTGTGTGCACTCTTTTCTGCTTTTAAAAACATAATGCATGGTAACCCATTTGCCACTGACTGGCATTGTGAAGAGTTGGAATGGGGCAGTGTAATAACATGAAAGGCTGATGACAAATTTAGTATTTGTAATTTGGAATCTCTTCTCAGTACATTAGAAGTCTTCCCTATTTAAAGGAACCCTGAAACCATCATTTTATCAAGTGAAGAGTTTGTAACACATGATTACCATTGGTTTTCTTACAAATCAGAATACAGCTTCAGTTTTTGAGGCTCCTACCACAGTTATTATGGTGGTCTCTTACTGGCTGACACTTTGATTATGAGCAGGAAATGTGCTTTCTGCAGCCACACACACACAAAAAGTGACACAAAAGTATTAGGTCATACAGTAGCACGTAAGTTCAGAGTGCCTCCTAGTGGAGTCTAGTGTTGATCAAGTAACATTGGAATAATTTTTTCATTCCTCTAAAAAAATCTCCCCTTTGGCATCATGGTTGGTTATGAATCTTGGGCCTCATAGGAGCACAACATTCTCCACTAAAATAATGTTTTACTCATACTTTTTCCTTTCTTCCTTTAAAAATTAGGTAAGATACCTTCTCTGAATGTGTGAATTTTTTATAGAACACCGAAGATTCTTTGCGTTTAAAATTCCCTCCGTGTAAATTAAGTCCAAAGTGCCTAGGCTTTTCCATTTCTAATGTTTAAGTTAAAGACTTGTAAATTGGGCTGGGTGCAGTGGCTCATGCCTGTAACCCCTGCACTTTGGCAGATTCGGAGGATCCCTTGAGCCCAGGAGTTTGGGAGCAGTCTGGGCAACATAGGGAGACCCCTGTCTCTTCAAAAAAAAATGAAAAAAAAAATAGCTGAGCATGGTGGCACACACCTGTGGTACTAGCTATTTGGGAGGCTGACGTGGGAGGATTGCTTGAGCCTGGGAGGTGGAGGCTGCAGTGAGCCTGATCGCACCACTGCTCTCCAGCCTGGGTGACAGAGTGAGACACTGTCTCAAAACAAAACAACAACCAAAGACACTTGTCAGTGGAAATGTTTGAAATTTTGGAACTATTAGAATGTATTTAACTAAAACAGCTATTGCTTAAATGCAGCATTTTAAGTACTGGTTTTTTTCAAAGCTCAGACAAGCAGCAATATAGAAATATCCCTGGTCATTTAAGAAACTGAGCCAGGAACAGATTTTAAAACACTTTTGAAAATATTAAATGCTTTAAGTAATTATAGCAAGTATTTTATCCTAAGTTTATATACACAATTAATTTATCAATTTGTAGTGATTATAGTAAGAGAAGATTACTTTTATACTTAGAATAAAAAACTTTTAAAGTCAGCAATATGTGAAATATGTATTGAATATATTATGCTATATTTATCTGAGTATTTTGGTTTAACAAATTAAATGCATATTTTTTTCTTTTTAAAAAATGTATTGACCATATTTATATAACTACTTATCTTTTTATTTGGTAGATTTAAGTAAAATTTATTATTTATTTAACACTTTTGAATTTATATTATACTTGAAGTGGTTTATTTATCCTTGGCCAGCTACCCCCTTGAGACTCTGGCTTTCTATTTTATAGAACTATTTTAATGATAGTTTAAACATGTATACCTGTTACTGGTTATTTTCTGTTCCCCTTATCTTGGGAGTTCAGCATAATGCTGTGCGGATCAGGATAACAAGGTCCCACTGAGGTGAAGGAGGGAGGCTGGGAATGGCTACAGCCTGGAGTGGAGGTGTGATTTCAGTAGGTGGAAGGTTGTCTTCCTGAAAGGAATTGGCAGAAGTAGATTCTTACTGATTCAGATACATTTTCCACCAACTGAAGGAAGGAATTATTAAAGCCAATGGTGAACAAAGCATTTCAAGCATTTTATAGGAAGTGACTAGATGAGGAGATTTTTTTCATTCCTTTTTTAATCAGCAAAAAAGAAATTAGTATTATTGAATTAGCAGATTCTTCCTATTCTATATTAAGAAAGATTTAATTTTTGTACCAAGGAAGGTTAGGTGAAAAAAAAGATTTATTTTTTTTGTAGAAAACTGAAGATAGTTTGATTCAATATGAAACAGTGATATTTATATTTATGCTGATTCCACCACCAAAAAATTATTACATGTACAAATTAAATAGAGATTATCAGCTTAAAAAATATAGAACATTTACATGTGGCTATGAACATTCTGATGCTAATTTTTTTGTTTGATGACTATGTACTTTAAAATCTGGCATTGTCTTTCATGAGATTTACAAGTCCTGTGTCCATTGTGTTGTTTACTTAGGTTATTTGGCTTTCCTCAAACTTAAACAAGCATTAGCTGGTTGCTCCAAAGAGTAACAAAAGAAGATGCAGGAAAATGCTTGGGGCCAGGTGCGGTGGCTCACACCTGTAATCCTAGCACTCTGGCAGGCTGAGGCTCGCAGATCACTTGTGCCCAGGAGTTGGAGACCAGCCTGGTCAACATAGGGAAACCCCATCTCTACAAAAAATAAAAAAATTAGCTGGGAGTGGTGGTGGGCTCTGTTAGTCCCAGCTACTTGTGGGGCTGAGGCAGGAGAATCACTTGAACCCGGGAGGTTGAGGCCATAGTGAGTCATGATGGCACCACTGCACTCCAGCCAGGGTGACAAAGTGAGACAATGTCTCAAAAAAAAAAAAAAAAAAAAAAAGAAGAGAAGAAAAAGAAAAAGAAAAGTGCTTGGAATGGGAGATGAGTTATCCTACTTTGATACTTCTTGTTTCCTCTTTCTACTGATGTCTTTCTCTGCACATCCTTAGGTAAAACTCAAAAATTACTATTGAGATTTTTGCAGGAACCAAATGAGACAGGAAGAAATGTTTTAAACTGCTGTCTAACCTCTAATACTGGTGATGCCGTTTTTGGAGTACCACTAACAGTTTAAAAGTGCTTATCAGAGCAACTCTCGCTGCTTTAATTTGCGTGTACAGATTGCTGTTAGTGTTGTTACTATCTGTTTTGTATCAGGCTAGCTAATTTCCTTGTTTATTAACTAAATGACTTTCTTAATGGCTACCCTTTTGACAAATGAAGAAATCTTAGCTGCTCTGAGAGGGAAAACCAAAATTAAAAATTCACAGTGAAAGGGATGAGGAACATACGTATTTGTGCTGCTGCCGTGTGGTTGGTGTGAGAGAAAAATCTGGTGATTGACCTTGATCCCTAACGGAAAGTCACAAAAATATGTATAATTTGGTCTTCAGCCATAAAATAAATGGCAACTCTCTTCACTTAAAGCAGGGATTTTCATTCCTTTGTTTTGGGTGCGGAAAAGGGAATCTTTTCCAACCTCATTATCAGAGAGTTTAGTGCATTTTTTCCTGAAATGTTTTACAATTTCCATTTTGTCAGACACATTTTGTTGGAGTTCATAGTTTATTAACCATGAGTTATTTTTTTTAGTTTATACTTGAAGATTTAGAGGCCTGTGATATTTTGTTTAAAGGCTTCTAAATGATCCAAACAAATCAGAATATGCACCAGCCTCAGCAAAAACTCCTGTGATCTGTTGACAGATTTTTGGATCTGGGCCCTTGGAAGAGGCACTGGACATTTGTAACAGGAGGTAATTTGAGATCTGTACAAACAAGTTTTTATTTGTTCAAGTTAATGAGGGCAACACCAGTGGAGTTGGACCCTCTGTAGCTAATAGTCTGTGAGCTCCATGGGCCCTTCATGAAGTCAGTCTCCAAAGGTCACCTGCAATCCATGTTAGGAACCAGGTTTGTCGGTCAATAGTCTAGGACTCATAGATCGATCTGTGCCTCTGCAACCAGGGAATCTGACATGGTACCAAAATGTTTATTTATTTCCCAGATGTCATCCCAGAGTTTGGGCAATGAGATTGGATATTTGCAGTTCCACACAGTGGAAATTCACCTTTTAAATAAGGCAAGAAAAATTGATCTTCCTAGTGTCTGGTAGGAGTCTGGTAGGAGTCATCTTTGCTCTTGGTAAGATTATAATTCTCTTACCTGTTTATTGTCATTTTTTTGAGCACCACAGTCAGCCAAATAAGATTAGAGAAAATTGTGAAAGAGAAAGCATTTCTTTCAATTCAGTCCTTTCATTCAACTCTCTTTGTACTTTGCCTCCTTCATTTTCTTTCGTTTGCTCATCACATTCAGAAGCTCACATTCCCTCATCTTACATGAGGGAAGCTATAAATTTCCCTTTTTGAAATAGTCATCTGCTATCTGTGTAACTATGAGCAAGCTGCTTAACCTCTTTGTGCCTTGGTTTTCTTATTTGTAAAATGGTAATAGATATTACCTGTGTCATAAAGTCGTTACATGGATTGAATGCATTAAGGTGTGTCTAACACTTAACTCAGTACCTGGTTGTACAAAGTGCTAAATGACCATTTATCTAATTATTGCTAATGGAACCTAATAATAGAATAATGATAGAGAGCCATATGCTTCATTGCCAAGTTTCAAAATGCTAAACAAAAATGAATTGTGAATTATTTTGAATGTGCAACAGCACAAGGGCTGGTGTTTTGCTTCTTCTGTAAAAAACAGACTTAAAGAATATCTTTAACATACCAAAGGACTGTTGGGTCATTCTTCAGAAGACTACTGGCATAAAAGAGATTGTCCTAAGAATCCCAGGAATAATAATGAGTCTCTTATTTTTATTGGAAAAGGAGACAACAACAGCCATGGAACTGGTTATTTTATGTATCTTCTGTAACTTTCATTTCTCTCATAATAGACATGGTGCTTTTAAAAATCCAATGTGAATGCTCTAAATCATAAGATCATTATTAAATATTATTTTAAAATTAATATGTCATGGTGAGTGTATTTCTGAGCCATCACATTCATAAACATTTAGAATATAACCTCACCCTTTTGCTTAGAGAATACCTTATGCAAAATGATTTTGAAGGACATTTTGTTTCCTAGTATGTGTTTTCAGCAGGTGGCTAATGGCTTTCGACCTGCTGTAGCAGTATACAGAACTGAATGTCAGGCAGAATATTTTTTAAAGCTGCATTTCCATTTTGCATAATGAAGCACAATAATTTTTCTGAGAGTGCCTTGAATATTTTTCCAAAGAATTATTGATAGAGATATGTCATTTTGGTAGGAAAGAGAAGAGAAAATTGGCAATGTTCCAGCATTTAGGTTTTAAGAATATTTAAGTATAATCAGATTGCTAAATACAAACATTTTTTTAAAATAGTATCAGGTCAAATGTATTTACATGTTAGAAGCCATATAAAGTACATGGTATTAGCCTTCCACCTTTCCTGTATGCTTAGGCCATTGTTCCTACTACTACTACTACTAATAATAACACACTTCAACCTACTCACTTTTCTCTTTAGTAATTTCCATTTTCTCTTGAAATTCATACAGTATATTCTATGGCCTATTTTTATACAACTTTAAGAATTATACATACTAAAGAATAATTTTCAAATTTTGTGTGAAAATAGACAATGGCATATACTATATATAATGACAGAGATTGCTTAGGGCCCCAGGATTAACAGTTTCAGATCATTGTCAATGTTAGCTTCAAGTTAAGTATTGGCACAAGTATTTTTATAGAACCATAGTCTTTGTCAGTGTGTATCACACTGAATAACACTCAAATTTGAACTCAGTGGAATTTTTGAGATAAAGATGTGCATTGCAGCCAGATCAGTGCCCAAAGTACCTCGTGGTATGGGTGATGGGAGACAATCACAATGTAAAGAGTTCTGTTTCTCGTACTGTATATATTAGAGCTGGCATTTTGCCACTGGACTATATGATGAGGGAGGAATATTGTTTGTGAGCTTTGCATTTAAAGCATAATTTCTGAAGCTGAGTTCTAATTTTATTTATTCCCTTAGGTAATTACTGGTTTTCAGCATGCGAAGGAGGTATATTATTGAATTTTTTGAATGGTTAAACTTGTATAGTAGATGTCTTTTCTTTAAATTTAGGCACTAAAAATTCTCCCGCATCAAAGTAGCTTGTGATTCTCATTTGTGGCTAGAGAGTTAATCATCTTTCGATAATGCTTTGAAGTTAGCTTTACTTCTTTTTTTCTTCACCCAGCATGGGTTCATGAATAAAACTAACCACTGATAGGTATAGTGTATTATTGCTCTTGCCTATGGCTCTTGCTAATAAAAATTGCAAATCTGGTTAGTTTGCTGGAATCAATTCAATGTAGTATAGGAATACATTTTTTTCTGTTATAAAGCCCTCTCACAGAAAAAAGATAGGAAGGAAAGCATGGTGGGTGAAGGGAAAAGAAGGTAATTCTGGATTTAAAATATTTTAGCTTTTCTGTCTGTATCGTGTTTTGTCTATAACTTATGTGAGTTTTTACTTCTCACTGTCCTAGAATCTTTAAAATTAAAAATCCTATTGCTTAGGATGAAATTACTAAAAATTCCTGTAAATTAATGTATATGAATCTGCTGTTGTGTGGATGAAGTAGCATAGCAACGTCAATAACTTCTTTTGAGAAAATGTGTGTGTTTGTTTTTAAAAGCAGCTAGGTAAGAAACCATCAACTGAAGAATAGGGTAGGTGATGCAACCATTGCTAAAATAACCTGGAATTCTGACAGTTTCTAAAATTATGTCAGCTTGCTTACAAGATTACTTAATCACTAAATCACATCGGATTTGGCATTTTAACAAACAGGATGCTTTGCACTAACATCATCAAAAGAATAGTGCCTGGATGCTTGCTTCACAATGCAACGTGTATATTTAGAAACCAGAGAACATGCCAGACTGAGTGATGATTGTACAAGACATTCCATACTCCATCCAGATGTATCAGGCTCAGGTGGAAAGACCCTTAAACTGTGGTTAGGGAGATACAAAAAAGGAGCTTATTTTTGCAAATTTTCATGCATAACACATTAGGTGGGAACATTGTCTCCAGAGTTGGATACACCCAATCAGTTTTAACTATTTCAAGGCTGGTCCCTTTGGGCAAATAAGTTATTCTATTTCAGCCACATATTTCTTAGCTATAGCGTAGGTATAGTAATGATATCGAATTTATACTATTATTTTGAGAAAAGTGCCAAAATGAAACGGGTAATGAACAAAAACTGCCAGTTCCAGAGCCTTAGAAATCTTTATCATTTATAATATTTTGCATATAAGGGAACACACTGTTACACAGGCTCCTACATGGCCTCAGACTCCGTCTCAACACACAACACCAGGAAGTCCCTACTATTTCACAGGTTGGCATTGAACATGAAATATATTTGCACTCCCTGAGCTAATTCAACTCTACCCGTCTTTTCTCTTCTTTCTATTTTGTTGACAGCCTCCCTAATGAAAATATCAATTCACATACTTGCAAAGGTGAGGATGGAGAGATTGGTTATCCACAACAATGTTTGGGGACTGTGTTGAATGCTTTACAGAGATTTGTGTTAAGTAGGTGAATCCCAAATTTACATTTCCAGTCTTATCCTCTACCACAAGCTCCATTCATGCATTCATTAATTACCTGGCTCCTTTATTTCATTGTCTAATGGGTATCTAAACTTATTGTACTCACTATTCACTGTCCTCCAGCCACACTGGGCTTCCTTATGTTCCTTAAACATTCTAAGCTAATTTCTGTCTTGGGACCTTTGTTCTTGCTGCTTTCTATGCCTAGAAGCTTCTATTCTTCGATTTTTATGCATCATGTTCCTTCCCCTTATTCAAATGTCATTTCTTCTGAGACTGAGGTTTCTCTCTGCCAACTGTATCTCAGTCATTCCCCCATCCAGTCAGTCTCTTATCCAGTCACTCTGTGGTATGGTTCTTCAGAGCCATTTTGCATGTATACGAAATTGTAATTTATTTCTTTAATTTTTCCTTGTTTTACCTCTCACTCTAAAATACAAGTTCTCTAAGAGCAGTGGCCTTGCCTGGCTCTTAGAAGTGCTCTCAGCAACCTTTAGAAGTGTCATTCTTTTTTCCTTCATGTTATAGGTGACAAAAGTGAGGCCCAGGGAGGTTAAGTAGCTTGCCCAAGATCGCAGAGATTGGAAGTGGCAGAGCTGGGATTTAGGTCCCATGCTGTGCTCTAAAACACTGTGCAACATTGCTTCCTTTTTCACAAATGAAGGTCAGGGACATTAATGGGAGGGAGGGGGCTACGCTGAGTTCTTGGAACTCCCTTTGAGTCCCTGGGCTGGCAGTTATTGTTTGAGTCCCTGGTCTGGACATAGACAGACAAGAGCTGGTCCTGATCACTTTATACTCTATCACCCTGGGCTTATCTTCTCTTCCCTTTTCCTTTTAGACTTAGTGCCCAAGATATGTGTAATTAATATTTTACAGGAATGCATGAAATCCCCTACTGCTTGGGAAAAAACAATGAAACATCAGATTTTAAAGAAACTCCCAAAGGGCTAGAATCCAGTTTTGAACCCAGATGGAATTTTCCACATGGCTTAGAAAATATATAAGTATATATATTTTATATACTTGCTGTTTTCTGAGCATTTCTTACTTGACAATGGTTACAACTGTAGCTTTCTTTTTGTGAGTTTGCATTAATAACATTGCTTTGGTTTTAACTTGCTTACTGTAACAAGTTATTATATTTAACTTAGTCCTTATCGACTGGAGGGTTCCACCTCACCTCACCATGTGATACTGAAGCTGAGCTATTTATATTGTTTTAACTAGACATAGTATAAAATAAAACAGGTTTTCTTGTAATTTATATCATTAAAACATATAAATTATCTTTCAGCTTTTAGGAAAAGAAAAAATCAGGGCATTCGATTCAAATGGGATAATTCACAGCCCGCAGATTATAGGGGAGTAATTATTGATGCTTTTTATTCTAGGACATTTGGTTTATGTGGGCTGCATTTGACCTTTTAGAAGCTATTGACATCATTTGGGAACTGCCAGTAAACCTGCCTTAATCAGTTAAACAGAAGGAATCGTAGCACTGTGGAACTGACTGGCTGATTAATTTAAATCCAAACACAGTCCTGCCTGAATACCCTTTGTAAAACCCTTGCACAAAAAAACCTTGCTTCCTTCAGAAGCGTTATAACCCACATCCTGCTGTCAGATCTTGTCGGCTCTGCTGGTCTTCTTAGGCTGCAGGCATCATCCTTAACCCCTCTTATGCTTCCTTTTATTTCATGAAAACAATATCCATGGTTAGATTCACAAAAATGCTCTACATTTCCCTCAAAGTTCCTTATTTGTATCCTAGGGAAAAGGTATTTTTTTTTTTTTTTTTTTTTTTTGAGACGGAGTCTCGCTCTGTCGCCCAGGCTGGAGTGCAGTGGCGCGATCTCGGCTCACTGCAAGCTCCGCCTCCTGGGTTCACGCCATTCTCCTGCCTCAGCCTCCCGAGTAGCTGGGACTACAGGCGCCCGCCACCACGCCCGGCTAATTTTTTGTATTTTTAGTAGAGACGGGGTTTCACCGTGTTAGCCAGGATGGTCTCGATCTGATCTCCTGACCTCGTGATCCACCCGCCTCGGCCTCCCAAAGTGCTGGGATTACAGGCGTGAGCCACCGCGCCCGGCCGGGAAAAGGTATTTTAAACTCCACTAATTGAGAGACGAAAATGGGAACTTATCTTAAACTAGCTTCTTTAGAAAAAGTATATTAGAACTTAATCCAGCTCTTCCTTTGGGACTTATAATCAAAATTAGAATCATGAAATGTTGAAGTAAGTTTTTGGTATTAGAGTAAGCCATCATGTATAATTCCTTTGATTTTTAGATTCAAAACATTGAAGGCTTTATAATTTGTGTTTAGTTTGGGGAAAATATTAAAGTTAATCAACTCTTGGGTGAGTTCAGAGCTAGTATAAAGATGTAGTTCTGGACCTTTAAATGAAAGTGAAATTAAAATCCTTTAAGGATAAAACTTTGCATAGCTTCAGTCTATTACATAGACTGAGAAAAGGACCCATACATGGGGCACTCTGCTGGGGTTGGTTGCAGAAGAGGGCAGATATTTATGCGGGAGAGGTCAAAGAATTGCCATAGAATACTTTCATAGCACATAGCATGTTGTATTGGAGCAGACCAACATCCTTATTTTAAATATTAAAAAAACTGAGGCCCCACTTAATTACTCAAACTCTTAAGGGCCCTTACTTGGCCAGTTTCTATTTCTGTATCACCCAGTTACAACACTGTTCCAGAATACAGATGAAGCCTCTCAAAGAAGGTGGTGTCATCCGATTATCTGTAGTTTTGTTTATTATTATTAATTATGATAACTACCGTTTATGGAGTGTTTGTGATGTGCCAGTACTGTATGCATTATCTTTATCTTCATAACTACATATGAGGTAGTACTATTGTTCTTCCCTTTTTGAAAATGAGGAAGTGATGTTTAGGAAAGTCATGGAGGCTAGCCTCAGCAACATAGCGAGACCCCATCTCTACACACAAAAAACATTAAAAAATTGCCAGGTGTGGTGGTGCATGCCAGTAGTCCCAGCTACTCGAGAGTCTAAAGTGGGAGGATTGCTTGAGCCCAGGAGGTTGAAACTGCAGTGTGCTGTAATAGTGCCATTGCACTCCAGCCTGGGCAACAGAGAGAGATTCTGTGTCCAAAAAAAAAGAAAGAAAGAAAGAAAGGAAGGAAGGAAGGAAGGAAGGAAGGAAGGAAGGAAGGAAGGAAGGAAGGAAGGAAGGAAAGAAGGAAGGAAGGAAGGAAGGAAGGGAAAAGTAATGCACTCAACTTGAATCACCAAAGCAGTCAGACGAGGTATTTTTTTTCCTTTGAGTAGGATAAGATGGTAGCTAGATGTAGGTAAGAGAAATGGGTAACAAGAGATGTTTCTTCCATCCCTCGTAAGTTGCCTGGAGAATGTTAGGATGAGGTGAGTAATGATGCCATAGGACATAAGTAAGGGAGAAAAATTAAGGCCATTCCAGCCTTAATTCTTTAGAAACAGTGGATTCACTGTGAGGGAATGGGAGCACACCTGCTCTCTGGCTGTGATGAGAAGCAGTAGAGGTCCAGGTGAGGAGCAGATTGGGGCATCAGGGACTCTAGAAGCCATGTGACACAGGAGGAACCATGGAATCATTTTGAGCCTCTGTTTTGTTTTGTTTTTCATTTCTAAAAGTGAAATTTTGATTTCTACCTTTCCCTACCACACTGGGTTCTTTAAAAGATTGAAAAAATTGAATTTTAAGCACCTTAGAAAAATAGGATATAATAAATTTTGTATTTATTTATTGAATAAGTATTTATTGAGGGAATGCCAAATGCAAGGCACGGTGCTATGTATAGAATAAGAGGTGAATATTGACTTTGTGTCTACCTTTCAGAAGATTAAAGAGAGTAGGAAAATAAGCAACTTGATAAATAACTATGCAAAAGTATGTTTTAAGTGCAGTTCTCAAGGTTAAGAACACCGAAAATTCTGAGAGGGAGCTGACTTCTGATGATGGGTCTTGAAGAACTGATAGGGTTTGGAATGGTAGGGAGGAGAAACAGGAGAAGTGTGAGGGTTGCAGGGGGGGATGGGGAGATAGATGTGGAATTCCAGGAGGAAGAAACAGTAAGAGCACAGGCCTGGAGGAGGGAAAGTATGGGGACATATTTGTGCATCAGATTGTCTAATTAGTTGTTGCTTAAAGTATCAGGAGGTCTCTCTGGTAAAGATGGGCTTACGCTGAAACGGTGAAATGTGCACTTGATTTAGCAGCTCACGGGGGAGCCTTTTAGAGTTTTGGAGTTTGGTGGTAACCTGGTCAAGGCAGTGTTTTATAAAGATGCATCAAGGACAAAGTGATATATAGAATTATTAAAGGGGCGAGACACTGGAGTCAGGGAAGCCAGAACATTATAAGATGCCTGATAAAGAAGACCTAAGCTAGAGGGGCAGTAGTGGGAATGGAACAGGAAGAGAAGGATCAGGGAAATTTGGTTGCTAACTGGATTTAAGGGTGATGGGGAGTTACAACCCTTTTGTCATTAGAAGTTCTTGGACTACTTTTTCATTAAGTCAGTATGAATTAGTTTTAATTAACATATTGAAATCCAAATGCTCATAATAAAGTCCCACATCCCACTGTCACTTTTCAGTCCTTGGAACATCTTAACTGGATTTAGAAAAAGTGTTCTATCAAGATCAGAGGAACCATGACTGTTGCTCATCTGGACTAGGAGGAAGCTCAACCTAGATTATGAGGCTAAGCTGTATCAGGATTAGGGGTGTTTTGCCTTATCCTCAGAAAAGTGACTTAGAGGAACCAGAAGAATGGCCGCTGTAGCTGACAGTCAGGGCTTTAGAAATCCTGGCCAAATTTCCTCTCTCAGGTGGGACTTTAACCCTCATTTGCTTCTGAATTGGCACTTGCCATGATGAATTCACTTAGTTTAAGAAAGAAGTTAGTTTCAGGGTCTTGCTCAACTCTAAACATCAATTTAAGGTGGCTGACTGGGAGAGAGATGAGATTTATAATACTTTTGAAAACTGATAGAGTTATTTCTTTAGGAAATAGTGCTGGTTTGTCTGTTTCTTATGAAAGGGAATTTTCCTTTTTTTTTTTTTTTTTTTTTTTTGAGACGGAGCCTCTCTCTGTTGGCCAGGCTGGAGTGCAGTAGTGTGATCTCAGCTCACTGCAACCTCCGCCTCCTGGGTTCAAGCAGTTCTCCTGCCTCAACCTCCTGAGTAGCTGGGACTACAAGCACGTGCTACCACCCTGGCTAATTTTTGTATTTTTAGTAGAGATGGGCTTTCACCATATTGGCCAGGCTGGTCTTGAACTCCTGACCTCATGATCTGCTCGCCTCAGCCTCCCAATGTGCTGTGATTATAGGCATGAGCCACTGCACCTGGCCCCTCATCTTCCCTTCTAACTACTGTTTTCTTTCAGTTTGAGAATTTACACTATTGTTTGGATGTCTTTGAAGTCTTAGGATCCTCTTGGGAAAGAAGTGTTTTTTTCTGAATAAAAGAAGGTGTACTGTTATCCAGCAAGAACATGTCAGAGCTCGATGGGGCCAGTGTTGCTATTGGGTAGGTTTTGCCCCTGCTCCAGGTCCGTTTCTAACCTCTGGACCTCATGCTTCTGTGGGTGTGTACTTCACAAGGTCTGTCTCTTGCTGTCCTTGAGAATCAAAGGAAGAGGTAATTTTGTTGGAAGTTATCAATTCAAGAAATAGTTTATGATCTCTAATAAGGTGGTGAGATCACGCTGACCAAAATATTTAGTGAAGTCGTGGAAGGAAATAGAACACTAACTAGTACAAGACACTGTGACAGTGTTGCAAATTAAGAGGAAAATAAAAACTAAATGAGGCCTGGAATTAGGGAATGGAGGTTGGATAAATTAGGCCTCTTTTCTCTAATGCAAGCCTCTCTAACAGGCCACATAATCTGGCCATGTGGGGCCATTTTTCTCACTCACACTTGATTTTTGTTTCTGCTGGTGGTCTTCCATATTTCCTTCAGCCATTCATAGTGTTAGAGACCTCTTGGTTTGGTCTTATTTTCGGATGTGCTCTTTTTGAAATGGTACCTTTTTAAAAAAACATCTAACAAAGCAGCTTTACTGTTGGACTGTTCTTTATGATTGTTACATCTCTGGAAAAGTCGAAACAAGTGCTCCCTTTTTGTGTGTGTATTGCCTAGATAACCTTTATTTGCTTTTTCCACCCTAATTCTGTTTAGACAGGTGGGTCATCTCCTCTTAAGAGTTGTTTGAAACAACCTTAAAATAGTCTGGCTAGCCTGTTAGGACCTAGACCACTGAAGCTGTCATTGGCCTTCTCTGAGGGCAGGTAAGCCAGGATTGCAAGCCCAGAACAGAGTTCGATGAATTTCCATTGTTTGAATTACAATAGTAACTCATATTCATAGTTAAAGACCTTTTAAAAGCATATAATATGAACATTGGAAGACTCTCCTTCAAACCTAGTCTGCAATTGACACTGCTAGAAGCAACACTTCTGGCCAAATGTCCTGGGTGTGTATCTTCTGGACATTTTTCAGTGCATATTCAGATGAATACATGTATTTATTTTAAAATTTGAATATATGTGTGATATATACATATATATACACACATACACACACACAGAGTTTTGTACTGTTAATTTATAGTAAACTGCATTTTTGCTTCTCAAACTCAGGATCTCAGAAGAACAAATGAAAGAATAGGAGTAATTCCATTTTGTTGGAAAGCTTTTGTACTTTACCTGAATCTAGAAAATCTGAATTACTGTATGTTTTTGTGAGGGCTGACTTTACTGTTTTGCTTTCAGAATTTTTTCTAATCTATATGGGAATGAAAAGCCCAACTTATCAATTAAGTTAAAATTTTCTACATATTCCAGATTGTAAATTGGTGCTATTGTAATCCATTTTACTATTTTTGTAAGCAGTATTATTGTTATACGTTTGCGCACTATTTACTCACAAGGGAAACATTAAAAGGTAGGCTTAGCTTCATCTAAATTGAAATAGAGATAATAATAGTTTCTTTGAACTAGCTGAGATCTAAATATACAGTACGGAATGACAACCTTCATTTTTGATTGTGATATGAATATCTTAAGATCTGGTAAGTTACTTGCTTATCTTTACAATTACAGTATTTGCAATAGCAAAATTAGACCTCAGTATTGTTTAAAAACATGTCAATGTAATATTCATGGAGAAGAAAACAATAGCTTTCTTAGTACAGATGATAAATTATATACTTATTAAAGTGTTGCATCTGATCAAATAAGTGTAGTATTTCATTATAGACTTGGTTTGATGTTGAAACATTGTTATTTTAAGCAATTACTTTAAACTGGATATTTTAAAGAGAGGCTGTATTCCTCTGAATGTGGGTCACAGAGGCAGAGAAGGACAAATAGTTTAAAGGGAGATTTAAATTATGTGTAGTTTGGAGGATTGTTAGAAGTAGAAGTAATTCTGCCTGTGATGGAAGAGACTTAACCAGAAAACTGTGGCAGTAGTCAACAGATACCTTCTGATTTTGTCTGGGTGTCATAATTAGGCAATTCGCTGGAGGTGTTTTCTGGATAAGTGATGTATTGGCAAGGATTTAGGAGATAAATAGACTGGGCAGCTGCCACCTCATGGAGAAGTAAATAGAGTCAGTTTTCATTGTTTTCAGTAAGCTGACCTCCAAAGGCATAGATGTGAGCTTTCTTTTGAAAGGAAATGAAGTATTCACCGTTAAGGATAAGGATGTTTGTAATGTGACAGTGTTAATGCTAGCTAAATGAGAAAGCCATATATGAATACTTAGACTGTTGCTACCTGGGAGCATTATTTATTGACCTGTGCCTTCGTCAGAGCTTCAGATGTGAGGGGAATGATGCTAATAGAATCATGTAAAGATGTTTGTCATTAAAAAGTCACATCGCAATTAGTAGATTCAGAATTCATCGAGTCCTCTTGCTCTGTGTCACACCCGCTGCCTCTGTGACAACCTTCATTTCCTACTTAGCAAATCCAAGCCTGGTAGCTGGAGCCCCAGGAAGTTGTTAAAGCAATTAAAGGCTTCTGTCTCCCAGCACATTGCTTGGTTACCATAGTATCCTCTGCCTCCAAGTCTCTCCTGATGATGTCAGTATGCATACAGGGGTTGTTCAGATCATCTACGTGGGGATGATTCACCCCACAATAAAGCCCCTCTCTCTCGTTGCTCGCTTTCCAGTGTGATTTCAGACATCTGTAGCAATGGAAGGTAAGTGCCTTGTTTTGCATATTGAAGAATTACTAAATGCTTCTATTATTCTGTTTCAGGTTTCTTGCTTTCTAAGATATACTACTGACTGAAATCATAGTGAATGGGAGCATCCAGTCAATTACTTAGAACAGATTTGTAGTTTGTACTTAAAGTGTGTGTGTGTATGTGCATAGGTGTGTGTGGGCAGGCACATGTGGGGTAGGCTTATAAAGAAAACTGAATGCACAGTGTAACGCCTGCTACTCTCCCTGGTAAACAGCAATAGCTTTTTATTTCAAACTATTCGAAATATGTAACTTCCTTAAAATATTTTGACAAGTGTCACAGGGCAAGTAGGGCTAATTTTTAAAAAGTGTGTAAGTATATTGTATTGGCATTTGATATGTTTTACCCAGTTTAAATGATATTAACATTTGAAATATCTAAGATGGTATGGGAAGATACTAGAAAGAAGAACCATGCTGAGAATTTGCATGTTATAGAAATTAAAATATGTAGGACAAAGATTTAGTTGGTGAAGGGGAGATGTATGAAGTTCAAAGTACAGTGATAATCATCATTCCATAGTTATGCCACACTTTTATAGCTTTTCAATATCTCACACAATTTGATTGTAAAAATAATGCTTCTATTATTGTGATGAATGCAATTAGTGCTTCATGAAAGTTTTCCTTGAATATGTATCCATCCTTCTTAAGGATAATCCAGCTATGTTCAGCTTTACAGAAAGAATATAGTAGAACCACTTATAACATTCAGACAGAACAGTGATACGTGAATATTTTCCTTGAGAAGTTAGTGCTGTTTCAGTTTTTCTCTGACGGTATGCCTTATCAATAAACAATAAATAATGAGACACATGACCGGTTCCTCTCTATCAGCCTCCTTCTGAATCTCTTCATTCTGAGAGTTCTGCCCATAAAGTTAGTCTTGCATTTATTTCTTCTTCTTGATTCCCAAGGAATGATTCAGTAGTACATTCTGTGAAGAATGTAATACTTGGCCAGGCACAGTGGCTCACGCCTCTAATCCCAGCACTTCAAGAGGCGGAGGTGAGAGGATTGCTTGAGCCCAGGAGACCAGCCTGAGCAATAAAGCAAGCAAGACCTGTCTCTACCAAAAAAAAAAAAAAAAAAAGAAAACAAAAAACAAAAAAACCCTTAAATTTAATGGAAGTGGTAGATAACAGCAGTTTCTAATTAATTAATAGATAGCTTTGCAGAGAAAAAGAACAAGAGTAGAGTGGATGGACTGGAGAAGGCTCCCATTTCTTTATATAGTTGAACGTTTATTCTGTGTGGAAGGTAGGCAGATGGCGTTGCTGACAGGTGGGTAAATGGTTTAGACTGTCCCTCCCTAGAGAAATGTCTAAAATTTGCATTTTGTTTCTTGTATTTTTGAAGCCTTTTTAAATATACCCTTCTGTCTAACTTGCTTTATTTCTGCATGAGATGATTCGCCTTTCTACAAAGAATCAGTGAGAAGTACAACTGTGAGAGAGGGTGAAACATTGCTTAAAAATTTAAATTTAATTGCTTTTAAGTGAAGGATATGTCTTATCTTAAATATCGTAATGCTTAGTCTTTGAATTTCTTTCTGCCCTGAAAATAGTCTAAATGCTTTGACTTCATTTCTTCACTATTTTGAATACTTAATCCTGTTTGTGTTTGAAAATTTACTTGTTCATTGCTATCAGAAAATAGTTCCTAAGAAGTAGGAAAAATTATGATACTACCTAATTTAGATTATAATAGGTTAAATATTGAAGAAAGTAAGTCAATATAAACTGTTTCTATACTGTTTAAAACCTTTTCATTAAAACACTCACCTAATACTTATGTTGGAAACAAGAATAATATAGTCTAAGCTAAATTATATTAGGTTTTTGTTCTTTGCCATGTTAATGTGTGGGGTGACATAATTTAATTTCTTCAATAACTAGCTCTTTGTAGTAATAATTACGAAATATTTCTGCCATTTTGAACCCTTAAAATATCCACGAAAATACACTTTTGCTGACTTGATTGATATGAGCAGCACTATAAAGAGTGTACTATAAAGATTACAGTTTCCTTCATGCTTGAATCAGGGAGTAGTTCCAAGTAGTTTTAGGCAGTGATTTTTAAAATTGGTTTAGGAAAGTTTTTACTTTATTTTTATGCTCTAATAAGGATGTTTTAAATTTTACAGATACTTAAACTTGTTTTTGCTGAAATATGGAAATGTCAGGTCTGTAGACTTTTCCAGCATGAGATAAATGAAATATGGCAGAAAAAGGATCACCTTGTCTCTCACTAGAAAGATAAGAAGTTAAGGCCAGGTGCAGTGGCTCAGGCCTGTATTCCCAGCACTTTGGGAGGCTGAGGCAGGCAGATCACCTGAGGTTGGGAGTTCAAGACCAGCCTGACCAACATGGAGAACCCGTCTGTACTAAAAATACAAAATTAGTCAGGCGTGGTGGCGCATGCCTGTAATCCCAGCTACTCAGGAGGCTGAGGCATGAGAATTGCTTGAACCTGGGAGGCGGAGGTTGTGGTGAGCCGAGATCGCGCCATTGCATTCCAGCCTGGGCAACAAGAGCGAAACTCCATCTCAAAAAAAGAAAAAAAAAAGTTAAATCAAACCACTATCCAAAAGAATTAGAAAAAGTTCTGTGGGGAACATGGACTTGGAAATAAACATTTTGTCCAGTGGTAGGAGAAGCTTGGGTTGTGAGGGACTGGTTAAGTGCTTTACTCAGTTTTCTGTGTTCACTCAGTGGCAGAGCGAGGGCTGATTGGAACTGGTGCCCACCCTTCTACAGGCCAGTTTTCATTTTCATGGCAGCATACTCTCTAGTTGGAGTTGAGCACTTTTTCCTAACCAACCTTTAAACTTATTTTCTCCCATTACAAGAGTGATGAAAGTAGCATAATAACTATTAGTTTTCTACTGTTGGCTGTAACAAATTGCCACCAACTTGGTGGCTTAAAAAGTACAAATTTATTATCTTACAGTTCTCTTGGTTACAAGTCTGACACAAGTCTCACTGCACTGAAACATCAAGGTGTCAGAAGGGCTACATCTCCTTTCAGGAGGCTCTAGGGGAGAATTCCTTTCCTTGTCTTTTCCAGCTTCTAGGGCCATCTGCATTCCGTGGCTCCTGGCCACCTCCTTCCATCTTTACAGCTTGCAAGTACAGACTGAATCTTCACTTTGCCATCTCTCTGGTTCTCTGCAGCCAGGAAATTTATCCACTTTAGAAGAGTCATGTCATTAGATTGGGCCCACCTGGATAATCTAGGAGACTCTCCCCGTTTTAAGACCCTTAAACTTAATCACATCTGCAAAGTCCTTTCGGCCATGTAAGTTAACATATTCACAGGCTCCAGGAATTAAGACATGGATATCTTTGGGGGCCATTATTCTACCCGCCATTGAAGGATAACAAAATGCATGGCTGATTTAATCTACATTAAATTCACACATCTGATATTTTTGCTGAAAATCATAAATTAAACTAGTGATTGCCAATAGAGACTATGAAACTTTGACCTAATTCATTGGATGTAATCATCCCCAAGGATATTAAAATGCCTCAAAATAATTAATGTGGGAAATTCAGATTAGAAAGAAATGTTTCACCAACTCAAATGTTCAAAACTCTTAGGTACAGATGGGAGTCTCGTAAAGTGACACTATTCTTAGTTTAATATTTTTATTGAGAGGCTCACATCAGATGAAGTTAATTAAACAAAACTGATTTGGGACTGCAAAATTTCCATTAGTTAACTCCTATGTGAATCAGCTGGGGTTTCTTTAGAAACAGAAGGGTAATACCTGGGCCACTAGAGAGCCAAATGTGAAATCTAGTAACCCTGAGTTTTGAATAACACTGTCGTTTATGGATCTGGCATTAAGCCATATGAGTCACAAAACCTAGCAGATGAATCTGACAGTTATGCCCTATACAGTTTCCTAGGAAAGGTACAATATATACATTAATCAATAACTTTAAACATGAGGGCAACAGCTGCAAAAATAGTTTCTTTTATTGTTCACATCCTGTGTTAATCATACATTTAAGCCAAATGATAGCACATGGGTCCATCCACACAAAGCGTAAGATAATTTATATCTAGTAGCTGTATTTTAACTTCTGCTAAATACAAGTGGTAAAGATGCAGAAGAGAGACTACTGTAGTATGTTAGTTTTGGACAGAAAGCCTAGATTTACATTTTGCTGTGGTTCTCTGAAAAAAAGGAGATGGAAAGAAAACCAACTGTTTTCCTACACATATTCTTTTTTTATTTTTGGAATCATTTCCTGGAGAAAAACTAAATAGTACCTTAGGACCCTTGCTTAGACAATGGCTTGTGAAAATTACATTTCTTTGCAGGAAGTAATTATTTTTACACTGATTCTTTTTCATACCACAGTGTACAGCAACCTTAGGATTCTATGTTTAAAAAATCTGATTTTATGTCATTATGAGATTGATTTGTCAATCAAAATACCATCATTAAAGGAGAGATATTATTTAACAATGAAGTTAAACATGAAAATCAGCTGGCTCTTTTATTTAATAAATAATGAAATAGCAATCTATCAAAAATACCTCCATAAATAAAATATACATTTAGTTATTTCTTTATGTACATAGTAAGCTCATTTCAATGTTTAGTTTCTTTTATCTATCAATAGTATATACTAATGCAAGTGCTCACGTAAATAAAAACAAAACCCAAATACCTTTAAACATTTGAATATTTTTAAAAAGTATACAGAATATTCAATTTAATATGTATTTTATCCTACTACAGTAAATTAGAGAAGAGATGAAATCTATTTTGCTTATTTGAAAAAAAAAAACCTCACAGAGCTGTTGCCTTCTTTGTGATAGAAGAGATTGTTTAATCTTTAAAACATTTTGAACTGACTCAGTTGCTTTACTAATCCCTTTACTTTGTTAAAAATTATCTTTAAAGTTTACCTTTGAGAGAAATCAGAGATAAAGGAACTAATGGAGATGAGAGTTTTGAGATTTTGAATCTTTCTTGGTCAGTGGGCGTGGATAAAATAGAAGCAGACTTCAAAATCAGAAACTTCAAAGATCTTGATTTCTCACCAACTATATTGAAAACCAGTACAGAGTTTTATTTCCAGGGGGAATTTTTCCCAATGATGGCAGTAAAGTCATGCAGCAAGTGAGCAATGGAACTAGGAAGTTATCCTACGTCGTAACTACTCCAAAGACATTGCAGATCAGAGAACCATTGCAAGCTCTCCTCATTTTTCTCACTGATCTTTCTCACTTAATCTCACTGATTCAGTTGTTTTTCTTTAATTTATTGTTGCTTTAATTTTACTTCCATCTTTAAATGAGGGCGAAACTTGCAGAAAGACATGCAATTATTGAAACTGTTTATGAAGAAAGTTGTTTTACTTTAATTTGTGGAATGCCCCATTTCTGCCAATGTCTGCTATGGAAATGAAATTCTATAACTGGAACAATTTTTCCATTAACTCCTCTAAAACAGTCTACTTTGGAGTGAGGATTAATGGAAATAAAGGGTACTCTTTCTGCAGGCAAAATCTTGTGACCTGGGGCAAATAGGGAGAAGAAAGGTTAAGCAGCAATACCTTAAAGGGCATGAAGCCATAGGAACAGATGGTAGCCATCTTTTGTGGGGGGTTTGCTATGACCAGTGCACTGGGGACTAGCCAGATTGAAAAGCTTAGAGAAGACTGTGCCCCATACCTGTTGCTTACTGTTTGTCATAGATGATTTTACAAAAACTAAGGAGTCTGTGGTAGGGGCAGGAGACTGGTTTCTGGATGTAGCCCCAGCAATGCTGGGAAATAGAACTGTTCCCGTGTGCTTTTTCTTTATGCCAAGGGTGCATGAGGGGATGGCAACTGGAGACCATCAGGTCCCCTTTAGTATTTATAAGCAAGGGAATGAGCTCACTAACGCAAAGATTTTAGTAAATTCAAACCTTCCAATAAGAAATTTATGCTGCAATTTAAGCTCAAAACTTCCCAAGAGTCTCAGTAGAGAAAATGACAGAGGAATATGATTTACTAATGGTGTTATTAGAGTACAAGAGTCAGGTGGCATTGTTTACCTTATTGCCAAAAGTCAGTTCTGTCTTCTTCAATCAGAATACAATCCAAGCAATTACTATTGAATGCCCTCACGTGGGTGATGGTGCACTAAGTACAATGCAGAATTAATCAAGGGACAGTGTGACCTCAGATCTCAAGTAGTTTAAGCCAAAAGCGTCTCTCTCTCTCTCTCTCCCTCTCTCTATATATACATATATATTGATATATACATATATATAGATATATACATATATTGATATATACATATATATTGATATATACATATATTGATATGTATATAGAGGATAACTTTCTTATTACTTAAAAGCTATTATTGTTTTATTTTCATGGTAATTTTTGCCAAGCAGCAAATTGCAGTTGGGATTTCATAAATTCATTTTATTTGCATTCAGTGAAAGAGTATATTTTTCTTAAAATTCTAAATTGATGTATTTACTTGATGGCAGATCTGCAGTTATTCCATTAAGCTTTGTATCTCTGCCCTATGCTTTCCCAACCCCCATCACACTTGCCTGACTGTAAAACTCACATATCTTTCTTTTGTGTTCTTTCTGTGATAGAGTTTTCCCCTCTTTCTTATACAAATCCATGTGTGCAGCACACATGCACACACACGCACCCCCCATACACACAGTTACTTTACAATGAGCTGTTCTAAACCTAGTCCTTCTCTTTACTTTTATTCCTCTATCTTCCTTTAGTCTCCCTATAACTTGTATTTTAAGCAACCAACTCCTATTTATTGCACCCCCACTGAATGTAAAACACTATGCTACACACTGGGGTCTCCCCGTCATTTCCCCACTGCAGATCCTTGCCTCTACAGTTAACAGTATTTCCTTCTGATGGGGACAAGTTAGGTAAAATAAAGGAGATAGTGGGCAGAAGGAAAGGATGTTGTTGGTTATAGAGCGAAGAAAGTAAAGATAGAAACCAGGAGAAAGGGAACTGAAACAGAGCACCGAGATTGTGTTGGGATTTTGGAATCGTGTTAGGGCAATAGGAGGAGGTAAAGAAGCAGCAGCAGCAAAATGTTTTTGAGTGTTTTATCAGGCATTTTATGGTGAATAAAATAGATTACTATATTTACACATTGAACCTTCTGCATTAAATTACTAGTTTATCCTTTTCAGCTAGCTAGAATCCAAGTTTAAACACCCCCAAACCTTACTTACATTTCTTTGATATCACTGTAGCTATTCCAGTATCCTGCCCATCCTCTGGCCCCCATTTCTCCCTCTCTCTTGCTTAACTTTTAAAATGAAGTCCCTATTCAGAAAAAACTTGTGCTTCCTAAATGAAACCTAAAGAGGAAGTTGTTCTTATGCCAAAAATCAGCGTATATCTGACTTGATTGTTATCTAGAGTTATCTCCTAACATGTTAGCTCCATGAAGATTTTCTGATTAGGTTGAACTGTTGTTGAAAGACTGGTGGTGCAGAAACAATAAGTTGGCATTTGTCCAAACTTAGTACTAAGTGTTGAAAGTTGGAAGAGTAACTGATTTTTCTAGTCACTGTAGTTTTCATTATAACAATCTCCTTTATAAATTTGGTTTGCAGCCTATATATTTTTGTATCATAGCAGATTTTGCACTGGTTATCTAGTTTAAAGTTTCAGTATTTGAGATTTTTTCATCTTTTCAATAATGTCAAAGAAATGTTGGGTTTAGCGGTTTTTAAACTTGGGATCTGGAAAAAAGAAAAAGATCATTCTTGTTGAAAGGTTTCAGTGAGTCATCCAGAAATTTATACTTATGCCTCCTGACAGCCAGTAATTATTGGATTGCAGTTATTTTTCAGAAGTGTTTACTCCGAGTTGAGGTTTTATGTTATTGATGATCTGAATCATGAGTTTAACTCTCATGTTAATCCAATAGTTTAAGTCATCTGCCAGCCTGTGTAAAATTACTATTTTACCACTGGACACACATTTTAATTCTTTGCCACAAAAGCAGCATTGGGCTCAGAGAATTAAGGCATTCTCTGCCTCAAGGAACTTACATTATAGGAGGAGAGAGAAGATGAGAACACAGGACTGTGATGCCACACTGGTACAAATGCCCCTATTTCTTTTCTCCCCTTAGTAGCAAAACTGCTCAAGTACAGTCTGGGCATGTTGTTTCCATTTCTTTTTCTCTTGGTAACTCTTGAACCCACTTTTGAGAACCCTCCTCTCCTTCAAAGCCACTCACATCAGGATCACGGGTGGCTTCAGGTCAAGAGAGTGGTCAGTGCTCTGTCCTCCGCTGACTTGACTTTTCAGCATCATTTGGGACACGTAGTTTTTCTGTACTCCAAAAAGTGCCACATTCATCTGGTTTTCCTTCACCCTAACTCACTGTTCTTTCCAGTCTCATTTGCTCATGATCTTCCTGACTCTAAAAGTTGGAGTATCCTAAAGTTCAGTCCTACTTTCTTCTCTATTAAAACTCACTCTCTTCATGATCTTATTCTCTTATTAAGTCTCATGGCTTTAAATTCCATCCATATGCTGACAGTTTTTAAATTCATATTGCTGATTTGAACCTCTCTCATGAGCTCTAGACAATATATTTCTGCTTGGGGTATCTAATAAGCATCCTACAAATAATATGTCCCAAACTCCTGGTCATTTCCCTCTACCAAACTTGCTCTTCTATTTCCTATCTCAGTTATCCCAGAAATCATCAATATTAACATGTTGGTATGTATTTGTCCAGGCTCCTATGGGGATGCATGTTTATTTCTCACTCTCACTCATGAGATCATATTGTGTATGCTGTTTTCTTCCTCTTTTTCCCTCATTTACTGTGAACATGTTTTATATACTCTTAAATATTATTTGAAACCTAGCTGTTAGTAGTTACTTAGTTGTACCACAATTTATTAACTAATCCCTTGTAGTTGAACATTAGGTTGCTACCCTTGACTTACTATTATAATTAAAATTTAAAAAGAAATACTTCATCACTCTAGTTTTGTACTATCTCAATATGGTAGCCACTTGCTACATGTGGCTGTTAAGTAATTAAATATGGCTAGTCCCAATTAAAATATGCTCAAAATGTGAATGCACACCAGATTTCAAAGATGTAATTTGAAAAAAAGATGGTACAATATTTCATTAATAATTTTTATATTAATTACTTAGTGAAATAATATTTTGGTTATATTAGGTTAAATGTGATATATTTTTAAAGTGATTTCATTTTTGCCTTTTTGCTTCTGAAAAAAGCAAAATTACTATCAGAAAATTAAAAATTAAATGTATGGTTCACATTATATTTTTATTGGATGGCACTATCATTAATTCTTGCTTAGATTTGTGTAACAGCATTTTAACTTGTCTCCTGACTCCTGCGGTCTAATGTCAATAGAGTGGCCACAGTAATTCTTCCAAAACATGTTATCAGATCATGTCTCTCCTCTCCTCAAAACACTCCAGAGGCTTCTCATCTTATTTTTTAGTAAACCAAGTCCTCAGAAGCCATGTCTTAGAAAGCTGGTCCCTGTCTACCTTTTGACTTTATTTCTCCCTATCACAAGCCAAACATATTTCCATGTTGGGCCTTTTTAATTGCTCCTCCCCCTTCCTGGAGTGCTGTTCCTCCAGGTGTCTGCAGGGCCTGTGCAGTCACCTCTTTCAGGTCTTTTCTTTGTAAAACCTTTACCGAAAACCTACTTAAACTTTTTTTTTCTCAAAAAAAAAAAAAAAAAAAAAAAGACCTATTTAAAATTATGACCTTACCCTGCCCAACTGCTCCCAATAACCCCTAACTCTTTTTCTTGCTTTTTAAAACAAAATCTTAGCACTTGTCAAATTTAACATAACATATTGTTTTCTTATTAATTACATTTATTTTTCTGCTTTTCCCCACCAGAACATAAGTTGCAGAAGGGCAGGAGGCTTTGCTTTATTCACTTTATTCAATGTAGCAACATAACAAAGAGTATAATGGATTATGTTCTACTCCAAATTTAGTAAGTTAGCGTAGTAAATAACCTGTTACATAGAGAACACACAGTTCCTTTCAAAAACAATTGTGAGATGTGGCCTCTAGTCTTATAAAAATTAACAGTTGAAAAAAAAAAAGGAAAATGTAGCATACCAGTTATGTAACTGTCAAATGGTTAAACCTATTCTGCCCTTTACAGACCTTGTCCCAGTGACGTCTTGGTGGCATATGACACTGTAGATCACCATTCCCAAGAAATAAGTAGGCATGAGGAAGCATTATGAACTGTCATGTGTCTTTGCTCAGGATGTCCTTTGTCCAGTATGCCCTTCCCTCTGCCTCATTTGTTCCAGAGAAAGCCTACTTATCCCTCTGAAAGTCTCCCCAAGTCCCAGCAAGATGAGTTCTTCCCTCCTTTGTGCCACCAGTCATGCAAGGTCTTGTTATATGTGTGGCCTTTTTTTATGTTCAGTTATTTGCTAGACTCAGATCCTTCAGAGCAGGTGTCATCTTTATTTACTTTTATGTTCCAAATCTCAATATGTAATAAGCACTTGATAAATGCTTCTTGAATGAATCAATTTCTTTTGTTATGAATGCACATTTAGAGTTTGGAAATCTTTTCATCATATTTGTGCACACACACCTCTTCTCAAACTTAAAAACATAACGAACTGTTGAGATTGATATGAATCTCCGAATTTACTCTTTAATTCTTGATGCCAAAATATTTGATGGTAGTGAGAGGGCGAAAGAGAATAACTGAGCTGGGAGGATACAAAACAGAAAGACAGACGAGAGCTGTTTCTCTTTAATCTCTCCTATATTCTTTGCTGCTTGCTTGCACTTTGCAGTCAAACAGATCCTGAAACCCTCCAAAGTGGAAGTGCAAACCTTACATTATAATTGTACTTGCACATTTTCTGTTCAAGTGATGAAATATGTGTGAAATATGGTGAGTTCCAGAATACATTCATTTATGAAAATAATAGCAAACAGAAAAACAAAATAGAACAACAACAATGAAACAACCTACCATCGTTTTGGTGAAAATGAGCAGGGTGTCACTTGCTAGAAAAGTTTTGAAAGTGCTGGTGTGATAATATGAATATATTCACAAATATACATATAATAGTATAAATTTGTATTTATATATTTATATATGTTTATAAATTTGTAAATTTTCTCACCTTATTGAATTTTAGTAGGGTGACTCTTAGATATCCAAAATATTTGTGTATAATATTTTATTTTTTCAGGTATTGCCTCTTCACTTTAATTCTTTCACAGACATTAGCATTGCCTTAAAAGAAACAATGTAAACCATTGCACTGCAATAAAATAGAAATATTTTTGAGAGGAGAGTCATTCTACCACAGATTTTGTTCTTAATCAACAGTGCTCATATTTTTGTTTTTTGGCCAGTACTATATATAGGGATTTCTCCTTTCATTTACGAAAGAAAGTACATGGTATGTCTCGTACTCTGAAAATGTGCAGTTCTGGCAGTTACCCTGGATGGTTATGCTATCATAATTAAAACACAGATGGAGCTCATTTCTTTCCCAAGTGTTTGATTGGCAGACACTCTGTGATCAACACTCCTCTCTGCTGAACACATCAGCGCCATCTGCCTTCAGTCTGCCTAGAGAGGGTGGTCGCAGTAGAATTTCCCCATCATCGCATGATACTTTAAGTAGAGTATGTTCCTTTAGCTGAAGGCATCAAATAATTTATGCAAAAAATACATATATTTTTATCACTGTTGGTTTGCAATTTAATGAAATATTTATTAATAATTGTGTTTTTAAAAAATTCATGACTCCTTTTCTCCAATTAAAATATTTAGAACATAGCATAAAATCACCACATCTTGGAAAAGTTAAAGTTTCTAAATAAATTGAGCTGATGGGGCATTTTGTTTTTAGTGAGATTGTTAGAGATGATTTCAAATCAGGGTCCTGTGTGTTGTTAGAGATGATTTCAAATCAGGGTCCTGTGTGTTGAACCATTCATGCAAGAGCTACTCACAAATGGAACTACTTCAATATATTCTCTCTTAAGCCTAACATTAAAATAGTTTCAAAAGAATATGCTCATTTTAAAATTTTTATAACTGTTAGATTATGATAAATGGTACTTCTTGGATATCATGGTAAGAAATGGAAAGAAATTTATGCTCACCCAATTTTAATGCAGATAAGTGAATGTGGGTTGATAATTATGTAGAAAAAGATACATTTAAGATATTGGAAGCATAGGAAAAATGGTATTTTTAAGAAGAAAAAAAGATAACTATTTCATTGTCCTAGAAACATTTTGCAATATATGGTACTTACACAAACGTATAATCTAGATTAGTGAGGAATACACATGTATTATGCATAACAACATAAATTCTGTATATAATGAAATAATAATGAAAAATTGGTTGGAATTCTACCTTCCCTGTCCACATGGATAAGTAATTATAATTGACAAGATGAAAACATGCTATGTAGTACTTATGGGAAAAACGGAATGAATTAAAGTTTATTCTACAGAATGTTAGAACAAAGAATAAAGGAATTAAATTTAAAAACATTCTGAAGAACCCTGGAATACACTCATTGCTTTGGTTCCTGTGGAAACCCACTTACAAGAAAGGGCAAGAGTGACTTGGATTTTGGCAAGAATTTGAGGATTAGATTGGTAAAGCTAATCACTTCACAGTTGGAGTGAGAAGATGAGTTTTGGAGGTGAACCAACAGAAAAGAAGGAACATAGTATGAATATATAGAAATTTTTCATCTTCTGTACCTTTAAAGATAAACTCTGAATTAGATTTTCATTTTGTTTGACTATATCATCACCTCTATTCAAGCTTGGAATTTTTCAAGGTAAGGATTGGAGATGGGAAGGGAGAAAGAAGAGTTTTAACCTTCTTTAAGAGAAGTTTTAGCTTATGTAAAAACCATTTATCCTGAGGAGCTTACATGCTCATGAGGGAAAGAATGAGGATAATTTTGATATGAAGGATTGGAATAAGTGTTATAAAGAAAGTGGAAGTTCAGAGAAAGGAGAACGTTCCCCACTTCAGAGGTATGTCTAAGAACACCTGAACACAGACTCACTCACTCAAGTCCTCTTCCTCTAACTGGCGCTGTCTTCCTTCCCAAACTATTTCTTTCTGGGCCAGTTTTATTTTGTGTTGACATTTTCTATATAGTTTACATTTACAAATACCCACTTGTACAAATACCCCTTATTATGATTATACATATAATATGGATCTCCAGAGAACTTTATTAAATGTCGTTTGGTTAATAACCAACATTTATTGAGTACCTACTGTGTGTCAGACACTTTTCTAAGCACCTTTTCATTTTACTCTCACAGCAAACCTATGAAGAAAGTACTGTTATAATTACCTTATTTTGCAAATGAAGAAACTGCCTAAAATGACCCAGTTAATCCAGTAGAGAGATTGGGATTACTTGGACAGACTGGCTCCAGATTACCGCACAGTAGATCCCCATAGGTTCTTGGAAAAACTGTGACTTTAAGTGAAATAATATATAATGAAAGCAATTTTACCATAAGCAAATTTAAGTTTCTGCTGCATATTTCTGGTC
The DNA here is from genome assembly GCF_000001405.40 of Homo sapiens. Classification (NCBI taxonomy): domain Eukaryota; kingdom Metazoa; phylum Chordata; class Mammalia; order Primates; family Hominidae; genus Homo; species Homo sapiens. Next base: position 102,821,895 of record NC_000005.10, read on the forward strand.
ACAAAAACAATATCAAACTTCTAAATAAAAACCTAAATTGCTTCTCACATTAAACATTGAAATAAGTGTGAGTTATACATACATTTAAGAAAGACTAATAAAAGCAAGTAAGATAATTATTTACCCAATTTGGGGGATTCAATCAGTGATGGTAGTTGTAGTGGTGATGGGTTAAATCCAGAGATAAAGGTCTTCAAAGAGAAAATTGTCAGGCACAGCTCCTACCAACATGCAGATAAAAACCAAATAATAACGATTATGGCCGGCCCCCTGAGCACTTTCATTTTGCATCATTTATTGTTGTACATTTGTATGATTATCATCTACTTTACACATTTTTATTTGACAATAATTTGTATTCATTTGCTCATTCATCTATTTATTTTCCAACCTGCCTATTCTAATTTAGAGTCACAGGTGGCCAAAGCCTATCCTGGCAGCTCAGGGTGCAAGGCAGGAACCCACCCTGGACAGAATGCCATCCCACCGACGAGCACATACACGCATTCACTCATGCTAATTCCAAGCGGGACCATTTAGCCAAACCAGTTTACCTAACATGCACAGCTTTGGAATGTGAGAGGAAACCAGAGTACCCAAGAAAACTCACATAGACATGAGGAGTGCCCTAGACACAGACAGTGCCCTAGCCAGGAATCGATTTTTTTTTTCTCCTCATCAACCTTATAATGAAATGAAGTTGAAGGAAACATTATTTGAGGACCTGCTATACTCTGGTGTTATTAAAACAGACCCAGTTCCCAGAACTGCCCTAAGTGTGAAGAGTTAATGCCTCCCCAGGATTAAACCCAAGGAAGGGGCAGCAGGGAAGACTGAGAAGATACCCTTAGAAAGAGCAATTAAACCAAATGCAGGAAAGAGCAGTGAGAAGGGAAATTACCATTGGAGATCCTGGGTGAGGAAGCCAACTTTGTAGAGCAGAGTCACCTGCCCTGGCACACACTCACCTTGACCCATACACAGACTCCTGCTACACATGTGCCCACCTGGATTCCTCCCCACTCATCCCAGTCCATGGCCCTCCCCCACCCTCTATGGCCAGTCTAAAGGACTGATGTGCAACCAAGAAACAAAGTAAGGACAAGCACTCCTTTAGTGGAAAATAAGTTTTATTTCGTTTTTTTCCCCCAGTTGAAAAAGATTTCTGAGAAGCTGAGCTAGGTATTGAGTGGGATGTGGAAAAGTGAATCTCTGACCTTCAACCATGATAGCAGAAAGTGCATTGGACTGAGGGAGCCTGAATCCCCTTGTCTTAGTCTCAGGCTTTAGCTAACACTTCAGAATTAGGTTCCTGATGTTTGTATATTTTGTCACCAAAGCTGAGAGTTTGAATACTGTCAAAAGTTGTTACAGAATAGAGTAAAATCACAATGTTTACTTAGCAACACTGAGTTGAAATAGAGTCATAAGTTGCTATAAAAATCTTGCTAAATTTCAGGGAAGAACTTTTAAAAAAATAAGTAAAAATTAATGGTAAACCCCTACTTTAAAAAAAAAATCAAAGCCTAAAAGTTTTTTCTCCTTAAAGTATTTCAAATATGTGACCATCACATATAACTTTGGTGTGGGAAATAATTAGACATGAAAGACTGAATAACTGGGTGATTCAGACTTTCCTACATCTGTGACTTGATTCCTGAAAGGAGCGCTGGAACAGATGTCAAACTATAATCAGAGTGAGCAATTAAAACCAAGTAATCTTAGAACCTACTTAACTAAGAATGAGAGTTATGGACCTTCTTTTATTCCATGGGCATTTTCTTCTAAGAGTGAGCATTAAGAAAGAAACTGAAATATGACCCAGAATTAAGCTCTAAAGTCCAGTAGTCCTGAGTTTATGTACTGTAAACACTTGTAATCTATGCTCATAAGTGAACTTTTAATAGTCCTGTTCTCATGTTCACTTCATAGAGCAGAGTCTGAACTTGTTATATGCAGGTCACAGAAAGGGAACTAACTGTATCTCAAATAGACCCTGACCATGAAAAAGATACTAGTTCTGCCCCCTTCTTCGTTTAGGAGAAAAATACTCAAAGTTTCATTATGTAATCTTTTCTTTGTATGTTTATTAAACATTAATTCAGCTTATTTATTGTTGTTTTAAAGAGCACCAGAAATGGAAACATGTAAGATGACATTTGGTTTATTGAAGCCCTACAAAACTAGCGGATGGTTTAGGGAAGCAGCATTAAAGATGCTATTGATCCTTAATTCAAGACCATACTTAATGCTGCATCTGGAAGAAGAGCTATTGCAAGAAAAAGGCTGTTGAGTTCGAGACTATGTTATTCATAAATATTTAAGAAAATATGAGGCAAGTGTTCATGAGCATAGTATACGGAACCAAATTCCGTGGCGAGGAGGGTTCTGCGAACATTTCTAAATCTGTAGTATTTATTCATATCACATTTCAATAAACCTATGAAGAATACAATTTTATGAAATCAGCCAAAACTTTATAGCTACATTGTTTTATCTTAGTCATTCTATGTACAAATGGAAGGTGTAATATGTGATAGTCACTGGGATAGTCATTTTGTATTTAAACTTCCTTATACCAAATACAGAATCTCCAAGTTTTTGTCTTTAAATATTTTCCCAACACTTACACTATATTTGATAGTGATTAAAAAGCTGAGTATAATTAATTGGTACCATGTATAACTGTGATAGCTGCATCTGGTTACTTTTCCTGTTACTCACATTACTCTGTTTTGCTATAACCACTCTATTTGTGAAAGTTTTTATGCTGCCTGCTCAATACATGCTAAATGTTGCTTTTAGTGAGAAAAATGAGATTTCAAAGCAATATCAAATACAGGTGACAGTGTTTCCTAATTAGTTTTATGGACGTAGAAACAAATCACTTAAAAAATTCACAAGCTCTGGAAATGCAAATTTTCTAAAATAAGGACTCACTCTAAATAAAATTTTATATATTATAAACCACATAGTTAGCATATTATTGCCAGATCTAAAAACCTATATGTAGTTCCTAAATTAGGCTTTAGAGACCCTGCAAGATTTTGAAATGGTCAGGAAGTGGGAAATAACCCACCACTGACACAGACATTGATGACAGACTTGTGCTGGCTTCCTAAGATCCAAGAAACTGAATAGCTAATGCGAAAGCACCTTTCTTACCTGAGCACTAATGTTATGGTACCTTTGTAGGCTCCTGACCTGTAACATTTCAGCCTCTTTTGTAACTTAACAGAAAAAGAAACAATCTAATTTAAGTCATTTTCAAATATACAAATTAAATGGCTAATATTTTTATTTTAAAAATCAAACATTTTCTTTCAGAGCTTCAAAGAAAACTTGGATAATGGATCTCTCTAGATCCATCCAGGTGGTTTTAGATTCTGTAATACCTTTACTTCAACATCGCTGGCTTTCAATCTAAAACTAAAAAATTTATCTTTGGGTGAGAAATTAAATATTGTCCAAATCAAATATATTCTTAATAGCCCAGGAGAATAAACTCAGAAAAGAATCAAAGATAATCTTAGAGGGAACCCGGTTGCTTACTGTGTGCGTATGTATAAGATCAAATATCAAATGCCAGATTTTAATGTCAACATGCGATGCTGGGAAGAACATTTAATATAGAGTCATGAGAAACGGGCCTGGAGTTCAAGCTCCAGGAGTATGGGTTGTGTGAACTTGGCCAAGTCATGGAACCTCTTTGATCCTCAGTTTCAATACAGAGAATAAGAGTAATGAAAATACTACTTCAATCCTGTACAACATAGTGAGATTCTATCCGTACAAAAATGAAAAACAGCCAGGTTTGGTGGCATGTGCCTCTAGTCTAGCTACTTGGGAGGCTGAGACAGAAGGATTGCTTGAGCCCGGAAGTTAAAGGCTACAAGTGAGCTATGATTGTACCACTGCACTCCAGCCTGGGCAACAGATCAATACCCCATCTCTAAAAAAGAAAAAGAAAATAATACTGCTTTCTAGAGTTAGAGTATTATGAGAAATAAATGAGATTGTTCATGAAACTGACTTGTGCTGTGTAAAACCTGGGTTTTATTTCTAACTCTACAATTTCCCGGCTTTGGATAAATTACTTAACAAAATAAAGCCTTGTTTTTCACAACTTTAAAATGAGGATAATAAGAATACAGTGTTTGCAAACTGATTGTTAACAAAGTATGAGCTCAAATCTTAGTTACTATTACTTGCTATTTTTACTAAATCTCTAAAAATGTACTTAATGTCATCTAGAGATTTAAAATGTTATAATAAAATTTTATTTTTTTAACTTACTTAAAAACTTACTTCCGTATTTATTTTTACTTGAAAATTTGTTACTCCATATACTTTCTTACAAATAACTTTTAATCTATGTATTTATGTGGAATGAGACATTTTCTCCCTAAACAGATAGTTTCTGCTCTGTATGTAATTTTTGAGCTTTATGATTCAAGGGACTTGAGTAGAAATGGATATCCAGGGTCCTTTCATTGTTTATAATTTGCTATCGCTAATAACAATTTAAATATAATTTGTTTTGTTGGTGGATTTGGTATAAAACAACCGAGGAGCTTGTATGACTTTGTAGACATACGGTAGATTTTTTTAAATTTTGAGAGGAAAAAACATTCGAGGGCACTAAGAGCTGCTGGTGCCCTATCTAGAGGACGTATTTGAGATGCACCAGAGATCCCCTACCTCTTAAAATCCATTTAGAGAGTCAGCTGCAAACCTTTCCTTGGGTAATGGGATTAGCACTCTGTTGTAACTGCAATCCTTAAGGATACAAATTTGTTTCTGAATGTTGTAGCTAGTAATCTTATGCTCCTTGACAGGTCTTACAGTGTAACTGCCACTCTTGGAATGGAAAATGCAGACCTCAGACCTCTCTCTGTCTGCTAGGTTAGGAAGTTCAAAGACTTTAACAGGAAGTATTCAGTCTTGAGGAAGTAAAAATTAGCTGCTCCCCACCTTTATTTTTCAATGATATTATTGAAGGAATGTGATGAGTCACCTAAATTTAGCATACATATAGATGCTTTTATAAGAGAATTTTTCCTTGTAGTACCCTTAATTTTTAGTACTTTTAAAGAAAAGAATGCTAAGAAATATTTTCTGTCTAAGTATATTTGTTGATATTTAAAAACCTTCTGAACCAGTTAGTTTGTTTGGAATTCAGTATTAAAGGAATAAAAGTCAAGAACTGTTTGTGGTTCTTCTCTTTGCTATCCTCTTTCTATGAGACAGCTCTTATTTCCCTGGATGGACAATATGCATTGAGCATTCTTAATCCAGAAATCTGAAATCTTCCAAAATGTTAAACTTTTTGAGTACTGACAGCTCAAAGGAGGAGCATTTCTGATTTCAGATTTTCAGATTAGTGATGGCCAACTAAATATAATGGAACATATTCCAAAATCCAAAAAAAAATCCAAAACCTGAAACCCTTCTGGTCCCAAACATTTTCTTGATAAAGGATATTCAACCCATGTAGGTATGCTGAGCCACTATGATCCTAGGAAAATAAAATAACATTTTAGTATTTTTTTTATACACCTTCCTGATACATTCTAATATTTTCTTCTGTTTTTAATTTTATCCTCATAATACAAATGATTATTGAATATTGTTAAAATATTCTTACTTTAAGAAAATGTCTATAAATTTGAAATATTCCAAGTCTGTTTTCATGAGGCGTGATTTTTTATAGCTAGGATTCCAGTGGAATGTAAAATAAAAATTACAATATCTTTTGAAGCTCACTATGATTTTTTTTTTTTTTTTTTTTTTTTTTTTTTTTGAGACGGAGTCTCGCTCTGTCGCCCAGGCCGGACTGCGGACTGCAGTGGCGCAATCTCGGCTCACTGCAAGCTCCGCTTCCCGGGTTCACGCCATTCTCCTGCCTCAGCCTCCCGAGTAGCTGGGACTACAGGCGCCCGCCACTACGCCCGGCTAATTTTTTGTATTTTTAGTAGAGACGGGGTTTCACCTTGTTAGCCAGGATGGTGAAGCTCACTATGATTTTAGCATTAAAAACCACTCTTGGACTTCATTGAGTAATTTACATAAAAACAAATATTAATGTAGTATAAAGCTGATATTTATTTTAATTTTTCCTTTTGAAACTATTCTCAATTCTTTCTTAAATGTTCTATTCATGGCCATGCACGGTGGCTGATACCTATAATCTCAGCACTTTAGGAGGCCGAGGCCAGCAGATTGCTTCAGCTCTGGAGTTCAAGACGAGCCTGGGCAACATGGCGAGACCCTCTGTCTACTACAAATACAAAAGAAAAAAAAATAGCCAAGCGTGGTGGTGTGCATCTGTGGTCCCAGCTTCTCAGGAGGCTGAGGTGGGAGGATTGATTGAGCCTAGAAGGCGGAGGTTGCAATGAGCCCAAGATCTTGCCACTGCACTCCAGCCTAGGTGACAGAGCAAGACTCTGTCTCAAAAAAAAAAAAAGTTATATTCATATCCTATTCTTCTTGGATATACTATATTGACTATACATTTACTTCATCTTGATGGCTTCTGGTCCTATGAATACTGGCTGTGTCTGTGCTATAGGGACCATGTGGTGTGCTCTAGGGAACACTAGCTGCTGCATCAGAGCCCTTAACTGCTATCTGTGCTCTGATTGGCCTAGTGTAGGTTACTTACCCTCTCTTGCTTCTCTAATCTATAAAATGGGGCTAATAATACACATCTAGGGCAGTAGCGAGGGTTACATGAAGTTGCATTGCATCTAACAGTCTCTGGCATATAGAAGGTGCCCAATAAAGTTTAGTTTCATGGTTCATGGCAGATAGAAATGTAAATGTCAGTGTGGGAGATTTAGGATTAGAGCTAATGTAGCTGTGGCCTTGGTAAGAGTTGGTTGTTGGCTTGTTTACTTTTTATTTTACAAAACAAATGAAACTATGTAATCTCCAAAGTAGTAGAATACAGCTCTCAGCCTAGGCTGAAAATATATATGACTTAATCAATTGCATTTGCATATAAGAAATTCCTACCTCAGGGTTTTTTTTTTTTTTTTTTTGAGACAGAGTCTTGCTATATTGCCTAGGCTGGTCTCAAATTCTTGCACTCCAGCAATCCTCATCTCAGCTTCCCGAGAAGCTGGGACTGCAATCATAGGGTTATTTTAAAGACTTAAAGATATATAACAATTCAAAGAGTTTAGCACTTGCTAAACACTCAGTAAATGGTCATTAATATAAAGATGCAGCCCTCTCAGTAAATGATTATTAACATAAAGATGCAACTGTTGGGATACAGGTTGTGTACTCTAAATTTTGACCGAAAGTCATACGTACAAAATGTATTCTCGGTACACCAACGTTAAATGGTTATAATTAACAAAGTTGCTAAATTTTGAAAATATGTTCATATAAACAGCTACCTTTTTTTGGATATTTAGTATATAGTCGTTAAATAAGAAAGCTGAAAGTGAGCAACTGGGAGGTTTTTTTTTTTTTTTTTTTTTTTTTTGAGATGGAGTCTTGCTCTGTCACCCAGGCAGGAGTGCAGTGTCGCGATCTCGGTTCACTGCAAGCTCCGCCTCCCCGGCTCACACCATTCTCCTGCCTCAGCCTCCCGAGTAGCTGGGACTACAGGTGCCCACCACCACACCCGGATAATTTTGTTTTGTATTTTTAGTAGAGACGAGGTTTCACCATGTTAGCCAGGATGGTCTCGATCTCCTGACCTCATGATCCGCTGGCCTCGGCCTCCCAAAATGCTGGGATTACAGGCGTGAGCCACTGCGCCTGGCCGCAAATGGGAGTTTTTTGTGGTTAGAAAATTGTATTTGTGAGAAATAATTCTGAAAATGCCTTTTATCTACTTTATACAAATTGTCTCTGTATATTATCTTTAAAAATCTCAGAATCTAGAAAGAATGGTTTATCTTTCTGGGCCCTAGAATCATACCAGATAGATGGGTCAATATTATACAGATCTTAGAGTCTGAGAATTCTGCAGATATCTTTTATCAAATTTATACAAACTGTCTCTGTATATGACCTTTAAAAAATTTCAGAATCTAGAAAGAATACATAATTTATTTTCTGGGCCCTAGAGTCATACCAGGTAGAAGGGTCAATATTACACAGACCTAGCAACACGTATAGATGTTTTGGGGGTCTACCTGCTCTAGGTAAATATTTCTGCCTGTACTGGGGCTTATGTGCAGCTGCCATGCACTGGTGTGACAACTGGTTGCATGGCTGGCATTCATTCTGATTAATCACCAATGTAATACCAGTTGTTAAATATTTTGAATATTACCTAGAAATATTTATATCTGTACCTGCATTGCGTCCCCATTTTCTCATTTAAGAGTAGCATAATTGTTTTTTTTCTTTGTCTTTCACAGCAGGACGATTGAAGTCATTAAGGTGGATGGTTTCTACCTGTTGGTTAGACTTTTCTACAAAACTACGGTATCTGCTAGGTTGTGGCTTATTTCACCACTGTACTGAATCTCACTACTTTATACAGGTCAGGGCATCTCACCACTGAAATGTATTGTTGAGTACCTTCATCATTGTTTATTGAGCTTTTCATAGGGTTTTTCATATAGAACTTGTAACTGCTTGTTCATTCTTCTCCATGACTCTCCTCTTACTACACCCTCAGCTCAGTTCCTTTAATGAGAAGACATTCTAGGAAGTTCTGGGTATTAAGCTGGAGTGGTGGAGGTCTTTGAAGGAGGTTTGATATTAGAAATCAGATTCACTTTCACAAGGAGCATTTAAATCATTTTAGCCAATTAACACCCTAACATGTGATTTAACACCATCAAGTCCCCAAGTTGCCAAGAATGTGGCCCATGCCTATTTCCCCTGGTATGCTGTCTAGATTGCTGAATAATGTTTGTCTTCTATTAATTAAGAATTCTGTACTTGGCAAATTAAGCATGTTTGCCTAAACAAGTCTCACAAATGTGATAGGAACATTAGACTTCTGACTCTGTATTTTGGATGTTTTGTTTTGTTTTGTTTTGTTTTGTTTTTGGTTATCTGAGAGTCTGAGTTACAAGGTAACTCAGAAACCAGCTCTCTCAATTAATAGGTCAGAATATGAAGTTTGTAGTAGTTACTAACCCAAAGACAGATAAGTTTTAATCTCTATTTCAGCTTTGTTCAGTGGGAATTTTGGTCACTTGGAGGCCATAAATTTGACATCCTTCAATAAAATCAAAGTCACGTAGCTAGTTTGTGGCACAGCCTGGACTAGAACCTGGTTCTTTTGATTTCTAGTCTCACTTTCATTTTTTCCTAGTCACTTTATTATAATGTTCATGGAAACCGTTACTTGAATACATTTTTATAACCTTGTAATCCATTATGTAGGCATGAAAAATTAAGACTTTTGACATTTTTATTATATGCAAAGAAAGTAAAAATTATCTTGTTAAAAATATCATCCTTATTATTCAACTTTGAAAACATAGAAAAGATGTGTGAAAGAGAAATGTAGCTTCATATGCATATCTTTTAAGTATGACCCTTCATTATCGAGCTCTTTTTTTTTCCTTTTTTTTTTTACAAAGTATGCCATGAGCTTTTTTAAGGACACATTTTAACATAGATTAAATCTTTGAGGAATTAGCTTGAATTATTTATAGGTAACTGCCAAAACATGCTAATATCCATGTGTGTGAAATATAAATATGTTTATCAATAGCTGAGAGTAATTGTTTGTATCATGATGTTAGGAATGATATAGCTATATTTCATGCAGTTTTTAAAGCCCAGTTGATGTAGTTTGTGTATTTCCCTGGCTAACATTGTTGGCACACAGTAAATTTCTAACAATGATGATTACTCTGCCTCCGTACAGTATTCACTTTAACTAGAAAAAAATTTACTACTATGCTAATGTGGTACAATTTTTGAAGTATGTTAAGATGCTAAGAAAATGTTATGGCATTCTGTTACAGTATTATCATTTTTTATAGGAACTAGTCTTCTCTCTCTCTCTCTCTCTCTCCCCCGCCCGCCCCTGTCTCATACATGTACTACACCAGTCATTCATCTTTCCTATGCCACACTCATGTTTTCACCTTACTGACTAAATAACCAGTGGTATCAAAGTTTTATCTTCCATTGAAATCCAGCCTTCAAGGATGGTCTCAGAGCCGTTCCCTTCATTATACTGTGCAGTGGTTCTTCAGAATCTGAAAATTCAGAAATGTCCAAATTATGATTACAAGTGTCCAAACTTTGAAGTGTGTCATGGCATTTGAGTCCTACTTTGTATCTAGCAGTGTCAATTATTTGGGGACGCACAGTGATTCCTGTTTTAACAAAAATAAAGCTATAATATTATTGGAGCTAGCATCCTTTTAAGGCAGATTTGACATTGATCGTACCCATAGCTAGGACAAAGCCAAGCTGGTCATTGTAGTTTCAGGGGGCATGCATGTCCACTTCCTCCCAGTTAATATCCCCATTTTCTTTGATTCCTATGTACAGCAGTTCCCCCTTATCCACAGAAGATACCTTCCAAGACACCCCACTAGATTCCTGGAACCATAATAGTACTGAATCCTATATATATTATGTTTTTCCCTACAAATACATATCTATGATAAAGCTTAATTTATAAATTGGGACTGTATAAGATTAACAACAATAACAATAAAATAGAACAATTATAACAATATACTGTAATAAAAGTTATGTGAATATGGCACCTCTCCATAAGTATCTTATTGTGCTGTACTATGAGTAATTGAAACTGCAGAAAGTGAAACCTCAGAAAAGCAGGGACTGCTGTACTGCCCTTTATTTTGTAATAATATATATATATATAACTTTCCTGAAAGAACTAGTTGGAGGAATAAGTCCCAGGAAACATATTCACATGAAATGTGATAAACCACACAACCTGTGCACAGAACCAATACTGGACAAAATGGAGAGCAGAACAGCTAAGTGACTAGGAGCACAGGTTTTGAGGCAGACAGTCCTGGTTTGAAATCTTTTCTTAGAGACTTTCTGTCACCTTGAAACAATTAAAATCAAGACTGTTTGACTTCACTTAGACCAGTGTTTTCTTATCTGTAAGATGGAGATAATACTGTTTCATGAGCTGTATTATTAGAAAGATTAAAAGAAAAATAGGTTTAAAAATTGAGTAATTTGCCTGACATTTAGTCAATACCTGAAAATGTCAATTAATATAACAACAAAATAGAAATACATAGGACAACTGAAAAGAGAGAAAAAGTGAATAAATGAGAAGCTGAGGACCCTAAGGGCAAATTTTGTGCACATCATATCTTTGCCAGTAGTTCTTCCTGTTTACCTTCTATTGGTTGGGGAAATTTAGAGGCCATGGCTGATAATATTGTGTCAGTGCCTGAGCTCTGCTTTGTGTTATTTATAAATATTTTTGCTTATTTTTCTTGGATGATGCTATAAACAGTGATTCATCCTCCTTAAATGGAGTCTTTGTTAATTGAAGATATCTGCCTTCAAGGGGCTTTTTTGTAGAAACAATAAGGATATACAGGAAACAGTTAAAATATAAAACTTATTACATGAAGGTCATCAGGGCTACAGAATAATGTGGAAGGGAAAGAACACGTTGTGGGGATCAGATTCCATGTAAAGGACAGCTCCACTTTTCTATTTCAATGTGGACATTGAGATAAAATAGCATAAAAGTATGTTTGACACCAGGGCTCAATAAGCATAATCCTGAAACAGCTACTGTAAAAATAATCTTTTTAGCAGATCTTGTTTGTAAGTTTTTAATTTCTTAGAAAAAATCAGCATTTTTTAAAAGTATTTGGTCCATCCTCACAAATACTTGAAAGACAGCTAGAGACTTAGTTTCTTCATGTTCCAATACATGGATTCCAGAATTACTAAAGAGGACAATGTTGGATTCCTTACCCCTGTCCCCAGGAAGCCACATTTTCTGAGAAGAGATCCTACATTGGGCTATTTTTGACTTTCCAATAAGCTGTTATAGTGTAATGGCCAATACACAAACATTATGTGTTTGTGGAAGCAAAATGGAGAGATAATAGAATCTTATTCTCCTCTATATTGATTTCATATGGAGGAGAATCAAAGGCATATATAATTGATTTAATTTTTTGGATTTTAAAATTTCAATCAAAGATGGGTTCAAAATGTGTTCTTTATCCTCCATTGATATTTGGTCACATAAAAGGTTTTATGAATATGTTGGAACTTGCCTGAATTTAATGCCAATTTACTGATATACTAGGCATATTTTAGTTTATTTTGTTTTGTGATGATTTTTTAAAAAAAGAAAAATTCTACTTTTGTTCCTCATTATGAGTGTAATCTTTCCCCCTTCTTTTTAGAAAATTTAACTTGAACTTGAGTACAGAACTCAACAGAGTTTATAATATTATAGTTTACAGGTAGCTTGTCCATGTCAAAGTTGTATATCAATTAATTTAACAAATTTTTGTTTATGATCTTCTATATTTCAGGCACTGTGCTAGGTACTGGTGGTACAGAGAAGTCAACAAAACATATACAAATCCGTTCTCTCATAGAGTGTTCAGTCAGAAATTAAAGTGATAAGAAAAACAAGTCATATTGTAATGGGACTCAATACTTTAGAGCAATAGAGGGGGAGTTGGGATGCCAGGAGCCTGGGGAAGGGTTACACTTTTAAATAATGAGGTCAAGGAAGATTCACTGAGAAAGTGACAGTTGAGCAAAGATCTGAAGGGCAGTGAGAGAGGAAACCACATGGATACATTGGGTGAGCATATTCTTGGCAGAGGAAACAGCAAGTGCAAAGATGCTGAAGTAGGAGCCTGCCTGTGAAAAGAAAAGGAGGCCATTGTGCTGGGAGAACTACCAGGAAGGGAAGGGTGGAGGGAAGAGATCCCTGGGATGGGATAGGGGTGGAAAGGTAGGTTCTGTAGGGCCTTTTGACTGCTGTGTATTGAGAACAGATTGTAAGGTACCAACGGCAAATCAGGGGGATGAGTCAGGAGGCAGTTACAGTAACCTGGACACAAAGATAGTGTCTATCTACCTACTGTGCATTTAATGCTGCAAGTATTGTATGTAGAGACCAAGTACAAAGAGGTCCTTTCTGTTGATTTTTCGGTCTGAATTCTTTTCCCCTTGTGGTTCAAATCTTACATGGAAGGGAAGGAAAAGTCAATTACATGTTTCACAATTTTTAGTCATTACTGGTAATAATAATAATAATATGAATCTTGCATGTATATAGCATTTTGTAGTTTTCAGGGCTTTCTTATATATATTTTCATGCCTAGCCCTCAAAATAGCCTACATTGAATGAGTAACAGCTCTGAGGTTTATAAGACGTACCCAGAGTCATGTAGTGATCCCTTCTCTTTTCAGGATATTGACTTTGGTGAATATATACAAACTAAATAATAATCAATAACCTTGTATTTGTGGAGAAGAGGTTTTGGGTACACTTAAAGAATACTTAGCCAAAGACTCATTAAGAGTATATCTGACATTGGTGGTGGCTGTGTTGTAAGCTGAGAAAATTTAATTGTTATTGATTCTTTAAAAACGAAAACACTTAAAAACAGGAACATTTTCTCCTTTTAAATTCACCTTTTCTTTTTGTAGGATTCACATACCTAAAAATGAAATAGAAAAAAGTATACAAAAACTGGAAGAACCCCACAAGTGTGAGGGAAATTATAATACCAAAAATACTTAATTTTTGCTGAGCAGTAATACTAGATACAGGGTTGCCTTATACATGTCAAAATATTTCAGGCAAAAAAGATTTCACTATGAAATTTAAATAATGAGGCTCATGACATTTTACTTTTAACCTACAAGATAGCATTGAATACAATGAAAATATTCAAGTTATGTCAAAGAAAATAGCATAAATAACATTTATGTATGATTTTATTTAAATTTAAAGTATATTTCATATGTTTCAGGGAAAGGAGGGAGAGATTGCAGAAATTGCTATATATTATAGTAGTTGAGAAAGCAGGATGTGGTATTTTGTATTCAGAAATATATCATGTAACAGCTGTTGCAAAATTTGACTTAAAAAAACCTGAATGGGCAAATATACCTTTCTAGTCAAAGGGAATAATATATCACTTGAATTGCGTTCTCGAATTGCCATTTGTCTGGGAGATTGAATTTTTGAACATAGTAGCAGTAAAATGCAAAAAAGGCAGATTAATGTAGAGATGTTTGTGAAAAAATTTAAGTGCTCAAGATAGGAATTTGAACTTATGGTTCACACAATAGCAATCCATTCTCTCTTACAAATATGACTGTTGAAATGATTAATATTTTATGTTGAAAAATCTACTTATTTGAATGTTTCAATTATAATATTCCCTGTTAAAGATATATTTTTTCACTTTTCTGTTGAAATGACAGTATGTGTAATATGCAACTGATGTTCTGGCTATCAGTCTGACGAACTCTTGCAATATGTAGAATATGTGGTAGGCATAGTCCTTTTGAAACATTCCTTTTTGTTTTTTAGTTTTGTTTGTAGAGATGGGGTATAACTATGTTGCCCAGGCTAATCTTGAACTCCTGGCCTCAAGCAGTGCTCCTACCTTGGCCTCCCAAAATGCTGAGATTACAGATGTGAACCACTGAGTCCAGATGAAACATTGTTTTGAACTTTTTGGTAGGGAATGGTTCTGAGGTAGCTGAGGGATTGATGCCATGGGTGACATCTGAGACAGGAGTTTATGGTTCTCTGTTCCTCTCCTTTTTTTAGGTGAACTACTGTTTACATCCTTCTTATTCCCTCCCTCCTTTAAATTATCCATTCAACAGTATTATCTAGTGCCACCTATATGCCATGGCATTATTCTAGGGGCTAGAAATACAGCTCTCTGCTCCCTTGAACTTGCTATCTTGTAGTGAATGTGGACAATAAACAATTTAAACAAATGAAAATGTTAATTATGGATGGACCAAGAAAGAAACCGAGAGAGAGAGAGAGAGAGAGAGAGAGAGAGAGAGAGAGGTGCAAAATTGTGTGTATTCACAGGGTGAGGGAAAGCTGCTCACCTCACAGGAAGGCTGAAGCCTGAAATGATAAGAGCTAGCTGTTTCTCTTCTCCTGCTCTTTTTCTTTACAGTAGCCCACAGATTCCTAGTAGCTTGGCTGCATTTACCACTTTCCATCTGCCCAGAGTTGAAGCCAATGGCATGCTTTTACCTCTTCTCCCTCCCTTAGGGATATGCCAAAGATAGTGAGATTGACATTGCCTAATATGCCTCCCTTTTCTTACTTCCCATTAAGAATACAGTAATTATAATGTATTTCAGAGGCTTTCCTGAGCCTTACACCAGCCTCCTGCTTCATCATCTTCGTACCACACAACATGTTTTATTTGCTTCAGTTATAGGCCTTCTCACATTGCCTTGCAATATTTGTCTTCTGTCCCCTTCCAAAATGCCACAGCCCACCTGCCCTCAATAAAAGCCAGGTAGGAATAAATAATTTCTATTCACCTTTGTTTTACCAGAGGCTAACACAGTGTCTGAAGCCAATTAGTTTCAATAACTGTGTTGTATTTTTTAACCAAATCAATAAGTTGTTTAAACTTACACTTCTTGCTTTTATGATAACTTCAACCCACAAATATTTCCTCTCCTTTCTGATACCTAAATGATGAAATGGAAAAATAAAATCTGATATAAGGATTAATTTAAGTAACTTAATGCATTCTTGTCAATTAAGTAAAATTTAAAAGGTACATTAATCACTAGTTTCCCCTCTTTCACTATTTATATTTTTCTCAACCTAAGAGAGCAGGATGCTGAACCATACTTAGAATTAATCAGGAGAAACATGGGAAACATGCAGAAAACAACATAATTATATGTGCACTTTTAAGCTACAAAGTGAAATTAGGTAAGTCATTTGAAGATCTGTATGATTCATTATAATGCAATCAATTATGTGGCTCACCTTAAATTATAACATAACTCTGAGAAAAATACCACAGCCTTAAAAATTATTTTATGTGGATGATGGCATCATGCATATGCAGAAACCAGTATAGATATTTATAATTTTTCACAGCAAAAGTTTTAAACATCATTTTAACGTAACATTTAAAAAGTAATTTACATTTCGAATATTTAGTTGCACATGGTTTTATTTGTTTGCTCATCTCTAATATGGAAAGAAATTGATTATAGTTCATTCTTTTAGTTTCAGAACTGTTTGCCATTTTCTCTTTGTTAATTTTTAAAAATGTAAATAAGTATCATCAATTTGTGGATTAGCAGTCATTGCCTCCAAATATCATGGCATTTTTTTTCTCTGATTTTTGGCAGAGTCTTTTAAGTCTGCATGTGATTTCATCATTTTTAATAATACCAATCTTAAAGAATGGCCATCATGTTCTTTGGACATTGATTACTCCAGAAGGGGAAGAATATAAAAAACACCAATGCCCAAGTTTGTTTGTTGTGAAAATAGCCACACTTGAAGTCTACTTTTATATTGTTCTTGTAAAACATCAATTATTATACAGTAAAAGATAAATTCAGCTGAATATGTGGGGAGAAGGGAAGGAAAGATTTGAAGATTATTTAATAATGTTTTAACTTTTATGTTCTTCATGTATGGCATAAAAACTTATTTAAACTCCTGAGGTTTTAGTTGAGTGTATGTTTTAAATAAATATTATTATTTAAGTAAAACATAGTATCACTGTAATTGTACTCTCAATGTAGATGCCTGTTTTTGTTTTACTGTGAGTTCAGAGGGAATAGTTGTTTCATAATGAGTTTCTGTTCATGAGCAGTAAATAAAAATAAGAAGGAAACAGTGAGGAGAAGGCAGAGTTAGTTTCTCTTCATATTCTAATCCATTAATGACACATATATCATGAATGTCTAATTCTGCATTAAAATCTTGATTAAGATGGAAGAGTTTCTGGTTTTTCACCTTTAAATATTCTTTAATATGGAGAGTTGACAGTGATGGATTAACTAATATGTAATAAATACAGAATCAGAGATCTGGAAATAATCCTTGAGACATCATTTCCAATTCCCTGAATCTTGGGAGAAGTACACCTAAGTGTTGGAGTTCCTAGAAATCTTTAAAGAAAATTTCATTACTTTTTTATTGGGAGATATATCATACACACAGATGCGTATATAAAGCTTAGACAGCTTAAACAATAGCTGTAAACTCCTGTACAGAACCACCACCCAGGTCAAGAAATAGAACATTACTAATATCCCAGAAGCCCTCTCTATGTAAAATTTCATTTACTCTCTATCAAAACAAGCTCCAGGTATTTTCAAAGTTTATATTCAAGGATTCCATGTAGAATCATTATTTCTTTTTCCCAAAATGTCAGAAATTTGTTACTGAAAAGAGTTAAACTCTATAGAGATCTTCTTTAAGCTAGAGGTATTTCTATTCCTGGTACTTTTGAAATGCATTTAGAGGCTGAAAGTGAATGTGTATCATTTAGATAATTGTGCCAGTTGGCCAGGCGTGGTGGTATGTGCCTGTAATCCCAGCTACTCGGGAGGCTGAGACACAAGAATCACTTGAGCCCGGGAGGTGGAGGTTGCAGTGAGCCAAGATCTCTTCACTGTACTCCAGCCTGGGCGACAGAGCAAGGCTCAGTCTCAAAAAAAAAAAAAAAAAAAAATTGTGCCAGTTACATTTGAATAAGGTGTGTAGAGCATCCTTCTTTCTGTCTTTAAATCACAGAGGCTTCAAATGAAATGTTATAGAGGCTTGGGTGAAAACTAAATCGAGCTATGTATTTAAAACATGTATCATAGCCAAAGAAATTTTATCCAGTGAGTTAGAGTAGCCTAATATCAGAAAATCTATTAAGGTAATTTCCTACATTAATAGATTAAAAGAGAAAAAATTATTTTTTAATGGTTTTACCAAAAATACTTAATAAAATTCAGTGTCCTGTCATTATAAAAACTCTTAAGAAACTAGGAATAGAAAGAACTTTCTTAACTGGGTACAGGTTATCTGCCAAGACCCACAACAAACATCATATATGATGCTGAAACATTAGACACATCCTTTTGAAATTAGAAATAAGATGTGCTTACTCCCACTGCTTCTATTAATCATTATACTAGAGGTTCTAACCAGAGCAATAAAACAAGAAAAATGAAAGTTCAAATATTATCTACATACCTAATTAAAATTAATATGCTTATGTATTACATGTAATTTTATATGTAAAATTAATGTACAATTAAATTAATACATTGTATTTTCTTAGAAACAAATTTAGAAACATAGAAACACCTATGCAAACTAAATTTTCAATGATGATGCTTAAAAGGCAAGAAAGGTAGATTATCTTCATTTGTTGTTTATGATCGTATAATCTTTGTTTCCATTCAAAAGTGTTTATATTGATGAACAATCATGGGCAAAATGAAGTCTAGAGAATAATCATTATGATTATTTTGTCTTGTAAGCTTTGTGACAAAAATTCATCAATTAAAATGTATTGACTTGTACATAGTGCATTCTTACAGCAATGATAATTTGAAGAGGAATTTCCATACAAATGTGGTTATAATAAATTGGGTTTCACAAATTTTGCTTTTACTGGTATATAGATTATGTAATAGTAGTAGTAGTAAAATATATAATTTGGGATTGAGTTTAGCTGCATAGAACAAAACTAGTGAAAATATTTTCAATAAAATAGAAGTTAATCAATATCATGAATGAAAGAATTCTGAAGATAAGGTGATATATTTTCCATATATTTACGGGACCTAGCCTTCTTGCAGCTCATCACTCGTCCATCTTCATGATGCAGCCCCCATTCTCATGGTCCAATACAGCTGTTAAGCCTCCAATCATCACATGCTCCTTTTAGCCAGCAGGGTAGAGGAAGGGGCAAAGAAGAGCACACAAAACTTTAAAACTTTGACACATGGCTTCGTATATCTGCAGTTGAGGCTGGGCATGTCCTTTTTTAATTGAGCAGTAATATGACCAGCCAAAAATTAGAGTTCTTGTGATGAAGGTGAAAGGGGAAAAGGATATTGCAAGGCAAGTGTCTGTTATAGATGGGTATTTTTATTTAATAACTAATCTGATTTAATTGTTGGAAGATTAGAAGAAACATACTCTTTATGTGATTTTACTTTGTCTCTTGGTATAGGAATAGTGTGTCACTGAGCTGGATTGTTTAAGAAAATTTTGTCATTAAGAAGAGTAAACAAACTAGTATAGAAACAAGAAATAGCATACATAGTAAGTTTCATTAAAATTCAGCTATTTAGAATGGAATTGCCTAATTCTTTCAGGCAACTCATGCTAATAAGTTGTACTTAGCATAATTGCTGGGTTACTACTATCTTTTCTCCAGATTAAGTATTTTTGATTTACATTTATATGACAGTTGTCCTCTGCACTTAGAGTAATAGCATCCTGTTTATATATTCTGGGACCCAGAATTAAGTCTTGTTTTTCTAGCTTCTCCACCTGTTCATTCTCAAACACCTACAAATACACACACACACACACACACACACACACACACACACACAAAGTAGTTATCAGAACATGTGCAGTCTGCATTTTTTCTGTCCTTTGAATATCCTAGCAGATTTGTTGTATATTCATAAAGACTTAAAGACATTTAAAGGTTTGAAAGAGAGGCATTAATTTTAATGCTTCAAGAAAATTTCTGGAGCATTCCCAACCATTTATGAATCTGCAGTTATAACTTTACAGATGAACATAAATGAAGAGTTGCAAAAATATAGAGCACCCCTGAAAGTATTTATAAATTTTGTCATAATCAAAATCTCACTAAGACTTTTTCTTGAACTCGAAAATATAGATTCATTAATTTATTTTGAAATAGAAGCTGGAGATAATAGTAAGCAACAAAATACAGACACATAAGACAAGGGGAACTTGAATTTTCAGATGTCAAGAAGTACTTATTACAAAGTTAAAACCTGACAACAAAATGGATAGTTAGATCAATGAAAATGCATAAACATCTGAAAAATATGCCTAAATTTATAGGTAAGTAGCATGTGGCAAGTCTATCTGGATAGAATTTAATACGGCTATACACAAAAATTGAGTAACTGAAAAATGAAAGTTTCTTCCTATTGCATATCATACACAAAAATATATTTCAGATGGGTCCAAACATTATCGACAAAAATGAATTAGAACCATAATTCTGATTCTGTAAGTCCTAAACTCCAGATGAGAGAAGGACTTACAAAAGGAAAACGCATAGAACACAAAGAAAAAATATCAATAATTTAACTTTACAAAAATACAACCTAAATATATATATATATATATATATCTCCACATATGTGTAAATGCATAGAAAAGAGACTGAAGAATATTAATATGGTTTGGCTATGTCCCCACCCAAATTTCATCTTAAATTCCCATGTGTTGTGGGAGGGACCTGGTGGGAAGTAATTGAATTGTGGAAGCAGGTCCTTCCCATGTTGTTCTCATGATAGCGAATAAGTCTCATGAGATCTGATGGTTTCATAAAGGGAAGTTTCCCTGCACAAGCTCTCTCTTTGCCTGTCACCATCTATGTAAGACGTGACTTGCTCTTCCTTGCTTTCCACCATCATTGTGAGGCCTCCCCACCCATGTGGAACTTTAAGTCCGTTAAACCTCTTTCTTTTGTAAATTGCCCAGTCTTGGGTATGTCTTTAACACCAGCGTGAGAATAGACTAACACAAATATGTACAAAATTATTAAGAGAAGTTACCTTTATTTGAGGAATGGGTGTTGTGTGAGTTAGTCTTTGACAGTTTACTCAAGTACTGCTGTTTAGTTTGAAGCCTGAAACAACAACAGTGTAATGAGTTAATGTATCATTTATTGAACCAAAACAATTAGGAATGGGAGAAAAAGCAAAGAATTAATGCACAGTCTGCATTGAATAATTTTTATGAGCCATACTTTGAGAGAAACATAACTTCTCCATTTGATATATACAACAATGTTAGGATTTGGTAAATTCGCCATAATCTAGAGACATTCTTATCCCACCATCAGGAACTATTCCAAGGGAAGAGGAAGAGGAGAAAAATGTGGTTTTAAGAAGCAAGGTCCTAACATGGCTCTAAGAAGCAAGTCAGCCCACTAGGTGAAAAGAAAGTTCTACAGCTTGATCAGTGGTACTGTTGTACAGTATCCTAACCTAAAGCCTAATTATGTTTTAAATAAACCACCAGAGCCTAAGGACTTGACCCATGAGTAAATGCACCACTAAATGTGACATACATGATAAAACACTTTAATGTTACTGGAATTGTGGTTTCTCACATTGAGTATGTATATTTAGTGTAATGAATCTCTTTTTATTCCTCCCTTCAAAGTTACTATTAAATTGAGACTACGTCTTAAAACTGATGGTCCAAGAAAATAGAAAAAACAAATGACAAAGAACTTCAACCCAGCCTCAGCTTATACAAAAACGAACACAAAATAGATCACAGAGTTAAATGTAAAAAATAAAACTATAAGGAAAAAATAGGAGAAAATTCTTTAGGACCTATGGCTGGATAAAAAGTTCTTAGACGTGACACTAAATTCCATAAAAAGAAAAACTAGTAACTTGGAGTTCATCAAAGCTAAAAACATCTTCTCTGTAAGATCCCTTGTGAAGAGGATGTAAAGACAAGCTACAGAGTGGGAGAAAATATTTGCAAACCAGAAATCTGAGAAAGACCTTATGCCTATAGTATGCAACAAGCTCTCAGAATTCAACAGTAAAAACAAATCAATCCAAATAGAAAATGGGCAAAGGACATGAATAGACATTTCCCTGAGAAAGATCTATAGATGACACATAAGCCTTCTATAGATGCTCAACATCATTAGCCATTAGGGAAATGCAAATTAAAAGCTCAATGAGGTATCACTAAACACCTATCACACAGGTTAAAATTTTAAAATAGTAACATCAAATACTGACAAAGATACAGAGAAATGGTTCACTCATACATTGCTAGTGGGAATCTAAAATGGTACAACAATGTTGGAAAAAAGAACAATTGCATTCTTGAACATTTATCCCAGAGAAATGGAAATTTATGTTCATGCAAAAACCTGTATATACATGTTCATAGCAGCTTTATTTGTAGAAGCTAAAAACTGGAAACAACCAAAATGTCCTTCAAAAGGTGAACAGTTAACCTAGTACATCTGTACTATGTAAGGAGGCTCAGCAGTAAAAAGGAATGAACTATTGATACATGCAACAACTTGGATGGATCTCAAGGGATGATGCAGAGTGCAAAAAGCCAATCTCAGATTACGCACTATATGATTCTGTTTATAAAACATTCTTGAAACAATAAGCTTTTTGAGATGGAGAACAGATTTCCTAATTGTGCTATTGTACTATGGTCATACAAGATGTTACCATAGGGGAAAATGAATGAAGGGCATGTGGGATCTCTCTGTACTATTTCTTCCAACTGCATGTGAGTCTACAATGATCTAAAACATGCCTGTAATTCCAGCCATTTGAGAGGCCGAGGCAGGAGGATTGCTTGAGGCCACAAGAGATTGAGACCAGCCTGGGTAACATAGCGAGACCCCCATCTCTACAAAAAATTAAAAAATCAGCTGGGCATAGTGGCTCATGCCTGTAGTCCCAGCTACTGGGGAGTCTATGGTCAGAGGATCCTTGAGCCCAGGAGTTCGAAGCTGCAGTGAGCTATGATCACACCACTGCACTCCAGCCTGGGCAATAGAGCAAGACTCTGTCTCTCTTAAAATATAATAATAATATAAATAAAAACAAAAAAAAGAATGGGCTCTTAAACACAAGGGAAAAGTAACACAAAACTCAACAGTGTGGTTAAGTAACTTGTCCAGGGTTCCACAGCTTATGAGTAGCAGAGCTTAGATATAAACTAAGGACCTTTAAAATTTGTCTGTTTCACAACCCATGCCACCTTCCTCGGAATGCCCTTCTCTTGAAGTGAACAGGAGTAGTTTTTACATACAGGACTTGGGAGCCATTTCTCCAGACTAGCAGATATAATTGAGATCAGATTGTAAGTTGTAGTCAAATTCCTCTCAACCTGTGTTATCCAAAATATCTGGCAGTGCTTCTCAAACATCACAAGATCACCTGGGAATCTTGATAAAATACAGTTCCTCGTTCAGTCTTGAGTAGGCCTTAGCCACTGCATTTCCAATAAGCTCCCAGGTAATACTAAAGCTGCAGTCCGTGGGCCACACATTGAGCAGCTGTTTGTAACTAAGGTGACTTTTAAAATGGTTTATAACAAACAGCGTTTCAGATGTGGTTAGGATGCTGCACATGAGATGAGAGGAGGGGCACATGAAATGAGAGACAAAGAAAGCGTTGTCAGGCTATAGTGTTAAGTATGGGGATCTAGCCATAAGGGAAAACAGGATATGCTTTATTTATATACACAGATAAGTGGAGACAATTGACAGGCATTTTGAGTGTGGAAAGAGAAAACAAGAGTCAAAGCATAATGTTAAAGTGATGCCGTGTGGTCAGTTGCTAGAATATCAGCTGTTTGCTATAAATGTAATGTTCACTTCCTACATTCATGTGTAAGGAAAATTACTGATAAGGTAGGAAGTTTATTTTTTCTACAGCCTAGACTGTCATAAAATCCGATGGCTCCATTTTCATTCATTTAAATATTTGGGGATTCGATTTGTCCTGTTATCTAAACTAATTAAGGTCAGAACATCCAATACTTCCATTTATTCAGGGGTACAAATGTTTTCTTTTTGTGTTACTGAATAGCATGAAAACATCGTGCTGAAGAGTTTTAGATGCCCTACGTTCAAAGTCTTTATTTAATTATTAGTGCTTTTATCAGGCTTTATGCAAGGTGCCAGGTTTTCTGAAGTAACTAAAACTTGATATGGCTTTATGTTATGATGGGAAATTAATAAATGAGGATGAGAACTGGGGAAATGAAGTGTGAAATTATGTGGTATTTCAAAATGTAAGCTTCCTTTGTGATCTATGTTTTATCATATACTAGCTCACATTTGGTGGTGCATTTGCTCATGGGTCAACAGGCCCTTAGGCTGTAGTAGTTTCTTTAAAACATCAGGCCTGAAGTATATACTAACTATACCACTAACCAGGCTTGTGTTTCATGGGGTGTTGAATTGTGCTGAATTATTTCTTAGAAGCAAGTTGATGCTTTTTTTCCTTTTCTTCCTCCCTTAAACTACTCCCTGATGGTGAAAAATAACAATGAAATATACAGCTACCCTTGAGAAGTTCACATTCTCACTGGTCACCTGCCTCCAGTTTGCCCCCAACTTCCATTTCAGCCTCCAGGTCACTGCCAGAATGAGCTTGTAAAACACACATGGGATCTTCTCACCTATAGGATAAAGATAAATCCCTAGGCATGGATCACGAGGTCCTTTGTGCATTGGCTCCTGCCCTTTTCTCTGGTCTTATTTCCCATCCCTCTGTGTGTTCTGGTTGTACTTAACTACTTGTAATTTTAAAAACTCAACTTGCTGTCTCCTGCCTCAAGGTTGATCTATAAGCGGTTTCCTCTCTTTTGGATGCTTTTTCTCCACTGCCACCTGGTAAACACCTGGTGGTTAGCTCAGATACAGCTTCCTCCTGGAAGCTGCCTGTCTCAGTCAGGCTGTTAGGTTTCAAGGAGTAGAAACCCACAAATAAAAAGTGTTTATACAAGTGAAAGAGCAGGCCACTTCATGGACATCCCAGAATAAGGCAGGTTATATAGCAAGGACTTTGGGTATGGAAGAGGACAGTCAAGAACTAAGGTTGGTCACGTGCTGTCTTATGGCACTGCTTGATCTCTATCTCTTTTCTTTCTGTGCCTGCTCCCTTCTTCTCTTGATTTACAAAGTGATGTTCTGGCTTCTCAGTTCTTCTGTCACTTTAGCTTGCTCGTAGCTTTGCTTTGGCTTACTCTAATGTCAAGTTGGCCCTGATTCTACATGAATTTTCAAGTCAACTAACATCTCCTTTTCTTCTTTTCAAATTAGCAGGGAGAGATTTTTGGATGGACCCAGTTAAGTCAAGTGGACAATTAGCTATGGCTGAAGAGGGTCATCATATCTTACATGGGTCATACCTTTCAAGGCTGGGAGAGTGTGGTTAGTGCTGCTGCTTTGATTCTACCACTTAGAAGTAGACCATCTTTTTCTTTCTCCCGAGTCCCATTTTACTAAGCTCCTAAGCACTCATTTTTCCTTATCCTTCACTCAAAGGGTCTAAGGTACTCAGATTTCAGGACGCAGCATCTTGCCCTGTATTAAGAAACCCTTCTGCTGGAATCACCTGAGGTCAGGAGTTCAAGACCAGCCTGGCCAACATGGTGAAAGCCTGTCTCTACTAAAAATACAAAAACTAGCCAGGCATGGTGACATGTGCCTATAATCCCAGCTACTCGGGAGGCTGAGGCAGAAGAATCTCTTGAACCCGGTGGGTGGAGGTTGCAGTGAGCTGAGATCATGCCACTGCACTCCAGCCTGGGTGACAAGAGCAAAACTCCATCTCAAAAGTTTTTTTTGCCAAGTAAGAAGACAACTTCAGTTATTTGAGTGGGCATGGTTTCACTGGGATCATTATAAAATATTTGCTTTGGTTGATGCAGTGAATGCAACTCTTTATTTGGGAAAAAAAAATTTAGTAAAATATAAAAGAAAATTCGATATTTAAAATTCCTTGTGCTGTGAAAATTTATCTACTTGAGTCAGCTAAAGATAGTAAAATTACATTTAGGTTAATATCATTCCGCTCTCTAAACTACTTCCTAAGACTATTCCGGTGAGAGTACTTCAGATGATAAGGGGCAAAATTTCCTAGGAAAACTTATTTAGGTGGAAATATCCTAAAGAAACTCAATTAAAACTGAAATCGGTCAGAGAACTAAAAAGTTTTATCTTTAAATACACACTACATCCTACAATTTCTTCCATTGTGCCCTATTTTGAGAATTTATCTTACAAAACATTATTTCTATTATAGCAAGAATAAGAGCATGGTGAAAATATTATTGATTATTGCCAATGAAAAACACTGGTTTTTGAGGATTCTGTTCCAAGTAGCCTTCATGATCTTCCTGAAAAACCTGTTCTTCATGCTGGGATTTGCAGAATATATAGAATGATCTTCTGTGGGTGTCAGAAGGAGGAAATGCCTAAGGAAAAGAATTCTGTAAAATTTATTTGGATTACCAGATGTGTTCTCTTTCTCTCTCTTCATGTCCTTCTCTTTCTTCCTCTTTTTTTTTTCTCTAAGCAGAAGTCATAGAACTTGACTGTTCTTTACTTTTCCCAGTTATAAGAAGAGGATGTTGATACCGGTTTTGCTTTCTCCTGATTATTTTGGGGAATCTTGTGAATATACCTTATAAACTGTTGCATTTTAGAAATATGAGATACTGTTGGTGCCTACTGTACACGGCAAAGGCAACAAAGATGACTAACACATGGCCCTTACATGAAAGGGTTAACCCTTCAGCAGATGGATGGATTCTTCCCTGGATAACTGAAAAGCCTCACTGTGGAAAGGGGAACCCTATATATACTGACTTATGAGCGTCCCACAAAGAAAAGACCAACTTGATGCTCAGGCCTCCTCCAGAGCAGCACCAGACAGCTTTTTAGTGTCTCACTGTGAAATGCAAATACACAGTCACAAATCATCAGACTTTTTAGGGAGGTGTCTGGAGAAAGGGAGAATTTTGAAAAAGAGAGAAAAGAACTCAGCTGAAACAATGTAGGGAGGAACAGATAATAGAACTGAAACTAGAAAATGGAGAGAGTTGATAGGTAAAGTTGAGGAAATCCCTCACAAAGAAGGATAAAAACAAAGAGACAGTGGAAAAGAAATGCCAGGAAATTTGGGGGATCATTCCAGCAGGTCCAACATCTAAATATAGGAGTTTTAAAGAAGATGATAGAGATAAATGTGGAACAGAAATTGTCAAAGAATATGTAAGAATATTTATCAGAATCAGTATCTTAAGTCTTCAGATTAGAATGGCCTAGCAAGATGAATGAGAAAAGACCCATATGAGGGCACATCAATAAAAGTTCAGAACAAGAAGTCAAGGAGAAAACTTTAAAAGCCTCCAGAGAATGGAGAGAGAAAGAGATTGAGATATCACAAATAAACTATAAAAAATCAGAATGGCACCTGAATTCTAAACAATAGGACTATAAGAAGACAGAGGGACAATATCCTTAAAATTCTTGGGGGAAAGGATTGTCATTATATAAACCCCTATCCACCCAAACACAATCATGGATATAGCTAAAATAAAGATATTCTCAACACGGATCTGGAACCGCGCTCCAGTTCCAGAACTCTAGTAAAAAGAAAAAGGTGGCCGGACGCGGTGCCTCACGCCTGTAATCCCAGCACTTTTTGGGAGGCCAAGGCAGGCGGATCACGAGGTCAGGAGATCGAGACCATCCTGGCTAACACAGTGAAACCCTGTCTCTACTAAAAATACAAAAAATTAGCTGGGCATGGTGGCATGCACCTGTAGTCCCAGCTACTTGGGAGGCTGAGACAGGAGAATCGCTTGAACCCGGGAGGCGGAGATTGCAGTGAGCCGAGATCGCGCCACTGCACTCCAGCCTGGGTGACAGAGCAAGACTGTCTCAAAAAAAAAAAAAAAAAAGGAAAAAGAAAAAGGTGCATAAGTAAAGGTAACAATCATGGGACACTACTTGGTTCAGTGGAGAGCATTAGTTATATAGTTTAGCAACTTAAATATTAATTTAACCAAAAATTGTGATATGAATCTATTGGAATGCTGGTGGGATGTGATAGGAGACTTAAATCCTCATCTTCCAAAGTAAGAAGTCAATAGATAATTAATGGAACTGTGAAATTGATAAATTAGAATATCAACATATTCGGGAAAATGAATGTCAGTACCAGAACACCCTGCTAAAAGAGTGGAAAATAATTGCATCTCAGGAGCAGGATTTGGAGTAGCTGGGCAAGGGAATGCTGTTTTCATTGTAGGTTTTTAGTACTATTTGACTTTTAACTATGTGTATATATTACTCTCATTTTAAAAATCATTTAAACATTTATTTTCTATTTCAAAACTTGATATATATCCAAATTTGGTATGCGCCATTTTCCTTAAACTTTACTATGAGATCCTGAAGAACTGTGTCATGTATTTCTTTATGTTATTCCTTGTTCCCATTCATTCACTTAACATTTACTAAGTATGTCAATGTGTTTTTGTGTGCTAAGTTTGGGGATATAACAGTGGAATGTGCAGGATGAAGCTTGATGCTTGCTGGGTTGAAAAAAAACAAATGAGCTTTCTTCTGAACTGAGGATGTTTTTTAGCCCTTAGCAAACATAGTGCATTGAGTAGAAGTAAGCATGGATGAAGGTATTGAAATTCATATTCTGTCTTCTCTGTAACTGATATAAACTTCTTCATAAACCCCCATCCTGCTGAGTAGTTGGAACATAATTAAATTTGCTCCTTAGAGTTATCTGGCTTGTCTGCTTTAACATTCTTTTTTCATGTAAATATTTGAGTAATTTCTAAATTTAAGTCCCTATTAGAGGGCTGTTCCATAACTTGCCCTCCATCTTTTTGTGTGAGTAGGCAGTTAGAAGAGCCTCCCTGTGAGCATCACTGCTCACTGGCAGAGGGAAAAAGAGTGTGGTGAATCACACACAGGCTTTTAAAACTTCAGAGTGGACACAATTCACTTCTGTTCCTCCTTATTGGCTAAAGGAGATCACATGGCCACTTGGTGGACAGTACTTGACTTCCCCACCAAGCGCGGGTAGTCGAGGGGGCGGCTGGCGGGGTGGTGGTACTTCAAGCTGCACAGCTGTGGGGAACGGAGCCATGTCTTCTTTACAGCTCATACAACGCCCTGCAAAAAACCAGATATCTGGGAAATTCTGATATGAAGAATCTAGAAGAAAGAAATCTAGAGGTAGAAAAAAGAGCAGGAGTAACTACTGACTACCATTTGGTCTCAAATTCAAATTAATTAATTGGTGGGACAAATGTGGGGCGACAGGAAACTCATATTGGTAGGTTCTATTTTGGGAAGACAAAAAGCAGATTAGTTTATTGACTGAATCTGCTGGAACAGGAGGAAAGAGGGATTGGGAAAACCTAAAACTGACTGTGAGGAGAACTCTGCTCAGTAATCGGATGCACGATTCATTTAGAAAATATTATTTTATGTGCATAAAAGTGGGATTGCTTTCCCTTAGAATTTTTCTATAATTTTATTACTATTGACTTTCTCCTTAGGAGAAAAATTTAAATACAAAAGATTCAGGAGTGTGAGTGAATACTTAGGTTGTGTGTATATGTATTTTGATTATATATTGGAACACGTTGCATAATTAAACTTAAATATTTTAATGGTATCTCATTTGGTATATCCTTGGAGGATAATTGGAACTCAATAAAGAATATTCCCTCTAGTGTGTTTTGTTTTTACATAACAAAGGCAGCCTTAATGAGCCTTTATCTCATTACAATGTAATACTAATAGTGATTTAAATATAAAAATGAAAGGGAAAATTTATCATAAATTTTATTCTCTTTTAGGCAAATAATACTGCTTAACTCATTCATTTTTCTGATTTTAAAGTCAGCATTTGATTAAGATAAAGCTTACTGATAAAAGATGTTGACCTTTTTGATAGCAAGCACATTTTTGGCATTTTGTGAAAAGATGAGACAATTGCAAAGTTTTAGGAACAAGGAAAATAGGCCATTTTAACATATTAATTTGGCTAAATCAGAATGAAACAATTAATAGTATTGTTTTAATATCTTAAAATAACTCTGTAGCCTTGAGTTCAAGAGAAATACGGCATGTTAGTGCTATGTTATTATTTATGGAGAAAGGACTTTCACCTTTGTGTTTTTTTCTTAACCTTGTTTTAATTGATCAAATAATTTAAAGTGTGTTTTCTCATTATATTTGAATGCATTAATATTTAATAATATCATTCTTTCATCTCTGTCATTCAACTTATCTTTTCTATTTAACCGTAGATGAAGGTATTGTGGAACAAAATGCAAATTCTACTATGCCAAAAAAGCAGTAATCTGTACAACATATTCTTATTTTCCTAGATATATACCCAGCATAACCAATGTGGAAGCTGCTTTCCCCATTGGTATCTATCCCTGAATCAATGATGCAGTCATCTGCACCAGCCATTATGATGGTGGAAATGACTGGCCAGTCAAGCATTGGCCATTAATTTTGAATACATCCTTGAAAATCATGTTGAAAAATAAAATGGTCAGCTTCTTTTAAGTATCTGATATACCTCTGGACTGATTATGGGGACTACTGATTATTTTAAAGCTTTATTTTGTCAATGGAATTTTACAGGTTTTGACAATGACCTTAATATATTTTTAAATAAGAATAAATATGAAAAAAGAATAAATATGATCTCTATCAAATGTGTAAATTTTGTATCTTTATGAATAGTTTATTTAAAAGAGTAATGCTCTGTTTTTTTCTATTTGGTTTCTATTTTTTTCAATCTTTAAAAACATAACCTTTCAAAAGGGTAACGGTTTCTGGTTGGGATTATTAGAAGTATGTTGTTTGCTTTATCCAGAGTTTTACATAATGTTATGAGTTAGTCGCACCAGGATCAAAGAAGTTTTTTTAATTTGTATGATTTCTTCAGTGTTTTAAAGAGGGATGTAATTTTATGACAATAGAAATTAATGTGGATTATAATGGGAAGCAAATTTAAAATATAAAATAAAATTTATGCATATATGCTGACTTTTAAAACTCCACTTCAAAGGAACTACCTCCCAGCAAGATAATTTACATAAGCCCTTTATTTAGGAATGAATACTAAATTCAATAGAATCAAGTAAAAAATAGTAAACTTGATTACACATACAGCATTTAGTATTCCTATAGCACTTAGTAGTCATACAATACATTTGATCTTTTAAAATGCTTTAGCAACAATAAGGTACATTTCTTGTCCGTATTTCTCTAAGGAAATAAGCAAGTATTACTAAGAATCTATTTGTGTAATTCAAATACTAAGCACCTAGTTAAGCACACCATTTTATATTTCATTTGTTCCAGAAACATCCAGCCACTTTTGGAATATAAATGTACATAATTGACCCTCACTGCTGATTTCTTTTGGCAGTTGGTTCTGCCAGACTGCTTCTGTATAGTTTTCTTAAGTCATGCAACACAAACTTGAGGCTAAGACATATAGTACCTGTCAGTGCCAGTACCTAATAAATGTTTCCTAATAATCCTGACATAACATTGATTATTCCCTTGGAATACAAATTGTTATTCCTGATTAGTGAAGCATATTTCAGATTATTTAGGTTGAGGTTTTAGTTATATTTTTGCTAAGTGAGAGAGTTACCATTTTTGTTTTTATTTTTAGTGTTAGGAAGAGTATTTTAATTTGGGTTTTTAGCTCTGTTTTTTCCCTGACTCTTCAAAGATAATTGTAAAGTGCCTGACGTCTGAAGATGTTCTAGTACTCTGAAATAATAAAGATGAAATATATATAGGTTCAGAATGAACAGTGTAAATTTAGAAAAATAAAAGAAAGATTTTATATTTTATCCATTGATAACGCTAAACCTGAAACACTAATAACAACTTGTGATCTCTCTGGTGCTTTACTCTTTTTAGAATTTGCTCAGATTATTTTTGTTTCTCACAGTAGCCATTTGGTAGAGCATTTATCAATACCATCTATTTAGACAGGGGGAACCAAAGTTAAGAAATGTGAAGGGAATCCCTTTAGGACTTAGAACTATCACTTCTGACTTCAAGTCTGCGCCCTCATTTTACACCAGTGGTTTTCATTCATTGGCTCAGAATCCACAGGGGAGGCAGATTTAGGGTGAAGCCCAGAGTCACTGCCAGGAAATGAGCATTGTGCGATGTGAAACAATAACACTTCTCACACTTACGTGTACTATTGGTTTGAATTATATGTGACATGAAGTAAAAATTTATTTAAAAGCATTACTGATTCAGTAATGATTCAGCTTAGCCTTTATGTATTTTGCTAATAAATACCAGAAGTACAGCCTCTATCAAGTTGGTAGATCCTGCCTTGAAGGCAGCCAAAGTTGCGGTTCAGTCCCTGCCCCACTACTGCTGGCAACATGATGTGCAACACGTTCCTTGACTTCTGTGCCTCTATTTGCTCATCTGTAAAATGTAGATAGTACTTAGACCTAGCTTATAGGATGTCATGAGCATTAAATGAAATTATACATGGAAAGTATTTAAAATGCTGCCTGGCATATTGCAAATACTCAAAAACTATTAATATTATTTTAATTATTAATAGCGTCATTATAATATATAGTTCCATGAAATGTCCTCATTTTAAAAAGGGATTTTTATATTTCAAAAATGGGAATGACTTCTCTATACTATACTGCCTGCGGGCCTCCTTATTTTGGTTTAAATTGGCAAATGCTGGGTATTTCACATTTTTCTGCGACTTAAAAACTCAACTTTTAGTTATGATATAACTCAAGCTTAGGGCATGTAGCCTCAACAATGGAGAGAGAAAGCTAATAAGATCAACTGGGTGTGCTTGGGCTTCACTTCCTTGATACTCCTGGAAGTCCACCTCGGATGTGTCTTAGGCCTGGAGGATCATGGACCTCATCTTTTTTAAGCTCTCATTTTCCATTCCAGGGTGCATATTGCTAGTCACTGTGGGAAACCTTGTAAAAATTATTAAAAACTGGGAAAGAACAAGCCACTCTGTGAGCACCTTGTTAAAATAAACCACTTCTTCCTAAGCTCAAGACAGCAAGAAACAGTTTAATAGCAATGAAATAAACTCACCACCTGTTTGTGCATCAGCATCAAAGAATTCTAACAAACATAAGAATGCTTTGATCATTTTCAGCCAGAAGAAAATTATGAAGCTCTTCATTGATAGTTCATGGGGAATTTGGGGACACTGATCAAAGAAAACTGTTAGTGCTATAGACTAGAAATTAAGATATCTGCATATAAGCTACTTCAGTACATTGTACTTTCAGTGGTGAATTGCATATTTAAAAATTCAAATGGTTGTCTTACGATTAAGCTAAATTTTATTTTAGCCTCTCTGCCCTAAAATAAAAGACATTAAAATGTTTTTTTAAGCAACTTTGTTCTTTTGTTAATGACTTCCAGATTATCTAGTTGAGATGAATTGAGAGGGCAGTGTGTAGTTTACACTTTGCAGAATCCCTCTAAGGGATTCTAAACCCAATTGAGCAGAATTATTCAAATGAGAGAATGTTTTGACATTCTTTGATGATCTTTAAGAAAAATTTCCATATGTTTTTCAATTCTATAATAGGGTTATATGATTATAGATTTCACTTTTAAGTACTGTAATAATACAGCTGAGTGGCTTGAAGAAAAGGATAGCAAAACTTTTATAATAGGAAAGAGTGTGTTTATGCATTTTGTTGTACAAATTTGAACATTTGAAATGGAAAACATAAGAATCATTTGAAAATACAACTATGCTATGAGAGAAAACACTTCTGTATGGATAGCACCAGAAACAGAAGACAAAGGTCACTGTTGTTTTTAAGTGAAAATCTAGACATTTCCTATAGACTTTTAAAGAAAGAGAATACTTATTTTGTAACTGCATGGTCTGGGTCTGAGCTGGTTTTTGCATGTAGTTAATACCTCCTGCCTCTGAAGTCGTTGGAAAGCATTTAACAAAATATATATTAAAATGCTTCAGGAATAACTAGTATGCCTAAGGATGTGGAATCAAACAGGAAAAAAAGTCACAAACATCTCATTAAAAATGTGTTGATTGATTGCAAGAAAAACAGAAGGAAAGGCAGATCCCCACCTTCAGACCACATCCACTGAAGCCCGGTACACTAAATATTTGCACTTACATGCGGTTACCCTCCCTCCATTCTATACCAACTTCCTCCTAAAAATAAAAGAAACTAGTAACACAAAGACCCACAAAAGAAGCAGTACAAAGCATTAATGCAAAAGATCTTTCAATACCTAAATCAGTGGGTCAATCTATGATTCACACTTTTTTTGAAAAAAACATCCAAGATTTGAAATGTAGTGAGGTCTTTGACATTACTCGCAAACTAGTTCCTGAAAAATTTTACTGAAGAGGAACAAAGTCCATTAATTTCTGAAATGGCATATTACGGACATAGTCTCTAAGTCTAGGTTCTGCTGACTGACTTGCTTCATGAGTTAAGGCAGAGTTCACAGAAGGTTGTCCACCAAATAGCTCTGCAAAACCAGCCCAAAAGTCTGTTCCCCTGACTCAACAATGTTTCAAGGAGAAAGTAGGTGATAGCTGAAGAGGTGTTTTGTGCTCTTGTGAAACTAAATTTTATGTAATGTCCTGAGCTTATAAATAAATAAGGTACCTGGTAGGCAAATTAGGATACAAAGAAGTGGTCCACTTCTCTGGCATCATCTGTAGTGGTTAATGCTTTCCGCTGCAGTTCACCCATCTCTTGAGAACTTGACAGTTCAGTCTTTAGAGTAAAAAGATGTGTGCTATTTGGAAGACAGGGATCTGTTTTATTTTACAGTAAAATATGCCAGCATTGAATTTGATACATGTGTTAGGAAGCAACATTTGTATTAGTCAAAGCTGAGGAATTTAATTAAGAATTATATGTCTTGTTATTTTCCCCGTGGAAGTATTTACAGGGCTGAGCGATTTGATGACTAATGGACATATTTAAAGGGCGTCTGTTACTGATCATGGAAACAAAAAATAAAATAAAATAAAATTTTTTACTTTTGGCAAGTTCTTATTGCAGTAGAATCATATGCTGAATGGTACCCCTGAGATTTTTTTTCAGCATATATGTTCTAATAGGTACCCAGCCAATTTTGACTTGCAAGGGAAAGATACTTCAAATTGGCTGCATGTTAGAAGACATGAATCCCAAACAAATCTGTGTGCAGAAAATACCATTCAATTTGCTAGGTCTTGCTAATGAAGAGAGCCTTAAAAAACAAACCAACAACAACAACAACAAAAAACAGCAACTTGGTACACCTAAGTGTGGTAAACCCTGTGTTCCACCTAGGGTGAAGTTTATCTTCCTAGAGCAAGGGTGTCCCTCAGTGATCACAACACAGATGATTTTAAAGTTTCAGCTAGTAATGTTAATGAGAAAAGCTGGCCAGTTATAAAAAAAATAGAAAGGGCAAAAAACAAATGAACAAACAACTGCACTTGAGAGCTGAGCAGCAGTTTTAACAGCTACTCCTAGCCTCAGAGACTGAGAGCAGATAGGGAGCAGTGGGGACAGTGGCAGTCTGCGGATTGCTGGCCACGTCAAAAAGGGAGTCACTACTTGGCTCAGCTAATTGTTGCTGTGTGGAAATGTGAGTCCAGTGATGCCAGATTTTTATGGCTCTTCAAGAGAGTGGAAATCTGGGTTTTATATGAAATCTTTCATTTTGAAATGTTTATTCAGAGCTCAAATATGGGGGAGGAGTTGGGAAAAAACCCATGCAGGCCAAACCAAATCTTCTTTTGGATCAATTTGAACCATAGGCATAGGACTTCGATTTGTTACCTACTGAATTAGCTAAATGAGTAATGTTTATAAAGTTGAAGAGGGAATGTTTCCTAGTATATGAATGGAAAAAAGACTAGGTGCGTAGTTAAGAGCTTCAACCATGGCGTCAGATTGCCTGTGTTTATGTCCTGGCTGGGTACCATGGGCATGTTACCAATTCGCTTTGTGTCCAGTTGCCACTTCAGTAAAATAGGAATGATAATGGTACAAATTTCATAGAGTTGCTGTGAGGATTCAGAAGAGCTAATTTATATAAACTGCTTAGTACAATGCCTGGCATATAGTAATTGCTCAATAAACATGAGCTATTATTATTTTGCAAGAAA
Source organism: Homo sapiens (assembly GCF_000001405.40). Lineage (NCBI taxonomy): Eukaryota > Metazoa > Chordata > Mammalia > Primates > Hominidae > Homo > Homo sapiens. The sequence continues at coordinate 102,857,844 of NC_000005.10, forward strand.
ATGGTATTCAAAGGATTTACCTATTTGTTATACCTGAAGAAAATATCCCCAATAAATATGGAGGGTCTGTTTTGTGTTGAAGAGTATGGATTAAGAGCATGGATTCTGGAGTCAGCAGGCTAGGATTTGAATTCTTGCTCTATCACTGTGTAACCAGAACAAGTTAATTTTTCTGAGCTTTAGATTCCTCATCTATAAAACAGAATTAATAACCCATATCTCAAAGTCATAAGAATTCAGCAAGATTATACACGCAAAATCAGTGCTGGCATATGAGTCAGTAAGTGTTAACTGTTGTTATGATTATTCTTTAGGATATTTTCCCCCATTATTTGGAAGTTCCATTTTTGCAAACACTTTTTTAAGTTATTTATTTCTTATTATATGTACTTAAAGAAAATGGAATTGCATTTGATTTACAAGTTAAGCTTCATCTTAATGAGCCACATTACAACAGTGGTTCTCAACCAGGTGATTTTACCCTTCAGAAGACATTTGGCAATGTCTGGAGACATTTTTGATTGCCATAACTGAGGGGAATGCTACTGGCATCTAGTGGGTGGAGGCCAAGGGTGCCGCTGAACACCCTGTAATACACAGGACAGCCCCTACAACAAAGAATGGTTCAGCCCAAAATGTTGATAGTGCTGAACTTAAGAAGCTCTGCATTACAGCTATATAGCCACCATAACATTTAGTTTGTAATGTTCTTGCTAAGCAGAGGAAGAATTTTTCTTTTATCAAAACATTACCTAACTTTCAGATAGCAGTTAACATGTAAATTGAAATCTGTCGAACCATATTTAATAAAATATTTTAAAATGCATATATTCCTGTTTTCTTCTAGTTACAAAAGTAATACAAGCCAGTGAAAATTAAAAGACTACAAAAGCATATAAATAAGACAATGAACTCCACCTTTTCCCCAACCATCTCCATAGAAAATCTCTGGAAATGCAACAGTTTAAGTTATATTACTTCAGACTTTTAAATACAGTCACATGCCTCATAATGATGCTTTACTCAGTGTCACGACACATATGTGATGGTGGTCCCATAAGATTATAATAGAGCTGAACAATTCCTATCACCTAGTAACATCGTAGTCATCATAATGTCAATGCATTACTCATGTGTTTGTGGTGATGCTGATGTTAACAAACCTACTGCCCTACCAGTCACATAAAAGTCTGGCACATATGATTGTGTATAGTACGTAATACTTGATAAAGATAATAAACGACTGTGTTATTGGTTTATGCATTTACAATACTATTTTGTCTTTATTTTAGAGTGCACTCCTTCTACTTACAAAAAAAATGTTAACTGTAAAACAGCCTCAGGCAGGTTTTTCAGGAGGCATTTCAAAAGGCATTGCTATCATAGGAGATGACTGTTCCATGTGTTATTGCCCAGAAGACCTTCTGGTGGGACAAGATGTGGAGGTGAAAAACTGATATTGATCATGCTGATCTTGTATAGGCCCAGGCTAGTGTGTGTGTGTGTGTGTGTGTGTGTGTGTGTGTGTCTTCACTTTTAACAAAAAAGCTTAAAAAGTTTAATAAGGTTTTTTTTTAAAAAAAGCTTATAGAATAAAGATATACAGAAAGAAAATATTTTATATACTTGTACAATGCATTTGTTTTTTAAGCTAAATGTTATTGCAAAGGAGTTAAAAAGTTAAACAATTTTTAAAAGTTTATGAAGTAAAAAGCTACACTGCACTAAGATTAATTTATTATTGAAGAATATTTTTAAAATAAATTTAGTATAGCTTACAGGAAACTGCATAAAATCTCCTGTACAGTGTTATAAAGTCTATAGTAGTGTACAGTAATGTCCTAGGCCTCTCACTCACCACTCACTCACTCAACCAGAGCTACTTCCAGTCCTGAAGCTCCATTTATAAGTGCCGTATACAAATGTACCATTTCTTATCTTATATACAGTATTTTTACTGTACCTTTTCTATGTTTAGATACACAGATACTTAGCATTATGTTTGAGTTGTTTCCAGTATTCACTATAGTAACATGCTGTACAGGTTTGTAGCCTAGGAGCAGTAGACCGTATAGAGCCTTGGTGTGTCATAGGCTATACCATCTAGGTTTATGTAAGTACAGCCAATGATGTTCACACAAGGATGAAATGGCCTAACATAACAATGCATTTTTCAGGACATAACCCCATTTTTAAGTGACACACGACTCTCTATATGTATGCTGTTCTATAATTTGCTGTTCAAAAATTGATGTCTTTTTTCTTCCTGACCGGTTCAGTCCTAAAGCAACTATCTAGGGCAAAGCAGGGTAGAAATTGAGGAAGGGTGGCCTGGCATGGGGCATTGGAGCCCATATTAGGTAAGGAGGCATCCGTGTGATGGGGTTGGTGACCTGGCATGGAGCATCAGAGCCCAGACAAGGTGAGGAGGGCATCCATGTGTGTGCAGCCTGGTATAAGGTGTTCACAAAGGGCAAGTGAGATAAAGTACACAAAGAGGAAGGTCTTGTGCAGGGCTTTGAGCCCAGGTGGGAGAAGGGGCAGAAAGCAAGGAAATGTTCAAAGGATGATAGGAATATGTCAAAGGCTAGCACTTTGGAAGGGCGAGGTGGGGGAATAGCTTGTGTCCAGGAGTTTGAGACCAGCCTGGGAAACGTGGTGAAACTCTGTCTCTACAAAAAATACAAAACAAATTAGCCAGGTGTAGTGGTGCATACCTGTGGTCCCAGCTATTTGGGAGGCTGAGGTAGGATGATCACCTGAGCCCAGGAGGTAGGGGTTGCAGTGAGCTAAGATCATGCCACTGTACTCCAGCCTGGGCAACAGAGCGTGAGACCCTGTCTCAAAAAAAAAAATAATAAAATAACCGCTTCACCAAAACATATTAATTATAAAGGGGAAAAAAATAGTAACAGTATGGTGGAAACAGCTGGAAGACATCAATTTAATCAAATGGTCAAAGTTAATATTGTCAGTAATGAGACAAGTCACAATCATAGCCACTTAATAAAATGCTATGGTAGCCAGCTTCCAAGCAGATGGTCCTCCCCACCTAGCTATTCATGCCCTGGGTGGTCTTCTCCTTCAGTGGGTGGGGCTGACCTGTATAGCCAGCAGGATGTTAGAGAAATGATGGTATGTGGCTTCTGATGCTACATAATAAAAGACTGCTCACTCTGGGGGAAGCCAGCTGCCATGTTGTGAAGACACTCAAGTAGCCCGAGAGAGAAGCCACATATTGAGGACATGTTTTTTTGCCAACAACCAGCACTAACTTCCCAGCCATGTGAGCAAGCTGTCTTGCAAGCAAATCTTCCAGCTCCAGTCAAGCCTTCAGATGACTGCAGTTCTGGTTCACATCTAAACTACAACCTCATAAGAGAACCTCGCAGCTAAGCTTTTCCTGATACACAGAAACTTTGCAAGATAATGCTTATTGTTTTCACCTACTATGTTTTGGGATAATTAGATATGCAGCAATGGACAATTAACACAGATATAGTGAGAAGAACACACCATCATTTCTGTCATACTCCTGCCAAAGATACATAACCTGAATCTGGTCCTAATGAAACATAAAACAAACACTGATTGAGAGGCATTCTGCAAAATAGCTAGCCTGTAATCTTCCATAGAGTCAAGGTCATAGAAGCTGAAGACAGACTGAGAAACTGTCTGGAGTGAAGCAGACTGGAGATATGACAGCTCTCTTTGGAACACCTGATTCTGAACTGGATTATTTTACTAATAAAAGACATTATTGGGACAGTGGGCAAAGTTTGGAACCTGAGGATTAGATGTTAGTAATGTATCCATGTGAATTTTGTTATTTTGATGATTTTATTGAGGTTATGTAGTAGAACATATTTGTTTTTAGGAAGTTATACTAAAGTGTTTAGGGATGATGGAGCATCAGGTCAGTAACTCTAAAATGATTACGGAAAAAAGTTATTTGTACTATACTTGCAGCATTTCTATAAGTTTCAGGTTCTTTAAAAATTTTTTAAGTTATGCCAAAAATATGTTATAAAATATGCCTTTGGAGGCCAGGCATGATGGCTCATGCCTGTAATCTCAGCACTTCAGGAGGCTGAGACAGGCAGATCACTTGAGCTCAGGAGTTCGAGACCAGCCTGGGAAACTTGGCAAAAACTTGTCTCTACAAAAAATACAAATATTAGCAGGACATGGTGGTGTATGTCTGTAGTCCCGGCTACTCGGGAGGCTGAGACAGGAGGACTGCTTGAGTCTGGGAGGCAGAGGTTGGAGTGAGCCAAAATTGCGCCACTGCACTCCAGCCTGGGTGACAAAGTAAGACCCTGTCTCAAAAAAAAAAAAAAAAAAAATTGCCTGTGGCTTTAAAAATAGACACATATTGTCTTTTTTTTTTTTAAAGGGGTGCATAGCATTCTGGTTTTTGTAACTATAAGTTTTTTTTTCCACAAATCTCCTATTGAAGGACGTTTAAATTGCTTTCAGTTCTTTGCCATTATAAACATCCGGGTCTTTGTTATTACGAACAATACTAGTAAACATTTTTATAAACATAGTTGTGCCTTGTTCAGTTTTTGCCTAAGAATTAATCCTCAGAAGTCAAATTGCTATGTGAATGGATATGTGCCCTTTCATCAGTTTAATCGTAAGTCATTCAAGGAAACTGCATAAAATCCCCTTACAAGAAAATGAAATTTACAGTTTGGTAGTCATTTTTATTTGTTTCTCTCCCCCAGAAAGTAATTTCTATAAGAGTGGGAACGTTATCTGTCTTGATTATCACCGTCCCCAGCATTCAGAGTCTCAGGCATTCAATATATATTTGTTGCAACAACAATAATAGGGAATATTTATTATGTGTCTAGCACTGTTCTAAGGGTATTAATTTAGTTTTTGCTGGCAACAGCCCTACGAGGTAGGTAATATGATTACATCCATTTTGCAGATGAAGAAACTGAAGCTAGAGAGGTTAGGTACTTGTCTAGTTTCACACAGCTAATAAATAGTGGACCCAGGAATCAGGCAGTTTTCCTTCAGTTTACAGGTATCCACTATGCTGTACAGGGTCTCTTATAAATGAATACACGACTGAATGGTCAAATTGGTTAATATATTTATTTGGCTCTTTGACCAGTAACAAATGCCAGCTATCTTTTTTTTTTTTAAAAAAAAATGAAAATTAGAGGGAATGGACTGCCTACTTTGTAAGAGCCAAATTAGTTTTATGGTCTTCTGGACTAGGCTGTACTTAACTACCTACTAATACTCCTCCTGGAATTAATATCCATACAGGTATAGGTTATAAATCATTCTTACCTGAAGATTTTATGGATATGTAAACAGAACATTTGCTTTGTATTACAAATAAAATAGTAAATCTGGGCCTGCAGCTTGAGTCTAGGAGGCAGAAATTTTATTACTTTATGAACATACTCTGTTCCCCACCTGGGCTCCTTTGCTCCTGCCATTTCCCTGTACCTGTAATGCTGATTGTCCACCTCCCACAGTGGAAACTCTAACTGTCCTCCAAGGCTTGCTCAGTAGCCACCCCTTCCACTGAATACTGCTTTTACTCTTCTTTTTTCTTGCCCTCCTTTTGAGGATTCTTTCCTTCTTCAAAATTCTGAGTCTCTTTTTATAGTACTCATATAGAATACTACATTCTAAATATACCTTATGTTACTGTGTAGAGTTCTCATCTCCCTTAATAGACTATATTCTTTTTTAGTTTTATTCATTTTATAAAACTCCAGTATGTATTATAATCTTTTGTATAAAGTATTGAAACTAAGGGTTTTTTTTTTTTTGGATGAGTGAAGGAATTATCTCAATGAAATATCTGAAATATATTTAAAATTTTTAAATCTTAAATAAGAATACTAATAAAATTTGATTATTATATGTTCTACATTATCCAGAATTATAAAAAAAATAAAATAGGTGGACATGTTTTTTTTTTGATCTGATGATTTGTATTTTGTCTTTAGCTTACAAGTCATCCAGAAACAAGAAGCATAATTAGCTTTCATTTTTATAAGACCTTTTGTTCTATTCATGGCTACAAATACCAACTTTGCTTCTACCCACAACTTTAATTCCCTTTTCTTTAAGTGGGTGGTTTAGGGACATCAAAGGTAATAAAATCAAAGAGATAAGTGGAATATTTTTTTCAAAGGCTAGTACTTAAGGGTGTGTTCCTGTTAGAGAATTTTAATACTTAATTTGTTTTCAAGTGTTTGTGTAATACCAAATCTCCTTGCCAACTGGAAGAGGGACTGTCCTTGAATCCTGTTCTGAATAAAATATTAAAATATAATCCCTTCTTCATATATATATATATATATATATTTTTTTTTTTTTTAAAGAACTTCAGGGAATGTGAAGTATTGTCATTTGATAGGATTATACTTTGTTGCTAGCAAAGGCAATAGCATAGCCTTCCTGCCAATTGTTTCTCTTCCTCCAGAAGGAGTTCTTTCCTTTACCCACAGGATAAGGATAAAGCTGAAGGTTTTTGTTTCTGAAAGCCCAAACAGCAAGCCAAAGAGAAAGTTCAAACAAATATTGTCAGTCTTTTAAAAATGTCATTGCTTATGTAAATTAGCTGACCCTTGACTGCTGGTGAGCCTCAAGCATCCTTGATTTGGTTGGATGTTAAGTCAGGTTTTATTTATATTTGGTATATGGTATCTAGAAAGCACTTATCATGAAGAATCTCACTTCATTTAAGGTTAGTGCTTTTTTATTTGTTTTGGTTCTAGGTTTTTGTTTTGTTTTGTTTTAGATTAGCTTCACTATCTTGTGATTTCCAGAGGCTGATGTATTACTGTGAAACATTCCGATATGATTTTTCCTTATTTTTTCTTTTTACTGTTACACATCTTCCCATCAAATTCATTTGAGATTCTTGGAACGATGTTTATAGTTACTGACTAAAATAAAACTTTAATCTCTTTCTTTGGAAGTACAGTATTTTTATATTGTGAATTATACAGTTTTAATTTATGCCTTCAGACTAAAATTTGCAGGTTTGATAACATAGTTTTAAATATATTCAGTCAAAATATGAATATTTTCAAGTTTAACCTAGTTGAGTCCTCTTATAAAACGTTGAGCTGTAACATTAGTTCTTCATGGCCTCTCATTTGTATTAATGTGACGTTCTTGATCATAACCTTTGAAGATAAAATTCATTTGGGGGGCAGCTAAGATTCTCCCTACTCTTTCTAATTATGTTGTAAAACTCCAAACTTAGGAAAGGATATCTTTTGGAAGGCATGCCTTATGAGTACAAAATTATTATTTTGCTTATGAGATGCAGGATTTTTAAATGGGCATTTACATCTTGTGTATCATGTTAGCTGTAGAGTTTTTGTTTGTTTTAAAATAATTCTGAGAACTTGGGCAATTCTGTGATGATCCTTGGGAGCTCTTGGTAGGAGATATCATTCCTCTTGGATCTGTAGCTCTGTGATGCATGTATATAAGCATGCCTTTGTTCTCAAAAGTCTTTTTCTATCTGATTACTGTGGTATCCAGTGCTTTGTCTTTGCCTCTCTTCGTTTTTTGTTTTGTTTTTTTCCTTGCGCCTTAGCCGGTCATTTGTGTGATGTTTACATTCAGCAGAGAGGTATTTAGAGCATTTTTGGTGAGAGAAAGGAGTGATAGAGGAAGTAAAGAGAAATTCAGACTGGGGTGGCTGTGAGGGATAAAGGGGGGAAGAAGTAGGAAAAGAAAACAGGAGTGGGTCCAAGGGAGGAAGAGCAAGCAAAGACAGAACACCGGCTCTACAGGGGCTGCGCCGTGGGGGTTCCTGAAATCTTGGGGGCTGGCTGTGGGGGAGGGAGCTCAACAGACCAGCATTTTCCCCAGGCTTGGGCGCAACCTTGTGAAACTACTAATGTATTAAAGAACCTCAGCTGGGATTTGCTGAGGACAAATGCTGTAACGTGTTAGTCATCCATTATCTGCTTCTATTTTTGCAGGTTCTGAATGATGACTGACGCGGGTTTGGGTGATACCCCTCACAGCCCCTGTCATTCCGGAGTCATAAGGCACCCGCGCGTCTAGCCCCAGCGCCAGGGCACGCGAGCGGCGCTGGAGGGAGGAAAGCTTCCGCCTGCGGGCCGGACAAAAGTCCCGCCTGCCCACGGCTTTTTGCCCGCCGCTCGTGACCGAGACGCCTCGCCGCGGCCAGCTCGCTGCTCTCGCTGGCGGATGGTGTGTGGCCGCCGCAGGACGCCCGCCGTGCCCGGGCCATGAAGTAGCGGCTGCTGGCGGCGCCGCTGCCCAACCGCCAGCCCCAGCCCCGCGCTGCGCTGCCCGGTCCTCTCCCGGCGGGGTCGTATCGGCGTGGACATGGCTGGCCGCGTCCCTAGCCTGCTAGTTCTCCTTGTTTTTCCAAGCAGCTGTTTGGCTTTCCGAAGCCCACTTTCTGTCTTTAAGAGGTGGGTGTTCGTTGTTCGGGTGCTTTCTGTGCATGCTGTTGAGAAATGTAATCACTTTTATGAACCTGAGTGTTGGCAAAATAGACGGGGTTGATGTTCTTTGCTGGAATGACTTGGAATTTTACCACAGTAACTTCTTGTGAAGTCCCCCGTGCAGAAAAAGCCCACTGCATTGTAGCCAAGCAGTTCTGGCTTTCAAAACTCCAATTAGAAGTTGTGATTTCCAAAACTAATCACTCCCTCTGGGGGAGGTATTTCAGGAACTACAATATATTCGCTTAGTTTTGAATGCCTGCTTGTTTATAACAGCTCGAAGAATAAAATATAAGGATACATCAGTGTCGAGGAGAAGCAGATCATAGACTGTAATAGCTCACAAGGAAACACTGAGCTGTATACAAACGCCTCATAATTACTTTATTAAATATTTATGTACTTGTACATTTGTAATTCACATCGCAGTCTTTTATTTCTTCCTCCTAACAGCTCTGCCTCCTAGCAAGATTATGGTTGGCTTTCTTGTTTCTAGCTAGTAATTCTGGACACTGAAAATAGTTACAGAAATTTTTACTGGGTCATGGTTAATATTTCTGCCATTAGAAAATTGGCATGCCTGTGATAATTTGTAATGTATTAATACTATATCTTCATTAACTTGAAACAGATATATGTTTTGACATATTTTTATATGACATAATTTTTTATAAATTTTCAATAAAAACAAGTTTTTATTGAATGGAGTTTTAAATGTAGCCTGGTTGATTGCATTGGTTATATTTTATTTACAAATTAGGTATATATTGTTATTGGACTATAAAATGAAAATCTGAGTATGTTTACGAACATTGTGTAGTCATCACATCTTTAGAGTTTTCATTGGGTTTAAATCAATCATCTTTAAGGTCATAGAATTCCTTTCTTTCCCCTTCTCATGTTGAGTTTAGATTCCATTATGTTCAAGAATATTGAAATTGCCCTCTTTTTTAAGGTTTAAAGAAACTACCAGACCATTTTCCAATGAATGTCTTGGTACCACCAGACCCGTAGTTCCTATTGATTCATCAGATTTTGCATTGGATATTCGCATGCCTGGGGTTACACCTAAACAGGTGAGAGGAATTTTGTCTTTCATTATTCACTTGTTCTGGATACAATCTATAATTAAAGTAAGGAAACTGCATTTACAGCTGTAGGAACTTCTTTAAACGTAGGCATTTGCTTTCAAGACTCCAGCTAAGGCTAGAATAATTGAATATTTTAAAGAGGGTTAAGTCTTTCAAGGTGAATCTTTCACTTAAATTTTGTTTTTAAAATTTTACTTATATTATCATTTGTGGTTTGAAATGGAATGTCGAAAATTTACATTTTGAGATTCTCTGTGGAGTAATAGCCTCTGTAATGCAGCATGCAAGTACGCATTAAAATATGAAAAATTATTCTAATAAAGGAAAATGATATTGAGCAGCTGCATTTAAGCTAGTTTGTTTAAATATCCTTTTATTGCAACCACAAGTCAAGAAATAAAAACGTGTTTACTGCTAAGAATTTGAAAAACAAAACATTCCACTCTTTTAAAAGTTAAGAAAACTGTTCATACAGGTGGCTGATTGTGAGTTTTCTTTAACCTGACTTGCTCGTTGTAAGAGATGTATTTTGAAATAATGGCAAAGCTCATATAAATGTGACTTATAGAGCATTTTGTGTAGAACTAGGTTGCTGCTAGGGCTTTCCCTCTTTTAGGTACACGCAAGAAGCTCAAACCCACTGCTGTCATGTGTGCAAGGTGTTTCATTAAGCATAAAAAGGCCAGAATTAATTATGCTTTGCAGCCAGGCAGTGCAGGGATTTATGTGTGTCATTAAAAGATAGTCCTCTCCTTTTGAAGGGCTGCAGAGACAGGGAAAGACCTGGATATTGTAGAGCTGCAGTGGCTGATGACTCATTGTTGCAGATAACATTCTATTTTTCTTTTCTTTTTTATTTTATTTTCAGTACTAGGAAAATAAAGTATTCGTATTCTACTTATTAGGCAGAATTCCCTTTGCAATTGACATCCAGAAGCTTTAGAGAATACACATGGGCCTTTTTTTGGGACTAAGAATTGGCATTCATTTATTTGAAGACCTGTGTATGATTGTCTATAACTAACTACCACTGTAAAAATGACTTTCACTTCCTCCTCATCCCCAAATGACCATGCAGATGACTTTCCATGCATTCAGTTGTTACTGTGCTAGCTTTTAATTTCATAAGCTTTTTATTTAGTATTTAACCGCAAAAAGTGTAATGAGATTGAGACTAGGAGAGAAGAACAACAGTTGCTCACTTATGAAGTGTGCCTCTTTTCTCACTTTTAAAACTGGGTTTCCCCCCTGTATTTGCTTGAACTGAATGTATTTTTTTTAAAATATCCACTAATTGGGTTTTCAAGCACTCTTTCCCCACAAGAATATCATTATTTTATCAAATAGTCTTTTGTTTGGTTCATTATTATTGTTATTCTTTCTTCTCATTATTTAAGAGTAATAACATTTAAATTACTTAACAATAATAATGGGCAACTGTGATGGGGTCAGTAATCTCAGAAAGAGATCTTAGAGGAATTGATTATAAAAAGTCATGGAGGAGCTCCATTTTCATAAAGTAAAATGTGTTCATTTTTATAATCCTATAATTATCAAAATAACTCCATGGGGAAAGAACATACATTGTTTAAATAATTGCTTTTTATTTTGCACTATCTGTATTCACCTTGGCCTCATGCAGTGCATATTTGCTGGTTGCCTTTCCAGCAAATAGCTGGTTGCCTCCTTGCTCCTTCTCTGAGACTATGTGATTCCCAAGAGCTTCCTACCCAGACTCCAGAGATGGAACACATGGACCGTGATTGATAATTGACTGTATCCCGCCTCCCTTTCCGCAATGATTGGTTCAAAAGAAAGTGTGTGATTTAGACCATTCAAATCTTAGGACTTTTGCTGAGAATGTATTTTTCTGTTGCATGTGAGCAGTAGGCTTGTCTTGCTAGGGTCTGCTGAATTCATGAGGGAGCCATGCCTATAATAAAACTAACACCATAGAGGGCAATGCAGAGAGATTGAAAGAATGTAGTGCTTGGTGACGTCACTACTTATGCAGTGTTCAGTTATGTTAGCCTTTCTGGTTTGAATAAAGTTGAGTTGGGTTTTGTCTTACTTGCAACTGAAACTACTGGGTAAATGATTCAGTTGCTCTGCCTGACAGCTCAGAACTGCTTGTTGAATATTTCTTCCATTTTTTTCCCATCACTCTCTGTTGACCATGTGCCATGAGTATGTAACTTGGTTCAGCTGACATACAGATCTTATACTTTGTAAACTTTTATGAGAAATGGTAGACTATCCATTGAATATGCCCAGGAAGAGGTGGATACAGAACCTTCAGAACCTCTTTCCTTCTGAATTTGGTGTTCTAGTGAGGAAGACCAAGAGCTCTGATGCCGTAAGTACTTTTGAAGAAAGTATTATTTTCTTAAAATGAAGATAAAACCAAAGTTTTACACAAGTCCTTAAGAGGAAAGGAGGTGAAAAAAAGCAAGACAGAATAATGAAAACGTATTAGAGGGAAGAAACAAAAGGTAGAAGGGAAATAAGAAGAGTTGACCGAAAAACAAAATGAAAAAAAGGTCCAAGAAAATGGAATGATCAAGAACAAAAATAAAAGGAAAAAAATCAGGAATAACTAGACTATGAAGAAAGAACATCTAAAAATCATAAAAGAATAGAGGTTGAAGGAAAATGTAAAAACAAGGAAAGACATTGAGTTAAATGGCAGAGGATTTTTTTTTTTTTGATCGCAGACAATCAAGAAGAGCAACAAAATTTAAAGAAGGAACAGAGAAGAACTTGAGTTGGGAATTGAGAGACATCATGTTGATTAAAGAAATGTATTCATTCCACAAGATTTTTTTAAAATAAAGTACATCTTAAGTTTTGGCAATAATGAAAGCTATATCAATACATCTTATGTGTATCCTTTCTTTGGAAAACTTGAGATTGTTAGGTAGGCTTAGATAGAGAAACAAGCAGATGTAGAACAGAGGTGGAAAGAACCTTAGACATAATACAGATAGTGCAACTAACTAATTTTACAGATGGAATACAAGCCTAGATTAGTGTCTTATCAAGGATATCCAGTCATGTCAGGCCTCTGAGTTGCCATTCTGCCATACCACAGGACTTTAAAGTGGCAATTAAAAATTTCTCCCATTAAACTAGATCCAGTGAGTCTGGGAAAAGTGGTTTATTATCTGTTGCAATATCAATTTTATAATCAAAGTAAGCTTATTCTGTCTCTTCTCTGACTTAAAAAATTTGAAAATAGTTTCCATCCTTTTTTAGAAATGGATAATCAGTGTTTAATCTCTGTTAATAGGTGTTTTTCCAGCCTTTGGGAAGATTAGAGAGAAGAGTAGGCAGGTTTTAAATAGCCTATCATAGAGATAAAGTCAGGATCTGGTGTTCCATGGCACTGGCTTCAAATCCAGCAGAGCCATGAAGTGGTGATATCTTGAGACTCCTCTTTTAGCACTGTTTCTTTCTTATTTGATTCCCTTTCTCACCCAGGACCCACTGGACTTTTGCTGTCACCAACTCTCATATCAAAAAACAAAAGAATTTGATAAACTGCCAGTTCATGGTCATAGTATGGTGATATCAATTTGACATGTTAACTATCCCTTTGGTGTTGGATTTCAAAATAAATAAAGGTATAATTACAATGGTTTTCCATAATGTTTATTGCCTAAATCTAACTCAAATCCAGGGGTTAAACAGATGCATTGGGGCTGGGCTGACAGCATCTGGCCTCAGCTCTTGCAGTCTCAACTCAAATTTGTTTCTTAACTGGCTAGTCCTGTTCCTTCTTCTGTAGAAAGGATAATAATAGTTTATTATCCCACACTACCAAGGTTGTTCTGAAGACTGAGTGACATAATGTTCAGTTGCCTTGCACATGATAAGAACTCAGAAAATGTATACTAATATTATTATTACTTGTGTTCAGGGAAATGTGAATGCACCTTGACACTAGAAAGAAATTGCTAACCCTTAGGCTTTCAGCAATGGCTTCATGGAGAAGCTAAGACATTGCAATAATTGTGAAGGAGATGAAAGTGAACCAAATGAAGAAAATAGAAAGTACAAACCTAGGCAAGAGAAACCTGGATAAAGTACTCAAAGAAGTAAATCTTTCAGTGTCCTTAAGTATTCATAAGTAGTTGTTTTCATTAAAAATGGACCTATCATAAGAGAATAAAAGGAACACTGAGAATAGATATGCTTTTCTCAGAAATTCTTATACATCTTTATATTGCTTGGAGGAGAAGTTATTAAAAGAACTCTCATCGGTTTGAAACCTTTTATTTTATATATATATAAAATATATATATTATATATAATACATTTATATATATTATATATATATATGTATATTTGAAATAAGCCTTGATTTTTTTTCAGTGTCTACTTTCCTAAGGACTTTATACATTGACCTTATTTAAAAAACACTTTTATCTAATGTAAGTACTTTCAAATCCTAGGTTTATGTAGCATTCTATTTATTTGCTATTTGCTCAACTTAGGTCCTCTGTGTTCTTAGCTTAAGAACTTACAAGTGCAAACAAATTTGCAAAAACTAAATGATTTTACCAAATTAAATATCTTCCTTGAGCCTAATTTCTTAAAGCCTTATATTAATTGAATTTCTTTCAATGAAGATGTTTTAGGCTGTCATTAGTGTAATCATTTTCCTCCCTTATTTTGGCAGTGATGATTTGAGAACTGTGAAGAAATACATCTTACCCTTTCTGAACCTCTTGCAAATTCTTGTCTCATTCAGCATTTGTCTTTTAAAGGACTCTTCAGATCATGCATTGAAATCAGAAAGCAGCCTATCCCTGTGTATCTAAGCACATATATCTATTGCCAGGAATCAGAACAATTCTGAGTTTAAGAATCACAGCAGATACCCCAGAGCAACAGGTTGAAAAACCTGAAATTAGAATCTTAAGTTATTACTTATTTTAAAATATTGATGAAAGAATGTTGTCGTTGAAATGAAACCAGAATGAACAAAATACTCCTACAAAATGTTCTCAAAATCTTCCCACTGTGTTTCACTTTGCTGTTTTCTCAAATTAACAGTCATTAGAAAACGTTAAGTAACGTACTTTAACTTCTTCATTTTCTAACATGAGGAAGAGATTCCCTTGCCTCCACAATACATGTATAATCTGTAAAAAGAACCCAGCTTTCATGGGCTTTTCTTTCTGCACTCCTGTAAGGAATCAGTTTTAAAATATCAAACCATAATCATAACATCATTTATAAGTGGCAGTTGCTCAGAATATCTGTTTTATCAGAGGTAATATACAAGTTAAATGCAGAATTGTTTTTATTAAATTCAGAATGCCAATTAAATTAGACTTTGTATGTATGTTACTTAGTTGTTCAGAAGCTTGGCTTTTGTCTAGTTTTCAGGCTACAATAACGTTAGGTCTATATATTTTTTAATTCCATCATTGTGTAAAAAAGATGTACGTATCCTCAGTCAGTGCTAAAAACTCAGAGTAAAATTAGCAACGGGGCCTACTTGAGGGTGGAGGGTGGACGGAGGGAAAGGATTTAAAAACTACCTACAGCCTACTATGCTTTTACCTGGGTGAGGGAATAATCTGTACACCAAACCCCCATGACATACAATTTACCTGTATAGCAAACCTACATATGTACTCCTGAACCTAAAATAAAAGTTACAAAAAAAAAATTAGCAAGGACTCCAGAAAAAAATGATACTTTACTGGAATAAGTTTTTAGTACTTTAGGGGTTGTGATTTCCTTATCTTTTCTCTAGTTGTTAGTATATAATATTTGTATTCTTTTGAAATTAAAATTTCAGTCTTTCTCTTGGACATAAGAATAAAAGGAAGGGAGACACCCCACACCACCATTTTTCTGTTTCCCCTCATAGGCTAGCTTGACTTTGAGTTTAAACCTCACTGCAGAAGGGGAGAAAACCAACAGCCTTTTGGGCACCAGCTGGTGGGATATCTATTATACTCTTTTTGAGAAAATGGATCCAAGCTCTTCGCGAAGCAGCTGTGCGATTGCTGGGAAGTGCCTAAAGAAGATCCCCATCCAACTCCAGGAGCCCCATGGATTTCCTTATCACCTCTGTGTGGTCAGCAGCCATGGTCCAGCCTACCTTCCCTAGTGCTGTGATCTGTCCACCACTACAGGCCCGACCCTCGTCTAATTGAATCTGTACAGCAGAATAGACATAGCAAATGAGGGTTACTTCTTGAGTCAAATACATTTGATTGGGAAGAGCTGCCTGGAAAGTGTTAAGAATTATGAGACCACATTGGGACTTG
Source organism: Homo sapiens (assembly GCF_000001405.40). Lineage (NCBI taxonomy): Eukaryota > Metazoa > Chordata > Mammalia > Primates > Hominidae > Homo > Homo sapiens. The sequence goes on from NC_000005.10 coordinate 102,873,696, forward strand.
ATGGGAAACGGTGCAGCGACCCATAAACAACATCTGCCACGAATGTGAAAGATAAAAGTCGCTCCAGTGGCCAGCCTCTAGAAAGAAGAATCCTGGGTGAAGATTGATTGCATTGTCATTGTCTTAAAATGAATATGAGTCGTGGCTTTTAGTGTTTCGTTTTCTTCTATTTTTTTTCTCCTTTCAGAGAAAATAAAACTAGCATGGTGATCTTCCTATTGAAGGAGGCATATTGAGAAACATCCTAATTCTAGACTAGCATTTACTTTTTATTTAGAAAGACTTATGCAATGTGTATAAAATTACAAGATTTGTGAAGAGAGCAACAAAATAAAATGCTGTATCTCCTCCCTCCCCAAATTGAGAAACTAATATTATCTTCATTTTACCAATGGGAAAGCTAATAGCAAAGAAAATAGCATCGTTATTAGAAAGGATGGCCACCAAGCCCTTTTTTTGTTTATTTAGCTGTGACACATTCATTCTTTTTTCCCTTTCTATTTTGAGAGCTCAGGATTGATGTCATTTAAAACAATACATGTCAAAATCTCAGATTAGATCTATTTGTATATTTACTCTGCTTTGTCGGCAAGTGTCAAGTATATGAATTAAGTAGATTACAAAAATGTTAAATGGCTTTTGTAAACGACAAATTAAAGTCACTTGTCATCCACTGTCAATTGTTTAAGTTTAAATTATGATACTTCCTCTTTATTTTTACTGAAACTTATTTAACGTTCTCTTAGGGAAGATACGATTGAACTATTAACAATGTTTTTTTTTAATAATAGAAACATGCTACATATCTGGGTTCAGAACTGCAAGTATGAGTATACATTGACCATTTTTTCCTTTCTTTATAAAAAATGAGAAACAGATTTTTTATTTCTTATAAAAAATAAGAAATTGAAAATTATTTTCAATCAATTTTGAGTATGTTTGAATTAACATGATGCTTGAGAATATTTTAAAATTAGCTACAGTGTAAAAGACTCCTTATGATCACCTATTTTCTCAATAAGGTTCAGAGTCCTTTTGCTTTTTATTTTTTTTCCTAGTAAATATTTTAAAGGAGAAAACATACTTAGTGAGTATTCATTATGTAACACTACTATATTGGGCACTTTACGTACATTGTCTCATTAATTCCCATAAAAAGTCTGTGTTCAAGGCATTATTATCCCCACTTTTTATATTAAAAGTTGAAACTAAAAGAGATTAATAACGTGTTCATAGCAAATAGCCGGTAAATAGGAGAACAAGGATTTAAATACAGATTTACTTGAATCTGAAACCCATGGTTCATTTTGTAATTCTGTGCTGCCAATCTGTTAATGATCTGTCTCCCACAGAATTTTAGTATATGTGTTTTTATGTGTGCAGGTGTGTGTCTATACACACACACATATATTTTTATTCTACATATATTGTAGAATATAAGCTCTCTTTTATTAAACAAAATATATGTTACTGGCTTCATCCTAAATTATTATCATTATTATTATTATTATTATTTGAGGTAGGATCTCACTGTGTCACCCAGGCTGAATGCAGTGGTACAGTCAAAGCTCACTGCTACCTCAACCTCCTGGGCTCAAAGGATCCTCCCATCTCAGCCTCCTGAGTAGCTGGAACTACAGGCACACACCACCATACCCGGCTTAATTTTTTTATTTCTTTTAGAGATGAGGTTTTGCTGTGTTTCCCAGGCTGGTATCAAACTCCTGAGCTCAAGTGATCATCCTGCCTCGGTCTCCCAAAGTGCTGGGATTACAGGTGTGGGCCACTGTGCCCAGCCCATCCTAAATCCTTGAATAACTTTTTCTTATATCTTCTAATGCATATGTAGAAAGACATGCTACTAATCTGAATTCTGGCAAGATATTCTTGGTCACTTGGCTGTTAAAAGATGCTTTGCAATGAAGAATTTTTTTTGTTGTTATTCTTGTCTAAATCTAAACTAGAGGTCAGCAAATTCTTTCTTAAAGAAGTGTCATATAATAAATATTTTTGACTTGTGAGCCATATAGGTTCTGTTTTGACTGTTGTAGTTAGAAAGCAGCTATAGATACTATGTAAATGAATGGCTTGGCTTTGTCTCAATGGAAAACTGTGTTTACTAGAAGAGGCAGCCAGCCCACAGGCTGAAGTTTCCCAGTCGCTGATAGAAACAATTGAATATGCCATTTAGGCTAATAAATGGATTTAACCTTTGGCATCTCATGAACAATGTCTTCTGACTTACAGAACAGAAAGAATAAAAATACCAATGCAAGGTTAACAGTGCTTTGATCTTTGTTCCTTAGTTACCTATTCAGTTTTCATGAGTAAATGATTATAAACAAGAGTTCTCTTATTTGGAATATCGTATTTCAGAGCTCTCCACCTCACTAGATGGCAATTCCCGTGGTATAATTTCTCTCGGCCAAATACACTAGAGTCTTTATTTATGGTTCTTTTCTCCCTCAGAGCCTGTAAACAATATGCTAGTAAATTCTTTTCATCCTGTCTTCCAAATATCTTCCAAATTCCAGCCTTTTCTCACAACAGCCATCTTTTCAACTCTGGCCCAAGCACCATCCTCTCTTTCCTGGATTATTATAATATCCCTCCTAACTGACCTACCTTGTACCCGTGTACCCCTGCAATCTGTGCTCCACTCAGCAGCCACAAAGATTCTATTAAAACAGAAGTCAGAGCACATTGCTCTTCTACTAATACCATTGAAGAGTTTCCTGCACCACTCACATTTAAAGCCCGAGACTATATAGCTCCTTCCAAAGCCCTGCATCTTTCCTGGCCTCCTTTCCCACTTTTGTGTCTCTCATCCCTCATTTCTGTGTTATAAATAGTGTCATAGATAAACAAAGCTGGACACTCCTAAAGTGGTAGGGACAGATTTTAATCAACAATGGATTTTACAGAAGTAACTGGGCATTTTAAAGGGAGAATTAGGGAGTAGGAAAAAGTAGTATGTGGGGGCTCAGTAGAGTCAGGGAAGTAAAACATTACAAAAGGTTAGTTGGCGTAAACCCGATGGGGCCAGCTGTGTTTGCTAGCTGGAAATTACTGAAGCTATGATTCCATCCCGTCACAGAGACTGGAAGGCAAAGGCTCTATTCTCAGGTATTGGCTAGAGCAAACAGTAGATTTTTTTGGCAGCCTTGAGTCTTGTCTTCTCAAGCAAGCACTTTAAGCGGAGCTAGAGTCATCTTAGGGATATGGCATTGAGCTGTTAGAAACTGTTAGTGTTTGTTCAAGTCTTTGTAAGCCAAGGTGAAGGCCTAGTCAAGAAGAGGGCTTGGAGGAGCCTGGCTATGGTTTAGTCAAGGAGATAATATTTATCAGTCATTATAGATACAAAACAAATCAGAACTCTGTCCCACCACTTGCTGGCTGCAAGACCTTAGGCAAGATACTTAAACTATAACTTTAGTTTTCTCATCTGTAAAATTGGGATAATAATAGTTCCTATCTGATAGGATTGCAGTTAAGTAAATTAATATGTGTAAAACACAGTAAATGCTCAGTAAATTTAGTTATTAACATTTCTGCCCTGAACTGCATTACAATGGATTAGTTAAGAAATGTTAGCAAGTAGCTAATGCAAGGCCCTATATGATAAATACATTAGAATACTTGAAATAAAGAATTACAGAGGATCAACCTGGGAATAAAGAGAGTAATTGCAACAATATTTTAGTCAGGACTGCAATCATAATTTTCTAGAGCACATTATGGAAACAGGTTAGAATCTACATTTCTCTCTTGCTTTATTTAGAAAATATTTATGGAGGCAGCAGGATTTGAAGAATGTAGTTCAAGAGGTAGGGAGAGAGACTTGGAAACAAAAGTTTAGAATTCCTGTAAAGCTACCATTCTAGAAATACGGCTGTAAACAGATGAAGTATTCAGAACCTCAACTTTTATAATTTTGTCTTTAAAAGAAACTAGTAATTATTAAAGGTACAATTTGCTAAGAGAGAAAAATTTATACACTATAGTCATAAGATACCATCACTGTCAAACATTTAAAATAAAAATTCAAATTGGGCTGCATGCAGTGGCTCACACCTGTAATCAACACTTTGGGAGACTGAGGCAGGAGGATTGCATGAGGCCAGGAGTTTGAGACCAGCCTGGGCAACATGGAGAGATCCCCATCTCTACAAAAATTTAAAACAATTAGCTGGGCGTGGTGGTGTGTGTCTGTAGTCCTAGCTACTCAGGAGGCTGTGACAGGAGGCTCTTGAGCCCAGGGAGTTGAAGCTGCAGTGAACTATGATTGTCACACTGCATTCCAGCCTATATGACAGAGTGAGACCCTTTCTCAAAAAAAAAGAAAAAAAATTCAGTGAAGTTGGTTAAAATCTCTATATATAATTATAAAGGAATAATCCCTCTATAATTATTAATACATAAATATCCCTCTGTAAGATATTTGGTGTATCAAATAGATCTCAAAAGGCAAATATATAATATTTGAATATTTCAGTCAATAGAATAATTTTATATATACAGTCATGTTCTTCATAATGATGTTTCAATCAAAGGGACTGAAGATTATAATGGAGCTGAAAAAGTCCTATCACCTAGTGATGTAGCTTTCATAACTTCATCAGGAACATTTTTGTGGTGATGCTGCTGTTAACAAACTTGCTGTACTGCCAGTTATGTAACAGTATAGCACATACAATTCTGTATAGTACATAATACTTGATAATGAACGACTATGTTACTGGCTTATGTATTTACTATACTATACTTTTTATCATTATTTAGAGTGTACTACTTCTACTTCTTAAAAAAAAAATAAAGGTTTATTTTAAAAGAGCCTCCAGCAGGTCCTTCAGGAGGTATTTGAGAAGAAGGCATTGTTGTAGGAGGTGACAGCTCCATGCATGTTATTGCCCCTGAACACCTTCCAGGAGGACAGGATGTGGAGGTGGAAGATAGTGCTATTAAATAATCTTGACCTGTGCAGGCCTAGGCTAAAGTGTGTGTTTGTGTCTTAGTTTTTAACAAAAATGTTTAAAGTAAAAAAAAAAATTAATAGAAAAATGCTTATAGAATAAAGACATAAAGAAAATATCTTTATACACTATGTAATGTTTGTTTTTAAGCTAAATTTTATTATATGAGTCAAAAAGTTTAAAAATTAATAAGTTTATAAAGTAAAAAGTTATAGTAAGCTAAGGTTGATTTATTATTGAAGAAAGAAAAATTCTTTTTTTTTTTGTTTTTTGTTTTTGAGACGGAGTCTCGCTCTGTCGCCCAGGCTGGAGTGCAGTGGCAAGATCTACGTTCACTGCAAGCTCCTCCTCCCAGGTTCACGCCATTCTCCTGCCTCAGCCTCCCGAGTAGCTGGGACTACAGGCGCCTGCCACCACACCCAGCTAATTTTTTGTATTTTTTTAGTAGAGACGGGGTTTCACCATGTTAGCCAGGATGGTCTCGATCTCCTGACCTCGTGATCTGCCCGCTTCGGCCTCCCAGAGTGCTGGGAGATTACAGGCGTGAGCCACCACACCCAACCAGAAAAATGCTTAAATAAATGTGTTGTGGCCTAATGTACAGTGTTTATAAAGTCTACAGTAGTGTACAGTAATGTCCTAGGCCTTCACATTCACTCACCTACACACCCAGAGAAACTTCCAGTCCTTCAAGCTGCATTCATAGTAAGTACCTGAAATGGTTTGGATTTGTGTCCCTGCCTAAGTCTCATGTCAAATTGTAATCCCCAATGTTGGAGGAGGGGCCTGGTGGGAGGTGATTGGATATGGGGTCATGGGGGCAGATTTCCCCCTTGTTGTTCCAGTGACAGTAAGTGGGTTCTCATGAAATTTAGTTGTTTAAAAGTGTGTAGTACCTCCCCCTTTGCTGTATTCTCCTTCTCTGGCCATGTAAGACGTGCCTACTCCCCTTTTGCCATCTGCCATGATTGTTTCCTGAGGTCTCCCCAGCCATGCTTCCTGTGCAGCCTGTAGAACTGTAAGCCAATTAAACCTCTTTTCTTTATAAATTACCTAGTCTCAGGTAGTTCTTTATTAGCAATGCGAGAATGGTGTAATACAGTATCCTATATATACAAATACCATTGTGTTACAATTGCTTCCGATATTTAGTGTAGTATCATGCTGTACAGGCTTACAGCCTAGAAGTAATAGTCCATACCATATAACCTAGGTGTGTAGTAGATTATATCATCTAGGTTTGTGTAAGTACACTCTGATGTTTGCACAATGACAGTACTGCCTGACACATTTCTCAGAACATATCCCCATTGTTAAGTGGCCTATGACTGGCTGGGTGCCGTGGCTCACGTCTGTAGTCCCAGCACCTTTGGAAGCCAAGGAAGGTGGATCACTTGAGCCCATGAGTTTGAGACTAGCCTGGGCAACGTAACGAAATTTCATCTCTACAAAAAATAAAAAAATTAGCTGGGCATGGTGGTGTATGCCTGCTTTCCCAGCTACTTGGGAGGCTCAGGTGGGAGGATCCCTTAAGCCTGGGAGATGGAGGTTGCAGTGAGCTAAGAGTGTGCTGCTGCACTCCAGCCTGGGCAACTGAGTGAGAATCTGTCTCAAGGAAAAAAAAAAAGTGACATATGACTGCATTTAACACATAGTAAATATAATCTAACATATAAATGTAGATAAAATTTATATTTGGGGAAGAGAATATAAATTCTTTCCCAATACATAGAGAATATTTATAAAAATTACATAGCAGGATATTAACAAATTTTAGTTGACTATAATAATTAGAATTTTTAAACTCATGTCCACTCATAATTCAATAAAACTAGAAATAGACCAAGAAATGATGTCATGGAAGACTTAGCTACTTAGAAATTAAGGACCATTTTTTCTGCACAATCCCTGGAACAAGGAGAAGATCAAACCTGAAGTTTTAAATGGTCTAGAGAGTAATGACTCTTTAGTAGTATCCAGTAAGGAAAATCCTGGATAATAAAACCCATGAGACCCTAATGAAGTACTCAGAGAAAAATTAATAGCCTTAAAATGAAAAATAGAATGAAAATACAAATACAAAGTCAACTTAAGAAATGAAGATAAATATTAAAATCAATAAAAAGAAATGAAGTGATACAAGCTAAAAATAATAAATAGGTTTAAAAATGGAAAACATCAACAAAATAAATTATTTCTTTGAAATGTCCTTTAAAATAAACTCATGGCAAGCCAAGCATTTCTTAAATGCCAAAAATTATGCATTATTAAAAGTTAGAAAAGATAAAAGGAATTTTTAGACACTGTTATGTGCAACTGTGTGTCAGTATATTTTATAATCTTGAGGAAATGGATGGTTTTCTAGAAAAATAACTGAAATTTATATAAGAAGATATTTAAAAACTTAACAGACCACTAACTGTAGAAGAGACTGGAAAATTAAAAAATAATTTTTATACATACACACACACACACACACACACACACAGAGACTTCTAAAGATGAGAATTATTTAACCAAAAACACTGAGAAAAACACGCATATGGCAGAAAAAGAGTTAAAATACTATGTATATAAAGAGTTCCTATAGATTTTGAAGAAGACAAGCAGCCCAAAAGAAAAGTAAATTAGGAATATTAATGTAACAGAATGACAAAAATTCGTTCATGTTAATAATCAGATAAATTAAGGGAAAAAAGTTACTATTTTTTTTTACCCATTAATTTTGCAAAAATTCAAAAGAGCTATGATATACAGAGCTTTTAAGGATGGGAATACATGGGACAGTTTCATACATTGCTGGTGGGAGGGTGCACTGCTACAAGCTTTTTAGGAAAGTAGAGTTATCTTCTAAAGTAAAACTACTCATATCCTTAAAATTTTGGGAGATCATTCTATGGAATTTTATGCAATAAATGAAAGTCTGAGTTAGAACTACATCTTTTGCCCTAGAAATATTGCCATTATATATTAAGTGAGAAAAACAAACCACAGAGTCATGTGCAAAAGTGTGATCCTATCTTTTTTTTTTTTTCAATAGGTTTTGGGGGAACATGTGGTGTTTCTTTGGTTACGTGAATAAGTTTTTTAGTGGTGATTTCTGAGACTTACCTGCATCTATCACCTGACCAGTGTACACTGTACCCAGTGTGTAGTCTTTTATCCCTCATCTCCTTCCCACCTTTTCTCCCAAAGTCCATTGTATCATTCTTATGCCTTTGCATCCTCATAGCTTAACTCCCAACTTATGAGTGAGAACATATGATGTTTGGTTTTCCATTCCTTAGTTACTTCACTTGGAATAAAGGTCTCCAGTTCCATCCAGGTTGCTGTGAATGCCATTATTTCATTCCTTTTTGTGGCTGAGTAGTATTCCATCGTGGAATATATATATATATATATATATATATATATATATATATATATATATATATATATATATACACCACATTTTCTTTATCCACTCATTGTTGGATGGGCATTTGGGCTGGTTCCATATTTTTGCAATTGCGAAGTGTTCAAGTATCTTTTTTTGTATAATGACTTCTTTTTCTCTGGGTAGCTACCCAGTAGTGGGATTGCTGGATCAAATGGTAGTTCTACTTTTAGTTCTTTAAGGAATCTACACACTGTTTTCCATAGTGGTTGTACTAGTTTACATTCCTACCAAGCAGTGTAAAAGTTTTCCCTTTTTTACCACATCCACACCAACATCTATTATTTTATAGATTTTTTTTATTGTGGCCATTCTTGCAGGAGTAAGGTGGTATCACATTGTGATATTGATTTGCATTTCCATGATTATTAGGGATGTTGAGCATTTTTTCATGTTTCTTGTCCATTTGTATATATTCTTTTGAGAATTGTCTATTCATGTCCTTAGCCACTTTTTGATGGGACTTTTTGTTTCTTTCTGATTTGTTTGAGTTCCTTGTAGATTCTGGAAATTAGTCCTTTGTCAAATGTATAGATTGTGAAGATTTTCTCCCACCCTGTGGGTTGTCTGTTTACTATGCTGATTACTTCTTTTGCTGTGCAGAAGCCTTTTAGTTTAATTAAGTCCCACCTATTTATCTTTGTTTTTGTTGCAGTTGCTTTTGGGTTCTTAGTCATAAAGTCTTTGCCTAAGCCAGTGTCTAGAAGGGTTTTTTCAATGTTATCTTCTAGAATTTTTATGGTTTCAGGTCTTAGATATAAGTCTTTGATCCATCTTGAGTTGATTTTTGTATAGGGTGAGAGATGAGGATCCAGTTTTGATCTTCTACATGTAGCTTGCTAATTATCCCAGCACCATTTGTTAAATAGGGTCCTTTCCCCACTTTATGTTTTTTTTTGCTTTGTCGAAGATCAGTTGACTATAAGTATTTGGGTTTATTTCTGGGTTCTGTATTTTGTTCCATTGGTCTATGTGCTTGTGTTTATAGTGGTACCATGCTGTTTTGGTGAGTACGGCCTCATAGTATAGTTTGAAGTCAGGTAATGTAATGTCTCCAGATTTGTTCTTTTTGCATGGTCTTGTTTTGGCTATGTGGGTTCTTTTTTGGTTCCATATGAGTTTTAGGATTGTTTTTTTCTAGATCTGTGAGCAATGATAGTGGTATTTTGATGGGAATTGCATTGAATTTGTAAATTGGCAGTATGGTCATTTTCACAATGTTGATTCTACCCATCCATGAGCATGGGCTGTGTTTCCATTTGTTTGTGTCACCTATGATTTCTTTCAGCAGTGTTTTGTAGTTTTACTTGTAGAGGTCTTTAACCTCCTTGGTTAAATATATTCCTAAGTATTTTATTTTTTTACAGCTATTGTAAAAGGGGTTGAGTCCTTGATTTGATTCTCAGCTTGATCACTGTTGATGTATAGCAGAGCTACTGATTTGTGTACATTAATTTTGTATCCTGAAACTTTGCTGAATTCATTTACCAGGTCTAGGAACTTTTTGGATGAATCTTTAGGGTTTTCTAAGTATACGATCATTTCATCAGCAAACAGTGTCAGTTTGACTTCCTGATTAACGATGTGAATGCCCTTGATTTCTTTATTTTGTCTAATTGCTCTGATTAGGACTTCCAGCACTATGTTGAACAGAAGTGGTGAAAGTGGCCATCCTTGTTTTGTTCCAGTTCTCAAGGGTAATGTGTTCAACTTTTCCCCATTCAGTATAATGTTGGCTGTTGGTTTGTCATAAATGGCTTTTATTAATTTAAGATATGTCCCTTCTATGCCAATTATGCTGAGGGTTTTAAATATAAAGGGATGTTGGATTTTGTCAGATGCTTTTTTGTGTCTCTTGAGATGATCATGTGTTAATCTTGCCTCCTATCTGCCATTTTCCTTTTTTCTCTAAGTGTGATCCTATCTTAATAAAAATAAATAATAACAAAAATCCCAATATACATGTGTCTGTTTGGTTATATAGTTTTAAACTAGCAAGGAGTAAGTTATAAAGAGTCACATCAGCCTAAAAACACTGGTTCCCTTGGCGAGGTAGCAATGGAGGAATATAACAGAAAATTTGGGGAATATATGTTATTTTATCATTGAGAAGATCATCTATTATTTTATAGTTGTTAAAAATTAATAAAGAAAAAACAATATCACCAACAAAAAGGATACAGCTAGATATCATGTGTTTTGATATAACTCCCTACTTTTAAAAATCTCTAGAGGGATTTTCCATACAGAGCCTCTAATTGATAAATGTTTCATTCCTATTCCCCTGCTTTGCACCGGTGCTATTAAAAGAGCCTGATTAATTAAAGAATTTAAGAAATTTGGTACACATTTGGAAACAAATAGATCCAGATTTGTAGAAGGTCATTCTTCTATTATAGTCCGTCTGAAGATATTTGTGGAAGGCAACCATGCATATCTTTTCCACATTAGCAACAAAAGTGATTCTCTTTGCACTTATTAGCCACCAGAAAAATTCTCTTTGTTTCACTTATTTTCAGATTTATGTAGTCTGAATTAATATTTCAATAACCCTCTTCAAGAAAAGCATTTGGAACTATTCCACATGAATGTTGCATTCTTTAAGCAAAAGTGCAGAACATACTTTTTCAAGGCACAGATTGCTTTTCATAGATAATGTCTTCTCCTTAATCATGTATAAAGGGACGAATCTGATGTACACATTAGAGAAATGGCTCTGTCTTAGCAGGCAAAAGTCACCTCATTCAACAAAGCTCACAGCACTTTTAAAGAGGAGGGTATATAAAAATAGCAAGTACATTTCTTTGTACAATGTGTCATACTCCCACCCTCAGCGAATCCAGTATTAAATGAAAACATTTGCCATGGCAACATCGATTTACAAAGGGCAAATGATGTTTCTGAGAGATTGGAGTATTTCCTTTCATAGATTTCAGAAGCACACACAGTTAACACTTTAGCAACCTTGTTTAATAACTATATATATATATAACTATAAAAGCTTTACTTGATTATTTTTAAGTATTGGAGATAAAATCCAAAACAAAACAACAAACTCCTAACAAAAACTGCCATCAAAGTAGATTCAAGCAGGAAAAAAATATCACTAGAACATTTTAGCCTTCACTATTTATGGGAATAACAATTATTTCATGTGGTAAGCTGTGCTAAATTAAATCTGTGAATGATCATTTTGCTATGAAAATGAAAATTCTGTTTATCTTACCATTTCTACAGTTGACGTTATCAGTTATAATATTTAGCCTCCTCATTTTGGACATCTTTAAAATATTTTATCTATTTTTCATAAATGCTAAGGCAGAATTCACAGATTGCAGTTGTAGTTTCATCTATTTGACTCAGACTATGAAGGCAGACACAGTAGATGTAAGAAAGAAGATAGATTGGTAGCCTGAGTAAATGCAAGTATTGAAGAGGTGACCTTAGTGGGGTCAAACAAGTTTAGAAGTTAACAAATAGTCTCTATATTTTTTCTCAGCTTGTCATAACCACTCCATGATACAAAATGGAGAAAATTGTGGCCAGAGGTGAGGAAATTAAGTACCTGCCCTAAATAGTTTATAGTCAAGAGCAAAAAATTTGTCTTACTCATTTCTTTAACTCTGCCAGAGGTGAATACTGTTCTACTATCTAACCTTTATTTAATGGGCACAGTAAGCTGGGATCTAGAAGCTTATGGCTTCTGAGTGTAAGGGAACTTCTAGTCCTTCAGTCAATTATGGCAGGAGTCAGTTGAAATGAATAAGGTGTTTCATACAGTTACCGCCCACAGCATTCACCAGTGAAGCAAACAAAAGCCAAATCTAGCACTGTTTTAATGTTTTCAAGTCTACTGTTGTTTGAAGACTGCAGGTTCTTTGGAAGACCTTGTATCATTTATTTTCTCACTTGCCTCTTTCTTGAACATGCATTCCCCACGATTCAAAAATATCAATTGTCAAAAAGTTTATAAATGTATAAATCTGAGATAGTTTCCTTGCATTTGCAAAGCAAATCCTCCAGAAGATATTTATCATGGTTAAGAATTTATAGAGAATAGAGATTAGCAAACCTGTGATTTGCTGTCCTGTTTACATTTATTATGAAGGATAACATTAATTAAATTAAGAATGATCTCTTCATTGTGGAAGTCAGTTCCAGAAATTATTGAGAATGAGGTTTTTTTGCGAGATAAATTCAAACCTTCTAGCAAATCCCAAAGATATTATAATGTACATATGAGTATTAATAGAGTTAATTCAGGCATATATAATATTTTTATAGTAATTTTGCGGAGTATTGAAATGTTAACAAGACTGAAATGATTTTCCACCCCTTCTTTTTTTTAAATACCAGTCTGCCACAACATTTTTCCTCTTAGGCTTTTATGTTGCCATTGTTCTTTACATTCATTTTTCAGTATTTAAATATCTGTCACTGTAATGTTACAGAATACGTATTCTTTCTCTGTAAACCTACCTGACCCTCTCACAGTGATCTGATCTGAGCACCCTGTTGTATCACTCTTATAGAACCATTATATTGTCACTAATTATAGTGATTATTTTTTATGTTTTAAATATCTTGCACTAAAGGATCTCTGAAACCAATGACTGCATCTTACTCATCTTTGTGCATATTTTTGGTTAGTGTATACTCAAACTTAGCAAACATCACAGTCTGTATTTACAAGAAGCCAGCTTCTGTCTGTCCTGTGGGAAAGATATTGTTTGCACAGTATTCTGTATTGTGCCTTGCACATAGAAGGTACTCAGTGAGTATCTGTTGATTAACTGATCTCCCTTGAATCTACACCTAGTTATTTCTTCTGTTCTTCAATACAGGTAGGAAAGTAAGTTGGATGATGACCCATATAGTATCAAAAAGATTGTCTATCTTGTTAGGACTATATTCTCAGTGCCTTGCAGAGTGCCAGGTACTTAGTAGACATTAAGAAATATTTGTTAGGGATTGATATTTAATGCTTATTGCTATGGCTTGGATGTGGTTTGTCCCCACCAGAACTCATGTTGAAAGTTGATTCCCAATGTGGCACTGTTGGGAGATGGGGATGTTTGGGCCGTGGAGGCAGATCTCTCATGAATAGATTAATGCCCTCACATGGGGGTGAGTGAGAATGGATTAGTTTTCAGGAGAATGCGTTGTTCGAAATTGTGCCTCCCTTTGTTTCTCTCTCTTGCCTCCTCTCTTACCATGTGATTTTGCACAAGCTTTTTCTCCATTCTGCTTTTATTCATGAGTTGAAGCAGCCTGAGGCCCTTACCAGATGCAGCTACCGAATCTTGATCCTTCCAGCCACTAGAATCATGAGCCAACCTTTTTTCTTGGTAAACTACTCAGCCTCAGGTATTCTGTTATAGGAACACAAAATGGACTAAGACAGTTGTGTTCTTCAGTCAAAGCACAGAGCACATTAGCAAGTAAAGCTTGATTAGGCAGTTAGACTTCAAAGAAATTTATAGTGTAGTAAATATTTCATCTTCTTGGTTAACATGGTTGGAACCACATTAGACTATTTACCTCTTTAGTGGTCTAAATTCTAGGTGTATACAATTACTTTAATTTTTTTCCTTCAAAATGTCTTTCAAATTTTTCCCTTTTCCTCTCTGTTCCAGCTGCACTGGTTTCTTTGATTTCCTTGCACTTACTACATTTCCTCTCAAGTCTGTGCCCATGTTGTCTTCTTGCTAAGTTTACTCTTCCCTCCCTGTTTAACCTGGTAAATACCTTCTCATCTTTCAGATCTCAGCCTGGGCATCACTTTCTCAAAGAAGCTTTTCCTGACCACCTCCAATTCCCCCTATTCCTCCTGTTCCCCGCATCCTCCACCTTTTAGAGTGCTATGGTAGCTCTCCTAGCACCCCATGCCTCTTTTTCAGGGTAACCTTCACAAATGCAGTTTCACATTTGTTAGCATCGTTATTCAATTCATGCCTATATTTCTTCACCAGACTGCAGACTATGGAGGGCAGGAAGCACATCAGGTTTTGCTCATCATTGTATCTCATCAGTCTATTCCAGTGTATGGCAGTAGCCGACTCAATATGTATTTCAGGGATAAACAGACATACGGGGCATATGGGTGGATGAATGGACGAATTTCCACTGCTACTCTCCAATTATAGACTTAATCCAGACAGCAACACTTCCTGGTCTGTTCCAGCTCCATTGCTTCCCCCTGCCCATTGTATCCTCCTTGCACATTCTCAGTTCCACCAGTGTGTCTCCTAAAGGACTGCACCTATAATTTCATGCCCCATACCCCTCTCATTCAGCATGACTAACATCACATTTAAACAGATCTAAATTCTAATTTAAATCAAATTAATATTCTCTAAATTAGACAAAATTCTCAAATCAAATCTAAATTCTCCTTATCTCCCAAGGCCTTTTATTATCTGGTTTTATTCAGTCTACTCAATTTCCTTTCTCAGAACTCCCTAAAATGTCACCTCTGTACCTAATAGTCCAGTTACCAGACTGTCCCTGCCTCCACCACACTTACTCCCATCTCAGGGTTTGGTTCAGGCTGTATTTTCAGGTCCCCCAAGTGTCTTCCTCTTAACTTTGTTTATCTGAATTCCTCCCTTCCTGTGTGAAAACTTAATGTCTCTTTTCTGAGCCTCTCTGATGCTGAGAGAAGTCTTGGTTACCTCCTTTTGTTTCCTTTTTTTTCTTTAAAATAATGCTTTTATTTAAAATACCCTTTTTACAAATATTAAAATTTTATTGAATTAATATGCTAAAATCACATGAACACTTGGCACCATTTGAAATGTAATCCTATCCATGGAATAGAATGCAAACATTAACTAAATGTAAAAGGGGGACAGATTTAGGACTTTAAGAACATGTTTTAAAATAAAAGTTTTTAATAAATTTCAGTACTCCTTTTGTTTTTTGAGGTTTCCACTTTATAATTTTTAAAATACTAAGAACTGCCAAAGAGAAGTATAAAAACAGGGATGTATTTTATGTGCTGGATATTCTCCACTGGCCTCTCCAGATGTCCTTCCCACCCTTCTTCAGCCTGCTCCACGCTCCAGGAGGCTGACCTTTATGGACTACATTAATGGGCTCCCTTGCTCTCTGGCTTTCAGTGGCTTTAGTTTGTGGGAGGAACTGGCAGAAGACTGGGCAGCAGGAGGATAAGGAGGTCAGAGTATTTATTTCCTTGGTTCCTTTTCTGGTAGGCAGCAGGTTGGCAGTAACTGGGTTTCTCTAATGATGCCATAGCTCCTATCATCTCTCATGGTTATAACAGTTTCTGGTTTTGGTAACTCTTCCTCTTCTTGGCTCTTAGGTTTTTGGGTGGTACAGTTTGCTGCTTTATAAATCCCTGGGGTGTTTTAACATCCCTGCATGCTTCCCTTAACCTAGCCGTCTTTGTCCTTGCTTCCTTGGTTAAATTCTTCTGAATTGCCCCCTTTATTTGTGTCTTCTATTTTTTTTAATGGAACATTGATATCATTTAAATATTAACTATAGCAAATTAATGCTTTCATTATAGAAATGATACAGTGTGGTTATGGAAGGAATATCATCTTTTTTGATTCCTATCTTGTGTCTCTGACTCTGCATGATCTTGTTAGGGGAAAAAGTCTGGCCAAGTGGCCCTCCTCCTTAGCCCCCTTATTGGGCCTGTCTAGAACCAAGTCAGCGGTTTCCTTGGTCCCCTTATTGGGCCTGTCTAGGACCAAGTCAGCACTTTGGTCTCTCCCGTCTCAGAATTCCTACTACTTTTTTAGTCCTTACAACAAGGCTTAACACTTCACCATTTCCTAATGGCAGACTTTGTCTCATCCATTAGATTCTAAAGTTTCTGAGTGAAAAGAGTATTTTTATATCTATTTTTATGCCCCTGGAGCAATACATACATAGCAAAAAAGATCTTAAAGATCCTTTTCTTTCCTTTTCCTTGTAATGTATTTGTGAAGAAATCAGGGTATTTATTCGATAGAGTATCATACATTTTAGGTTTTGCTGATTGCATCACTAGAGTATCATTTAACATGTTTCTCTGTTCTTTTTCTTTTTTGTGCTGGTGCATCTAGAGGCTAGATCAGATTTAGATTAGAGTTTTTGGCAAGAATGTTTCATAGATGGTGGTATGTATTACCAGCAGAAGGTAATCTGATTGTCTCTCTTCTTGTAATGTTAATACTACCTATTAATGAGGAAATGTGAGGTTGATAATCCATTATAAAGTCTTTTGTCAGCTTATTATCTATTGCTTTTAGTTGCCATAAATGATCATCATTGCCGTGGTTAATTAGAAGTTACGTATGATAAGTATTCTTCTCATTCCTTCTGAATTTGTCAGTGGAAATACATCTATACAAGGAAACTTTCCCTCGTAAGCTATTTGATCACCTTTAAATACACTTTATGTTGCTTACATCATTTTTGTTCTATAATTGCTAGATATAAAACTTTTCTTGTAACACCTACTCATGGTCATTGGACTACAGAAATCTAATTATATATTGATGATAATTTAGAATTGTTTAATTTAATTGTACTTACCATGATGTGTGGATTTGTGCATGTGTATTTGTAAGCCTGAGAAAACATAAGAAAATAAAGCCGATTTTAAAGCATTGTAATTTTGTTGTTGAAATTAGGAATTTTCCGAGGAGGTTTAGGGAAGAATACAATGTACTAAAATGTAGTATTTATGTTTCTAATGTAAAATTAACTTATGACAGGTAAAAACATATCTGGAAAATGGGCATTTGCAGTTCCTACAGCTATTTGGTTCATATACTAATAACCCCATTAACTGTGTGACAAGTATCCACTGGGAGTTTAGAAGACAACCTTTGTAGAGTCCTTCCTTTTCTTGAATTATTAATATTATCTTTGAATGGAAGTTGCAAAATTGCAGTGGGATAAATTTAGTTTGATAGACTTAAAAAGCATAAATAAAATGCTTAAAGGAAAAAATGACTCAATGCTCTAGAGCTGTTTTTATAGGATCAAATCCTTTATAAAAGGTTTTTAGTCATGAAACAGAACAAAATTCAACAAACTAATTCAACTAACATTCACTGCATACCCAGTTCCTATGTCAGGTAGTCTTTGGGAACACAAAGAAGAATAAATCAAGGCGTCACCCCTTAAAACACAATCCAATAGCAGGACTAGCAAAAAAGGAGTTTTGTTGTAATTGCCTAATACTGAAGTAGAAATGTTTACGACATATAAAGGAAAATCCAAGAGCAGGCCAAAGAATGTTTTTATATTTGATTTTATAGTTCCTCTTAAAAGTTCAAAGCTAAGGATGCAAATCTGTTGAAACGTTTCTTTTATGAGTTAGAAGTTTAAGGGAAATGAATAGGTCACAGAATCACTGTGAGGGAGGTAGGGAGAAGCAGAATAACTTTGCCCTTGACCATTATGGTTAAATATATGACTCCATCACTAAACATAAGTACCCCATGTCTGTTTCACCTCTCCTTTGAAAGGAAAAAAGTATAATTTTTCAGAAGGCACAGTTTCTTCATATTAACTTAGAATTGAATTGGCTTTCCATCTCTTATTTCTGTCAACATTATCAGGCTTGCTAAACTGGGAATGGGCATTTTATCATTCTGTCTTCTTATATCTTAGTAGCTAGTTAAGAGACTCAGTGGAAACTGCCTAGATGAGTATATTTAATTGATGATAGATGAAAAGACAAGGATTTCAAAAATTCTGAACAGGTCAATACATTGAAATGGGCCTGGTTACCTGAAAATTATCTACTGATGAATAAACTTAGAATGCTGTCAGGACCTATTGTTTGCCTACTTTTCAGACATCTCCTGTTCTTTCTTGCCTAAGAGAAATTCCCTTTTGTTCCAGCATTGGCCTTCCCTTTCCTGATTAGACTAAGCCAATTCTGGTCATTCCTTTTCTCTTCCTAATGATTGCTTTAGAGATGGGCATGTGGTATAATTCTGGCCATTTAGATGTGAGGTGAAGTCTTTTGGAGCTGAAGTGCTTCTGGGAAAGTGTCATTCTTGAAAAGGACCTTAAGGAAGAGACTTTCCCTCCCCTAGCCTTTGGAAATTGCATTGGGCATTGTGACAACGACATACTGAAGCTACTGCAACCATCTTGTGATCATGAAGGGAGGCAAATCCATGAAATAAAGGCAACATGCTGAATATGACAAAGCTGAAAGATGGAAAGAACCTGATTACTTGATGACGTTGTTTAGTTGCTGGATGAAATAATCATTCTTGCATTTGTTCTACTTCTGGACTTCTCATTATGTGAGAGACTACATCTCTGTTGGTTTAAGTCATTTTAAGTTGGTCTTCTGCAATTTGCAGCCAAATGCATTCTTAGTGATAGTAAACATTTTCTTAGACCTCTTACATGTGACTGAGATGCCATGTGTTTAATTTAGTATTATCTTTGTGATATGTCCCGATGACTGTATGCACAATAATCCCAATAAAGAAAAGAGCTATTTCTGATAAACACTTTCATAGCCATAACAGTGCATTGCCATTTTGCTTTTTAAAAATCATTGTACCAATTTTAAGTGTCACCAGCAATGAAATAAAAATTTAAGCATCTTTCAAGTTGAAAATTCTGCTAATAGTTGCCATGAGTACATACATTTATTTGAGTTTTACAAGATTATTTGCATATTTTACATACTGTCTTTAACAGGAACCATTTCAGGCAATGTTATATGGTGCTGATACCAGTTATCAATGCGTAACAAATAGTAAAAGTGCAAATAATACATGAATACATTAATTTTCAAATTGTCGTTTGTTATATATGTAGCAGAGTCTCACAGTTTATAGACTATTCTTCAAGTAGGCAAAGAAAATAAATATTTTACTTTAAAAAATTGATCTAATTTAGCTTATTACACCTGTGACCTCTGGGTATCAAGGGAAGAAAACCTTCAAAATATCAGTTAAAGGTATCTCACTTTCTTCTGGTTCAAGACAGTCACCTCAACTTTTTAGTAAGCTATACCTCCTCTTCCCTTTTTTATTTGTCAGTACAGTATTTGGTTGATGGAAAGGGAGGTCTTACATGAATGGCCTTGGGCAGTGGAAGAGGTCTTAAATGAATGGGATTCATTGCCTCTGTTTCCTTAATTGGTGTCAATTTCAATAACTGTGATTATGAAATTAACCTCCATTTGGCCAGAGGAATTTCTTTTACTTCTTCCTTTTATTTAGAAAGGTATTCCCCTATGTCATGCTTTCTCCCTTTCCCAGCTTAGCTTTAGCCCTGCCAACCTCCTTGGAGCCATAACAGAATGCTTGCTGGGGAACCAAATATGATTTATGTGGGAGAGGAATGTGAATACATTCAAAATACTAGTATTACAAATATGTAAAACCTGAAAACCCAAAACCTTGCACAGAACTGTAACATTTATAAATATGCTGAAGTCTGTTGGGTTGTTTCTAAAAGTCATCTACTTTAACATTGTAGTTTTTATTCTTTTCTTACTCTTTCATGTGAAAAGTATCTGCTTTTGTAGTATATCACTTCACTAGTTCCCAGTGCATCATAAGAAGTTAAAATCACTGTGTGCTGAAAGGGTAAATTAGGTGTTTAGGTTCCTAAGTTTGTGTTGGTATCACTAGTCTATGGAACAGAAATAGTTTCCAGGGTTGGAAGTCAACAAGCATCCATTGAAATTCTCTACTTGGTGGCATATTCTTGCTGGAGTCTGTGTAATATCAACATTGCTTTAAATAATTTTCCTTACCTTATTTTATTTTGACTATTTGAGATTTTTAAATTAACCTATTGACTCATCCTTTTTCTTTTGTTGTCTCAAGCTCTTCGGTTTTTGTCGCTGTTTTTATTGTTTGTTTTTCCCTTGATGTTTTGTCTTTCCTGTTTCTCAATCTGCCCTAGTCCCTGTGATCATCACCAAAGGAACTGGTGGGAAAACTTTGTGGTGACTGCTATGTACCATTGCTGCAGGCATTTCTTGAATGGGGTCAGTGTAGATGACAGCACTAGAGATCCTGGGGGTAAATACCATGGACAGCGAGTGTGGCTAGAGCTTTACATAGTCTTGGGAAGAGCTTGAACTACGAGAAGAGTACCCACAGGGTCTCAGTCCTTCTAGGGGGAGCCACAGAGAAGAAGAACTGAGTTCTTTAAAATATTAATAAGTTAGGGATATTAACACAAAAGGTAGATGTCCAGATATTAATATTGTATTATAGACATGCCTATAAGAACACAGCTTACTTATGGATTTTGATTATCCACATTGTCAACTACCCTCTCCTTAAAACTTCTCTTTCTTTGTCTTCCAAGGCATGTGGCTACCCTGATTTTTCTCTGAACTCCTTGGCCGCTGTTACTTGGCCAGCCAGTTCACAGCTCTGTCACTTCTCTTTCCCTTTTTTCTGTCTACTCTCAATACGCTGCCTCCTCTACACACATTGCCCAATTACTATCCAATTTTTATGTTTCCTAAATTTACATCTTTAGGCCAAGCCTCACCTCTGAACTCCAGACCTTGACCCAACTGCCCCTTTGACATTTACAGATGGATTTTCAAAAGCTGCTCAAATTCAACATGTTCAGTGCCAAATTCATTATCTTCTTCAAACCTGGTCATCCGTGTTTTATGTCTCAGTGAATTATATCACCAATACATTCAGTTATGCAAGCCAGAAATCCAGGAGTTATTCTCAACACTGCCTCCTTACCTTCCTTTCAAATCCACTCCCCAGTCATGTCTATTTTACCTTTTAAATGTCTCTAGAATCTGCCCTCTTTTCTCCTTCTCTACTGTCATCACCTAGCTTTAAGCTACAATTTTTCTGAATAGTTACATGGCATCTTCACTAACCTCATCTGGTTAATTTCCATGTCATTTTCCTACAAAAAAAAAAAATGTCTGTGGCTTTCTGTGGCTGTCATGAAAAACAAAACAACCAAAATTCTTAAATGAACTACAGGCCCTGCATTGTGTGCCACATCTACATGCCCAGTCCAATTTAAAACATGTTCCTCTGTCTGTGTGTACTGGCTTTTGTTTTTTCTGTCACACCAAGTTCTGTCTAATTACACGGCCTTTGAAAATACTATTTCTTACGCTAAAACATTGCCAACCCCCCTTGACCTAGAGCATTTCCTCTGAATTATTAGCTTTTGTAGCAATCTATATTTCTTCTTTGTAGCACTTAAAACAGTAAAAATTTAACATTTATGTGTAATTATTTCTTTGCTAAACTAGTAGACTAAGTTTTATGAGGGCAGAGACTATGTATACTTTTGCTCACAGTTTTGTGAATGTAGAACAGTGTCTGGTTCCTGGGAATTACTCATATATGTTTGCTAAGTGAATGAATGGATGGGTAGAAGAATGGCTTTCTGTGCAGCCATTGAAAGAGATTTAAAGGTAGGCAAGTATTAATGAGATGACTATGGCAAGATATATTAGAATTAGAACAGGCCTGGGGGGAAAAAAACACAGAAATTGAGAAGACCACTTTGTTTTCTGATGGTTCATTATAAATGTCAAGAGAATAGAATGCAACTTTGGCAGTAAGATAGTGGACAGACCCATTCAAGTCTAGAGCTTCTCTCCTATGAAGCTGTATTGTCTCAGTATCAAATATAAGCCACTTAGCACAGAAATATGGTGTTTGGGGTAGTCATTGAGGAGCCTTTGCTGTTCTGAAGTGTCCACAAACAGATTTGATACATACAGTTAGTTTCTAATCATTTGTATTAAAGGAGAGGAACATCAGTGTGAATAAATGTTGGCACCAGGTTCAGAAGATTGACTGATTCCGTATTCAGGGGAACTTGATGAAAAGCATGAACCACTAGCTTAAAGTTGGGAAAGGTGAGTAATGGAGATCGTCAGCACTCCCTGTTCAGAATAGCACAGTTTCCTTCATGTAACTCCCGAGTCCCCATCACAGGGAAGCCAAGGAGGTTTCCACCGCTATCGCCACCCTGTTGTATGATAGGCAATTAATGATAGTAGATTATTAGTATGTTCCTTTTTGTTTACTCATAAGTGAAAGTATGTGAAAGCTCTAAGACAGCTGTTCCCTCACCAAAATATTTTTCCCTCATCGTTTGCTCATACAGATTTGTAATTCCCATAGAAGAGCGCTTGCCAGGAGAGTCACTTCCATTTGAACTACTTGGTGTTGAGATTCTTCTCATCATCAGCCACAGTGTGATTATAGTTTAAAAATGCAAATGGGATTCTGGGATGAATCAACTGAAGGATAAAATTCATATGAAAAAGTGATCTGTATAAAACCCTAATTAGGCAGCATCTATGATACAGCCTTTCTTAAACTGTGAGTTTATTGCCACCAAAAGAAGTAGATAAGTGCAAAATTCAACAACTATTTCTAGAGCTCCCAGTATGTGTCAGATATAATTCTAAATACCTAGAATGCTAGACAGACACTGTTACAAGATTACATTCTAGGTTGGGAAAAATGTTGATAGGGGATGGAACTAGTATAGTGGTAAGGACAAAAGCGAAGCATTTTGGAGAATCATTTGGGAACGTTTTAACATAAAATCTTCACTATGACTGTTTCTTCCACAGCCTAAGAAATATGGTAACATCTTTAAAAAATTAAATGGTAAGAAAAAGAAAACTGGGAAAGGGAAACAAGGATAGACTACATATAATAGTGATAGTTTAAGGAATTTTATCTGTTATTAAGTGTCTTAAATTCTGGCTTCAGAGAGATGGATTATTTAAACTTGAGTTTTTTTGCTTCAGAAAATCTTTTATGCTTTGGTATAATTTTCTTTTGCTCTAGCTTCCTTTTATACTAGGATGAGGTGGAGAGTACAAACACCACGGAGTTAGTGTGAGCCTCCTATGCATGCATTAAAAACACTTTGGGAGACAGCGATTTGATTCTTTTACATAGTTGGATCACATAAAATAAAACTTTGAAAAATAATTTTCCAATTATTTTCTTCCTCTCATAATCAAAATTCTGGCCAAAGAGGCTTGACCACTTTCCATACGTTTTCCTTGTTGGATGGGTAGAACTACCAACGCTCTTGAAATTTCCATTAGTTTTTCCCAAAATGCAGTTATTCAAACCCTAAATGAGTAATATGTGGAAACGTAGGACTTTAGGGTTCCTTACCAGTTTGTCTGGGTTGGATTTAAAATGTACACAATCAGGGGTTGGTATAGAGACTATTACCAACTTTCTGATTAGCTACTCTGAGGTACAAAGTCACAACTGCCACCACAAGATGTTTCCACTGGTTCTGGGTTTTGATTACTCCTATTGCATATATTTATGGTGTACATCATGCTGTTTTAATATTCATATACATGGTGAAATTATTACTATAGTTAAGCAAATTAATCTCTCCATCATCTTTCACAGTTATTTTTATTTTTATTGTTTGGTGTTTTGGTTATTTAATAAGTGATGACTTAGAAAAGTTACCAGAGACCATACTATACACAATATAATATTTCTATGACTTATGGCCTATTTACAGGGAACAACCAATTTACAAATAGCCAAAGAAATAAGCAAAAGGGCCATAACCAGATAAAACTGCATCATGTTATCTATTTGTACACCTCTTTGTGTCATCACATTGAATAGTCTTTAAGAAAGGTAGTCTGGGAGGATTCTGTACAATAAAAGGTTATTATTCAATCAGGATCAAATCATAGTATTCAACACTAGAATAGGAATGATATCTTTGGTTTCCCCAAACAAAAATTACTGGTTTTATGTGAACAGTTTTCATATGTAATAATATACAGAGATTTTGTTTGTCTCATAATAATTTAAATAAGCAGTTGATTTTATTAACGTCCTTTTCCATAGAAACCACTACATCTCTATTCGCAAACAACTAAATCAAAATAAAGAATGCTATGAGAGAACTAACTCTTGGTTAAAAATGGGGAGTAATAGGATATTATAGGAGTGTTATAGTAATAAAGCCTTTTTATTTCTAGCACACTATCTTCTTTTGTCAGAAAAATGTACTTTTCTTGGATAGTTCCCAGTAGCATCAGTAAAAAGGCATCAGCAATATCATATCCCTCTCGATTCAGATTCGGCTGATGTGCCAAAATAGATAGCACTGGGCACCATGGCTATGTAGATTCATATTATTTCTCCCTTTTTGTATATCTGAGCCTTATGTTAGCAGTTTGAATCTTTAGTATTTTACAGACAGTCCCCTGGCACCAAGCTCAGATACAGTGTTCTTTCCACAGAGAGAAAAAGAGGATTCATGATGATGATAAATGGAAAATTGTGAATGGTTGTGCTGGTAGTTTGGGTTGAATTATAGAAGCATCCTTACTAGGACAGTGTGTTCATAGGAAGACTATTATAATGGGCAATAAGGTGCTGTCTTTATCTCTTCAGAATGTGTTTCAGAGAAACATTGATCTGAGTTATGTATATATTTTCAAATAACTTTGCAGAAACAAAATAGTGACAAAATTAAATGGCTGTGGCTCTAATCTAGTTCATTGCAGTTAGTCACCAAGCTTTTATGAAATGTTCTCAGGTGCTATTGAAAATGTAGGGTACTTGGACTAAAACTTCCTGTTAAATTTTATGTTACTTTGATTCCCTTATTTCTCCCATTAATCAACTAAACAACTAAAATTGTGTCTAAGAACTGACAACATTTTTTTAGAGAGGTTTGAAAAATACCTTTTAACAGCTATCTTTCCATAGTAGAAGAGAAGTGCTTTAATAACCTGGTACAAATTTCATTTCACCAATTTCCAGATTGTTTTTTAACTGCAAACAAATTACTTACCATCTTCAGCTTCATTTTTCCATGCGTAAAATGGTGTCTGTAATACCTACCGAATAGTGTTATCATGGAAAATAACTATGATAGAAACTTCTAATTGTGTATGATACTTGTCTCCTGCAGAGGGTCTCCTTCCTCCCTTCCTTTCCCTCCCCTCCACTTCCCTCCCCTACCCTCCCTTTACCCCACCTCTCTCTTTCTTCAACTGGCTTTAACAACTTAGGAAAGAAATAGTGGAAATGGGAATGGATTATCATTATTAGACAAGTTGTAAGCCAAAAAATACAAATTGCTAGAAGAAAGACATTTTCAAATTATTCTCATTTTAAATTGGGTGGCTGATGGTAAAAAATAATAATTATAGTATGGATCTGATGAATTATAAGTATAAATAGCAGGTTCCTTTATTCTCTGTATTATATGTGACCATCATTGACTTAATTTTTTAAATCAAGAACCAACTTGCTGAATTTGATATATCTATGTATGCCTATAACTTCCCTATTCCAAAAACAATGAGATAACTTATAATAAAATCAAAGATAGAGTAAAATCGAAACCTGTTATTCCAAATTAAAAAGAAGTTCTGTTTCCTTTTCATCATAACCTTTTGATCCTTTTTCATTATAAATATATGCTTAGCTGCTTTAAATTTACTTTTGTTTTTATATTTGCTTTTAAGTCATTATTTGTCACATTGCTGGGAATGATCTTGAATATATTAGTATAATGCACAGAGTGCATATATTCAGATCCCAGCTCCTGCACTTTTTGGTGTCCAAGATAAATAAGCCAACACCACTTAAAGTGGTAAAATAGATTTTATTCAGTAGTTACTATTGCAGTAGGGAAGTGGGTCCAGTGTGAAGTGAACCTAACTTTGACAAAACAAAAGGGAGGAGACCTTTTAGAAGCTGGGGTGTGGTGAGGGAAAGGCACTGAAGGATGTGAAAGGGAGCTGGTCCATGTGGCTGGGCCATCTGGGTTTGTTATTTGGGAGGAGAAGCAAACTTATTGTATCTTTATGACAGGAGGCAGTGGTGTCGATTAGAACAAGGTGCCCACTGGACTGAGAGCTGTGCGGTTATCTCCCTGAATGTAAGAAGACATTTTTGGGTGGTAGAAGATTTACATCTCAAAGGAGCAGAGAAAGGATTTACAGTTGCAAGCTTTCTGAAGTAACTGCTCTAAGAGAGGGTTTATGCTTGTTACCAGGTTTTGGCTAGAACAAATAATAAAATCTCCTGGAAGCATCTCCTTGAAGGGTGATAGGATCACATGAGGGGTGCAGCTGTGACCTGTTAGAAACTGTGCTAATGTGTTTCTTCAGGTCTCTTAATGTGTGTGTGTGGGGGGGGGGCGGGGGGAAGAGGGTAGACAAAATCAGCACAAATCCTTATTAGCAAAATAAAGTTGAATCTATTATAAAGACTTCTAAGAAATGAAACAATGCTGAAATGAGAAGAAAATGGCATATATAAAAGTAGTAACTAAGAATAGATCACATCTCAGTAATTTTTCAAATTTTAAGATATTTGTTTGATGTGTACTTGAACCCCCTTGTTTTTTAACACACAAGTAGAAACATAGGTACAAAATTCACAATTTTTTGGTGCTAATTGTTAGGTTTAGAAATGCCAAATGATTTCTATCCATGTTAGTGGAATCTGATCATTCCAGCTCTGTGCAGTAATAATCCAGGAAGCATGAATTATTAAAAGAGTGCAGCCTGTATTTGTATTGGGCATATTATTAACAATAGCACATACTTTATTGTGTATGGATTTCCATTAAGGAAGTGGAGTACATTGAATCTCATTCTCCTTAAATTGTAATTTTTATCACTAAAATTTCTTGATGTTAATATATTTGATAGTGAAAAAATGACCATTTAGATGAGACCAATAACTAGAAAAGAAATAATAGCTTGAGTTAATGTTGATTTCTTCAATGTATTACATAAAAAAATTTAAAGTAAGGGAGGGCAACCAAAAATAATAAATTTTAAGACCAACTTTTATTCATTGTACTTCTCTAATATTTGAGGCATTTGTAAAGTGATTCAGGAAATTAAATATTTAATTTTGCAAATAGCAAAGATGGTCAAAACTAACTTCTACCATTTTAAAATCAAATGCATTAAATTGTTCTACTCTTTTTATAAAAGCATCTAAAAATTTGCCTTTTAACTTAGAGAGTATTAGAAATATCACTCATGATGATTGGCTTTATAAATAGGATCTAAAGTTGTTTAGGAAAGAGTCTTAGACAAACTTTTAGGGTATCTAAGTTCTGGACTTAGCCTTTCCATTAACCTGCCACTCAGCCCTCAGAAGGAAAACTACCCTCACTGACTACTTTTTACAGTCATAGAAGCCACGTTTTAATAGTTATTATTTCTTCCTTACTAGCAACAGTTTAATTTGGATTTTTTAATCTTTTTTTTAATAGTCCGATACATACTTCTGCATGTCTATGCGAATACCAGTGGATGAGGAAGCCTTCGTGAGTAAGTATTAATTGGATTGGGGGAGTAGCAGTTTAATGGAGGGCAGTGATTTGAAATCAGTGAAAGGTTCTCTTTGAGGGTTATGAGCATATTAATCTTTTACTGTCAGTTTCTAAAATGCATTTATCATGCCTAATGCAGAAACAAACTAGAGAGAGCCACTGAGAGGCAAGATTATAAACTGTATCTGGAGAGATTCATGAGTAATAGTAATTAAGGAGTTGCATGCAGATGTTGATGGCCGCCAATACTGTGTGGTCCCATTTGTATAGTATTGGCTTTCTGTCTGTGGCAGGATGCTTAATTCCACTCCACTCAACAGACAGTTTATTTACCTGCTGGTTCATGCTATAAATCGACTGCACTTAGAATCAACATTGGTGAATGTAAGATTTTACCTGTCAGACAGGTAGATGGATAGAAAGGAAGGGAAGGAGAGAGGGAGGAAGGGATGAGAAGGGAAAGGAGAGCCAGAAAAGAAAAGAAATGGAAGAAAGAACATTTATGTTGTTGTTTGTATTATAGAATAAGAGAACGCTTAAATGACAGATTCTTCCCCAACTGAGCCTTTAAATCAGAGAGGAAAAGTGACAAAGCACCATCTGTTTCCTTCTAGGTTGTTTCCATTTAAACATCCCTTATGACAGACATTTAACTGTTTAGGGAAGAGCTGTGATTGGCAAATTATTCATGTATTTGGCTTTTCTCTGCTTCATTTTAAAACATTTGAGATGTTGATTTTGGAGAGAAAGTGTTGGTAGTAGTACTTTGGTCCCTTGAAACTAATCTTCAAGTGGGCTGTCTGAACTGGCTATTATGTGAATTGTGAAATGTGTACAGTAGCCTTGGGGCAGTCTGAGGATGAATTTTTATGAGGTGTTTCCCACAGGAATGGACATTATAGACCTGCAAAGCCAGAGCAATGTGCATTTTTTATTCACACACATTGGTGGCAATTACAACAGCAAATACAACCTTTAATAACACTCTCAACAAAATTTGCTGCATAGTTAATTCCTAAGAATGAAAGACCATACAAAGTTAAACATTGATGATGTTGTTTTGTATAATATTTGGACATTACCAAGAAAAAGTTAGGAAGCCAAGTTCTTCTATATCCTGAACTATCTTTAAAGACAAAAATAATTTAAGTTTCTAATTGTAGTGCTTTGAGTAACACTAAATATTATTTAGAACATACATTCATAATTAAAATCCTAGCCATAAAGCTTTCCTTAATTTCATATTAACACACTTGGCCACCTAAGAGAAAATAATATTTACTCGCAAAAGGAATTTCCCATGAATTTTTTTTTCCTAATTTATATTTTCTATGTCCAAGTTCAGGGGTTGTTTTGAGTCCTGTTTTCACACCAGCTATGAAGAGAAGGCCACCCTACACACCTGTGTAAATATGGTAGTCATGTGTTACAGCAGTATTACACATCTCACATTAATAGGTTTGTTTCTGGAGATTGGTGGTAGTATATGATTTTAGAACCAGTGACTGTAAGGACTATAAATATATATCCTGTGTGTTATTGCTCTCCTACTATAAATGTGTTTACGTTCACATAATTTAAAATGAAAAAATACAAGTGAGTATATTCAGTCAAGTAAAATATTCACAGGAAACACATAAAGGTCTATATTAGAACCAGAGTGCTAAATGTTTTCATACTTTCTTAGGCACTTTTCTTCTAAGATTAAACTATTCCAAGTTATAAGGTCCTTAAAAGGTCTTGTAAGATTAATAACTATTTTCAGTATTTCTTCCTTTGTTTATTACTTGGAGGATTGCATGGATACTGAAATTTTTTGTTCCCTATTCACAATGGGTTGTTTCATCTTCTGTGTGAGTCCTTTAATGAACTATGCCCAGGTGGTTTGTGGTTACTGTTGTTTACATAATTCAGCAACCAAAGAAGTTTAAGTATAGACAAATTAGAACTGGAAAATGGAAAACTAGAGACAATTAGCAAATAATCATTTATATAAAAGAATAAGTAAAGGAAATTTTGCATGCGTTATCTCGTTAATTCTTAGGACGATCCTGTATAGATAGTCTCATTTCATAGCTTGAGAAACAGAGACAGAAACATCTATATCTGTGACTTAATGAGGAGCTAAGACAATAGTTTGTATGGAATTCTCATTTATGTAACGGCTGGACCGTTACCATCATCTCTACCTGCCATTGTTCACTAAGAGCCTGCCAGACACTGTAAGATACTGAAAGCTAAACATAACCTAAGCCAATTTTCAGAAGAGGAAACAGAAAGTCAGAGAGGTTAAGGAATCTGCCCAAGCTTTTTACTAGCTATGTATTAACCTAGTCGTACTTCAGATTTTGGTGTGGGGATAGTGATACAAAGGGAGAAATGAGCAAAGTTATCAAGTGCATAGGTGGAGCTGAAATATAGCAAGAGCAGCACCGTTCTTTCTTCCTCACATCAAATACAATTATTCTTTCATTCCTTTACCTTCACTCCCTACTGGATACACTCTGGCCAGTTTTGCCAAAGGAAAAATAAACCTCAAACCATCTTAACAAAACAAATAACAAATACCCATGAAGATTTAAAGATTTGTAGAAGGAAAGGGGCTTGGATAGTTATATGTTGGGAGAGTGACCATACATAGCTTTTCCAGACTCCCAAAGTGAAAGTTTTGCCTATAGGGTAGCCTATGCTTTTTCCATTCTAAGGGATTCTGATGGCATAGAGAATGAAGCTATAGCCTTTTTGTGGATTGTCCCAAATTCCAGATCTCAGGATGCCTTATCCTGAGATTAGACATGGTTGCAAATGAAGAGCTGTAAAAACCCATAATACTTTGTTCGTTCTTTTCTGTTTTTAATTATTTTTATTTCTCATAGTCATTCTGTTTGTTTATTCTTTCCTTAAGACACTTAATGATTTTATACCTTCTGTTTTCATTATCTGTGCCTCTTTAAATTTTTGTATTCCAGCAGGATAGGCACCGACTCAATAATTGCTTGCTGAATGCGCGAGTGAATACTAAATAAGGATTTTGGCCGTTTTCTGACTCAGCATTTCAAACAGTAGATAATTTACCTTTCTACCTTGAATTATATTCTAATCTAAGGAATCATTGTTTTGCTTGTGTTTATGAAAAGCCATTGTGCATGAATTCAGCAAACTTAAAATTCTGCTACATATAAGTTATTGGGTAATAGGGATGTGAAGTATGATGCCTGTTTAAGGAAGTCACAGGCTAGCAGAATTCTAGACAAGAATAAAAGTGTTAAAACATATAAAAAGGACTTTCTCCTTGAACTTTTCAAATTTCTGAAGAAAATTACAAAAGACAATACAATTTACATTATTAATACTAGGACAGACTCTCTTGATGGCATTAAAAGTCAAAATTCGATTTGAATAACTCACTATTTTGGCTTTATGTTTATATGCTAGTTATATAACCCATCTTAAACATACTTCTAAATTTTGAGCAAATACCATCACAGTCATTATGGAACTCATATGTGTATATGCCTGTTATATTTACATATGAGCATATAGCATGTGTGATGTGTCTATATATCTGTATTTAATTATTGAATGTGAATTACAGTAGGTGTTTGAAGAACTGCAATGATGAAGATAAAAATATGTTTTATATTTTGAACAAAATTATAGCTTTCCCTAGGGCATTGTGTGTTTTTTTTGTTGTTTTAATAAGAAACCATAGAATTTGAATGGGTGAAAGTATAATAATATCTGCATTTGACCACTGAACTGTGGTGCTGTCTAAAAGGTGTTTTACAGACACTCAGCGGAATTGGCTCTGACAGCAGCCCACTCAGCCAAGAAATTTGACTGTCATCTTCATCCACTTGCTTTCCCTCACATGGATGACCTGTAAATAATTGTGTCTTTTCCTTAGTGAATGATGACAGGTCCCTATCTATCAAATTGCACTACATAAATGAGATAGAAGCCATTGAATTTAGAAACAGATGAAATTAATCTAATGATTCATTGTTTTTCATTTTCTTGGGCTTCTCTCTTGAATGTAGAACAGTTTCTTTTGCAGAATTGCACAGTTAGATTTGAATAGTTCAAAATATGACCTTTCTTAAAGCACATGATCAAGTGATGTCCAGATACTTTGAGAACTGCATGAACAATTCAATTTTGATCATGCTTATGGGTCACTAGATAGTACGACATAAAGACCGAGGTCTGGGCAGGGTACATTGCTCGTATATCCATGTTTTATGGCTTTGGCAGCAGTAAGTAGAGGAGAGTATCTGTGTATGTATGCATATGTGTGTGTACATGTGTGTGAGTCCTCATCCCCATGCAATCATTCTGTTACCTTTCTGCTTCCAATGAGTTGTCTAAGTATCCTTTCTCTTCTGTCTTCAACTAGGACTTCTTTCAAACATAAATAATGAGTAGTCTCTGTCTCACAGATGATGACTGAGTATTTCCCACCAATCACCCTGGAAAACACTTAGTTTCTTAGTGAAAGCTACTTGGAAAGAGCTATGATGAAAAACAGAAATAAGACATATATAGTAGAGGTTTTGATGAGTGGATACAGCCCATTTTTCTTGGTCATAATCATGAAGGAGAAGTTGTTGCTATATACCTTGTCTCAGAGTCTCAGAGTTTCTTAAACGTCTTCTATCCTTTGGTCACCCAAGTACGCATGTTTCCAAATTGACAACGTCCAACATCTCCTCAGCTTTTCTCAAGTAATAAAAAACAGTGAGAGATGAATAGGAGCCATTTCTAATGTCTTCAATTAGGTACATCTAATGATCACCAAAAATTAATTGACATGTTGATATAGCTATTTTAATGGAGAAATGTTAAAATCCTTCATTCCCCCAACCTACCACCTCCTCCCAGCTAGCTATTTCAGCAGGAACTACTTTAGTAGTCAACTCTTAAAAGATCACTATGAGTTGGTCTAGTCAGAGAAAACTTCATGATAAAGGTATGCAAAATTTCATCTGGACCTCTGAAGATGACCTATTTGAATATGCAAAGGGGTGAATATTTTAGTGGCCCACAGTATGAGCCCAAACACACTGGGCACAAGTATGAGAGACAGTATCATATAGTGGTTAAAAGAGCAAGCTCTGAGCCAGAACACTCCACATTCAGATCCCAGCCTCACCACTTTCTAGCTATACTACTAGGGGACAAATTACTTCACTTCTCTTTCCTGAAGGCTCATCTATTTGGGAGGACAAAGAACCAGACTCATAGGGTCATTGAGAAGTAAATGAGTGCCTGGCACATGGAAAGCCCTCAGTAAATGTTAGTAGTTGTGATTATTAAGTGAGGGAGTTGCCTAATGAGAATGAGGAGTGGATGTAAAGATTGCCATATTGGAAATGTAGTGAGCTAGAGGACTGGCACAATGTTACGCATAGCCCTAAAAGGCTAAGGGTATGGGCTTGATTCTGTAGGAAATTAATAGTGGACTATTATAGGAATGACATTACAAAAACAGGGCTTAGTAAAGCTTATGCTGTTTTATCTTGCATAGCTTGGCTGATGAAGTCTATTGATTCTTTGATATATATCATAATTTTAAAAGAGATATCATCTAGAAATTTAGTTTTTGTGTTGTGTGTTGAAATTTCTTTATTCAGAGGTGAGGATTGTTTTATTTGAAATTGATGTTCAATATATAGGTTTGCTCAGGTGTCTTATTTCTTAGTTAATTTGGTGGCAGCAGCTTGAAGTCCTCATAAACCACCATAAGCATTCTTTACCAATGGTACATCATTGTCCATACTAGCAGGAATTAATGACAATTTCACTATTAAGCTTTCTTTCTGATTAAAAATGTTCCAGGAATGATGATTTCCAATTTCATCCATGTCCCTACAAAGGACATGAACTCATCCTTTTTTATGGCTGCATAGTATTCCATGGTGTATATGTGCCACATTTTCTTAATCCAGTCTATCATTGTTGGACATTTGGGTTGGTTCCAAGTCTTTGCTATTGTGAATAGTGCCGCAATAAACATACGTGTGCTTGTGTCTTTATAGCAGCATGATTTATAGTCCTTTGGGTATATACCCAGTAATGGGATGGCTGGGTCAAATGGTATTTCTAGTTCTAGATCCCTGAGGAATTGCCACACTGACTTCCACAATGGTTGAACTAGTTTACAGTCCCACCAACAGTGTAAAAGTGTTCCTATTTCTCCACATCCTCTCCAGCACCTGTTGTTTCCTGACTTTTTAATGATTGCCATTCTAACTGGTGTGAGATAGTATCTCATTGTGGTTTTGATTTGCATTTCTCTGATGGCCAGTGATGATGAGCATTTTTTCATGTGCTTTTTGGCTGCATAAATGTCTTCTTTTGAGAAGTGTCTGTTCATGTCCTTTGCCCATTTTTTGATGGGGTTGTTTGTTTTTGTCTTGTAAATTTGTTGGAGTTCATTGTAGATTCTGGATATTAGCCCTTTGTCAGATGAGTAGGTTGCAAAAATTTTCTCCCATTTTGTAGGTTGCCTGTTCACTCTGATGGTAGTTTCTTTTGCTGTGCAGAAGCTCTTTAGTTTAATTAGATCCCATTTGTCAATTTTGTCTTTTGTTGCCATTGCTTTTGGTGTTTTGGACATGAAGTCCTTGCCCATGCCTATGTCCTGAATGATATTGCCTAGGTTTTCTTCTAGGGTTTTTATGGTTTTAGGTCTAACATGTAAGTCTTTAATCCATCTTGAATTGATTTTTGTATAAGGTGTAAGGAAGGGATCCATTTTCAGCTTTCTACATATGGCTAGCCAGTTTCCCCAGCACCATTTATTAAATAGGGAGTCCTTTCCCCATTGCTTGTTTTTCTCAGGTTTGTCAAAGATCAGATAGTTGTAGATATGCGGCGTTATTTCTGAGGGCTCTGTTCTGTTCCATTGATCTATATCTCTGTTTTGGTACCAGTACCATGCTGTTTTGGTTGCTGTAGCCTTGTAGTATAGTTTGAAGTCAGGTAGTGTGATGCCTCCAGCTTTGTTCTTTTGGCTTAGGATTGACTTGGCGATGCAGGCTCTTTTTTGGTTCCATATGAACCACCGCATATTCTCATTCATAGGTGGGAATTGAACAATGAGATCACATGGACACAGGAAGGGGAACATCACACTCTCAGGACTGTTGTGGGGTGTGGGGAGGGGGGAGGGATAGCATTGGGAGATATACCTAATGCTAAATGACGAGTTAGTGGGTGCAGCGCACCAGCATGGCACATGTATACATATGTAACTAACCTGCACAATCTGCATATGTACCCTAAAACTTAAAGTATAATAATAAAAGAAAAAAAAATAATAAATAAATAAATAGTCTTTGCCCTGGAAAAAAAAAATGTTCCAGGAAAAGGTCTTTGTTTTAGTACAGAATTGCTTCATGGTTATGGGGAAAGCTTGCAGGAGATAATGTAATATGCCATTGTGGTGGGTTTTTAGCATGCTGGAAAATAGACTATGATGCTGTGAGCTTTACATTTCTCTGTACCTTTTTGGCTCAACTGCAAGATTATGAACATTAAGGTTGATTGATCCTAAACTTAAATTGCAATTTAGAGCATTACTATCTTTACTTTGAGCAGTTTTTGAAGCATAATCATTATTTTTTTGGAAATAAAGAAATGTTGATAGTAAGATTTTAGGGTTTGTAATTTTTTTTATTCATGACATACCTTTTATATTATATTTTCTTGAACCTCACACCTTCCCAATTCTCTCAATATTAAATATGGCTTGAAAATACAAACAGTCTTAGAATACTGACTCTTTATCATAGATAGGAACACAATCACTAGAGGCTTCCTATGCCTGCCTCAGATCTCAGCACTAAAACGATTTTAGGTGATACAGCTAAACTCACATGATATAATACAGAGTTCCTTCCAGTGGTCTCCTTGAATAAAATAATTCTAAAATATCAACTAATTTTTATCTTTAGAAATTCTTTATGAATTTATTTTAAAAGAAACCTGCTTTTGCTCTTTGTCCTGTACATTTAAAGGAGCATTACAATCCCAATTTAACTAAGATGAGTTGGTTAAACTCAAACTATGCTCACATAATAGAGTATATTCAGTCACTATAAATGGGGACTATAGTCAGAATTACTGGTAATTCGCCCGTGAAACCTTTAAAAGATATACTTACCTGGGAATAACCGCTGGAGATTTGACCAAGATGTTGATGGGGGAGGCGAGAAGGGACTCATCTAGATTGACTCTAGGCACTTGTATTTTTACCAAGTTCCATAGGTAATAATTTAAAGTCCAGGCTAAAAATGGCTGCTTAAGAAAATTGTTTAATAACATGTAAAAATACCCATGATATGCAAGCTAAGCTATTTACAGTGTATAACACGATTACATTGGGAGGAAAAAAGAAAGTTAACAATAGTTATCCCTAATACATACAAGCAACAATTCTAGAATGCCAAAGTTCTTCAGATCCAAACTTGCAAGTCGGTGCTTTTTTATTCAATAGGTCAATTATCTATGCTCTGTAGTATTCCTCTACAGAATATTTTTTGGCTAAAAATAATTGTTCCTGCCATTTCCAATGGTAATTTAGAGCTGGTTATATATACATGAATATCTCCAAAATTGCTGGTTTCTCTACTTGGTTATGTGTGTTCTTCAGAATCTTTCTATGTCCTAAGTCTGGCAGAAGAATCAAAATTTGACGTGCAGACTTGGATATCCACTTAGAAGGGAAAAATGGAGAACTAAATGACATTCTCCCCCAGGTCACGTTCTTAGAGAATTTTGTGGCCCTGATTATAGTCTGATGTTAGCTTAAAAAGCCCATAAATCCCAAACACCCCATGCAATGAGGAGAAATTTTGCTTAGAACTCCAGGATTTAGACCTAGACATCTCTCTTTTCAACATGTCATCCACACATATGGTTTCAGGTCTTTTATTTCAGACGACATTATCCTTTGAGAAACCCTCCAACCTCTGTGCTTTCAGTGTCATCAGATTTCCTTTAATTACTGTGTGTGAGTCACTTTTTTGGAGTCTTAGTCCTTCAAAGGTATTTCATTCCCAGGACTTACTCACCTATAAAATGTTCGCTGATCTCATACATCAGGCAATCTGAACTGTTAGCTCCCATTGAGACCGAAGTACCATTTCCACTTAAGCAACTGTCATCTTAATATTGAGTTAGAAGAGTCAGTGGCACTTTTAATCTTACCGGATATAATATTCCTTTGCATTCTCTTGAGGCTGTGTTTTGCACTGTTTGTCACCATCCCAAGGCTGTCTTTGTTTATTCTGCCTGTCAGAATCGCACACTGAAATGCAGTTGTTTCCATTATTATCCTCTAGCTCTCTTCCCCTTGGATCCTTTATTTCTTTGGTGTATGATGGGTGAAAAAGAAAAGAGACATTTCTTTTTAAGATGTTATTCTAAAGTATTTTTCCATATTCTGTATTGTGTTGTGTTGACATCTCCTGCATAGTCTTATGTGTGTCTTGTGCCCAGCACACCTAGAATTCACTAGGGGTGGGGTCTTATTTTGCAAAGCCAGGCATAATCAGCAGGAATGGAGCAAACCCCTGAAATGAACCTGTCAGACCAATCTTTTCCCAGCCTGCCGCTCCTCACTACTGGCAGCAGCCCTTCAGTGAAATTGTCCAAGTGCTGCTTTATTTTAAGGCATCTACTGTTTGTTTTAGATTTACATTTTGATTTGACATTCCTTTTGCTGGAGGTAGTTTTCATTTCAACTTGCAATGAATTGTACTTTGAGCTATAATTATATAAATATTTAGATATTATACTTTTTCTTTAGGATATGAAAAAAGATGGTTAGTTGCTTGTTTTTGCTGTGTACTTCTAATATACTTAGCATTTAAATTAGATCTGGAGTTTCTGGAGAAATATGTGAGTCAGTGAGAATCTGTTTTTGTGAAAGGAAACTCTGAAGAATTTTCTTTTTCTACCACTTAAAGACAGTTGTTTCTCATTTTAGAAGCAAAAATTAAACACATACCTAGTTAGAGTTCAAAGTAGAGCAAATAAATAAGTGGTACTTAAAATGTATGTCAGGAAAAAATGTATGTCAGAAGGAGAAAAAATCAGAAAATAGTTAGAGAATTTATACTTTGATTAATTAAGATTTGCCCAGTTTACTTTACAAAGGACAGTTAGAAGAGTCTCTTACATAAGCAAGGGCCCAGGCAAACTATTTTCTTTCTTTCCTAATGAAAAGCTACAGAGATTATATGTTGTTGTCTTTATGATCTATTCCCTTACCAACAGCTGTCTTCCTTGCCCTTACCTGAATCTTTTGCTTATTAATATTTCATTTTTAAAAATTACTAATAGCTCCTTCTTTTTCCAGAAATGTCTTTGCCTTGTTTAACAGCAGCATATACATTGCATTAGTATAAAAAAGATACTGTTGGTGTCTCCTAAACATACCCTGACAGCCCTGGGCTTTTTCCAAAACTCTGTCTTGAGCCTTCTCTATGATTCCTATTACCCTTTCTGGTACTTTCATCCATCCTCGCAGCTTCAGGGTTCAATTTTTGAATGTTTCCCAAATATGTAATTCTCTGACCTCTTTCTAGGACAAGAGTCACAGAATTCTGACTCTCTGCTGGATACTTCCACCTGAATTTTTAGCGGGTGCTTGAAACATTGTTTTGCATCCAACCATTTAATTCTTGGAATAAACTGCACTTGGCCATGTTGGCATATTACCAAAATTCCAAGAATGATTCAGTCATAGGAAATTTATCCACCCATAATAAGATCTTCTGAGGGGAGGAAGTCATGTAATCATCTACATAGGTTCTGAAAAAGCAGAGGGGTCAGATAACCTCTCATGCATTGGCAGAGGGAATATTTTTTTAAAAACGTGGGAGGGGGAGGAGGATGATACAATTAGACAACAGTTATAGATGTTCATAAAGTAGTATAAACAGTTTAATAAAAATGAATATAAGATTAAAAATCGTATCACATACCAAAATAAAATCAAGGTGAATAAAAGACCAGTACTCCTACCTCAGGACTTTTTCCATTTTCTTT
Source organism: Homo sapiens (assembly GCF_000001405.40). Taxonomy (NCBI): domain Eukaryota; kingdom Metazoa; phylum Chordata; class Mammalia; order Primates; family Hominidae; genus Homo; species Homo sapiens. The sequence goes on from NC_000005.10 coordinate 102,912,474, forward strand.
CTGCCCCAGGAAAGATCCCTGGTAGGATTCTGGAAGGGAGGAAGGAAATCCTGCACTCAACCTGGCAGTGGTCTATAGATATAGAATCCTTCTTCTTTCTTCTGTTTCTCTTGCTAACAAACTTCGGCTTCATGATGATAAGGACTTTCTATGAATTGTGAACGGCTGTAACTCCCAAGTGATTCTTTCCTTCCAAAGCATCTTCTTCCATCCCTTGTGCTTACTATATTCTTTGGTAATAGAAAACCAAGCCTCAAGTTATAGCAAGTCCATTTTCTGGCCATTCTCTCTTCATTAATATTTTAAATGATGACATGAAAACTTCAAGATTTGATTTTTAGGCTTCAAGTTCTTACTTTCATTGCAGTAAAAGAAAGGTTTGTCTCTTCTGAAAGTTATAAGCCAAGATGGCACACAGTAGGTTTGGCACATAGTGCTATGTTTTTGGTCAGACACACTGTGAGTCATGGTGCTATAGTTTGGTGTAGAACATTTTTTTGTTTTATAAGTACTCATGTCTCACATACACATTTTAGCAATAAGTGATGTTTTCTTAATTTTATCAAACAGACCAAAATAGCTGAAAGATGCATTTTTGCACACACCTGAGATTTAAGATCATTTTGGGGCTATTTAGCATTTTATGTGCAAAGGTGACTCGTAAACAGCTACTTCATACTGGACAGCATTTTGATGAGAACGCAAAAGGATGAGCCAAACCCACACTAGGAAAGGGAGTTCATAGATAATAATATATTTTTAATTTTTTCTCTTTTAATTATGCACTTGTTTATTTTAATGTCTTTCAACAACTATTATTAGGAGAAAACGAGAAATGTCATTCCATAACTTCTAATATCTTTTAACAAGTATACCATGCTTATTGAGGACAGTAATTTTATGTCTTTCGTATTTTTGTAAAGATACATTTTCCACTTTTATTTTTCTTTCCTGGTAAATTGCTTCTTCATATACATCCCAGTGACTATCGTACTGTTGTTATTCTAAGATGGTCATAAATTTGTGTTATGAATTTTTGTGTTCATATTTTGACCACTCACTGTGGCTTCTTTTTCACTACAATGTTGAGCAGTGTTTTATGATACTCAGCACTGTACTGATGTCTAAAAGGAAATATACTGTGAATACATAGCCTGCAGATTTCATTTAATACCCATATAATGCCCTCACCACTTTAAAAGAGGTCTTCCATTTTAAAAATGTGTGTGTGTGTATGTGGGTGTGATATTCAGCCTTATTTTTCCTTTTTACTCTTAATCAAATTATCAAGTCATGCTTATCCTTAACAAGATAATTTATACAGACAGGGCATTTGATCACAAGAACATCAAAACATCTTTGTTATACAGGTATTTGAACTGTTCAAAGATGTATTTTATGACTTTGGTGCACAGAAGTGTAACTTGTATTCACATACATGTATTATTTTCTCGTAACAGTTGACTTCAAGCCTCGAGCCAGCATGGATACTGTCCATCACATGTTACTTTTTGGATGCAATATGCCTTCATCCACTGGAAGTTACTGGTAAGGATAATGGGTTTACAGTATAGAAGGGTGTAGAAAATGTGTTTTACAAGTGCAAAGTGTATCTGTGCAAGTATTTTACAACTAGTTAATAAATAGGCAGAACATTTTAAGAAAAAGAACATTGTTCATTGTCATCACGTGGTTATCATGGTTTATCACAGTTATTTAGTCTGCTATAGAGCATATCTATCAGCCTTTGTCACTGACTTAATAAATATATGTCTCATGGACATAAAGATGGAAACAGTAGAAACCAGGACCCCAAAAGGGGCTGGGAGAGAAGGGAGCAAGAGTTGAAAAACTACCAGTTGGATACTATGTTAACTATTTGAGTGATGGGTTCAATAGATGCCCAAACTCCAGCATCACACAATATACCATGTAACATGTTCCCCTGGAATCTAAAATAAAACAGATTCAATATATGTATATTGTTATACAGTATATGTCCAGGTGCAGAAGGTTTGTAAAGAAAGTCTGAAAATATAGATTATTGATACTCTGATATTAATTTTTTAAGGTTCATTATTCTACCCGAAGAGCATCATGGTTCTGTTTATTGAGCACTCTTTCTCCAGACACTGTGACTGGTGATGTAGGCTTGCCATTTCATTTTATCCTAATGTCTCTGCAAAGCAAATATTGTTATTTCCACTTTACAGACAAGAAGCCTGAAGCTCAAAGTGATTCAGTAAGTTGTTTACGGTAGTAACAAAACTGGTGCAAGATAAAGATTGAACCCTAGCTTGTCTGATTCCAAACCCACAGTTATTTTCATTTTACCACACTGCCTTCTATTTATTCAAGTAATTATTAATTCAATTAGATATTATTAGAAAGTATTTGAATCACTATGGTGAGTCTTAATATCATGCCATAAACAATCAGTAAACCTCTATTAAATGCCTGTCATATGCCAGAGCTGTAGCAGATGCTTGGGAGGTTCTAGGAAAAATAAGATGTTTTCTACCCCCATAAGTTTACAGCATAATTATGGTTTGAGATTGTCCCTCTCATTTTGTTCTTTGGCATTCTTGAAGATCACTGAACTCTGAAAATAGCCACACTTTTTAAGCTTCTTATTTTCACGTAGACCCAGAATCACTGTCACACATTTAATAGTCCGAAATGACTGGTGTGCTTTGCTTTGCACTGAGGAATCTGTTTTGAGGTCCTGTCCTTACATAATCATGTAGACTGATGGACCTTTCTCTGTGCATCCTAACATTCATTAGCCTGATGTGAGTCAAGCAGCAACTGCTCTCTTGTCGTTTTTGTAATAAACAATATAATGTGTATTTGGAACTGTTAAAAACACAGGGCAATTAGTGGAAATCTCCATGGACCAAGTACCGTCAAAGCATTTGTTAATAGGCTTAAGTTATTTGATGAAAGGAACATATCACATAGGAACCCAACCTATGTGACTGGGTTTATGTAAAAACAGAGTCAGCAAATCACAGTAAATACCCTTCAATATCAACATTCCCGTTTATACTCTTCAGTAAATTTTTGTAAATAAAATTCTGGGATTAAAAGATTATTCTGTGACAGCTTTTCCTGAATCTTATTCAGTAAATCACATCCTTTGGTTTTTATGCTTTAAAACAATTTCTTCTGAAATTACCAATATTTACCTTTGAATTGGACTCATTGAAAATAGCTAGAAGGAATGTAAGCTTTTAAAGTCTGCTTTTGCTGCACCTTGGTTTAAGGGAATGAGTGAGAAAATAACACAACACTTAAATGCTATTCCAGTTCTAATTGTTAGGAAAAATTATCTAAAATGAGCCAAGCTCATTGTTCTCATGTTAAGGGAATAAAACAAAAACCTCATTTTGGCCCCTTTAAAATATTTATTAGTATTCTTAAATAAACTATTCTGAAATTAAATCTATAAGATATATTGACCAAAAATCTTCCACATTGGGGAATAAGAAGTTTCAAAGAAAAATATAAATGAAAGTGAAAACAGAAATTTTGAGTAGAGTAATTGCTAAGTATATTATTTTGCTAAAATTATTACTTGAAAGTCAACATAGTAGAAGGAAAGAGCAGTGAACTAACTTGCTGGATTCCCTGGGTAGGTTATTTAGCCCATCTGAGATGGAGTTCTTGTCTTCATTTTTGCAAAAGACTTATACTAGGCCATTTTTAAAGCCTCTCTATGCTCTAAAATTCCATAATTCTATGAATATAAATTGCATCCAAATGCTGAGTCTGATTGGAAAAGCATTATTTCTAGGAGCTGGAAGTGTGTGTACTGCTTGACTCACCTCAAGCAAGCAGCTCACTGTGTTTTGCCAGTCAGTTGCATCATTGAGTAATTACAATTCTTAATAACACTATACCCATATCATTTTAAATGGATTTTAAAATATTTGCCTTGTATCCCATAGCCCCACTTAATTTGTAGACTTGTTATGATTGAATTTATAATCATAAAACAAGGACAATTGGTGCTGTTATTCATCATCTTTTAACCAAGCCCAACACGTTTAAGTCTAACATTTAAAAGTAGGATCTTTTCAATATGTGAACTAGAAGACATACATTAAGTAAAACTGTTCTAATGATTCTGACTTCCACAATCAGGCCTTTTTATATATATATATATATATTCCTTTATATATATATAAAGATTATAATACATATTTATATGTATATTTGTATATAATATATGATATATATTATATATCATATATTTATTTTATATTCTTTTTTTTTTGACTGAGTCTCACTCAGTCACCCAGGTTCTAGTGCAGTGGTGCGATCTCAGCTCACTGCAACCTCCACCTCCTGGGTTCAAGCAATTCTCCTGCCTCAGCCTCCTCAGTAGTTGGGACTACAGGCGCGTGCCACCATGCCCAACTAATTTTTGTATTTTTAGTAGAGATGGGGTTTTGCCATGTTGGCCAGGCTGGTCTCGAGCCCCCTGACCTCAAGTGATTCACCCACCTTGGCCTCCCAAAGTGCTGGGATTATAGGTATGAGCCACCACACCCAGCCACAGGCCTTATATTCTTATTTAAATATGGTATACATTATTTATCTTCCAATATTTGGCAAAATCTATACTTTAAAGAATTAGAGCTCACAGGATATTTCACAGCCAGAACTTTCAGTTGCTTCACAGAAACATCTTTCACTCCCCACCCCCAGTGCCTCACAGGCTCAGCCCTGAAGATAGTCAGTGGATATTTTCCAGCTGTTTAACATCTTATCCTGTCATCTGAATTATAGTACTCACAACAAAAATCTATCAGTGTCAAACGTCTTGCATTATTTTTCTAAAATTTTTTGAGTCATGGAATTGATCACACTCATTTTATAGTTGCAAATCTATTCTTCAATTATTCTAAGACATAGACAGCACTTAAATGAAGACTCCTAAACTTTCACATATATTTTGGGGATGATACCTATAACAGTTTTGATGCTTAAAAATAACCAGAAGTCATTCACACTCTAGGGAAACTTATAAGGAAATACAAAGCTGTTTTAAGGAAAGAAGAAAAAGCTATTTTAACATCAAAATGTCAAACTTGGATTTCCTCTTTTCTGTTTGTTAGCTAGGATTTCCTCCTGTTTACACTTCAGTGTTCCATTTTCATTGCGAGCAGGTTGGCAAATAGGTGTCTTTAATATAGAAAACATGTTTCCCCTGAAATTATGAAGTTATAATTCATCTTCTATCTTCAGGAAGCATTTTTAATATTAACGCAAATAGCTATTCTGATGATGTTTCACTGTTGTGCTGCCCTCCTTTGCTCTTTGTAATTGCCTCTTTCTACTGTTCATTAAAATATATTTACAGTTATATTAAGTTTATATAAAAATAGTAGACACAGCATGAAGCAGTTTTCATTATATAGTGATTTTAATTTTAAAGTTTTTTTCCTCTGCACACATTCTAGCCTTTTGTGACTCATTCCAAATTAGCAGCTCACATTGGCAATGTGTCTAGTTAATTATATGCATGTGCATTTAAATTGCATACGTTGATTTGAACCTTTTAATATACTGTAGGGTGGTCCCTTTATAGTTAGAGTGGGCCTAGTGCTCAATTCCAAATTAACATACCTCTAGAGGTTGCAAATAAGGACCAGCTGATGGAAAAGAAGCAGCTCTGCTGACCCATGTAAAGAAAGTGACAGTACCTGTCAGATGTAACCCCAATGCCTTCTTCCCAGGCGTTTGGAGGAGGAAAACAATTAACCCTATCTAGGGACCAAAAGAAAATAATAGCACCAAGATTAGAGCAAGCATATCAATGGCATGATTTGTTGCACTCTATTTGTGCTCTATAGACTTAATTCAAAGCATGACAATTCTAAGTTCCCTAGATTTATTAGCTGAATATGAGCCTAAACTAAGCTCTAAGTGAGCAGATGCTCTTTTGAAGTTGTTAGAGTCAGTAATGAAATGAAATGAAGGTGCTTAAATTTACTATTTAAGTAAATTTTTATATTTAAATTACCCAGTTTAATTTAAAGTAAGTAAATTTAAATTTACTTAAATAGTAAATTTTGAGGATATCTTGGAAATTTAAATATTGTATTCATCTATTCTATGAATTACTTCATTCTGTTTTTACTCTTAATCAATTTTTTAAATGATAAGTGATTAGCTACTTAGAGTTTCAGGCTTTGAAAATCATAATATTTTGTTTATACAAATTGTGTTGGCATTTGGGGTAATTCTGGAGTGCTCTCTTTTTTAAATATGAGATTGTAGGCTTGTGCATTTTTTATTCTGCTGAGCACAGGACATAGGGTTTAAAGCAATTTAGGATTGCAAACCCCAAGATTTTGTGTTTAAAATATTGGATGATTAAAACGAGTGGGCTTCTTATGTATCCAGTGTTATACTTTGGTGTGATCTTCTATACATAGCTAAAATTATTTTTAGTTCTTCCTATTAATATTTGATTTTAAAGCTATTTCTAATGACACTTAGGACCAACTAATCTTAACAAACCAAAGATGGCTTCTACAGGTTGTTTGATGTTTTTTGATGAAAAAAAATCCAAGCTGGTTAAATGAGGCTATTTCCAGCTGTTCTAACTGGGAATCATTCTCAAGCTAAAGCAGTAGTGCTTTACCATCTTATGAAGCTTTAGCTTAAATCCCTTTCAACTGCTTCTATTTATTAACCACCTGCTGTGTCTTTTTAAATGCCACTATCTCCACAGGGTTACAGCTGCTGATGAGAAGAAAAAGGAGATAAAACATTATATATATATATATGCCTGTATGAGAGATACTCTGCTTGGGTACTTATTTAAATGACTGTTTTTTAAAGGTGATGTTGTTTTCCAAATAAGCCCACAGCTTTGTTGCCTCCCTCCCAGTGATAATGATTCTTTGGTTGAGAACAGTATTTGCATATGCTGTCTTTATGCTCCTGTTCCACATCCTGGCCCCTGTCATCCATACACTATATACAGCAGGATTCAGTGTGTCTTCTGCAATCCTCTCTTTGTTTTTTCTGCCGTAGGAAACTTCTAAAGTTAAATATATGTAACATCCTTGTCAGTATAAATAAAAATAACAGAATCTCCCAAATCTACACTGTCTCTTGTTTTAAGCACTGTAAAATGTGTCATTGAGTGCAGTAGCAATGTTTAGACATAAATTACTGATAGGCTAAAATTAATAGCATCCATTCCCTTTTTCCACTTTAATATTGTAATAGATTCCTATCATATCGCATATTGGGATAGTATAACGGATCAATTTTTAAAACACAGTTGGTCTCTGATTCTAACTTCCAGTCACCAATTTGGTGAGTATGTTCCTTGGCTAATAATATTAAGGTACTTGGATTAAAGGTGTTAATAGGAGTTCCTTAGAAATTGCCCAATTCTTTGTAGACTAGTGTCAACTTTAATAAAATAGAATGTTACAGTTGGAACCCTTTTGACTGTTTCAACAGAAACAAATGCATTTTTCCTCACAAGACTAGTACTTTATGTTAAATACAGTAGCAATATTATAATGCAGCGTTGTATTTAGCACAGATCCAGAACTGTGAAATCGGAACATCTTGGTTTCAAATCTCAGCTCTGCTACTTGGTAGTGGTAATAAACATTGGTTAAATGATGTAACCTGTATTGGTCTGTTTTCTCATCTGTAAAATTGGGCTACTAATCTTGGCAGCTTGATTGGGCCATCATGAAGGGTAGATGAGGTAATATAAGTAATGTGTTTGGTGTAGTGTCTGGCATGTAGAAGGGATAGCTATTATTTTTATTCATTTATTGATAAAGTATATATTAATCATTCACTATGTGCCAAGCACTTTGTTGGGCATGGAGAATTTGGTATGAATAAAACAGACACACACTCTGCTTTTATGGACTTACTGCCTGTCTAACCTTATTGGAGCAAAGGAACAGTGGGTAGTTTCTGTGATGCTATTTATCAGGCTGATATTTCTTAATCACCATTCTAATTTGCTTTTTCATTATGTATCATTCTAATTACTATATTAATGTCTGTCCATTGCATTGAAGTTCACATAGGATTGTCTGAATTTGGGAAAATATTCTATGGGTTTATAGAACAGGTAATAGTATTTGAATATCTGACTCATACTGAATGCATTTTGAAAGGTAAGGACCATCCCCTCATGCTATTGATTTTGTGTTGTGTTTCTTTAAAAAACTTTCTAACTTTAGATCAGTTTTCCTGGTTGTGGTTCTGTTAGATATGTAATGCATTAAAATTGGAATTTAAGGCTATACAGACTTAACTTGAGGGCATGACAATTTTTTTTTTTTTTAGCCAAAAGAAGAAACGAGTTATCAGTTCTGATATTCCCTGAGTAACCTTGGATTTTAAATAGCCTTTAACAGATACAACCAGAGAGTACTTTAACAGTCAGTCATGCTGTATTTGGATAATTCGAAATGACAAGCTACCATTTTCAGTGCTTGGCACAGTCAGAAAATATTCATGCCATCTGAATGGTTTCCCCGTGGATTAGACGTGAAAAAGGTTCTATAGGAAAGGTCCAAGAATCCAGACTAGTTTTATTTTCAAATGTTAATTCTCATCATTTTTACTATGAATACTAAGAAACCACAAGGGAGCTATGTGAACCCTTCCACAATTTAATCGACTTAGTCTGGAGGAGCCTTATAGGAGAAGCTGCTAGAATGATAAGAAAAAGAAACCTGGTTGATGAGGCCTGAAATTACAACAGCCATTGATCAAGAGTTACATTGCTTCCCAGCCTTAAGGCTCTCTTTACTAGTAAGAATAGTAAAAATCCCCTCTACTTCCATAGGTCCTTTTTTTTGGGAAGCCAAAATATACTATACCATCTTTCTCTTTTTGGTCATTTTACATGGAGAAAATATGATGCCATTTTCATTTAAAATGGGAAATGGAAATATTTACCACTCTGATATGTTATCAGTTATAGAACTCAGTTCTCTCGCCCTTTTGTTTTTCCTCTTAGTCCTCCCATTGAGTTTTAGGATTAGTTCCAATGCCCCAGTGTCCTCCAGTGAGTCATTCTTTACTCAGTCTTGAGTTTAATATATTTTTTATTGTAAAACAGGGTTTTAAAAATTAAACCAATGTTTGCTTGGAAGCTCTTATTTACCAGACCTGATAAGAGAATAAAATATAAAATCATTGTCTCTTTGTGAATATGTCACAAACAACTTGTTTTATCTCAAATTTGATTTTAGAATTGCATGCACAAATTGCAACTTAGTTCAAGGATGACAGTAATAATCAAAGCTTATCTCCACATAATATCATTCTCTGCCCATAAATCAGTGTCAAGAATTGAGATAGAAGGGACTGTGACAGCCAGAGCTTTAAGTCATGGTTTAGCTGTTTGACCTTTGGAAGTTACTTAAACTCTCTGAGCTTATTCAACTTTAAATTACAACTTGCTGGCAGTGTTCTTATATGAGCTGATTTGTTCAAAAAACTAGGCAAACAATAATTCAAATTTATTGGTGTTTATATTTTAAATTTTTAATCTAATTTTTTTCAATAAAATATTATAACATGAAGTTGAGAGTGCAATACAATTTAAGCTAATTCAGCTCTTTAAGTCTCTGTACATGGAAAGTTAAAAACTCACCGAGAGGTAAGTTTCACCAAACATTTGTTTCATGCCGGGACTTCAGCATGAAGATATTATCCTACATACTTGTACTCGAAGTCCTCACAGTCTGGGTGGAGAGAGAGAAGTAAGCTGACACTTAGGATGAGGAGTGCTATAGTTAAGGAATGGAAGGTGGATGGGGGTCGGAGAACACTTTCCTGAGGAGGAAGGCTTGAACTGAATCTTGAAGGAGAAAGTGAATAAAAGTTTTTCAGGCAGACAGCTGGGATGGGATATTTCAGGCAAAGAGAGCAATGGAAATAAGGAAGATTGGAAACTGGAAGCAACTTGGCAGGATTAAAAAAGGGGGTGTTGTCTGGAGACAATGTCTAGATCATGAAAGGTCTTACGTGTTATGCTACAAGGTTTGGATTTTATTTTGATTTTATTTTTGGGAAGCATTTGAACGATTTTGAGCCAACAAATGACATAATCAAATGTATAACTTAGAAAAAGTTACTAAGCCAGTTTTCTCTGTTATATTTCAATCTGGTTCTTTCTAGTCATCCATTGAAAATCAACTTGCATATCAGAGGAAACAGTTATCTTGTTTAACCTAAGACTGTCATCACATTGGTTATAGGCATTTGTAATGTTTATGATCTTTGTTGAAAGCTATGAAAATTGCCACCCAAATCTTTAAATTTTAGTAGCTAACAGCAGTGATATACAAAGTTCAACACATTTGACAATATCATTTCTTTAACTATTATAGCTGAGGCCAGGAAGGAAAATTTTGCTTTTGGGCATCATCCAACATCCTGAGCCTTTTAGCACACTTGGCACAAGGATGTCACAGACATTTCTTCCAACGTACAATTCTCACATGGTAATGATCAGTCATCATAAGTATATTGTATTTGACAGTGAACAGGAAGAAACCACTAGTTGATGTCTTTTATATTACACATTACACAATCTCTTTCTACAGCCTGATTTATAGAAGCAAGATCACTTTGCTAAGTATAACCTTATCAAGACTTCCTGGTTCTGGGTCCCTCACCCCTTAATTCAGACAGATAATACAGTTGTCTGCACTCATTGCCTATCCTCCAACCTCATTTCTGGCTAGAAGCAGAAAATACGGTAAGAGTCCCTGCCTCTGAGTCTGAAGCAACTTCTTACCAGTGGTTTTCATATGTGCAACGTGGGTGTTTTCTGTGTTTCTGGCTTCAGTTTCTAACCTATTTAGGAATCTATCACAGTCTGCCTTTGCTTCCCATCCAGGTCAGGGGCAGTGTACATTTTTTTCTGTGTGAGCCAACCTCCGTCCCAAGAAGCTGTATTTGTCCTTGTCCTTTATAGTCTTCAAGCTTTTCAGATCTGCCTACACACCTGACTCACCTTTTTTGGTCCCAGTTTTCAAAACACAAATACACAAATCAACATAAAATGTAGCCTAACAATGTTTGGATTAAATCCAATTCAATAATAGAAAAAGCTGAGATATATTGTAATGGGAAAAAAATGGTGGCTTGGAGTCAGACATACTACCATCTATTAATGTGGATCTACCAAATATCTGAGTTACCGCACTGAGTGCCTTATGCACATCACCACAACAGCCCTATCACAGAGGTTTCCATATAGGAACTGGGCCTTTGAGGGCTTATAAACACGCCCAAGATACAGAGCTGCTAAGGGGTGGTTCTAAAATTGAACTCCAGATCTGTCTTTCTGCCTGGGTGCTCTTTTCACCCTGCAACACTCTCTGTCAACAGTGAATCTTCAGATAAAGTGAATGTTTTGTTAAATAATGCATTGCCCTGGAATAGTACTTTGAAGTTTATAAAGTCTCATTTGATTTACAGAATAACTCTGTGATGTAAGTGTACTTATCCCTGTTTTCCGTGAGAGAAAACTAAGGCTTGGTAAGATTCAGTAACTTAAAAAAAATTAAGTAACTTGCATAATATGATACAACTTATTAATGCATTCCAGTATTCATAAACTCAAAATGTCATGCATGTATAAGATCAAGAACTCTTAAGAGAGGCTGGGCGCAGTAGCTCACACCTGTAATCCCAGCACTTTGGGAGGCTGAGGCAGGTGGATCATCTGAGATCAGGAGTTCAAGACTAGCCTGGCCAACATGGTGAAATCCCTTCTCTACTAAAAATACAAAAAATTAGCCGGGCATGGTGGTGGGCACCTGTAATCCCAGCTACTCAGGAGGCTGAGGCAGGAGAATCGCTTGAACCCAGGAGGCGGAGGTTGCAGTGAGTCAAGATCGCGCCATTGCACTCCAGCCTGGGCAACAAGAGTGAAACTCCGTCTCAAAAAAAAAAAAAAAAAACAAAAAAACTCTTAAAAGGGACACACTTGTATTGCTCACCCCACTGATGGTAGGCACTGTAGGCACTGTTTGTTGCTTTGGCCAGATTTGTTGACAACAGTGATCGCCAAAGGGGAAATGTGTATGACACTTTTTTTAGTCCAGATTTCTGCTGCATTAGCTTTGGTTTATACAGACCGTCTATGTAATGCTTGCTTTTCTACCTGATTACATAGAGTACATTCCATGTATGAACATATCAAAGTAAAAATTATATATCTCCCTCACAGGATTGTTTCATATCAGGCAAAAAAAAAAAAAGTTTCCTCTTTTATGTGCTTTTTTTCACACAGTAATAGTTCTTTGCTCCAGTCTTTATTCGGATCTTAAAGCTAATATCATGCAATGATGATATATTGATGTACTTTGGTTTCAAATACCTTCCCCCATCACCTCCCACCATGGGGAGCAATTTATGCATTTCACTATTTAAATCTTCATTTATACTACTTTTTATTTTCTTCAGGTTTTGTGATGAAGGAACCTGTACAGATAAAGCCAATATTCTGTATGCCTGGGCGAGAAATGCTCCCCCTACCCGGCTCCCCAAAGGTATGTCAGAGCCTCTTGGGTGGTCTTATGTTCAGCTGCTTAATTTCTGTTTCCAAAGTACTTTTCATTATAGTCCTTTCTAACCAGTGTTGACAGTGTTCTGTATTGCTGCTTCACAGTGAAAGTACTTGCATTACCTCTTTTGTATTGAAAAGGTTTCATTTAGGTAGTTACTCTTTTTCTGCCTCTCTTTGGTAAGTAGTTTGCCCACACAACAGTTTAGATAAAATTAGAAAATAACCAAGGATACCTCAAGCCACCTTTGACCTAAGGCACATTGGTTCTTGACAGCAGACACATTTCATGAGCCAAGAGAGCTAGGAATTAAATAAACTGCTGTTTCAGCAAAGAATTTTTTACAGTCCTGGAACCTAGGTATCTAATGTGATGCCAAGACCTCAGCTGGCTTTCTGACTGCACCTCTAAATTGTACATAGCTTTCAATGTGTGAGTGTACTACCAGACTCTCATTTATTACCTGGATATTTCTTAAAGGGTGTGTGTGGGTCTGTTACAGAATAGGTCTGTCGTGGTTCATGGATGATCTCGTGATACACATGCACCTCTCTTTCCTCCCTTACTCATTGCCAGCATCATTAAATGATGTCTGATTTCTTGCACTTCAAATGAGCCTCAGAATTCTCTCCATATGAGGCAGCTGCAACCAAACAAGTTTGAAACTAACAGGGAGGTCTGTCATAGATTTGTTGACATACATTGGTAGAGGAGATTTGTTTAAAAAAAAAAAAAAGTATACTTCTGCCTGTAAATATTTTCTCTCTAGATTTTTTAAAGCTCACTAGCAAGCTTTATTAACAGTAAGACTAATAAGAATATTCAGATTCCAAAAAATCACTGAGATAATGGACTTCAGTAATCTAGTTGGTAACTGGTTTCCTCAATGACATTTTTGTAGATACCTCTTTTCACAGCAGAAGAAAAGTAATGCCACTTAAATGCTCCTAAGAGGTCTATTTCCTATATTCAATCACAAAATAAAATAAATATGAATATATACAAAACAAAATGGGAGAATGGGTTTATGTATGTCTTTTTTTTTTTTGAGACGGAGTCTCGCTCTGTCGCCCAGGCCGGACTGCGGACTGCAGTGGCGCAATCTCGGCTCACTGCAAGCTCCGCTTCCCGGGTTCACGCCATTCTCCTGCCTCAGCCTCCCGAGTAGCTGGGACTACAGGCGCCCGCCACCGCGCCCGGCTAATGTATGTCTTTTAAATAATCAATAGAGACAGAATTTTGTTTTGCTCTGTTTCTTTCAAAATGAGTGAATTGTCCTCTTAAAGTGTAAGTGATTACTCTGGTTCTGAAGTGGGAACTATGAGTAGAATTTCATCATAGTTTTGAGGAGATTATAATGACAGATTATATTAGAAATTATCAGTCAATGGTATATTTCTGTTTTCATATAATATAATTTTATATGTTATATGTTATTTCCCTTTGGAGTTCATAGAACAGCAATTTGAGATTAACTCCATTTTAGATGCTCATTTCTAATATATTAACTTTTTTGTAAATCTTTAGGTGTTGGATTCAGAGTTGGAGGAGAGACTGGAAGTAAATACTTTGTACTACAGGTACACTATGGGGATATTAGTGCTTTTAGAGGTAAGTTTTGAAGTGTTGGAACTAAGCAAAACTTCTAGTACTATATTGTTTAAAATACATGCACAAACTATTATCTACATCTTAAAAAGAATTGCCCACACCCTCTGCCCACTAGGGGATAACAGCTTTTGTTTCCTTTAATTTGGAACTGTTGAAGGAATGACTTTTATTTTAGAAGTCATTTCTGTTATGCACCTGTGCATCCTACTGTGTTTTCTTTTATGCTGACTTTATAGAGCTCTCTTGCCTTCTAGTGTATTGTTTTATCAGCCTGCTCTTGCTCTTATTAGGAGTGCGGATCATTCCAAGCAACACTGTTGGAAAGCATAGGAAGGTACTGGTTGTTTATATTTATGTTGCTCTGAGCAAGCCACCGAGAGTCTATAGGTTCTGCAATACCAAAGGGGTTCTCAAACACTCAGGCTCATGTCGATTCCTTATCTATCCATACGTGGCACTTCATGAACTCATCCATTGTCCACTGCTGTAAGGCACAGACCCCAGCCACCCTTTAGATAATGCTGAACACTCCCCTAGACACCTGTTGCTCTACCAGTGATCGCTATGCACTTTATTTAAATGCCCCTTTCCTTACTATAGATCGTTAGCATGAGGAAGGGGCCCTGTTCCCAAGGCAACCAAGATCAATGCTTGTTACTCCTGCTGCTGCATTTAGTCAAACTCCAACTGCATTCGGGTTCACACTCTTGTGTTCACAGGTGTAAATATTAAGATTTCTCCTTGTCTTGTTTGCTTTTCTACTATGTCTTGCTGACTTATATATATTCTCCTGAATTCTCTAATTTGACAGTATATTTCTAAGTAACCTGATATGTTTCCCTTTCCAAATACATTAGCTATCTCTCCAGCAACTAAGTTTGGAAGTAGATGTCCATCTCTGCCTATGAAATACCCTTTAGGACCTTTGCTAAGAGAGCCCCATGGGGTAGAAAGGACCATAGATTGCCAGCATTCAGAACGAGGACAGTAAATGCAGTCTCCCTCTGGAAAAGGGTGTTGAAAGAATGATTTTATGTCATTGAAAATGTACTATAATCAAATATATTATCAATTAATATATTTATTAATACACTAATAAATATATATAAATTAATATATATATAAATGGACCAGCCTATGAACCTAACTTAGAAATAAAATTTATTTTTAGATTAAAAATATGCTTTGAGTTATACACAAATAACTTTTCATTTTTTGGAATAGAACATAATCTTAAACTGTTAACTCTCTATAGTGCTGAGAGAAGGTTTTGCTGAAAACAAAGAAATAAATAATATTTGTGTTTGGGGAACAAAGACAGAGATTATCTGCTCTAAAAATTGACCATGCTGGTTTCAGTAGAACAGACAGATTGTGAGACTGCTGACTTCCAAAGTATTGACAAAGCTTTAATTTCCTCAAAAAAGGCAAGCAGACCTTTCCAGATCACCACAACTAAAGTAGCTCATCATACTGGCGCAGGTTCCCGCAAACCCTAATCTCTACCCTCTATAAAACCCTGTACTTCACTTTTCAATCTAATTCCCCTCAGCGTTGTAAGGACCCCTAACAGATACTGCATTGATACTCCAGAGAAAACACATGATATATGCTTGTTTTTAAAAATATGTTACTGTAATAATTTCTTATAAGGAGTTAATTTTGTTTTATAATTTATGTTTAATCTAGGGATAGTAAAAGTACTGATATTTTAATATGTAAACATATAATTATTCTTTGCTGTAAGAGACAGATAAGAAATTTTAACTTTTCAATAGTAGTTTTTTATTTTCTCTTAAAAACAAGTTTTTCTAAAAGATATATGGGGTAGAAAGATTACTAGTGCTATAATTCATATAACTTATTGTAATATTATTAAAATGTAAGCAAAAATTTCACTCATGTAATTCATTCAGTAGATACTATCAGGTCCCTAAAGCTTTATTTAGAGTAGTAAGTAAAAACATGGGAAAATATCAAATCTCACTAAAACAATGAGATATCGTTTTATATTTATTAATTGGGAAGTGGTGGATATTAAATTGTCCAGCATTTGGATGAATCTGATGTGCTTTAGGAGGCTTTATAAATTTAGTATGATGTTTTGGAAAGCATTTTTACCATTTCATGTATGTTTAATATATAGTATTAAAGTCTTGTTCTAGGCTTTTGTCCTAAAGAAAGATTTTTTTTCTTAAAAATGCTACTCTATCTACCCAGTTATTCATGCACATGAAAAACTGGAAAGTTCTCAAATGGCCCTCACTAGGACATTGGTTAAATAAATGGTATAACAACAAAAATAGCCAACAATAAGATCAAATACAGACTATATAAAATTCATGTATGCTTACCAGGATTGTCAAGCCCAAGAAAAAAAGGAAATGGTTGATGAATAAGAAAGGTAGGATTGGGTGATTTTTTTTTCCTTTAAAATGTTATAACATTGCCTTTATAATTACATGTTTAAATTCCACAAATAGAAGCATTTTGTTAACTCCTTCAATACCTTCCAGTTAGTGTACTGCACTCCCACTCACACCTCATGCCAAAAAAAGAATATGAATCTCTATATGCCTGATTTACTATAGGAATGTATTCTGCTTTCAGCAGCTTCTGTATTGTGATCTCATACTTATCTCCAGATGCACCTAGAAGTGGAAAATAATTGTATCATTTTATCTTCTAATTATAAAAAATGCATTAAATATTTATGTTATGTACATATTATATATATAAACAAACACACAATTATACACATACATATATAATCACAGCACTGCTTTTGGTGCCATTGTCAGGGAAGATTTTATTTCGTGGTTTTAAAACTATTGGTGATATTTTAAAGTATATAAATTGTAAATCTGAAGCAGAGTAACACTACTAGGAAATTATTATATTCTACTGAAAAGTGGGGAAATGTTTGGCTTAAGGGTATGAGCATTTTTCCACACAGGGAATGTTTTAGACAATTGAGAAACTTAGGATCTTTCTTTAATAAAGCACCAGAAATGAAGGCAAAACATCTTCTAAAAGTTGTGGGAATGTGGTAGAGTATCTGAGAGAGTATAACCTGAAGCCATACCTGGGCATGTTTTAGATCAAGCTTGTCCAAGCTGCAGGCCACAGGACAGCTTTGAATGCGGCCCAACACAAATTCATAAACTTTCTTAAAACATTATGAGATGTTTTTTGCGATTCTTTTTTTTTTTTCTTTTAGCTCATCAGCTGTTATTAGTGTTAGTGTATTTTATGTGTGGCCCAAGACAATTCTTCTTCCAATGTGGCCCAGGAAAGCCAAAAGATTGGACCATCCCTGTTTTAGACTGTGATCTTCCTTAGTATGAAAAGATTGGCTGTGATTTTAGAGTGAGTTCTATGGGATTACATAAAATGTTTGCTTTACTTTGTTTTTTTGTTTGTTTGTTTGGTGTTTTGGAAATTACACAGAATGTGAAGCTGTAAAATAATCCTTCAAAAACAATCAATTGTATTAAATGCCATATCAACCATAGTGTCAAGCCTATACTAGTGCTGGGTATACTAGTCTTCCTGCCTGTAGGAGTTTATTGTATTCTAGTAGGTGAGACAAGCACAAAAGGAGTGTGTTTATAGGCAATAATAATAATGCATACTGGATCTGAAGTCTGCAGAGAGACAGGAGCGTACAAGTATACCTGAAAGTGGAGAGGTATGAAGTCTGGGAAAGGCTTTCCAGAAGTTGGACCCAGAGCAGGGTATGGAAGGGTGATCAGGAGCTCCCAGGCCAGAGCAGGAGGGAAGACAGGTTCCAGACAAAGGTAAAAGTAGATGCAGAGACACGGGAGTGAAACAGCATCTTAGACACAAAGAACTTTGGGTCATCTGACGTTGCTGGAATGTGAAATGCATAGGGAAAAGTGGCAAGAAATTAGAAGAGAGGTCAAAGGTGGGGAGCAAGCCATAAAGATCCTTGCTAGGACTTGATTCCTAAAGCACTCAGAATGCTCTTCAGTCAAGCTGTAACCTGACTGGATTTTCATTTCCTAATGCCGCTCAGTCTTGGGCTTGAGTACATGGAAAAGCTACTAGCCTTATGAAGAAAGTATGGGGCTGTAGGTGGCCAGAGTGAGCTAGGATTGCAGCTTAGGAAGGCCAGAATGACTTTTTAAAAAATGTATAGACTTTTAAATTTTCTAAAACTTAATATTCCATAGGAAATAGGATGTACTCTAATTAGAAATGAATGTCCCACGTAGGTGATAGTATGTATGGTACCAGGTTTGGTGACCAAACTCTAAGTCCAGGCAGACTGGTAATGGCACATCCTAGTTTTGTTACCCTCGCTGAGTTTCTAAACCTCTCTTTGCTCTCCTCATCTGTAAAATGGTATCATAGTGGTATCATAAAGGTACCATACCTTTATATAAATAAAGGTACCTGGTTAAGTAGTCAATAAATGTTAGCTATTATCATTATAGTCCTCATGAAAGGATAAATTTCCCTAAATACAATATTTTGTCTAGTTACACATAATATGAAAAGGACGTGGTTACTTTTCAAAGATGTTGTAGTTTCTCATTATTTTTAGACACAGAACTGTTTTGAGTGTGTCACGTTGCCAGTAGAAGTTTCCTAGTTAAGCTGTGTTTCGTGTTCTCCACAGCAGTTTTTGTTATTCATAGTTCAGCTGTACAAAGATAAACTGCAAGACCAACTTCCTGCCCTTAAGGAAATTAGAATAGTGAGAATTGGGGATTCCTCCAGGTTTCCCTCTCCCCCTTTTTTTGACCAGTTTTTTCAGCGAAATCTTGTTCCGAAGTGAAAATTCTCCTGAGATTGTTGCTGAATGCTGCCACATTTCTTCTCGATGTTTTGGCCTAGGGGAATCTTAAGAAAGCTCTCCTCTCATTTTTAGAATTTCTGGCATTAGCTTACTAGTCTCCAACAATAACTCATTTCTCAAATTGAAGATCCTGTGAACTCACCTATTGAAGTTGGAACTGATATTCTTAGAATGAAGGTCAGGGTCTCTTCCCAAATGTATTGCCCTGATTGTCTTTGGATTGTCAAGACTTCCAAACTATAATCCACTTACTGTCATTAAGCTCTTGGCGCATATGGGAAAACTAGCAGATATTATTAACAACAAACAACACACTCTCTCTCTCTCTCTCTCTCTCTCTGTCTCTCTCGGCTTGTTTCCATGCCTTTCTCACAGCCCTGTATGTACACCTGCATTTTGTACATTTAGTATGTTCCTGGAAGTATAGCCAAAAGTTTTGCTTTCCTTAGAGTGGGTGTTTAATATTTACATTCTAAATTAAGTGAATACAGCCTGGAGATCCTATTTTCAACTCTCCTTTATGTAAGCTCTAAGAAGTTTCATCTCCAAACTTTGGGGATTATATTAGTAAAATCAGATCATAAAGCTCTAGTTAGAACACTCAGAGGATGATTGTTTTCAATAGCCAAATTTTCCAGAATGCTAAGGTTTTAACCCTTTAAGTACTATAATGTTAAAACATCTTGGATAGAAATCATTTTAGAATATATTATGTGTCTTTCCTGGGCACAGTGGCTCACGCCTGTAATCTCAGGAGGCCGAAGCAGGCAGATCACCTGAGGTCAGGAGTTCAAGACCAGCCTGGCCAACATGGTGAAACCCTGTCTCTACTAAAAATACAAAAATTAGCCAGCTGTCGTGGTGTGTGCCTGTAATCCCAGCTACTAGAGAGACTGAGGCAGGAAAATCGTTTGAACCCGGGAGGCAGAGGTTGCACTGAGCCATCACACCACTGCACTGCAGCCTGGGTGACAGAGTAAGACTCCATCTCAAAATAAATAAATAAATAAATGTATATATATATGTATATATTATACATACACACATATATGTATGTATGTGTGTGTATGTATAGATATATATACATATAATTGTATATATATATCTGCACTCCAGCCTGGGTGACAGAGTAAGACTCCATCTCAAAATAAATAAATAAATATATATATATAAAAAATAAAAAATAGAGTATATTACGTGTCTTAGGAAGTTAAATTAGATGGTACATGTTAAATGCCTACAGCTGTGCCTGACACAGAACAGATTGGCAATGAATGTTAGTTCTCCTTATCCCCTTCTCCCTTTTCTTCATAACTTTGAGATAGCCTAGTGAATATCAATGATTGTGCTATGATTTCTTTCCAGTTTTTAGGAGTACGTAGAGTTTTTCCATGTAACTGGGCTCATTGCCATCTCCTATCTGTTCTTCTGTATTTTCTGTAGCTTCCTTTGTTGTCAAGCTACCATTGCAACTCATTTTAATTCACACAACGCACTACATGGAGGAAAAGATGAGTAAGAACAAAAGTCTGCCCTCATAGAGTTCCCGTCCAGTGAGCATAAGTACACTTAAAATAATAACCGTAATAATGCGAGCCAGTACAAAGTTAAGTGCCATGAGAGAGGGGATTGGAAAGCAGGCAAGATCACACCTAGTTTAGATGTTTCAAGTTATCGGATTGATATCATATAGGCACCCTTCTTCCTGTTCTAAATTTATGTGTTAGATACAGAATCTAGATGAGTTTCATATTATCAGTTAGATATGGAATCTAGATGAGTTTCATATTATCAGTTAGCATAAATAGACTTTGGCTTGCAGCCCTTAAGGGAAACTTTTTAAATAAAAACATGATCATCTGGAAAATGGGGATTAAAAAATACAATAAAAACATGGGAACACTGCAGCCTGGACTTTGTGACCATCAGATTTGATTTTTCCTTGCCCTCTTGCATTATTCCATGCTGGCTGTGATCCACTCGGGTGTGGTTTCTGCAAAGCTTAGTTCCAGACAGGTGGATATTCCTGAACACAGGGTGTGCATCTGTGTATTCACACAAATACACATGTATCCATACAAAGGGTTCCTACCTAACCACAACTGAAAGAGTAGTAGAGTGAAGAGCCAGGAATGGTAATCATGGCAGGAGGAAGAAAAAACAGAGGACTCCAGAGGAATTCTGATTCCACTGTGACTCCAGCTGTATCTCTGCCTCTTAGAAGACTACTGCCAGGAAGCTATTAGAAAAAGCTTTGAAATTGTGAGCTCAGGAAAAATCCCTTGCTAATGCATTTTGAACAAGATGGAGCAGAGATCAGTGGCAAGGTAACTGTGCTTAAAATTATTTCATTCCACTATAAAGCAGGTTGTTCTGACTTCAGTGTAAGCATCTGAGTGCTCCTGACTTCCTGACACCTAATTGCAGAGAGAGTGGGAAACTGGATCAGATTGCTCCC
The DNA here is from genome assembly GCF_000001405.40 of Homo sapiens. Classification (NCBI taxonomy): domain Eukaryota; kingdom Metazoa; phylum Chordata; class Mammalia; order Primates; family Hominidae; genus Homo; species Homo sapiens. The sequence continues at coordinate 102,933,952 of NC_000005.10, forward strand.
TGTTGCTTTCCCTGTTGTCTTCTCTCAATCTGCACAAGTAGCTTCCTCCTACCTGCTTTCCAGTGAGATACATTAATCCTGCTTTTACTCACTCCGCTGCGAAGTGCACAATACTATGGGCCAGGATATTTAAGCCTATGTATTTTAGAGTATTTCGGAATACTTTCCATATTTAAGAATCTCCCTTGAAATTGCAAACATGGGAGGGAGGTTATTGTTACTGCTCCTCCAACCTCAGCTGACATAGACGTCCAAAAGCAACTGAGTCTCTACAGTGGAAGGGAGACATAAATAGCACCATCTAAGCACTCATCCTAGCCTTCCCTGAATAGGGCCCTGGCGTGTACATCAGCCATCAATCTGAATCCCCTTTCCAGAATAGACCATAATGTTAGTTCTTACCATGATCTTTCATTCCAGAGCACATATTGCGTTTCCAAGTTCTCAGCTCCAGAGACAGCAGCCCTGCTGAAACAAGCCTCACCCCTGGGAGATCCAGAAATGTGTCAGAAATATGGTTCCAGGAAGGATACACTTTTACCTCAGTTTTCCTTCTTTATTCTCAAGGCTGTGATACTCATGTCATCTACCAACTCTCCTTTTTTCTCTCCCTGACTCCCATTTCCAATTTCTCTGGTATGCTTTGATGGGGATAGGGACACAAACCTTTATGCAAATGCTTGGGGGCAGATGTGGTCTGGAATTAGGAGCTTTTAATATTTTTGAAAGGTATTCAACTGAATAAATCATGTACTCTATCACCTTTGTGAATCTGGGGCACCATCCCTATGTAGATACACTAATGTTTCTATAACAAATGTTTAAATATTCACACAAAAAGGAATAAAACATAAATATCATCATATTCATTCAAGTCAGATTTTGCTGCCAAAACTTAATGAGAAAACTTTAGCCTTCCAAAGCTGTTTAGATTTCAGAATTGCAATAAATTCCAGTATTAGAACAAAGAAATTATTTCTTCATATTTGAGTTTTCAGTTAAAATACTAAAAAGGATTGGAGGACTCTGGATGTATCTGCACATTTTCCCTTTAAAATAATCTTCTCTTCTGAACTTTATTTTTCCTCTTTTGGAAAATATAGAAAATTATTAAAAAGAAAAGTTGAAAATCCCTTGTAATACCCCTACTATTGAAAAAAATTGATAAAACCCTCTTCAATCATACCTCCCTTTCTCACCTAATTCCTCCCCACCCCAGCTATTGCTTATGTCTGCCAACTTTTCATTAGCTTATCTCAGCATTTCTATATGTGGAAGATAAACTAATGTATCAGATATGTGTATATGTACTTTTTTCTTTTTTTTTTGGACAAGAATTAGATCACATTTCCCACAGATCTGCATCTGTTGTTGTTGTTGCTTTTCACTTAACAGTGTACCCTGGACATATTTCTAAGGCAGCACATGTAAAGCTCTTCCATGATTTATAAAGGCTGCCTAGTATTCTTTTGTGTGGATATACTCTAATGTGTGTATCTTATTGTCTATTAAAGATGCTCTGAGTTTTTTTGCTATTATAAGCAATGTTAGAAATGTTTTAGGTAACCATGTATTGCTACTGCAGGGCAGATATCTAGAAATGAGATTTTGGGGTCATGGAGTGTCTAAATCCTAACAGGTTCCACCAAATCGCTCGACAGTTTTTCCAGTTTACAATCCCATATCCTTGGGCAATGAGCAAGTCCCATATCCTTGCCTGCACTAGATGTTTTCACACTTAAAAAATTTTACTCAGTGTTTACTTAAACAGACTCCTTATAATGTTTCATTTAAAAGATAAGAATTAACTGAAAGATCTTAATAGAATTACCTCTAAAGTTATATAGTCTAGATCAGGATTTCTCAAAATCTAATCAGAGGACCGTCTGCACCAGACTGTCCTTGGGGTACTTTTTAAAATGAAAGTTCCTAGTTCAAACTAGGCCTACTGAATCAGATGCACAGAAGGTAGAGCATAGGCAGCCAGAGCTGGCTCAGATAGGCTCACAAGAGCCAATTGGTAATTTGCAGTGTTTTTGTAAGCTGATTGTTAAATATCGCAATCATTAAAAATAAAGGCAAGAAATACTCAAAAATCTTTATTTCCTAATTATTTTACTAATTTTACTATTATCTGTGCACTTGAGGGTATTTGCATCTGTTGTATCTGTGTGGTGGAAATACTACAAAGTGTTATTTTACTGCTAATTTCTTCCTAAAGCAGTGATGTCATGTTGGTAGCTTGAAATTGGCTGTGGTGGGAAAATTTACATTGAAATCAGCTATGGTGGAAAAATTTACACCATGGAAATTGACAAATAGTGCAAGTCAAAGTTCTGTCTATTATTTTGCTGGTTGTCTAGACCTGAGAAAATGATGGAGAGGATGTTGGCAATGTGGATTACTGTAAATGCCCCCAAAAATTTAGGACATATTCTTCCAGGATTTGCAGACTGTTACCCATTACACCAAAGATTTTACTGACATCCTTAATGTGCAAGTTCCAACATAGGTCTTTGTTGTTTCACTAAACAAAATATTATTTCACTAAACAAATATTTTTGTTTCACTAAACAAAAATATTAACAAGCATTCTTGTCTGAACTACTTCATGGCAATTACAACCATCAGTGGGCTATAAAAAGTAGAGCAAAAGTCAAGGAAAGAATTATGTGAGAGTCAACAGCTTATATGGAGTTAATAATGAAAAGTATTGTATATTTTATTATTATTTGTAAATTGCTGCACATTTTTGCCAGTAAAAACTGTAACAAACATATAAACACACCAGTAGTGTGTATTTTTTTCACAGAGCCAATGTATTACTAGAATATCACTGGGCCCAGGATTCTGAAATTTTAACAACCTGCCTCATTGATTTTTATGCAAACTAAACTTTGACAACTGGCGCTCAAATTTTCCTAGCAAGGATTAAAGTCACTCCTGCATTTTTTTCCTGTAGAACAGGTGTGTCAGGGCAATCTCCTGGGGCCTAGGACATGAGCAGAATAATTTGCATTTACCAAAATAAGTTTAATTAAATCTCAATTCTCTTAAGAAAAGGGGAGCTTTGAAAGAAGAAAATGCATTTAATTACTGTCTGGTTATTCTAGCACTTTATTTCATTTAGAAATTCGAAGAAGAATTTATTTTCTTAACTTTTTCACAAAATTTGGCATTTGGATTTTAAAATTCTTTAATAGAAGCCACTTACAATGCATATCTGACATTCTCAGAGATCCCCCTCCCCATATACAGGTGCAAAAATGTTCCTTCTTCACACTTGATTTAGATATATCTTTTTGAAGAATGGGCCAAAATAATTTATATTCCTTCATTTTTTTACATTTTTTATTTTAAAGTGGAATATATGTGTTGACAGACACTAGAAATGGAAAGGAAGAGGTCCATGAAACCAAATCTGAAAGAGAAATGATTGGCAAGAAGGTAACATTCAACCTGCACGAAACGCCATGGCCTCTCAGGCCTTTTCAGTTAAGGGGAAGAGGTTGAAATGGGCTGAGAAAGCACTGTCGAACAGGAAAGCATGACGTTTTTTTCCTTCTTCTGAAAAGAAAAGGAGTAAGACCAATGGATGTTATGTGTCATGTACTCATTTGTTTATAAAGCACTCGTTTTTAAAATCAGAGACAGAGAACAGAGTTCAGAGTGACAGAATGAGAACAGCCTAACTAAAAGGGATCATCAGGCCTCACCCTTCCGTTTTACAGAAATGAAGATCGATGCTCAGAAAGGTTGCATGACTTGCCTAAGGTAGTCCAGTGCTATTAAAAACCAAAACAATTTAATTCATATTGGTTTTCTAGTTTGTGTATGTAACAAAGTTCATGCTCTAACTATGTAAAACAAGTAATAGAGTCACTGTTTTTAAAAGTCTTTTGAGCCATAGTTATGAAGTGAAATGAACTCATGCACAGTAGAATTAATATTAATAAAGATCAGAGTGGTTTACTTCATCTCATTTGTGCCTTTTCATTTTCATGTCTGAAGTAATCCATTTCCCTTATCATGTAGAGATATTTCTAAATCAGGTTGCTTGATAATCCCACTGATTTCAGAATTGTAATCGGATATTCTTCATGTTCTTCTCTAACCTTCATTATACACAAGCAGCTTGATGTGAGTCATGCGAATGATTTTAGGACTATTTAGTACCTCCCAAATGATCTGAAAGAAGCCTATTATCCTTCAGTATTTTTTTCTTGCAGCCTCTTCACATAATTGTGAGCTCTCTGATTCTCTAGCTTGCTGCATTTCAACTTTGTTAATCATCTTTAGTATGGAAGACAAATGATCCTCAGTCATCTCATTGATTCCATGGGACACCTGTTTATTTTAATACCTAAATATGGCCATTATGTATCAGGAATTACACTTTCATTCATAGGGTTATGAGAAGATATGTAAAGCACTACAGTTATACTTCTTTTTTAAAGAATATATTCAGAATGTTTTTTATCCCTTAAAACGTGGATTTTTAAAAAAGTAATTCAACATTGAGCAGAGCGTAAGTGATGTCTTTTTTGGGAAAAGAAAAGCTTTCCTACATGCAATTTAGTTTTTCAGATTTACATTTAGTTCTTCTAGTTTTTTTGAGAAATCCTTATGCTTTACCTTTATTGATCCCTTTGCAACTCATGTTTTTTTAATCGCTCATAATTATTAACTCATTTTTAAAAGCTGGTCAGAGCTACATAGTCATCATCTAATTAATTCCATTTGAATTAATGGCAAATAGCATTAAATTTTTAACCCAAGTAAATTAAGAGGAGAAATAAAGTCACTTGCTCACTGGCACAGTCTAAAATTAGGAGCTACAATTCTGTTTCAGTGAAATGTAGTTCAGGGCACTCACAACACTAAACGAGGTTTGTTTTTCACTAACCACTCCCACTCCCACAGGCTTCCTGCCTTTCACGCTGTTCCCCACTGCTCTCTTCATGGCCCTGACATGTTTGTTTATTATGTTCTAGGAATTCTGGGAAAAGAAGGAATCATTAGAAGTGCTGGGATTTGCACATTCCATTTCCCGTTTAGTACTAATTTCTTTTATGTTAATTGACTGTTTTACTTGTAAAACGAAAAGGATACCCTAAATAGATACATGACCTAAAAAAGCATTTGATGAAAACCATTCAAATATAATGTTTAATAATATGGACAGAATATTCTATTAGCAAAATAAAATCAAACCTTCCCTAGACCCAGAAGAGAACATTCTAGCCTTCCTATTTCTCCCAATAGAAACATTATTCTTTTCATCCAGTTTGGAAACCCTTCACCTTATCTCCATTTCTTTTCATTACATATTAATTATTCTTTTTTCCATCTTTAAAAACTTTCAAAACTCTTTCTTCTCATGGGGTCATCTGTCCTCCCCCACACTTTTCGAGTCTCATTTCTTTGCAAGTACGTCTTATCCTTGTTTCACAATTTAACTGTGATGTACCCCTAATAATAACTGAAAGTAAAGTAAAATCTGGTCAGTAGCCACAGACCCTTCTACACTGACGTTTTGTCTTATAGTATAAAGTCTTGCAAAATTCCAAGGGAATGTTGAGAGAGAATTCAGGTCACTGAAGGGTTTCAGTATTTTTTTCATTAACATAGTAATCATACTTAGCATTTATATACTACTTTTCAATTTAGAAGTGCCTTATGTTACTTTTTTAATCCTCATACTACATTACTACATAAACATATTGAATGACTGAAAAATTAATACTAAATCAAATGTATGAGGTATAATGTTCAAAGTGTATTCCCTAATTAATACCAGGGACTACATGCATACATAGTTATATGTAAATTAGATACTTTGGATTTATTTTTTCACCAAGGAACCAAAACACAATACAGAATAGTATTGTAAATAGATTAAGATGATTGGGTTGAAAATGTAGATACTGATTTTAGGTTGACCTTAAAAAATATATATATTCTTATTAAATTATAGCTTTTGGAGAATATAAACTTTCTGTGTTCCCAACAAAATGGATAGTTTTGCTGCCAGGTTACCCTCCCTTTGTTTATCATGAGTCTTTAGAGGTTTAAGTAAAACAAAAGAGAGACAACACATTGTTGCACAAAATAGTTGAGAATTCCAATGGGAATGAAAGGAAACCTTTTATATATGTATACATACACACACACACACACACACACACACACACACACATACACACACACACATATATATGAAAACACCCTCAAGACTATTCAAAAATTTATAATAGAGAATTTTATACGAGAAATAGTTTTCAGCTTTATATTTTAAATTGTGTTTAAAAGGACTTTTTAAAATCAAAGCTCTTCAATCCCTTTTCATTTCATGATTTATTTTATCTAGTACTTTCTTTATGGTTTCTAGACTTTTGCAGCTACATTCTGGACTCAGGGAAAAACAGATAATAATTGGGACAACGCAAAAGGAAATTCAGATTAACATTTAAAGTGTATATATATATATAATGCTATATATATTTTATATCTATAATGCTATGTATATAATGCTATATATATATATCAGCTATATATATATATATCAGAGGTAAGAAAGTGATATATATCAGAGGTAAGAAAGTGATATCAGAGGTAAGCAGTTAGTAGGCCTTTTGACTAGAAGAAAGAGGAAATAAAAAAAGTAAATATTTCTTAGTAACCAAGTATAATATTTAAAACTGCCCAACCAAAGCCCATGAAGCAAGTGAACAAGTTAGTTAAATGTTTCTTTTGGTTTTAGCCAAAAGACAACTCTTTCAGAAGACAAATGAATGTTTAAATATGGTATATACATAAATATAAAGGTTTAAAACTTAATGCCTCAGGAAGGGGACGTGAGTGGAGGATTTTTGGGTGCTGGTTACATGGGTGTTAGTTTTTTAAGTTTCCTGGATCTGTACTTTCTGATTTGTGCACTTTTCTGTGTATCAGAGTTCAATAAAGAGTTCTAAAGCCAATCAATAATTTTGAAATTTAGCACTGTACTTTAAAAAAATAACTTTATCTAGGATTGGTGGGTTTTATCTTTTAATTTTACTTTCTTAGAAGGATGCCTCTGGAGCAGGTTCATAATTTTGAGAGATAAAATAGTATAAATCATAACTTCACTGTAGACTCATATTTTTTTGCATTCATAAAAGATGGAAACAGGAAAGTGCTCTTACATTAGGTGTGCCATAACATCCTCCACACACACAGCAATTATAAAAGCAGGTTGGAGAGCCTGCCTTCCTGCCTTCCATTTGATCTCTTTTGCGAACAGCACAGGCCATCATTTGTGAAAGTCGTCGTCTTGCAGGATGGATAAATGCGTTTTCTCTTCCTTGCCGCAAGGCAAATGGAAGCTAGTAATTTCTAGTCCCATAGCAGTGAATACAAAATCAAAAGAGGCTAACTCAATGCAGTGACAGCTTCAAAAGGAATTGTTTTTGAAGATTCTTTTTTCCCATAGTGCTGGTTTATTTAGCACTGAAGGTCATCTGCTAACCCAGCTTTCAGCAGCCTCCAGGAAAACCTCAGTGTAGCTTGTGTCATGTATTAACAGTCCCCCAATTTCACTTATATTTTGCTAAGCAGATACACATTTGCCATGACAGCTTAAAGTGTCGGTGCTTTTGAATGGAGACTATTTTATCTCGATGTATCTGTAACTGGAGAGTCCTCATGCTCAGGACTGGTAACTCAGATTTTGTTTTGAAGGAACTAATTTTTAAAAAAATCTGGTAACTCAGATTTTGTTTGAAAGGAACTAATTTAAAAAAACTTTAATATATGAATTTTCTGGTTAATTTGGATGACCACCATTTTTTTGAGTACTGTTAACTGACTTTAGGACCTGCATTTCTAATCCAGATGGTACAAAAAAAAAAAAAAAAAAAAAAAAAAGAGCTGTGTCTTAGCTTCATTAAAACCAGAGTTTCATTCAACGTCTCTAATAGAGCCCAGAGTGAACACAAGATCTGGATCCGCTTTTCCCTCAGTTGGGTTCATTTTTTATTTGCCTCTCATACCTATGTCCCATCTCTCTGCAGCAGTTTCAGTTGCACAGAAATGACCTTTTTTATATAACAGCACAGCCCAACTGTATAGAAATATCTTTTTAAAAAAACAACATGGCCCAACTGACACAGCTGACAGCAATCTGTTCCAATGCTAAGGAAACTGGCTGTGTTGGATCTGTTAGGAGACCTCACTCTTTATTCTCCTACGGGATTTTCAAAGTAATTATAATTATATGAAATTTCCCTCAACTTTAGAAATTAATCCCCAAATAATCTCCTACTCCTGCTTGATCACCTTGGGAGCCATGATTTAGCCCCAGCAAAACATCCTGTCCCAGTAATTTAATGTTATTAATTTAGAACAAAGAACCATAAGGTAAAGATCAAAACAGCTTAATAGTCAAATAGTTATTACAACATCTATGTATGTGTATTATTGCAAAGTCATTTGCATTTAGTGATAATATAAAAATGATGTCCCTGATTCATTTTTGTTTGTATGTTCAAGACAGAGAAAGTAGAGAAGGTGGCCTTTAAATTAGTTCAGAACACTCTGGGAGGGTGGGAAGATACGATACAGTTTAGAATTATTTGCTTCCAAATTTTCTAAATTTTTTTTTTTTTTGAAACAGAGTCTTGCTCTGTCACCCAGGCTGAAGTGCCGTGGTGTGATCATGGCTTACTGCAGCCTCGACCTCCCAGGCACAAGCAATCCTCACAAGTAGCTGGGGCTACAGTCACACGCCAGCATGCCCGGCTAATTTTTTTTTTTTTTTGTAGAAATGCAGTTTCACCATATTGCCCAGGCTGGTCTCAAACTCCTGGGGTCAAGTGATTCACCTGCCTCGGCCTTCCAAAGTGCTGGGATTATGGGCATGAGCCATTATGCCCAGCCTAATTTTTATTATTGAAGATGTTACTTCTTTTTGTTTTTCCTAAGACTTGGCAGTGGTTTCAGGCATACTTTTTAGTACCTCCTTAAAGAAAGAATCCATTATCCAAAAGGGTGGCTTGGAATAGTTGGAAATGAGTGTGCTCTAACCTTTACCTTCACCTTCATAGAAGAGTGTGGTGAATTGAAAATCACTCTACAAATGTCTTTCTGAAGGACTTTCCCAATTAGTGGGACGTAGTTTATAACAATACATTGGTTCCCTCAGGATCAGCGGTTAATCTGTCTTTTTATTGAAGCAGGAAACAACCAGGACAAGATGAGCTCATAAAGTATAGAGCACTATCTCTAGAGGAAAAATTAGGAGAGACCAACAGAACCATCTAAGATCATCTAAGAACGTAAGATGTAGTAGGTTATTATCGTGCATTATTCCACATAATTTACTACTTAGCTAAGAATCCAAGCAGGAACTACAAGCTATTATTAGAAAAGCAAGCTAAATAGTTTGGGATGAATAACCTCATATCCCATGCATTCACCTCCCATTAAGAGAATTCCTACTTAAGTGGATGTCCTTAATTAAGTACCACTGGTTACTTACCCATTTTTGCTTAATTCCTCTATCTTAGCTTCCTAGGAATTTTAACCTTGGAAGTCTCTAAGATATAGAACCCTTGTTTTTTATTTTTGCCTTTTTTTCTAGTAAATAGCATTTATTAAACATTAATATTAGAGAATTATATTTGATACTCAGATGTGTCACCAATTAGCTGAATTACTTTAAGAGGCAACACACTTAATCTCTGTGACCTCTTTTTCCCTATCCATAAAGTGTAAGATTTGAACTTACACTCTCTGAGTAAATCATGTCTGGTTTCCCTTTCGGTTCTGAGATTCTGTGAGTCTATATATCTGATAAAATAATTCGGCATGGTTATACATCTCTGCTTAAGCAGAGGAAAGCAGTTTCTCAAAGGCAAGCCCAGACCCTTGTGAAGCAGTCATTCAGTTTCATCTTCCTTAAAATTAGATTCTGATTGAATGCTATTTTCAAGTCTCATCCAGTATCTGGAAATACTCATTTCTTTCATTATCAGACTACTCTTTGGAAGTCTTACCACCCAACAACCAGCACTACAATATTGTCCTATGTTGTGATGGCCTCTAAGGCATTATCAGACTTGGCTATTTTACATTTCTTTTTAAAAATTATTATTTCAACTTTTCCACTGTAAATGTCCTCAACATTACAAAAGCTTCTTGTACATGCATATGACATTATAATGGAATAGTGACATAATGAAATATCCCTCTCAGTTTTACCTCATACCTATCTAGTGAATGAAGTTTCATCTCCATATCTTGAAAACCCTTACACTAAAATTATTTTTATTGCAAGAGAACAACCACTATGAAAAATCTTTTTAACAGGGATGTCTTGGGGTTCAGTTCTCTGTAAATACAGGACATTAGTAGCTAAAGGCCAGGTATTTGCCTGTGTACCTTTGAGAGAGAGTTAACCTGGCGCCCAACCCAATGAAAGAAAGAATATTTACTTTGGAATAATAAAACTAAAATAAGAATAAATGAAACCACCTGAAAAGAACAGCCGTTAGGACTTTTGCATGATAATGTTGTACAGAATAACTGAATGTACATTGGAAGAATAATTTCATGATCAACACAAAAATGACCTCACTGTCTTTTCTACAAACCTAGGATCCCGTCGAACTGACTTCAAGCCCAAAACTCAGAAAAAAAATAAGGTTGTCTTGGGACTGGTCAAGGAGTGCATTGTTACTAAAAGTCATGGAAGGACCCTGAAACATTATCAACTTCTTTACGGTCCCATGGCCTCTAATTTAAGAATTTCCTTTTACCCAGACCATGGCATTTATCTTACTAAAATTTCTTTGCTTCACTTATGATTTTATTCTGTATCTAGCTAGTTCAGACCCTTCTGAGAACATGTTTTGCACAATAACATACCAAATTTCAATTCTAATTTCATTTTTTTAACTATTTTACTCTTTTAATTTTCCCATGTTTTTCCTGCTTTCTTCTAGTCCTGTCTTATTACTTGGAGAAATTTTATGTGCTTCAGTTTCTTTCATTAAAGAAATTTCACACTCATAACTGTAAAATACATTTCTTAAAAATAAAATATTCATGTACTGTATTTTTTGGAATATACCAATAGAATAATAATAACTAAGCATTTAGTGATTTTTTCCTATGCTCTAAATAGAGTGCTAAGTTCTTTACCTAAGTTATCTCAGTTGTAGACTACTTAGAGTTTCTTACTGGTATAAATGTTGATCACTAGTGCTAATCTATTGAGTATTAAGTACCTAGATTTTACTTCTCTTAGACAAAGGAACTCAGTGAGCACTTCGTTGAAAACTGATGATGGTCCTGTAAGGCACTATCCTATGATCAAATAATTGTGCAGGATTGAAAAATACAAATGAATCCCAAACCTTCTATTTGACAAATTTGGCATGTGGAAATGTGCAATATTTATATTGAAATATAAATTCAATATTTATATTGAAATGTAAATCTATAGTTCATATAGCTTATATAAACTATATATAAACTAAATATATGTAAAATATATATAAATATATTTTGCTTCCTTTCTGCCTTTCCTTCAAATTCAATCCTCTTACCTGACTATTTTAGTTTTTTGATTCACGACAGTTCCCATCTGTTTTTTAAGCAGTGGGATTCCATTTCTGTGGTCTTTGGCTCTGAGTTAATTTGCCTATCTATTCTTCTCCCCCCCTCTCTCCTTTTTACTTTTATTCTAGTCACAGAATAAGTCTATCCAGCTGGCTTTTCCAGCCAGGATATATGATTTTGATATTCTGAGTTCATTTTCTGTACAGTTCTTAACTGTCTGAGTACTGATTTGTTTTTTCATTTTATGTAGTAAAATATTAGCAGAAGCATCAATTTTTATTGCAATAAACGTTTTAACTGTCAAATGCTTTTATGATGATGCATGTCAGAGACAGATTTTATATATAGCCTAATGAATTGAAATCAATTAATTCTTAGGAGGTTTCATATCTTGTGGCCCAAGCACTGTATTACAACAGAAGGACAAAGTCAGAGCACACTGCAAATCATCAGGGAAATATGCAAAACTAGCTGAAGTTTCTGAGTTCACAGAAGTAAGATCAGCATAGAGGTTATGGAAATAATAATGCATCACTGTGGCAAGGATCGTGTTGGAGGTCATAATCTTCACACCAAACACTGAGGCTGAAATATGCTGCTTATCAAAACTGCCACCTGCTATAGGAGCAGCTGTTGATCCAGGACCCCTGTTGGCCTCCAGACCACCTTGTTTGAGGGCATTCAAGTTGCTCCCACTGGGACTTCTCACTGTGTATATGTGCAAGCATATGGGCTCTTCAGGTCAAACTGTGGAAAGCTGTACTGGAAGAAATTTAAAGTCTCTACAATAATAAAATTCTATTTTGAAATAATATATGAATGTCAGTAGACTTCAGCAATGCCTAAAGTGTATGAAAACCTAAATTATGAACTACACTTCTTAGAAAATAAAAAAGTCTTTTGTTTGGTGCAGCATGGAGCAAACTATTTTAGTTCAGCAACTTTTCTGGGTTTTTCAACAATACAGATAATGCATAGAGAGTATTAACAACTTTCTAGTATCTAGTATGTCTGCAGGAAAGTCAATATATTGGTCAGTTTGATGAGTCAAGAAATACCATAGACTGCATGAAATGATAGTTTTGTTTTTGCTGTTATGATACATTGGCAATTAAAGGAATTACTGGATATGAAAGTACTTAGTAAATCATAAAGAACCATACAGATGAAACATAACTTGTGTTTTAAAATATTTGGTTATAATCATTTCTATCTTACTAGTTGGAAATCCATTTTCTACATTATCATATTTAAGATATGTGTTTCTATGTGTGTTTTCAGATAATAACAAGGACTGTTCTGGTGTGTCCTTACACCTCACACGTCTGCCGTAAGTACTTCCATTTTTCCTAGAGGAGCAGCAACTTTAACATCTTTGCGAACTTAGAGTGGGAAGTTTACTGTATTAATTATCTGTGGGTAAAAATTAACCTAAACTGGGTTAAAACAACAAATATGTATTGTCTCATTTTCCTGTATGTCAGTAATTGGGCACACTTAGCTGGATCCTCAGGCATGTGTTCTCACACAGAGGCTGTAGTCAGAATCTTGGCTGGGGCTTCAGTCAGCTTAAGGCTTGACTGGGGAGGAGCCACTTCCAACATCACTCACATAGTTGTCGGCAGGCTTCAGTTCTTTGCTGAGTGTTGGCTGGAGGTCGCCCTCATATCCTTGCCAAGTGGGCTATAAACAGGGCAGCTCATGATATGGCACCTGGCCTCCATCATAGAAAGTAAGCAAAAAAAGGAAGAGAGGGCATGCATGCAAGATGGAAGCCAGAGTCTTTCAGTAACCTAATGTTCAAAATGGCATACCATCACTTTTGCCATATTCTATTTGTTAAAGATAAGTTACCGAGTAACTCAGGAATGGAAAACCAAACATTGTATGTTCTCACTCATAAGTGGGAACTAAGCTGTGAGAATGCAAAGGCATAAGAATGATACAGTGGACTTTGAGGACTTCCCAGGGTAAAGGATGGGAAGGAGGTGAGGGATAAAAGGCTACTAATTGAGTTCAGTGTATACTGTTTGGGTGATGGGTGCACCAAAATCTCAGAAATCACCACTAAAGAACTTAGGTAACCAAATACCACCTGTTCCCCAAAAATCTATGGAAATAAAAAAAATGTTAAAAATGTTTAAAAAGATGTTACTACACTTCTTTTAGCCCACATTAAAGGGCAGGGGATTAGACCAGGGCATGAATGTCACAGCTAGGAATCATGAGAGCTGATTAGTCAGGGTTCTCCAAAGAAACCTGAACCAATAGAATAGAGAGAAAGAGAAAGAGTTGTTGTAAGGGATTGGCTGACACTATTGTGGGGACTGATTAAGTCCTAAATCCATTGAGCCAATTGGAAATTCAAGGAAGGGTTGATGTTGCATTCTTGAGTCCAAAGGCAATTCACAGGCAGAATCCTTTCCTTTTGAGGGGACCTTAGTCTTTTCTCTTCAGACTTTCAATGGACTGGATGAAGCCCACCCGCACTATGGAAAATAATCTGCTTTACTCAAAGTTTAATTTAAAGGTTAATCACATTTAAAAATCACCTACCCAGCAACACCTAGACTGGTGTTTGACCAAACAACCAGGCACCTGGCCAAGTCAACACGTAAAGTTAGCTATCACAGGAACCATTTAGAGTCTGCCTTCACATGAAAAAGTATTTTTTAAGGAAGAAAAATTTTTCCTCTTTTTCTACTTCAATTTTCAAAAGCATCACATTTTATAAACCAAAGTATTGAGGTATATGCTGTTTTTCCAAAACAGTCATTTTGACTTTTTCAGGTATTTTAGAAAAATGTTATTTTTTTCTGCAGACAGCCTTTAATTGCTGGCATGTACCTTATGATGTCTGTTGACACTGTTATCCCAGCAGGAGAAAAAGGTGAGTAATGATTTTTTAATATTTACCATTACCTCATTACCTAATCTGTAGAAATGGATTTATACTGTATTTTTTATAAACTTTAAAAATAATCAATATTTTTATGTCTTGGAAAAATGAACCAATACTTTATTGTCCTTGGATTTAAAATAGATTTTTGTATTATTCCAAGCCAGTGGTTTATTACTTTTCCATTCTTTATTGAGATGCTAGGAATTGAGGCCCTTGTGTAGGTGTGTATTATATAAATTAAAGAATAAATCTTGAGTATTTAAAAATAAATCATCCATTCTTGAGATGCAGAGGACACACTGCATAATGAGCAGTGACATAAACTTCTACATAGAAAGATTTAAAAATTAAACGACTAGCAAATCCAGCACCAACTTAGTCTTTAAACTTGGATATAGTTGGCTTACTTCTCTACTTGCAAAATGGGGATGATAATAGCTGATTCTCCCAAGCTTACTAGAAGCGATGAGAATAAGTATATTATTATTTATCAATATATTTTACGATCCTCTGATGAAAGTGCCATATGAAATATTGTTCATTTGTTTTCGCTGGGAATCTCTTAAAGTTAATGACCAGTATGGTCTCTTTGTTACCATTTTTTCATCTATTATAAAATGAATATTTATTGAATAGCTACTGTGTTAGACTATAAGGAAGGAACAGTATGAAATGGCCTCTTCTCAACAGGAACTGTCAATGTAGTGATGTTAGGTGTCTGCATTCAATTTTTCAAAAATTCTTTCATTCCAAAAATAAAAACCAATTTTTAAGCTTTCTCAACTGGATAAATTTCAAGCTAAAGGTAACAAATTAAGCCTATGTTTTCACTAACAGAGTATTTTGATTTGGTTCTAGTCATTCTGTTTATGAATAAAATAAAAATATAAGGCAAGGGGTTCTTAATTCATGTGAGTAAAGTGGCTGGCACAGAATAAGTGCTTAATATCTGTGTATTTAAGTCATAAGAAAACCTCAGTCCCTAGCATCTTGTGAATACCCTATGCATAATTTTAGATAAGAATAATGTCATTTTCCAGTTGAATAGTGACTTTTGTCTGTGTTTTCATTTCCCACAGTGGTGAATTCTGACATTTCATGCCATTATAAAAATTATCCAATGCATGTCTTTGCCTATAGAGTTCACACTCACCATTTAGGTAAGAACTTTACATGTTAAATTATAAATATTTACCATTGTGCTTCCTGGTGCCATAAATTAAAATGCAAATTGTGTTTGACCTTAAGTCTGTTTCAATGAAAGTGATTTCATATAAGACCTTGAAATATTTTATGCTGTTTTATCATATTGTTTTTTTAAGATACTCAGTCTTTGCAGCTCTGAAAATACTCAGATTTCTACTTTAAAGTAGGAAAGTAAATATGCCTTTTGTTTTTCTAATACCTTATTATATTAAATGATTAAAATTTGTGTTTATTACAGGTAAGGTAGTAAGTGGATACAGAGTAAGAAATGGACAGTGGACACTGATTGGACGGCAGAGCCCTCAGCTGCCACAGGTGGGTAAAATCTAGTTTAATTTTGAGAGAAAAAAATATTAACCAGCAGAAAGTAATTTTTAAAAATTATTATGCAACTCTTGTGAATTTCTCTAAAAATCTCTAAATCTGCCTTAACTGTATAACTGAGCTGTATAACCTCCTTTTTGCAACTTCCAATTTGTTGCTTTCTTTGTCAGTTTTCTCAATATGGTCAAACCATGTTGGTGGCCTTTCACATCCCATCATTTATTCAAAGACAGTATTTCAGACAGCTCTTCTATTATCACATTTATTCTGATTTTTATGGGATGCATTTGCTAATAGTATTTTTTTGTTTATTTCAAAGTTTGGTGCTCTTGTCATAAAGTAGAAGTTATTAATTAAAGGTGAACTGTTTTTATCCGATGATTAAAGGTGAACTGTTTTTATCCAGTGATTATTTGTGTATGTGGGTGGGTGTGTGTGTGTGTGTGTGTGTGTCTATTTCACTGTCTGTCTTCATCCTCTCTACCCAGAGTGTACCAAGCTTCACATTATTAAAGCATGGGGTTCTGTGATATATCAATAGAATTAAGGTCAAAAATCCTCTGATCAGTTGAATGGATGCTGAAAAAGCATTTGATAAAATTCAACATCCCTTCATGATTAAACCCTCAAAAAAGGGGTAAAGGAGGAACATACCTCAACACAGTCAAACATGTAGTTCTGGATTTTATTGGTAATATTAATGATTCATTGTGTTTGTCTTTTTGGTAGGCTTTCTACCCTGTGGGGCATCCAGTTGATGTAAGTTTTGGTGACCTACTGGCTGCAAGATGTGTATTCACTGGTGAAGGAAGGACAGAAGCCACACACATTGGGTATGATTCTATACATTCCACTATTTAAAGATATTTTATTGGGATAAGGCATGATTACAGGTGACAGCTATCTTTGTGAATAAATTGTACATTTTTTGTCCTGTCATGGACAATTACAACAAACTGTGGCATTTTATCATTTCAAAGCTGATTGATTCAGATAAACCCCAGAACATGTGCTCATTTTTTTGTGCTACTCTTTTTCTTACTTCCTCAAAACCTTCGGTATCATACCTCTAAATATTACAGTTATCAAAGACTTCATATTACTTTCTGAGGCTCATCTTAATAAAGAAAATATAATGATAATGAAAATTTTTTTTCTCAAGTGCCTTTTTGCCCTGTGTTCACGGGGTCTACATTTGGTGATTCCTATTAAATACTCAGAACCATGATGTTAAAACTCTCGTGAATTTAATAATTTCCAGTTGTTTAGTCTACTAAATAAGGATAATAATATGCAACACTTTATCAAAAAAGAATGTTGAGCCTTTTAAATAATTTTTTAAATACTGAGCCTCCTTGAAATAATTATATTCTATAACACTACATAAAATTTTCAAAGCACTATGAACTCTTTCAAAAAAAACTTACCTAAATGAAAAATGAAAGGTAGTTTCTTTTCATGCTTTTTGATAGAAAAGAATCAAGGAGACTTCTTTTTATGTTAAACAACTTTTAAATATTTACTGATGCCATCTGGAAGCTAGAGTTTTAAACCATTTATGTCGTAATCAAAGAGAAGTTACAGAAAGTAAGCATCTGAAAATATGCTTTAGATGCCCTAAAGATGATTCTTGCGATAGCAACACTAACTGTTGGCTGTATGGAGAAAGGGAAAAGGTACTAAGGCAGGTTTAAAAAGGAAAGCAGGAGCATTTGATATAGTGTAAAAGAATTTTTATGTCACTCTAAATGGCTTTTTTATATAAGTAAGCATAAACTTTAAGGCTAAGGATAAAACAAATAAACCTTTATCAATTTCTGTTACAGAAATAGTTTCCAACAGCTTTGCTTTTGGATAAATTTGCTAAATTTGGCAAAGAGACTTCAGGAAAGCAATATTATTATTGAGTTATGGGAAACGATGATGGTAAGAAAAAGACTGACAAAGGAGGCATAACTAGATTTGAAAGAAAGAGCATAACGAGTCCCTTCTTAACAATCTTTACATGAGGTA
The DNA here is from genome assembly GCF_000001405.40 of Homo sapiens. NCBI lineage: Eukaryota > Metazoa > Chordata > Mammalia > Primates > Hominidae > Homo > Homo sapiens. Next base: position 102,952,001 of record NC_000005.10, read on the forward strand.
ACATGATTCAGAGGGTATCCATCAGTTGTTCATTTTATGTCAGTGCAGAGCCATAGGTAGTTTACTTAAATGCCCCAGGTTATGTTATTAACCTTTGTAGTAAGTAAATAGAGCAGTAAAAAAATCCCTTTCAACACATTACCTGCATTGACTTACAAGTTTTAAGTGTGGGAAAAAAACAGAATTTTTTGCCTAGAGGGCTCTTTACAGTTTGCAGCGGGGAGGTTTGTTACTTTGGCCAAATTCTATCCTTTTGAGTTCTGTCTGTGAGGTAATATCTGCCATAGAAATTAATGACTTGTTATAGTACTAGGATGGGAGGCCAAAGTGATCTCTGGAGGCCTCTATCAGTTCCATGAGTCTAGAATAATTCTTGTCTTTTTTAAAATGTGCATTTTGCTTTAAAATAATACCCTAAAATGACTACACTAATTTATCCTTTCACAAATCTCATGTGGGCTAAAGGAAACACCATTTTGTAATAAAAATGAAATAGAAAGGAATTATAGGAAATTAACTTATTGGGTGAGTCCATATTCTGAATATTTAATTTCTACTACAGAGGCAATTTTTTTACCAGTGGAATGACAAACAAGTAAGACAAGTTTTAATACATTTAAGTATGAATAAAAGTTTTCATAATAATGGATAATGTTCTCATAGCAGTTAATATGCTTTTTATTTTTAGACAAATAACAACAGCAATGTGTCTCTGTTTTATAAAATAATAGGCAAAACCTCCATAGATGATTACAGGATCACAGTTGAGAATGTGACCAGTGAAATAAACTAGTAATTTATGATGTCGGTTAAATTAAATGATACTCTGTAAATCCATATATCTCCTCTCCCTCTTCTCTTTTCCCATCTACCTCCAACCCACACATACAAACACACATTCCCACAGGACACAGATTTGAGCCCCGAGCGTGAAGCACACATAGGTATAAATCACACTTAACTAAGGATAGGCTGGGGCCAGTAGGTGCCTCCTCCATGTACTGCGAGAACTCTCAGCTTCAAGTTTTAAACCTTTCTGTTCTATGGTTACATAGAAACTAGGTTTTACAGAAAAACCGTTGACAGTAGCCTACTAGGAAGATTTACAGTTGAGTGATTCTTCTACCAAAATCAAGCTTAACTGTATTAAGCTAGAAATTTTGGAACTGGAGAAAACTTTGCTTGGGTAGAACAATCATGGGTAACTAATGAACAGCACTTAAAAGTAGAGGCTGATTTTCCCATAACAGGGATTCATCTTAAAATACCACGATGTAAAAACAGGAGATGGATTTAACCACCTGAGTGTCCATAAATGGATGAATGCATAAAGAAATGTGTTTTACATACACATGATGGAATACTATTTAGCCTTTACAAGGAGGGGGGGGAATCCTGTCATTTGTGACAAGGTGGATGAATCTGAAGGATGTATTAAGTGAAATAAGCCAGGCACAGATATATTAATACAAATACCACATGATCTCACTTATATGTGGAGTCTAAAAAAGTTGAACTCATAGAAATAGAGAATAGAATGATGGTTACTGAAGGGTGGGAAAGGAGGTAATAGGAATTGTTGATCAGAGGACATAAAGTTTCAGATAGACAGGAGGAATAGATTTTGAGATCTATTGCACAGAAGAATGACTATAGTCAATATAATGCACTATATATTTCAAAATAATTAAGAGAGGAATGTCAAATATTTCATGATTAAAAAAATGATAGGGCCGAGTACAATGGCTCATGCCTGTAATCTCAGCACTTTGGGAGGCCAAGGCGGGCAGATTGCCTGAGGTCAGGAGTTCAAGACCAGCTTGGCCAACATGGTGAAACCCCATCTCTACAAAAATACAAAAATTAGTCGGGCATGATGGCGGATGCCCATAATCCCAGCTACTTGGGAGGCTGAGGCTGGAGAATCGCTTGAACCTGGAAGGAAGAGATTGCAGTGAGCCAAGATCATGCCATTGCGCTTCAGACTGGGCTATAGAGTAAATAACAGGAGCAATGTTTCCCTGTCTCCGTCTCAAAATAAAAAAATATTAAAAAAAAGATAGGTAAGCAAAGTGATGGATTTGTTAGTTTGATTTAATAGTACCACACTGTATCCATATATTAAAAAATCACATTGTACCTTATATTACAAAATTATTTTTTATTTCAATAGTTTTTGGGGAACAGGTGGTTTTTTGTTACATGGATAAGTTCTTTAGGGATTTCTGTGATTTTAGTGCACCTGTCACCCAAGCAATGTACACTGTACCCAATATGTAGTTTTTTTTATCCTTAACCCCCTCCCACTCTTCCCTCCTGAGTCCCCAAAGTCCATTTTATCATTCTTATGCCTTTGCCTCCGTGTGGCTTAGCTCATATTTATAAATGAGAACATATGATTAAGTGCTTACCATTATTTGTCAATCAAAAGTAATATTAATAATAAAAACTACTTTAAAAGTAGGTATATTTAATATGAGATATATTAATAAATATACTTAATGGTAAAATGTTTTACCCATATATTATATTTATTTTTAAATAGTAAATATGAATAATATAGCCTAAATAAAGTTGCACCAAAGTATTATATATACTGACAACATAGTACTACTAATTGTTCTATGAAGAAGCAATATTTTGTGCTTGACTGCATTACATATTTTATATTCAGGATGATACTTCTCTAAATTCGTTTCAAATGTTTAGTCAAGTTTAAATAAAAACAGAATTTAATTAAGTCAGCCAATTAAGCTCATTAAGTCAGCTAATCAGGCTAAAAGTTTATATGCTAAAATTTAATATTAATTATTGGGACTAGGTAGACAATATTTACCAATTTGGTCAGTTTTGTTGGTCATACCTTTCATTTGGAATGGGTCATTTCATTAAAATATGAATGTTCATGGATACCAACATAGCACTTTAATCTGCATTTTTAAATATATTACATGCAAAGATAAAGTTACATGATAAATAACTTCTTAATGTATACATTTAAAGGCACCACGAAACTTTTTAAGAAATGATTAACAGTTTTGTAAAATGACTTCTTTGAAGTTTTTATATTTCTTTCTAAAATTACTATTACCGATTTTGCCTATTTTCAAGCCTAACATTTGTTGAATATAAACGGGGTAGAGGTGAAGAATTCTTGAGCTAGTGGAGTGTTTGCGGTATAGACATGGAATACAATGATATTTGGAAGTTTTTAAGTCATACATTTCAGATTACTTGGTGCTTTATTAAATCTGTATTACATATCTTTCTAATATAATATATTTTAATAAAAGCTCTCATGGAACCTAGGTAAATAGATTAGACAGATGGATAAACAGATATGGATATAAATAAATATTTTCAGAAATCCCACAGATCAATTGAGTACAAAAATTTGATCTGACTCATTATTCAGTAGTATAATATACTAGGGCAAACATGCTATGTCATATGAAGTTGTAAACATTTATTAAGCAGGATTATTAATTCTTCCTTCATTCAACACATATTTATCAAGGGCTTCCAATTTTCAGGCTCACACATTATGTCAGACCTAAAGCTATTTATATTAAGTATGCCAGTATAAAACAGGAAGTTATCACATAAGCACTTTATTATTCAAGAAGATGAAATAAATGCACTACTGTAATTTTGGAATGTAAGTAATGCCAGCAGTCATCATTTTAAGGAATCACACTGGCATTGGAGAATGTTTAAAGGGCCATTCAGTGGACATAATCTCCCTTCCTACTTTCTCATGTTCATAAATCACTCAGATTAGCAGAGTTGAATTGCATATGTTGATCTCGGTGGAAATTAAGGGTACATGTGTCAAAATACTCCCTTAGGAATACAGAAAGCAATTTGTTTTAAAATGAGATTTTTTGTTTTTGAATGAAAGGTGAATGATTGTAAAATAAAATAAGCAAACTGTGATGCTGATACTAAGGATGATTTGACTCCTGACATTTTTAGCATATGATAGTTTCTCTGTCACATAGGAGCTCAGAGTTACCTTGACTACAAGTCTAATTATAGATGGAAAGGAATAAAGTATGACTCTTTTTGTTCAGCTCTTTTAATGAAATTTTCCTTGTGATAGCAAAGATTCCTAAATTATTTGATAAAATTCAATTTTGAATCATAGAATTGGTACCCCAAATGAACTGTATTGGTGAGCTGATTAATATGTCTCAGAAAATCACGTGTGTAAAGGCAAACACATTTATATGTGTATCAAATTAACACATAATGTATGTGTAATTGAATTAGTGTATTGTGTGTGTATGTATATGTGCATGTGTGTACACACATACATATATGTATACTCTTACACATATATGCATAATTTTTCTCAAAAGTTAATTCAGTACATGGTAAGATAATTCACTTTTGAGGAAATAACCTGCGACCTTAGCTTATGTTTTTATTTTTATTTTCTCAAATATGCTATTTAAAATAATAAAGTGTGATCATAAGTTGTAGAGGACAAAGAGTTACATTATTCAGAAAGTTACTGATTTTCCTTTATTTGCTATACTTAAGTACATGTGTTTTTCAAACATGTAACCTTGTACCTTGGTACACACTATTTCTAATATAGTAATTGCTGCCTTTGTCTCCAATATTAGTATATAATTATTCTAAACTTATGCCACCTTTTTATTTCATATTCTTCTCCATAATTACGATCTATAATTTTCTTTTGTTTTTTGTTACTTACTGCTTTTTGGTGATAATAATGAATTTAATTTAGTAAGAGTAAATTATTGTCCTGATTTAGCCGACATTGCACAATTTAATTCCTTGTTCTCAGATTAATTACCTTTCACTTGTTTGAAATGAAATTTTTACTTTTAGTACAATTTTTTTTCAAATGTATGTTAAAAACAAATCCTTCCAAATATACATGTAACACCAAAATTATCTTTGAGGAAATATATATTAACAAGATATTTTATATTAGTTATTTTGAAGCTTTGCAGTATTAGTTGCTTCTTAAATCTCTAATGGATTTTTCTGAAAGCTTGAACTATGTGTTTATCTGAATGGATGGACAGATGGACAGATAGAAGGATATAGATAGAATATACATAGATATTTACCTGTCTTTATACAGATAAGACATGTTATGAAACATTTCTAGCTACACATCTGTATGCATATCTATGTATATTCATTTGAATAGCTTTATATAGCTTTACTACATGCACACTACTCTATTGAAGAAATCCTTTTGATTGGTCATTCTTAAACAATACTAGCATTTTGTTTCTACCTACGTAAGAGCAAGTCTTACAGTACAGCTTTTCTTAAATTATGCCCTGGAACACACAGCAACACAAAGGAGCCCGGTCAGATTCATTTAGGGAATAGAACCTACTGTATCCACGCCCCCCACCCCACCATACAGTCATGAGCACATTGTGTATTAAAGGATCAGGCAGTACAACATTGTTTAACTTGTATAGCCCAACATTTTCATTTGTTCATATGGTAAGATTTTTGTTTGTTTGCTTTTTTTTTTCTTTTCTTTTCTTTTTTTTGAGACGGAGTCTCAGTCTGTCACCTAGGCTGGAGTGCAGTGGCGTGAGATCTCAGCTCACTGCAACCTCTGCCCCTGTGTTCAAGCAATTCTCCTGCCTCAGCCTCTTGAGTAGTTGGGATTACAGGCAGCTGCCACTGCGCCCAGCTAATTTTTGCATTTTTAGTAGAGACGAGGTTTCACCATCTTGGCCAGGCTGGTCTTGAACTCCTGACCTCATGATCCACCCACCTCAGCCTCCCAAAGTGCTGGGATTACAGGCGTGAGCCATCGTGCCCGGCAGGCCATATGGTAAGTTTTTCTCAACTCTTCTGTAAGCATTTCAAGGACCAAAGTTTTGTGGTAATAATTGTGGAAATACTACTCTAGTAGGAAGAGTAAAAAAAGTTCTAGAATTCCCTCTCTAAGTATTTTATAAAAACATATAATAGCTCACAGAATAAACAATTTCCATTTATGCAACAGAGAACACACTGGCCCAAGGGACCAACAATATTTAGACCAGCAGTGATAGTTACTTCATTGTGTGTAGCTTTTTAGTAAGGAAAAAAATCAGGATACTGGCTTCTTACATATGCTGTTGTGGGTGGGTATACCTTCTCCAGTGAAAACATGGGTATTGGCATTCCCAAAAAGAGAAAATATGGAAGGACCCATCCATTGATGAGTTGCAAGTTTCATGAATTATTATATGAATTTAAAATGTTTTTCCTTTCATTAATTTGAGATGCTTAAATGATTATTTTGCCTTTCCTCTCTGCAAGATGATTAAAGGTTTTTAAAGCTAGAGCCACATCTAAAATTCCTTTTTCCTTTTTGCTCAGTTGATCTACATATACCTCCTTTTTTTTAAAGCAGGAAAGAGAAGGATAATATGGCGGGAGGCTCCAGTTTATTATTTTTGCAACAGCCATTCCTTTTATAGCACATACTGACCAACTCCAAGGCTGTTAAAATGTAATTCTTAGGAATGGTGTTTTGACACCATGAAGACATGTGTAGTGAACAGATGTTTGTTTGGCTTTGCACTTCACTATTTGCTTATATTTCACGGGAGAGGCAATTACACTGACAGGTATCAGATTCAGAGAGTAAGAAGCCAAATGATTTCTAAAGCATAAACAGAGCTTCCCATGGCAGGGGCTTATTCCTGTGGTCTCTCAAGGGCTCTATATTTTCAAAGCTTAGAGAAATCAAATCCCTGTTTGAAAAATATTTTTATTTTTTTCCTTCCCTTGCTGATGTCATACTGTTGCTATGGAGAGAAAGTGAGTGCTGCATGACATTGCTGGAAAAATCAACACTGATGTATTTCTGTACAGCAAATAACCTACCTCATAGCTTTTTTTTATTAGTGTAGGCTTGCTAAAAATTGTCAATACTAATACTAAAATGGACATGTTCCTTTGCCCAAACAACTTTGCTATGTAAAAGTCTTGTGAAGGTGTACTTAAATGGTTCCTTCCTAATAATGCTAAAGAGAATGAAATATATAATAACCCATGTGAAGTAAGGAAGCAGAATACATATTTTGTAAACTATTAGATATTTTTTCTATCATTGGGAACTTTTTTCTTGGAAATATCCACTGTTTTAAAATCTATTTTTAACATTGAGTCATTCAACTGTACAGCACTACTTCCGTCACATCTCAACCCTTAAAAAAGATTAGTGCTGATTTCATTTTGAGTCATTCCTGAGGCATTCTTTTCAACCCTGCTATAAAAGCCTAGTTGCCAAGTCAGACATCAGGGATACACTTTGAATGTCTTAGTGGGGACACATGATTCTAGATTCATCTGGCTGTAAGGAAGGAGGCAGTTAACCAAAAACAAGGTCCAGGACTTTTGATGTTAAGAGGAAAAGCCATTTTTAAAGACTTATAATAAATAATATATGATAATTATATTGAAGGTTTCTGATTTTTACCATTGTTAAGGAAATAATAAAGATTTTCCACGAGAACAATAACTTTTCCCAGTCTATGAGTTTTAGCAAATAGGAGGGGACTAAAGAATAAAAAGATTCAAGAGAGAAAAGAAAGTACCATATTCCCTCATCTACTAAAATGCCATTTTCATCAGTGGTATTTAGTAGTGTTCATGGTGTGCCTGCAAACTGACACTCCATTGTTAAGTGGAAATATGCCTTTGACAATGTGCTTTTGATGTTGAAAACTGTGATGGGTTTTAATGAAAGCTATAAAATAAATGCACAATATTTCTACCTTTGAATCCATTGCTGGCAGATCTAAGGGCTTCATTTTTCTTGCATTAAGCATGTGTTTTATGTGAATAGTTGATTTGTTATATCTTTTTTTTGCCTGCAGTGGCACGTCTAGTGATGAAATGTGCAACTTATACATTATGTATTACATGGAAGCCAAGCATGCAGTTTCTTTCATGACCTGTACCCAGAATGTAGCTCCAGATATGTTCAGAACCATACCACCAGAGGCCAACATTCCAATTCCCGTGAAGTCTGATATGGTTATGATGCATGAACATCATAAAGGTAATAATTGATGTTTAATATAAAGTAATATATGATTTTGTATTTTATATTTTTGTATGTATCTTGTTTGATGATATTTAAAATCATCTTTATTCCCTTCTTCTACCAGTCACATGTACACACATATTTCTTATTTTCTCATTTTTCTCTTTCATATCCTATCTCCCCTCCCTGACATGTACCCATCAGAACAGTTAAAGAGGAAAATCTCAGCCAGGGATGAAACAGATTCATTTTGGGACCAATCCCATAAATGTAGACCTTTTTTCACTTAATTCATGTTTTCTCATTTCCTCATCTAACTCCTTCCCTAACCAGTAATGACTTACACAGTTTATGAATTTATGCACCATGTTCTAAAGATCACTACAGTTTGCCAGGGAAAATGGTTATCATCTCCAGCCATACTTTAAATTATCCATTTAATGGGCTTCTTCAGGCAAAGAACAATTATTGATTTGTGAAGCATTGCTAGTCTTGACTTTTTTTATCTAATTCTCAGAATTGTTATTTAACATATATATAGTTCCTCTGCAAAATGGTCATATTGACTGTCACTTTTTAACTTAAAATTGCAAAGTCTACTCCTTGTTTTATCGCATGAAGTATGCTGAGACTTGATTGAGTTTTGCAAGTTCAGTCTTAACACGCTAGAGCAGCTTCTTATTTCTTTCTAGTGGAAATTTTATGAGAGAAGTTAGCATAGCATTCTGGCCATTTATTAAGATTCTACTATATTTATAGAATATGCCTTAAAGTGTTCTTAAATGTTCTTAAAACAGTGCTAAATTTAATTTAAGAAAACAAATATGAGTCATTTTGTCAATGCATTTTGAAAATTCTGTATCATTTATATATTATTGAAAGGGTAGTTGACCTAGTTATTAAGTCAGATGTCTTGTAATTGGTAGGTTGTGCTGGGGGGTGGGGGGTGGGGAGCTTATGAATTAGAGCATTTCTGTCTTATAAATTCTTAATACGGTAATAAGCACAAGACCCTGAATAGTATTTTTATGTTGATGGACTATTTCCAATAAACTATTTTAAGTATGTAATACATACTGCAAATTTATGCTCAGCTTCTTTGATCCTTTACAGAAACAGAATATAAAGATAAGATTCCTTTACTACAGCAGCCAAAACGAGAAGAAGAAGAAGTGTTAGACCAGGGTATGTATGCTTATTTCTATAACTAGTCCTATAAAAGTATCAATTTCCAAGTAGGCAACCAAATTGTAAAGTTACTGAGATATTGTATGTCTCTCTGTATCTGCCTCAAACACTATGTATTGCTATTTTTATACAATGCATAATTCATGAGAAAATGGTCAATTATTGCACTTTAGCTTTGAAAGTAAAATTCATTCATATAATTTAGTGCTGTTTCATTTTCTGTCTTTGTTTTACTTCATTTAATATTATAATTTTTATGTATAGTACAAATAAGTGCAAGCATAATCATTAAAAACCATCAGGCTGCTTTTGAAATCTAATAACCTTAACCATTTAAATTATTGTATATTTTGTATGGTATGTTCATTAAGTAGATTTGAGATTCAAGAAAAAAAGAAATTAAGAATTAAATCCACATCTTACCTCTATAAGTCATTCTTCTCTGCCTTCATCAAGGTAGGAGCGATTATTGTCTTATACATCTATAGTTTTGTGTTAAGTTGCCATCTGCAGAGTTTAAAAAAAGCATCATTCTTCCCCTGTTCTGTTTATTGAAAGTGGTAATGTTTGATGCTTGTATGTCATATACTGCATGTGCTGGTACTAAAAAATTACTTCCCTGAATCTTGGCTTTTTGCCAGTTGTTTGGAAGGTAGTGCTTTGGGTTAGGCTTTGGAGTTTGTTATCCTAAAAAGTTGTTTTTGGCCTACGATACACGTTTTTAAACGTTAGTTTCATGTTAATGCAAACCCACTTCTACTGACAGCACAAATAGGAATAGAAAGGATTTTTCTATTAGCAACATGTAGAAGTTTCCTGTTTCTTATTGCTAGCTGCTATTGGAATTCTTCAAAATGTATTACATTAGGTCTAGTTCAAAAATATCACTCTTGTATGAATAGTTTTTACAAAATTAAACAATTGAGACTTTAGAAAGGGGAAAATGCATTCTGAAAGAAGCATAAAGTAAACTGTGATCCTGAGGTTTTTAAATTATACAGCGGATGTTTTATAATATCTCATTCTAACAAAGTGACCTTCAAAAAAATACAGCTTAGCTCAAAGCACTAAATGGCTGAGTAATTTAAAATAGCTAAATTTATCAATCCTGTTTATATATTTGTAAGTAAGCCAGTAATAGCAGCCTAAATATAGTGGTATTCAGAGTGTTTACTGTAACTTCTTATGAAGTTTGTTCAGACTTTCAATGAATTATTTTGACATTTCAAATGCTATTTGAAATGTATGTCTTTAAAATAATTTTGTCTTAGAATACATTTACAAATAACAACATATATGAAACAATACGGAATGAGATACCACCATTTAATAGATGCATCTTATAAAATGGTATGTTTCTATGGAAACTGCAGTTGGACTATGGTTTCCTTTTGAAGTTAGTCAAGTTGATCAAGGGAAACACTGACACTTCTAAAAGGTTAAAAACCCAGGGGTTTTGTTAGTGAAGCGGTATTAAAGGTTATATTTCATCTGTTCTTTCCAAATAGTAGGATGTAGGAGGTGTTATATACGCCTACAAACCAGATTCTTTAAAATACTTTCATACCTTGCCATTCATTTACCCTTTTGTGTTTTATAGCATATATATAATATTCAGAGGTGAACATTATCTATATACCCAAATATACAAATATACCCAAACTCTTACTGGTCCCCGAGAATAATTCTATGGACACATAAGAAATTATTTTCCTGCAGTTTCTATTTTCTTCTGTTTGTGAATAAAAATGCTGTAACTAAAGGTATTTAACTTGAGAATAAAAAAGCATTCTGATATTATCAATTTTCATATTGCAGAAAATAGGCTGTTACTCATATGTTGAAATTAGTGGGCCCATTAAAATGTCATCTCTAATGACGGTAAAGACAGTAGCCTAACCAAAAGCCATTTCAATGGCTAGCATAGTCTGTGTATGATCCTACCAGTCTATGGGGACCACCAGCCTAGAATTAAAAGAGAAATACAGAAATGTACCAAATGCACATTTGTACACATAGTTCATGTGATGCACTAATGAGATTAGTCTGTCTCCTTACAACACATAGGGCAAATCTCATTGCTGAAAGAGTATTTCATTCTTCTTAGAGATATTTGTTTGCACAAAGTGTCTATTTGTATGCATTCTTTGGAAAGTCAACTTGACCAAGTAGCTAATAAGGGGGCTTTAATTATTCAAATAAATTATGCCATGTATGTTAATTTTTAAAGTAAGCCCTCAAACTTCACTTATCACTTTATTTGGTGTTCTGGCCAAAACAATTTGTGTAGTATTTCTTTACATTGTACAATTATTTTAATACTTTTTAGCCCCAATAAGCAAAAGCCCACATTATTGTGGTTGTGCTAGCCACAAGCTAACAGACACCATCTATGTTGGTCCTACAGAAGATGTGAAACCCCTGTAGAAAACAGCACAATGTGGGGTAGGAAGAAAAGACTTGAACCATCGATGGATATGTACTCATGGACAAGCTCTATACCTGTTAGTGGGTACAGATAGTTCTGTAAGTGATGTAGATAGTTCCACCTGGTTAATACTATATATAGTGTATATGTGTGTATATATGCACATACACACATACATATATATATTAAATAAATGCTATTTAAATTGTACTATATATAGTATTATATATATATATTTACTTCCTATCTTAATACATTGGAAAACAGGTAGAAAGATATAAGTCAAGATATGTAATAAATGTTATGTTAGAAAGAAGAAATGACCTTTACTAAGATAGAAAAAAAAGAAGGAGGGGAGAGATAGAAATAATCATATTCCATAGACTAAAAGAAAGAAATGTAGCCATGCCACAAATAAACAGGAAGTGGGAGTTATCTCTAACATGGAGGAAAAAAATTCAAAGAAAGTTAGTGATCTTTAAAGAAAGCCAGTGATCATTAAAACACAGATTTATTTAGTACTCTGTTTCTCCAGGAGAAATATATTTTCTTTGAAATTTGTATCTCAAAAATTGCTAGCTATTGATGTTTTGCCAGAATATTAATCTTGATTAGAAATTAACTAGAAATTAACTAGATGTCTTGACATCTAAGTTGTGCAAATCCAGTCTGTGCTTTCTCACAAACACACTAACCTTTCACCATATCTTTGTCTACATCTGCTCTCTGTAGAACAAAATCTGGTGTAAAGCAAGTGTACCTCAGATTCTGTCTCAAAAGATGTAATTACAGAGACACCACAAAAGCATCATTATATGACAGTTTTACTTATCATGTTGTCCTGGATCATGCAACAATAGGAAACATTTTAATGAGGCTTTAATTGAGTCTGTAGGGATTTCTTTAAAAATAATGCTTATTTTGACTGATTTTTTAAAATAATATTCATTATAAAAGATAAGGAAATTATGTAAAGTATAAATATACAAATAGAAATCATCCGTAGTCCCCAGAAACATGAGTACATATATGTATGTGAAATATATATTATGCATATATTTACATATTCAATATATGCATATGTAAAGCACATTATTTTAATTATAATGTATACACAATTTCATAGCCCTTTTTAAAAAATATACCTTGAATATTTTCTCCAGTGGTAAAAATTATTGGCAAGAGTGATTTTTAATGGCTGCATAATACGTGCATATTCCTGCCTATATCAATTTGAAAATAACCCATTTGCATATAAGGGAGTTTATCTGCGAATGAGTTGATTATGTCTGCCTACAGGGAGAAAAACACAAATGGATATTTAAAACAAACTAAAATGTCACCGTCCTTCAAAGACATTGTGAGTGAAGAATTACCTATATATGTAATAAGTACAATAAACTATACAATAGACTCAATTAGGCAGTGATTCTGCATGGAGGAAATGAATCCTAGGAGACTATATAGAATGAGGAAGTTCACACTGATGTCTTCCAAAGCAGACACACACACACACACACACACACACACACACACACCTCACATATATTAAGGTTGGCACTTTTAGAAAACTAACACATTTTGTAAGTTCTCTTTATTTCTTATGCATTATAATTTCTTATATGCGTTCACTATACCAAAGCTATAAACATCCTGAACTTTCTATAACCATTGTTTAAGCAAAGAATATGGGCTTGAAACTAAGAAGCTTACTAGATGGAAGCAAAAGTCTACACAATTACATTTAAGAGTTCTGAATTTGAGTGTCTCACCTCTTTAATATTCAAAGTCTAGATGTAGTGTTGAAACTTACGTCTGTTGTATTGGGAAGATTCAGTGTCTTAAATTCCAGGCAGAATTGAAAATCAAAATCTATAATAACAGTATGTCCTTGTTATTATGTATTATGCTCTAGACAACATTTATTTGGCTGCAGAAACAGCCTTTAACATGTTTTATTCAGTTTGCTCCAAAATCTCCTCATTGTAGTCTTTGTGCCCTCATATAATCAATCTTTCTACTCAAAGGTCAGCATAAGCTACTGTATTCCCAAGGCAGAGAGAATATGACAAAAATATAATTTATTGAGGGAAAATACCCCATGACCCCAGATAGTTAAAGGTCTTCGGACACCTTCTGTGAAACAGTAATTTCACAGTGGTTTTATGCTAACAAAAATGAATTACCATTGGCATGTTTTATCAAATAAGCAGAATCAAGGGAACAAGGTTGCCAGTTAAAAACACAATAGTCTACTGTCAAAGCCTGCTAAAGTTACAGTTGTAAACAGTTTATGGGAAGAGTTAAATAAAGGCTGGGCATGGTAGCTAAAATTTATATTTCATTGATTTGTTCAAAATAGGGCATTCCTTTGATCCTCTAATAAAACACAAATAATTTTAGTAACATCTTCTTAACTAATTCCAAGCACTCTCTATGCCACTTTGCTGTTTTAAAGAAGATACAGTTTTTGTTTGTATGCCTATTCACTAAAAATTTATTGGTTTCTTATGATTTATGAGCACTTCACAAGTCTTTATTTATTGAACTCATCTATCAAACACAATTCTAAATACCCCCCAAGGCTCTGGGAAGCTGACTGAATGCTGTTTTGAATTGGTTTCCTAATAACGGAATAGGCAGATGTGAATGATCATTTATCACACAGTTAGGCTTTCCAATATAGATCTGTGTGCATGGTAGTTATGAAAACCATCATCTTCTATCTTCTCCTTTTTTATATTTGTCTCGTTTTCTTAAAAAGGAAGAAAAGTTGATTTCTGATTGCTTTTCAATCAAATGAGCCCTATAAGGGGAAGAAATAATAAAGTTCACTTCATTTGTGATCCTTGAGCTGGTCACCATGGTCATGTGTTTTATTTCTCTAAGGCTAGAGAATAAATATTGTGGGACAGTAATAAGTAAACAATCAATAAACCAAATTGACTTTAACCCGAAGGGAAAATCAGTTAAGACTAAGTCATAAAACAAATTATTAAATTCTAAAAAGAGATGCTTTTATTTTTCCATTCCTCATATCCTCTCATTAATCAGTTATGTTCCATGGCTCTAATCATGTTAACTTGGTTACTTGACATATTTTGTCAGTGGCTAAACTGCTGCTGAACATCCTATTTACTCTCCTTATATTATAGAAATTGCAGAACAATAAGCAGTAACAAGAGCTGGGTTTTTTTAGGTAATGAAGAACTAGTAATGTGTGTGGGAAATGGGAATTTATATTCTGGAAAGTTCTGAGAGGTATTTGATCATTTTTAAAAAATAATAGCACCTGCCTCATTAAGATTTTACAATTTCTAAAAAATTAGATACTTTTTTTTTTCTATCCAGTAATCTTAAAGCATTTTTTAAAAAACCTTCATAGGACCATTTTTCAATGTATATTTCATCTATTTTAGTTTTTCTCACCATATTCCTGAAAGTACATCAGAGAAATTTCCATGCTGGGAGCAGGGAATAGTGAGTGGTCCCTGATAATAGAAAAATGTCCATTGATCCACAAAGCAGTTAATGCAAGCACACAACTTAGGAACTTTAATTGGTGGTGTTATTAGATTCCCATGTACTATGCTGCATTCCTTTTCTCCACACATTAGCTGCTACTATAGTTGTGTTTTCCATATACCAAACTCACACAATTGAATTCCTTAAAAGATCTAGAGCATTTGGGTATTTTATAAGAATCAAAAGTTAGGGAATAAAATTTAAAAATGGGAAATTACTGCAGCCTAAAATCATCAAGGAAATATTTTTATCTCTGCTAATGCAGATGCAAGGGCTGACATTTTTAACAAATTATTATTCATCCCAGAATTGCTTATTGAGTATCTGCTAGGATAGGGAAAGTACTAATCTCTGGAACTATGACAAGAAATAAGAAATGAGAGGGACTTTTTTATATAAAACTATAGTTCTATCTTGTAATTTCTCCCTTCCCAGAGATAATTTAAATATACAGAAAGTATTTTTAGAACATCTTAAAGAATTTGGTCATACATGTAAGGTACATTTTTTCAAATCAAAGAAAACTAGGCCTTTTTTTTTTTTTTTTTGAGATGGAGTCTTGCACTGTCGCCCAGGCTGGAGTGCAGTGGCACTATCTCAGCTCACAGCTCACTGCAACCTCCACCTCCCAGATTCAAGCAATTCTCCTGTCTCAGCCTCCTGAGTAGCTGGGATTACAGGTGCCCGCCACCACCCCCAGCTAATTTTTGTATTTTTGGTAGAGATGGGGTTTCACCTTGTTGGCCAGGCTGGTCTCGAACTCCTGACCTCAAGTGATAGGCCTGTCTTGGCTTCCCAAAGTGCTGGGATTACAGGCATGAGCCACAGTGCCCAGCCAAAAACTAGTCATTTTTTAAGCTAGTTTTGTGCAAATCGCTGTGGTATGTATGTATTGACCAGTTTGCACGTTTCTTGTGTTACGATATGGACAAGATAGACCAGGATATGACAAAGAGAAACCCAGTTAAAGAATAAACCTAGCACTTGAGCTCAGAAGATGGTTAATTTAAAAAGAAAAACAATTAAGTTTTTTATAGTAAGATTGATAAGTTTGAGAAGAATGTATAGGAAAAAGTGTAATGGCCAGTACAGAAAAGACAGGGAAACCTGAATCCAGTCTAGTGAGCAGTTTGGAGGGCAACTGTCATTCTGACCGTCTCCTTCAAATCCCAGTTCAATTTCCTACCAGCTGTGCAGGTTAGTACTGTACCTTTTGTTTCCTCATATAAAATAAGGACAATAATAACAATTTAATAGAGATTAAACGTATTAAACCGTATAAAGCATTCAGCAAAGTGAATGGATCATGCTAAGCTCTCAAGAAATTTTAGCTGCTATTATTATTTTCTATAGTTTATATTGTTCTGAATATGTTAACTCTGTCAACAATTGGTAAGCAGCAAACGTCTCCATTTTTCTAGGACTGTCCCAGTTTATGCCTAGTATAAATATTATTAACACCCTTTTCCTTTTAAAAAGTATTCTAGTTTGAGAAACAAATTATATGGTCACCTTAGCAGGGAGTCCCAGAATAGAAATAGAAAATACCACCCAGAATATACCCAAGGATTTTAAATCATTCTACTGTAAAGACACATGCACACATGCGTTTATTGCAGCACTATTCCCAATAGCGAAGACTTGGAACCAACCCAAATGCCCATCAATGCTGCACTGGATAAAGAAAATGTGGCACATATACACCATGGACTACTATGCAGCCATAAAAAAGGATGAGTTCATGTCCTTTGCAGGGATATGGATGAAGCTGGAAATATCATTCTCAGCAAACTAACACAGGAACAGAAAACCAAACACTGCATGTTCTCACTCATAAGTGGGAGGTGAACAATGAGAACACTTGGGAACAGGGAGGGGAACATCACACACCAGTGCCTGTCGGGGGGTAGGGGGCTAGGGGAGGGATAGCATTAGGAGGAATACCTAATGTAGATGATGGGTTGATGGGTGCAGCAAACAACCATGGCACGTGGATACCTATGTAACAAACCTGCACATTCTGCACATGTATCCCAGAACTTAAAGTATAATAAAAAATGCCACAAATCAAAATCAAAGTTAGTCCAGTGGAAAAAAAAAAAAAGAAAAGAAAATACCACTCAGAAATATATAGCTGAACAGAGCTGTGGAAAAGGTAGCTATGGGGATATAACCCAGGAGTGTCCAAGGTGGGTAGGGTGCCATCAATCACACATCAGTTCCGTAGAGGTAGAGCCACTTTTAATACCATCCTAGACAGATTTTGTCATCCAGAGCAGAGATGGGGGTCCTTTCTGAGGAAGGAGAAGAGTCTTTCACTATGACAATCAAAAGATAAGATTCCCAAATGAGTACTGGTGGTAAGGAGGGAAAAGTTGATGTTGCAAATCAGCCTAGGTTGGACCTTGTGATTCACTGGTTAGAGAGAGAAGAACACAGTTTTCTGAGTTGATTTACTCAAAAAAGTGTCATCACTAAGAGAGACACTATTAAAAGGTTAAAATATGGCGAGAAGATTAAGAGCTCCATTTTAGACATTTTAAGTTCAAATGAGACAGACAGACATCCAAGTGGGATTTTCCAGAAGACAGTTTTGTAACACCAGTTTGGTGTTAGGAGAGCTCCAGGCTTGGTAGTCATGTGCCTGGAGGTGGTAGCTTAAGTTTTGTAAGTGACTGAGATCACTTAGTAGGAAGAGGCTTTAGCCAGGGGAAAAATGTTTCAGGGACAGACTTCCCAAAACACCAGCGTTTTTTACATGATGGACGGTAAAAAGAGGAAGCACAGATGATAGGTGGAGAAGACCTGTAAAGAACAACATTATAAGGAGAGAGGTTCTGAAGGGAACTTTCAACAGGGCTACAGCCTCCCAGTAGATCAAAATAAAGAGTCTATTAGCATTGGCAATTAGGATCCCTTACCTCTTGGAGAAGTCATACAACGGTGAAATAGGAAGTGGAAAGAAATGCATCCAATTTAGGGAGGGAAAAGGATGTAAGGAAGAATGAATCAGCAAGTAGCCCTGCACCATCCAATATGGTAAACACTAGGTGAAAATATTTATGTTTTGAATATAAATTAATTCAAAGTAAAAAATTAAAAATTAAGTTTCTCAGGTGCACTAGCCATTTACAAAGTACTCAGCCCCATGTGTCTGTCTAGCAGCTATTAGGTTGGACAGTGCAGACATAGATTACATCCATTATTACAGAAAATTCTTTTGGACAGTGTTGGAGCTTGTAAAGGAAGAGAGAAGATGGAAAAGCCTGAAGGATATGTTATGTTAGAGGAGAGTCTCTCCCCACCTCCACAACAACTCAAGCCCTAAGTGAGTGTATGTATAGCCTGTGAGTCAGATATGAGGTAAAGAAGTTGTATTTATTAATAAAAAAGAAAAGAGAGAAGACAGGAGAGGCTTTAGGGAATTCTGGAGGAATGGCATTCAGAACAGTGGAGTAGAGAGAGTTCTTTTTCCAAAGATACGCTAAAAGAGATGGAGAAGGTACAGATACAGCCTCCTTTGGCAAAGCCAGTAACCAATTAGCTGTAGTAGCCACAGTGACTTATTAAGAAAATAGAGGGCTAGGAACCTAAAAGGGCTTTTTTTTTAATTTTATTTTTTTTACTTATTTATTTTTTGAGACTGAGTCTCACTCTGTCTCCCGGGCTGGAGTGCAGTGGCGTGATCTCAGCTCACTGCAAACTCTGCCTCTGGGGTTCAAGCAATTCTCGTGCCTCCGCCTCCTAAGTAGCTGGGATTACAGGTGCCCACCACCACACCTGGCTAATTTTTGTATTTTTAGTAGAGATGGGGTTTCACCACGTAGGCCAGGCTGTTCTCAAACTCCTGACCTCAAGTAATCCGCCCGCCTTGGCTTCCCAGTGCTGGGATTACAGGCATGAGCCACCGTGCCCAGTCCTAAAAGGGCTTTTTGTTTTCTATTACAAAAATCCAAATGTTTGACTGGAAAAAGGAGCTGATTTTTAAAATATTATATAAACCACAGGTTGAAGCAGATGCATGTTGCAATTAGTTTGTTTTTTCAGTCAGTAATTATAATAGCTATAATTTAGTGACACCTACTTTATGATATGTACTGGACTGGGTATTTTAATATTAGCTGTCTTCTTTAAATCTACAAAGTAATTTCTAAAGGTTATTGTCACTATCTTTATTAAGTTAAGTAGAATTTACTTAAAGGCACAAAGTAGAATTATTTCTTAGGGGCACAGAAATAGGGTTTGATGTGTATTTGAATTGAGGAGTTGCCATACAGGGAAAGACCAGAGTGCTATAGGTGCACCCAGCAGAGACCCCTGAGTTGAATTGTCAAGAAAGGCTTTTTTGATGTGACACCTAAGATCTGAAAGTTGAGGAGCTAGTTTATTAGTGGGGAGGGAGTGGTCCAGGCAGAAGAAACAATATCTTCTTAGAGTTGATATTCAAGGAAATGAAAAGCCAATATGAGTGGAACATAAACTGAAAAGAAAAAGGAAACATTGAGAGATGACACAGGGGTCAGGACCACCAACTTGCTTTATTTATGTTCTACTCCATCTGTTATATTCATTAGATGTATTTTCTAAATAAACATCTTAATGTGACTAAGAAAATTGGTTAACATTTCAGGATTCCATATTATATCTAGTACACTAGAAGAGGAAAAAACTCTTTCTGGTTTGCACATAGGAATGTAAGAGATAGCCATCTAGTGGTCTCTCTCTCATGTAACAAGATGTTTGTACAGATTCTGCTCTGAAACTTTATTCTGGCAAGGCCTGTGCAACTGTGTGCAGCCAAGCCTGTTGCATTATTTTAACAATTTTTGCTTTCCTAACCCAATAACAATTTTAAATGATAAATTCACATGAACTGGAGTGCTCTACCTTTGGTATTTTATCACAGCTTTTAGATTTCCTCTTACAAACCTGAATGACTATGCATAGTTCTGAACCTGTCTTCCTCCATCAAGATTACCCTAAACACAGAGGTTGCAGTGAGCCAAGATTGTGCCACTGTACTCCAGCCTGAGCGAAAGAGAGAGACCCTGTCTCAATAACAATAATAGCTTAAACATATGGATTCAAGTTTTTATTTAATTTTAATTTTTTTTGAGATGAGGTCTGTCTCTGTCACTCAGGCTGGAGTACCGTGGCGTGATCATAGCTCACTGCAGCCTTGAACTCCTGAGCTCAAGCAGTCCTCCCACTTTAGCCTCCCAAGTGGTGAGGACTATAATTGAATGCCACCACACCCAGCTAATTTTTTTATTTCTTAGAGAGATAGGGTCTCACTCTGTTGCCCAGGCTGGTCTCGAGCTCCTGGGCTCAAGCGATCCTCCTGCCTGGGCCTCCCAAAGTGCTGGGATTACAAATGTAAGCCTCCACTCCCAGCCTCAAGTTTTTAAATAATGGTTTATCTCTCCCTGAAATACTCTTGTATTTTATTTCCTAAATAAGACGTTTCATTGTACAAGCATATGAAACTATTTATATTTAATGTGTGGTACACGAGAATTTAGCAGTAATGAACTGTATTAATTTTTCTTCTGTGAGGCAGAATGCCACTGTGCCCTAACAGATTTGGTTGACTTATAATTTGCTTTGTTTATTTTACTGAGATTGGCCCTATTACTTGGTAATTATTTTCTGATTGAAGATTTCACCTGGGATAAGCTGATTTCACTGGCAAGAATTGAAAACCTACTTTGAAACATTAAACCAAGACTATTTGTAAACATGACAGAATCTCTTAGCATCATTTTGGAAAGACTTCATCTCCCCTTGCACCACTTTCTTAATAATATATTCTTCAGTGAAATACATCATGGCTAAACCAGTTATCATTTTCATTTCCTAATGGTCATGAAAAGAGATTTTATAAATGTTTTCTAATTGTGCTGTAAATGTAATTAAAACGTAAGCAACAGGACTCCATAGTCGTAAGTAATTTCATCATTAGCAGCACCTAGTATAGGATGAGGAAAAGGAAGAACTGGTGGTTGCCCTTGGGTTTGGTGTAGGAGAGCAGATTTGTGTTTTCATTGAGAATATGTTTACCATTCACACAGTTGATATAAATGGATTTGAAGTCATCGTGGAAATGATGAGGGTTAAAATACTTCATGAACTTTCTGTAGTCATATTTTGTATATGTGATAATATTTTACAAATAATTTGCTTTCATAGAATTGGAGTCTCATACCCAAGTTTACTCCTTAATACAGGAAGGCATAGAATGCATTTTAGTGATGAATCACCCTAATGATATCAGTTTATTAAAATCTTTTCCTTTGTTTGAAGCTGATTTAAAAGTATCCTTTGCTCAAAAAATTATTTTTCTCACTTGCTCATTTTTTGTTTAAGAGGAACAACTAGAGCTTACAGTAGCACTGCTAACAAAATAATAATAAAATTTAGGTTTCCCAGTTGTCAAATGGATACGTATTTACTTGTGTTTTACAGGAAATGTATATTTCCTGCTCAAGAAATGTATATTTCATTTCTTGTGGCTTGCACTTCAATAGGTTTTAAAGGACAACTGCAAAGAGTTTCTTGTGCAGATAGCTGTTATCTAATGTAGCTATTGATGATATTTTATTTTAGAAATCTGATGAGCTCTTAATTTCCGTATCAAACTATACTTTGAAAACCATTTATTGAAATGTGCCATGCAATTACATAAGCATTATTTTTTCTACTAATATGTCAATAGATGTTATACATAAAGAAATAGATGATATATGAAATAAAGTATTTCATCGGTCTAGGAATTTTTCTTTTTTTTCCTCCTATGCTTAAAAGTCTGAGTGCAAACTTCTCTCTTATTTATTATGAGAAATGAGTAGATATTTTTTAAAGCACCAAATTTTGTAAATTTTGCAATCTTATCTACCCTCCACGCCCTTATCTCTTCTCTTTTTTCCACAGGTGATTTCTATTCACTACTTTCCAAGCTGCTAGGAGAAAGGGAAGATGTTGTTCATGTGCACAAATATAATCCTACAGAAAAGGCAGAATCAGAGTCAGACCTGGTAGCTGAGATTGCAAATGTAGTCCAAAAAAAGGATCTTGGTCGATCTGATGCCAGAGAGGGTGCAGAACATGAGAGGGGTAATGCTATTCTTGTCAGAGACAGAATTCACAAATTCCACAGACTAGTATCTACCTTGAGGCCACCAGAGAGCAGAGTTTTCTCATTACAGCAGCCCCCACCTGGTGAAGGCACCTGGGAACCAGAACACACAGGAGGTGCGTGTAGGGTTTCTTTTAAGCAGTAAAGTGTGAAATGCTACAATCCACGTTAGCAAAACCTGAAGGGAATAAGAATTAATGGGTGAAAAAATTCATCAATGAAAAGGACTTATCATTAGAAAAAAATTACTCAGATTTGGGCTATCAGATAACATCTTTGAAGATTTTTTTTTGTTTTGGTTTTGGTCTATTACTGCATAAATTTAGTGTCTGTTCTATTGGTGAGCCAGAACTACAAGGACCAAAAAATATTTGGATCATTTGGGGAAAGGAGGCATATGAAATTCAGGATAAAAATTCTTACAATTGAATATTTTTCATTTTGCTCAATGGAAATACATTGAAAATTTAAAACCTGATATGTAAAGTCCCAGTTTAAGAAATGCTCATATACTGTCTCCTTGTAAGGTAATTAAATTCCTCTCAAATGAATCTTACACTTTCAACATTCTCATCCAGTTGACTTGTAAAATATAACCATTTTTATGATTTTGATTTCTTAAGTTTCATTATAAATTACAATCTTAATTGGAAAGTTGAGTATTTCTGAAGGGACCTCTACTAAGTCAATAACTATCAGATTTATCTTTATTTCTAGCCCAAATAGGCTTCCATAAGTAGAGGAAAATACCTTATTCCCTTCAGGTTTCCGTACCAGCAAGCTATGGATGCCTCATCTTTGTCTTTAATTGTGTTGTGGCCTCTGTGATATTGATTGCGTTTCATGTTACTTGCTAATGTGGAAAGCCAGATAATACAGCATGTGGAGATAATCTCCAAAAAAGTAACGGATATGCGTGCATGGCAGCTGTCCATGTGTGGGTTGGAATGGCACAGGCTGCCAGCTTGATGTTTTCAAATTCAGCTTTGTAGGAGGCCATAAATTATTCAACACCCAGCTGATTTTTATTTATAATTGAAAAAAAATTAGCATGCAGTGCCTTTTGTTCACATGAGAGTTTCAAAGCATAGTCCATTGGTACTGGCCTAATGGTTTCTGTGAGATGTTAACTGGAACCTGGATTTTTAACTTTTCATGTTTAAACAGGATCAGCCCTGCTCTAACTCATTCTGGATTTGACAAATAAAACTATGTTTCTCATGAGGTGGTCCCTGGACCTCCTTGCCTCAGAATCACCTAGGATGCGTAAGAAAAATTTAGACCCTGAATCCTATCAAAGAACAACTGAATCAGCATTTCTGAGTATGATGCCTAGAAATTTGCAGTTTATCATGCCCCTATCCATTTCAAAACACACAGGAATGTCTGCCTGAACTTATATTTTAAGGACAGTGAATTGTAACCCAGACAACATGGAAATATAAAAGGGAAAAGAGCCTCTTTGGTGGGAATACAATTGTGTTCATGTGTGAAATGTGAGTTGCAGCATGCTTTATTTATTCCATGACTTGTCTTTGTTATTCTTAGATTTGAAATGATATCATGGTCATTTGTAGGCATCAAGAGTGTCAGTGTCCCAGTCAGAATTTGACTTAAGATATTGCATTTCTGAAACTTACTCAGTTTTTCTACGAAATAAATCCTTAAAATACCCAAGTGCATGTACTTGGCAAATATCCTCATACTTTCCAAAGTGGTCAAATGGTAGTGCTCAAGAGAAAAATGCTTCTCTAGTATCTGTTTAGGGAAATTTCCTTCCTGTGAATGTCACTGACGTGAATAACATGAGTCATAGAAACATACAGCACAACTGCAAATTAATAAAGGAACATGTATTTCCTTTCTAAAATAATTTAATGTTATTTCCCTACTCTAATTACAAAAACTTTTAAAAAATAAAATGCAAAACAGAAAAACTCATATTTAGGTAAGCTGTTTCTAAAAGGCTTTTTCTTAATTCTCTTTCACCATTTACTGTAATGCAGTGTAATATCTAACTTTAATCGATGCTGTTTCATTCCTTTGGGTAAGCCAGAGGAAAACCTATCCTCAGGAAGCTTCCATTTTGTAAAAAAAAAAAGTAGGAAGTTATTAGCATATAAGGCCCTAATAAAACTTATTAGTAATCTAATTAATGTCTAGTCCTCAGGGTATAGTCAAAGAGAATAAATTTGATGGATAATTTTCCATTGTTTCTTTCATACCCTTCTCCAGGCAAAGCTGAGAATGAGCCTAATGGTCGGAGGAATTAACTGTTTCCCTAAGTGCCTAATTTACTATAAGGAATTGTATTTGCTGCATAGAAGAAAGTAACTTTTTATATGAGATTATTATAAAAACAAAAATGTCAGGCTGGTCTGTTGCTTAATATTATAGCTCATACTTATTTCAGATATCTTTGACATCTCTTGTTAATTTTCAAATAAAGAAGCTGAAGCCAGAAGTTAACCTGTTTGAATGAGGTCACAGATCTAAATCTGAAACTTGGACTTGATTATTTCCAATGTGCATCTTCTAGTTTCTTACATTTCAATACAGTTGTGCTCAATCAAAGAGATCCTAATGAGCTTGCCCAATTAAGATAAACTTCCCAAGAACACTGGACCCTCACTGCTTAGAAGATGGAGATTTCTATTCAGAACCCTGATCTGATGTCCCCAGTTGTTGACACCAGCATAATCTAATACAATGGTGTTTTCTGCAGCAGTATTTTAGATTTCATCAGTTGGTCTATATGTTGGAACTGTAATATGATGATGAAGCCCATCCAGTTGACCTGAGGGTTCAAAGGTGAAATTAATAGATCAGCTCAAAAATGTGGGTGTGACTATATGGTAGGCCTAGGAACACCTGAGGGTTTCAAAAACCATACTATTTTCTGAACCTTTAGTTTGGTCAGGATTCCACTTGTTTTCCACCCTGGCATCTGCCTTTAAAACTGGGTTCTCCACCTCGTTACGGGTTGGATATCAGTGGTCACCAAGCTACATGAAGAAGACAATAGAATGATATCTTCTGACTTAGCCCAGCTGAGAAAGTCCTTATCGTTCCCCAGAACAAGACGGTTAAATACTGTGTCTTATTGTATCTCTAGGAGTACAAATATCTGCGAATAGCATTTTTTTTAGGTTTTATCTTCATGACTTTTGGTGAAGATCTGAAAACTCTGAACAATTGTGAAAACAGCATTAGCAACAGAAACTTCCTGGACAAGTTCAGATACACTAGACCAGAGGTTTTCAAACTGTTGTTTGAAAGGAGACCCATCAAGTAGGAGGTAATAGTCACAGGCTTCCCAACACACACATGCATGTGCGCACACACACACACACACACACACACACACACACACACACACAAAATACAGCTTCCCCAAAAGCAGTTCTGTATGTGGCCAAAATCAAATTTGGAAACTACTTCATGGAGTCAGTATAATGTAGAATATTGCAAGTCCAGGTACCCGACTGCCTGGTGGCTTTGAATTCCAGCTATACAGTTTTCTATGTGGTCTCTATGCAAGTATAAAAAAATTCACTGGGCTTTAGTTTTCTCATCTATAAAATGAGATTATAATAGTATACTCCTCGCAGAGTTCAAGTGAGGGTCAAATGATATTATACATGCAAAGTGCTTTGAACAGTGTCGGCATGCAGAAAGCATTTGAAAATGTTATAGTACATTAACAATTGTGACTATTATTGCTACCATTACTGTCATGTTATGTTAGATTGAGATTTTTAAAAATGAAATACCAAAGTATAAATATTGATTATTTGATCTTAAGCAGCATTTGTGAGACAGAGAATTTTCTTGCAGTATGCAGGAAAGCAGCAAAATTTGGCACTCTAAGTTGATAAGTTAAGAAAAAAGTGACTTGGCAGTGTTTTATCACAGTGGGAACTTGTGGCTCTTCAAACATCTGATCACATACATTGATCTACCTTGATATTTGCATGTGATATATGACATACAGTGTGAAAATGCTAACCTCAATAAACTAAGAAGCAGATGTACTTCTTTTTAAACTTAGTATAGTTTAGTTTCTATCATTAATAGTTTAGATAGAGATAGCATTAATAGAGTAGAAACAAAATCTTAGGTATCTTTATTCTAGTTGCCCTCTGGAAACTAGACTCATTGAACATTTAAAAAGTAGAACTAACTATTCTAGTGGCAGATTTGATTGGACTACCACATACTTGCATGTGGAAGCCTGATTCAGTCTGTATTACAAACCTCTGGATGTGAGAAAATACACCTGTATTTGTGTGACAATTCTGATCAGATAAGAGGATTCAGAAGGTGTTCAATTATTCTTATGATACATTTAGTTTTTTCTTCATTTCTATGAACAACTTATACTTAATTTCAGAGTCCATTCTTATATTTCAGCCATAGTCTTACCTCTAGGTTCAAGTCTTGCAGAATTTTCAGGGTAAAATAAACCATTCAGTTGGCTGAATTTTGATCTCTGAGGGGAGGAGAATGGTTAAAAAAAAAAAAACACCTATACATAGCACTTACTTTGAGCCAAGCTTAGTGTTTTAGATGCATTGATTCATTAGAAAGGAAGAAAGTGATGAAAGGTTAAGTCACGTATCCGAAATTCCACAGCTCAAGAAACCAAGATGCAAAGCCAGGCAGACTTGCTCCCAAGTCTTGCTTCTTAATCACTCTGTTATTCTGCATCACACACACACACACACACACACACACACACGCACACACACATACACACAAACACCCTAGATATACAAATAGGAAGATGATTTTTTCTAGTCATCTGATTATCTCAGGCTACAATTGTAATAACTATAGGTATTATAGGTGTATTGGTCATGGTTTCCTGATTAGTATTCAGCCAGTTTGACCAATATGAAAATCTCATTTGCAATTAAAGAAATTTTAAAAAGGAAAAGAATACTGCTAATGCTTTTGAGCCCCTATTTATATGGTAAATCTCTTCCTCACTTCACTCCCATTAAATGAAGCATTATAATTAATTCTTGTTTTCTTTCTTACTTTGGTATAAATATTTCTACAATAGTTTTAGTTAATTATAGTTATTGCTGGCATTTCTGATGAATAACAATCCCTGACCAAAATAAGACATCCTTTTCTCAAAAGATGAAAATTTACAAGTACAGAAAAAGCAAGCACCATATTTTGTTTTTGTTGAAGTCTTCTAGTGATTTTTTTCAGTTCTATTTCTTAAAATTAAATGTGAAGAGCCTTGTTACACTGAAATTAATTCATAGTTCTGGGTTTGAATTTTTTCCTCAACTTTAGGTCTGTTAGTCTTTAGGTAACACAGATAAATGAATGCCCTTTCAAATACTTATTAATAATTTCATGTGAATGCAACAGTGATCACTAATATTAATCTCTTTCTGGAAAAGTATAATTTATTAATCTTTTTCATGATTAATTGATGCAATTTTAATAGCAGTATTTAATTTTTTTCTAAAAGTAGTAATTTCTTTTTCTGAATATATGGCAGGATATGCGGCTGTACATTAACCTTTATTTATAATAAATGTAAGGACGTAAGGATTCTTTATAGAATAATATAATTTATTTATCATAAAAAGTGTTATATGTCATTGGAAAAATATTTTAAGATTTCAGGGGTTCTTTCAACTTTTTAATCATCTTTTAGAAACAAAAACAAATTTGTATCAAAGCTACTAGGATCAATAGGTAATGTATATTTACCTTATTTTTCTAAAAGTATTGTTTCCAGTAATATGTTCTCAACATGTTCTCAACTCCAGATTTTAAAAACAAGCAATCAAGCTTGAAATAATTCTATCATTTGCTATCTGAATTTAGAGCAACTGACAAAGTTGGGAATGACTTGCCCAAGGTCATGGGTAAGAAATTTGTATTTAATTTTTAGGCTAACACTGGAAATCTGTAGCATTAACTAGTCATGTATTGAATCATTTCTTAAATAATAACCAAGAGAAATCTGAACTAGAATTTTTAACTTCTCTATCATCAAAAGTGTTTAAGGTAGAACTCAAATATATTTTATCATATAATTTCTTTAATAAGGATTTTAAATTGTTCT
This sequence comes from Homo sapiens, assembly GCF_000001405.40. Lineage (NCBI taxonomy): Eukaryota > Metazoa > Chordata > Mammalia > Primates > Hominidae > Homo > Homo sapiens. The sequence continues at coordinate 102,980,415 of NC_000005.10, forward strand.
TAATTGGGGATTAGAAAATAATTATCCCTGAAATTGAGGCCTAAAGTCTGGCTCAAGGCTGAAGTTCCTTTCCTGTCAAATGAAGACAGTTATGTGGAATAATTCCGATACAGTTCTAGCATTCTCTGATTCTCATGTCGTGATGAGCAGGAATTGGAACAATAATCAATATTAATTCCACTTACATACACACTAGTCCTAAATCAATGCCTTTATTCTTGATCATTTCATCGTATAGGGAATAGCCTTTAACTACCTGATAATTAAAAATATGGTGACACTGGAAGCAAAAGTATTAATTAACTTAGCTAATATTCACAGAAAAAAACCATGAAGTTTTTCTTTAACTATCCTAGAATTTCTGGTTAATAAAGAGACTCAGATCCTGAAAGTTTTGAACACTTGGCTAAGTAATGTAAGTGTGCAAAGACAATTTAAAATAAAATAACAATAATGTAATATAATTTTTCCAAACATTCAGTACTAAGAGAACCAGGTTGCTCATGGTGTTAGACTTCATACATTTTTTTACACATCATCTTTACTGTTTTGAAAATTCACTAAAGGTGTATATTTTCATAAATATGTTCTAGATATTTACATTAATTTTCCTTCTTGAAAATTTCCAGCCTACAGGGGTTCTAATATGTGACAAATGAGTGTTTTTGTAATTGGTGAAGATAGGCTCAAAACAACCTATGCGTCCATATTTTTTTGCAGACTTCCAAGCACTTACCAGTTTAAGGGCATATGATAGTTGAGATCATTCATAGCCAGATTAAAGTTCTTTAAACAGTATTTCCAATATTTTATGAAATTCATATTTGGCCCCAAAATAATGCAATTTTTTAGACGTTGCATATTTTCTGTAAGAATAGTAACTCTGCATCTTCATGGGCACTTAGCTCCCAGTACCTAGTTGGCAGGCCACTGAATAGAAAGGTTCCAGAAGCCATTATATGTGTTTATTGTCTTTATTGATAGTAATCAGCCAATTAGCATTTTCATTGAGTATTCTCATAGTATCTTCAGCATTCTGCTATGGGTGAAAAGGTAGTACAGATGAATTATAAGGTTGTAGGGGAGTTTGAATGCTAATTGATACCATAAACAAGTAGAGACTAAAACATAGACTTTAATGCATTTATGAGGCCATACAGTAAGTAGGCCAGGCCCTGTGTGACAGTTGGTGACAAAACCATGAATAAGGGATGATCCTTGCCCTTGAAGAATTCTGTCTAGTTGTAGCAGTTCTGAGCTCTGAGAACGTGATGAAAGCAATTAAATATCTGCATTGTCGTGAGCTTTGAGTTCCCCTTGGAGCCCATCTAGAAGTTTCAGGAGTGGTGAATGAGTACCGAATTTTGACAACTACATGAGAGAAGAATGAATGAAGTGCAATCTGAGATTCAAGCAACTTTGAAATCATTTTAAACATTTGGTGGGGGAATGACTTATCCATCTGTTGATTTATCTAGTCATTTCTAAATCTAATGCCTATACTCTGTTTCCAGAGTTCACTTTCAAAAATACAGCATTAATCATGTCACCCCATGTTTTAAATTTCCCATGGACATACACCATCAGAGAGCCTGAAGACAGTTCCTCCCCACCCAGCACTGCCCCTGCCAGTGCCTGCCCACATCATTGAGGCCTGGGTACCAACCCAGCCTGCCGGAGTCCAGACACATTGTCCAGGGATCTGAGGATTCACCCGCCCTGTCTACCACCACTGGTGTCTGTGCACTCCTCCCAGGGGTCTAAGGATGGGTCTGTCAAGCCTGCCATCACCACTGCTGCCAGCACCCACCTGCATGAGCCACAGGGGGGCCTGAGGACTGGTCCTTCCAGCCCACTACCACCACTGCTGGTGTCCATGTGTATGACTTGGGGATCCGAGGATAGGTTCAGTGCTGATACTGCCTTTACTAATGCCATGCATGCCACCCCTGGGCCCAAGGACCTAACTGCCCATCCAGCCCACCACTGCCACTGCCAGAACCTGAGTAAGCTGCCTGGACCTGCTACCACTGATACCTGCCTACACCACCTAGGGGCCTAAAGCCTGTCATGCTCAGCTCACTGTTGCCACCAGTGGGGCCCAAGGATCAACCCACCTTGTGTCCTTGTCCTCAGCAAAGCCTCCTTAGCTTCTGCTAAAAACTGCAGCCTAAGCTGCTGAGGAACTCAGAGACACCACTGATGCTGATTATAGCCAAAGAAATCATACAGAGACTACTGTGTCCACTTAGAAGTAAAACCAAACCACCCTATTCAACCAACACTATAGTTCATCTATAAAGAAAAACATTTTTCCTTATGAAACCCAATCTATAAAACTGGAAGAAGCAACTGTTATACCACATATAGAGGTATCAATGTAAGGACACAAGAAACATGAAAAGGAAACATACCTCTAATGGAACACAATAATTCTTCAGCAACAGACTCAACAAAAAAGAAATCTATGAAATTCCTGAAAAAGAATTCAACATAATGATATTAAAGAAGCTCAGTAAAATAGAAGAGAACACAGATAAACAATACAAATAATTCAGAAAAACAGTTTATGATCTGAATGAGAAATTTGACAAAGAGATATTATAAAAAAGAGTGAAACAGAAATCCTGGAACTGAAGAATTTAATCAAATGAAATAAAAAATACAGTTGAGAGCTTCAACAATAGACTAGATCAAGCAGAAGGAAGAATTTCTGAATATGAAGACATCTTTTAAAATAACCCGGTAAGGCCAGGCATGGTGGCTTATGCCTGTAATCCCACAGTTTGGGAGGCTGAGGCGGGTAGATTGCTTGAGGCCAGGAGTTTGAGACCAGCTGGCCAACATGGCAAAACTCCATGTCTACTAAAAATAATAAAAATAAAACTAGCCAGACGGGGTGGCGTGTGCGTATAATTACAGCTACTCGGGAGGCTGAGGCATAAGAATCACTTGAACCCAGGAGGTGGAGATTGCAGTGAGCCAAGATAGCACCACTGCACTCCATCCTGGATGACAGAGTGAGACTGTCCAAAAAAAAAAAAAAAATCCTGAGATTTTAAAAAGAAAAAAAATATTTAAAAATGAAGAAAGCCTATGTAATATGATATATAGGACACTGTAAACTGACCAAATATCCTAATTTTTATTGTTCTATATTGTTCTAGAAAGTGTAGAGATGGGCAAAGGCATAGAAAACCTATTTAATGAAATAACAGCTGAAAACTTCCCGTTTTGAAAGAGATACAGATATCCAGATAGAGGAATCCCAGTGATCCCCAAATAGCTTCAACGTAAAGGGTCTTCTCCGAGACACATTATAGTGGAATTTTCAAAAGTTAAAAACAGAGACTAAATTCTAAAAACATCAAGAGTAAAGCATCAAGTCACATATAAGGAAACCCCCTTCGGACTAACAGCAACTTTCTCAGCTTAAACCTTACAGATCGGGAGACAGTGTAAATTGATATATTCAAAGTGTTAAAAGCAAAAAACAATTCATCCAAGAATACTATTCCCAGCAAAGTTTTCCCAGACAAGCAAAACTTGAGGGAATTCATTCGCATTAGAACATCCCTACAACAAATGCATAAAGAAGTCCAGATTTTACCTCTATAAGCAAAACAACAATATCTACCATCACAAAAACACAAGAATAAAATTCAGTGGCAGAGCAGACACACAAATGAGAAAGAGAAAGGACTCAAGTGTTGCCTCTGCAAAAAAATCAAACCACAATGATAAACAATAGGAAAGAAAGGAAAAAAAGGCTATACAAAACAACCAGAAAACAATTAACAAAATGACAAAAATAAATCCTCACCTACCGATAATAACCTTGAATATAAATGGATTAAGTTTCTCACTTATATAGACTGCCTTAATGGAGAGAAAAATATAACCCAACTATTTGCTGCTCGTAAAAACTCACTTCACCTGTAAAGACGCATAAAGACTGAAAGTGAAGGAATAGTAAAATATATTTCATGCAAATGAAAAACAAAAACAAGCACGAGTAGCTATAGTTGTATCAGGTAAAATAGACTTTAAGAATGGTAAAAACAACAAACAACAACGAAGATGATCATTATATAATGACAAAGAGATGAATTCAGCAAGAGGATATACCAGTTCTAAATATATATGCATATGCGTCACTGGTGCACAGAGATATATAAAGGAAATATTATTTGACCTAAAGGGTGAGATAGACTCCAACACAATAATGGTTGGGGACCTCAACCATTGTCAGCATCGGACAGATCATGTAGACAGAAAATAAACATTGGATTGAAACTGCGCTTTAGACCAAATTGGCCTAACAGACATTTACAGAACATTTTATCTAACAGCTGGAGAATGCACATTCTTTTTATCAGCACATGTAACATTCTCCAGGATAGACCATGTGTTAGGCCATAAAACAAGTCTCAACAAAATTTTAAAAATAGAAATTATATCAAGTATCTTCTTAGACCACAAAGGAAAAAACTAGAATTCAATAACAAGAACAACTTTGGAAGCTGTACAAATACATGGAAAGTAAACAAAATGCTCATGACCAACTATTGGGTCAGTGAAGAAATTATGAAGGAAATAAAAAAAAAAATTTGAAACAAATGAAAATGGAAACACAATGTACCAAGACCTATGGAATATAGCAAAAGCAGTGCTAAGAGGGGAGTTTGTAGCAGTAAATACCTACATCAAAGAGTAGAAGGATGTCAAATAAGCAACTTAACAATGCACTTCAAAGAACTAGGAAGCAGAACAAACCAAACCCAAAATTAGTAATAGGAAAGAAAAAGAGCAGAACTAAATGAAATAGAGACTAAAAAAATACAAAGGTCAATGAAAAAAAAGTTGGCTTTTTGAAAGATAAGCAAAATGAGTAAACTGCTAGCTAGACTAACCAAGAAAAAGAGGGAAGATTCAAATAAATAAAATCAGAAATGAAAAAGGTGGCATAGCAACAAATACCACAGAAATATAAAGAATCATTAGAGATATACTGATTTCTGTATGAAAACTGTATTAGCATACAGTTTTCAACAATTGTATGCTAATAAATTAGAAAACCTAGAGGAAATGAGTAAATTCCTGGATGCATATAACCTACCAAGCTTGAACTAGAAAGAAATAGAAAACCCGAACACACCAATAACAGGTAATGAGATTGAATCAGTAATGAAAAAAATCTCCCATCAAAGAAAAGCCCAGGACCAGATGGTACTGCTGAATTCTACCAAAATTATAAAGAACTAATAACAATTTTTTCAAACTATTCCAAAATATGGAAGAAAAGGGAATTCTTCTTAATTTATTCTATGAAACCAGCATTATCTTGACTTCAAAACCAGATAAGGATACAGTGAAAAAAGAAAAGAGCAAGCCAGTATCTCTGATGAACATAAATGCAAAATCCTCAACACAGTACTATCAAACCAACTTCATAAACACATCAAAGAGATAATGCATCATGAGCAAGTGAAATTTATTGCTGGGATATGAGGATGGTTCAACATCAAAAAATGTGGTACAGCACATCAACAGAATGAAGGACAAAAACCATATGATCATATCAATAGATGCAGAAAAAGCATTTGCTAAAATTCTATTTTTCTTCATGACAAAAACTCTCAATAAATTAGGCCTAGAAGGAATATACTTCTACATAATAAAGTCCCCGTAGAGCAAACCCATGGCTGACATACTGAATGGAGAAAAGAGGAAAGCCTTTCCTTTAAGAAGTGGAATAAGACAAAGGATGGCCACTTTGACCATTCCTATTCCGCATAGTACTAGAAGTTCTAACCAAAGCAGTCAGGCAAGAACAAGAAATAAAAGGCACCCAAATCAGAAAAGAGGAAGTCAGATTAGTCCCTCTTTGTAGATGACGTGATCTTATATAGAGAAAAACCTTAAGACTTCTCCAAGAAAAGTCTTAGAACTTATAAAGTAATTCAGTAAAGTTTCAAGACACAAAATCTCAACATGTGAAAATCAGTAGCATTTTTATACACCAATAATGAACTAGCTGAAAAAGAAATCAAGAAAGCAGTCCTATTTACAATAGCTTAAAAAAATACTGATGAATAAATTTAACCAAGGAGATGAAAGATCTCTTCAGGAACTACAAAACACTGATGAAAGAAATTGAAAATGACACCAAAAAAATGGAAAAATATTTCCTGCTCATGGACAGAAAAAAATCATATTGTTAAAATGACAATACTACCTGATATGGTTTGGCTGTGTACCCACCCAAATCTCATCTTGAATTGTAGCTCCCACAATTCCCATGTGTCATGGGAGGGACCCAGTGGGACGTAATTGAATCATGGGGTCAGTTTCCCCCATACTGTTCTCGTGGTAGTGAATAAGTCTCACGAGATCTGATGGTTTTATAAGGGGAAACCCCTTTTGCTTGGCTTGCATTCTCTCTTGTCTGCCAGCATATAAGACATGCCTTTCACCTTCCACCATGATTGTGAGGCCTCCCCAGCCATGTGGAACTGTAAGTCCATTAAACCTCTTTTTCTTTATAAATTACCCAGTCTCAGGTATGTCTTTATCAGCAGTGTGAAAACAGATTAATACAATCTACAGATTTAGTGCAATCATTATACCAATGACATTTTTCACAAAGGAAAGGAAGTCAATCAAAGGGATAACTGTACCCCCATGTTTACTGCAATACTATTTACAGTAGCCAAGATATGGAATCAACCTAAGAATATATCAGCAGATGAATGGATAGAGAGAAGGTGGTGTATGTACACAATGGAATACTATTCAGCCATAAAAGAATGGAATCCTGTCATTTGCAGCAACATGTGTGAAACTGGAGGTCATTATATTAAGTGAAATAAGCCAAAAATAGATAAATACCATATTCATACTCATATGTGGAAGCTTAAAAAGTTGATCTCATGGAGGTAGAGAATAGAATGATAGTTACCAGAGCCTGGGAAAGATTCAGGGGAATGGAGACAAGTTGGTTAATGGGTACCAACATGTAGAGAGATGAAATAACTTTTAGTGTTTGATAGCACAGCAGGGTAAATATAGTTAACAACAATATATTGTCTATTTCCAAATAGCTAGAAGAGAAGATATGAAATGTTTCCAGTGCAAAGAAATGATAAGTGTTCAAGGTGATGTATATTCTAAATACCCTGATTTGATCATGCTTGTATCAAAATATCACATGTACCCTATAAATATGTACAATTATTTCGTACCAATAAAACATGTTTCTAAACCTTCAGTGGCTCCCAATTGCCGGTAGCAGCCATTTGCAATTGTTCTCCCTTTTGTGACAAGCAAGGGTGATAGATGATAGATACTGTTCATCTGAGCAGCTCCATTCACATCCACTTCTATACCTAGGATTATTTGCAAATTCAGGCATACCAGCTGTCATTCTGCCCACCTTCTCTCCAAAAGGCATATCACAATACACATGAGTGACAATGACATTTTCATATGCTCTAAAATATTTCTAAAGCAAATTATTCCCTCTGTGCTTTACTGCTGCTAATAAAGTACTTGTAATGTACCTCAAAATTTTCAGTAGAAGTCAAGACACCACAGCTACACACTATATGATCATTGTTAAATCCAGCCTCCTTTATGTGGTATCAGCACATTTTCCAGTCTAAATCAGAAATCAGGGTCAGCTAATCCAGTCCCCAGCCCCCCATTCCACCTGACATACACACGTATCCTTTCCTGATTATTTTACAAAATCTTACAACACATTCTGCAATTATAAACATCCTCACTTTTATTCTTTTTGACCAAAATATTCTCTGCCCACTTCTACACTTAATGAATTCCACCTTACCTTTAAGTGCATACACCAACGTTTGCTCCCGTGGGAAACCTTTTAAGTAGACCTTAATCCTACCCTATCCCAGCCCTATCCTTGGGAAGGATTCTGGGCCCTCTCCTATATTCCTGTACTACTTTGTGTCATAAGTATTGGGTTCCTGGGTTTTAAAAACATTTTATTCTGTCATATTCCTATCCTATTATAGCCCTATTATATCCTTTTATTTACTAAGGCCAAAAACCACGTTTTATTCCTTTGCGTTCCCAGATTCTACCATAGTACCTTACATAGAAAATACGCTTAGGGAATAGTTGTTGAAGATGCTTCAGAAAAAAAAGAAGGAAAGGAAAGGGAAAGGGAGGAAAGGAAAGGAAAGGGAAAAAAAAGAAGGAAAGGAAAGGGAAGGGGAGGAAAGGAAAGGAAAGGGAAAAGAAAGAAGGAAAGAAAGAGAAAGAGAAAGAAAGAAAAGAAAAAAGGGAAGGAAGGGAAGGAAGGAAAGATGATGCTTCAGCAAAGGTTGAACTAATCTGGGCATCCTATTGTGCTATGTTTTGTTAATTTTTATTAAAAAAATGTACAAAGTTTAAAATATTTTGGGTGAAAAGGTACTTTTCTGTAGTTGACAGAATTATTTTGAAGTGCTTGTTCTCACACAAGCATCCTTTCAAGTTTTCATAGCTGATCATATAAGCTTTGAGCTTCTCTTTCTCCCCCCAGTCTTTAATGTCCGTCTTTGAGGATTTCACTGCATGTTGCCACATCCTTCAGAGTGGCAAGGAGGAATGAGACTCAAATTGCTGCTTTTCTCCTCAGAATCTTTGTTGAAGAATTTGGGAGGGACAGAAATATCAACGCTGATACAATAGCTTTCATAGTCATCTTCATAACTGTATATCCTCAATTAGTATAGATATATACATTGTACCCCTTTATCCGTGAGCGTGTTTATAAAAGGGATTAACACAAGTGAGGCTGGCTGTGGTAGCTCACACCTATAATCCCCACACTTTGGGAGGCTGAGGCAGGAGGATCACTTGAGCCCAGGAATTGGAGACCATCCTGGGCAACACAGTGAGATGCCATCTCTCGAATAAATTTTTTTTCAATTAACTGGGCATAGTAGTGCACACCTATTGTCCCAGCTACTCAGGAGACCGAGGTGGGAGGATTGCTTGAGCTCAGCAGGTTGAGGCTTCAGTGAGCTGTGACTGTACCACTGCATTCCAGCCTGGGTGACAGAGTGAGACCCTGTCTCAAAACACCCACACATGCAAACCCAGATATTCTCTGAAGATATATTCTGATCAGAAATAAGAATAATTTGGAAATCATTCAGTCACAGAGTTTCTGTCATTTTTTTCTTCTCTCATTTTAGGAAACCAAATATGAACAGTGAAAGAGAGAGTCCTATTCTTATAGGGTCACTGAAATTAGGAGAATGAGACTGATATCTTAGTTCTGTGTAACAAGGAATAATCAATGAGTGGTTTATTATGGGGGCTATTTTATACTGAATATCCAGAATTTACTCAGGAGATGATAGATTAGATAGATAGATAGATAGATAGATAGATAGATAGATAGATGAGGGAAAAGGACAGAGGAACACAGAGTGCCAGGCTTATTGCCCATTCTTCCTATTTATTTAAAACATTTAAAAGCGTTGTATTAAAATGCCATGTATGTTGTCGTATTTTCCAAAGAGAGTAAAGTAAAAATCTTGTTGAGAAGAAGGCTGTCTCAAATTTACCCTTTAATGACTTGGGTTAGCTGGCTTTACAGGCATCTTATCAAAAGGAGAAGAAAACAGTCCTAATGCAAGTTCCCAGTCACTTCATCACTCAGAAAGCTACTTGGAATGTGCATGTGGTATAATTTATGTAGAGCACGGCTTGATTGTCTTTTTTTATTTCTTTGCATCTAGTGATGTTATTGCATGAGCTTCTTGTAACTATTATGAATCCTCATGAGGCAATTCGACCTTTCCCTTTTACACTAAATGTGTGGATATATCTTTTAGATTTCCACATGGAAGAGGCACTGGATTGGCCTGGAGTATACTTGTTACCAGGCCAGGTTTCTGGGGTGGCTCTAGACCCTAAGAATAACCTGGTGATTTTCCACAGAGGTGACCATGTCTGGGATGGAAAGTAAGTAATATTTTTTCTTCAATAAGCAAATGAAAATAAAAATAGTGTACATAATTTTTTCACTAAACTAAGAATAATGGTGAGAGAACTATAAAGGTTTTTTAGAATTTGACTTTTATGAGCAAAATGTATTTGTCCTTTTAATGTCTGACTGTAGTAAGTAGCAGAGAGGAAGTCTTGTGTGCTTTAAAACAAAGTAGTTTCATGAAATAGTTTATGGAAAGAAGACAGTAACAATCTGTGATTCTACCCACTTACCATTTTGCTCCCTCCTGTTATCTATCTATAACATTAAAGATAGTTAAGCCAGTACCTTAGTGAAAATGTTCAAGACTTCAAGGAGAGTGCTTATGAAAAGTGATCAACTAAGAAAGGTTGCTGATGGACTATAACAACGCACTTTTGTTATTTTCACATCCTGGGTGCAGAACTATGCCAAGACCATTGTCCTGGACAGTGTGGTTGGGGCAGTTTGGCCACTACATGTGAAGAAATAGTAACTTGGCCTTAAGGTTTTAATATAGACTACTTTTATTACTCAAATTTGCTCTTTTCATGAGCATCAAAGGCTTAAGAATAACTCTAGGACTATCTATTACTCCTGCTTTATCCTCTGGATTTTCCTTTTCTACCTCCTTAGAGGGATTTTTAGTAAAAACATAGAACGGTTATTGAGTGTTTCCTCTGAGTTACCATCATTATTCAGGTTTTACAGATGTAGAAACCAAGAGAAGTTAAGTATTGTGCCCAAATTAGCAAGTGGCAAAGCCAGGCTTCAGTTGCTTCCCATCTAACTCCAGAGTTGGCCCACTTAGCCACTTTATGATACTGCTTTTAATGGAATTGTAAGCATGTTCATGATTGTATTTTTAAAAGCTTGCCCCACAATTTAGCTAAACAATTTTTAAAAGCTAAACCCCACAATTTAGCAGCTTATTTTAATTCTTTTAAGTAATGAATAGCCATTATTCATTTATTTCAATACAAATTTACATAGGGAGATAAATTTTAAGATTTTTTATCAATTACATCTAATATATCTTCTCTTTTCATACATATAACTATGGGTCTCATTTGGAAAATCGAGGATCTACATGTATAATTCAATTGGTTTTCTCCAGTTTCAGAGATGTTGATTAAATTTATGTTAAACCTGGTTCTGTCACGTATGCATATGTCTAATGTCTAATATTCTTTGTGCAGTCGAAGATGAAATTCAATCAACATTTCAGAATACATTGGTAGCATTGTTACTGTTTAATTGTCCTTTCCAGTTGTCATACTTGAAAATGGAATCTGAAAAAGATCACTTCAGAGTTCAAAGTAAATAATCAAACTCAACATTCTCATTCATACGCCTCTGTTGCATCGTCTTAGTCATTATTGAACATCTAATAGTATTTTAACAAGTGCTTTTAAAAGCAAACTATTACTATTCATAGTAGCATATTCTTCATTTTAATGAATATTGCTACATTTTCTGCATGGATTTCTAGCCACATTTTACCAGAGGAGAAAATTACAGCATCATTTTCTCCCATTGATACTGTTTCAGCTGACTAAAGCTAAATTGGACAAAGGCCAATTTTTCATTTTAATGTGATATTCATTTCCAAGTAAACAGCAGAGACTGGAATAGTTTAATAGAAAAAGGGATCTGTGAAGTCCAGTTTAGGGTGGAAGATGAAGTAAGACTATGAAACAGGAACCACCTAAGAGCATTTTCTGTGGCTTATCTGGCTGTGCTAGCATCTAGGTAACCAGGATCCTGTGGAAATAGATTCTGGTTTCATTGGCAAAGCCCCAGAGTATTTGCCCTGATAAATGACATCTACAAAGGGGTGCAGTTGAACATGCAAGATGTCTTCAGAGGAAACTGCTGATTTTACTCACTAAATCTCTGTTTCCTTGCTCTTCTTCATCTTTGTCTTTCAGATGTAAAACTATTTTTTTTTCTCTCTTTCCTTCTCCCTTCCTGGTATTGCCTGTTGCCCTTAGCAGACTTTGCAATCCATGGTTGTAAAGAAATTCTTTTCTGGCACTCAGCTCTCTGAGTAGAATTAGAAGTAGATTACTCTGTTAGTTATTTTTTAGGAAAATAAATTTGGATTAGTTCAAAGAACAAATTAGATTCAGGCTCCATTCTTTGAATGGTAATGCATGGCCATCATTCCTAAGTCACATTCTATAAATTGGATGAAGTATATCGGGTTTTTTTTGTCCTTCATTAAAAATCCAAGGATTATACAAAGAAAAAGTACCTTCCTGTGGAATTTATGATGTACAGGTGAGGGACAATACAAATTATAAATTAGTTGGAAACTCCATTCTTCTTGTTACTACTGTTGGATGGTGACAAATCCTGTATTAATTTTCCTTGAAATCTTTCCCATTCTGATATTTCTGAGGTTCACAGAATTGTAGGTTCTATAAGACCAGGGCATATTCTAAATCAAATTGAAGCACATTATATCCCATAGTTCGTAAGATGTGATCATTCTTTAAATATCAGACAGTACTTGGATTTAATAATAATTCCTAATTAATACTCAGTACCCAAAGGTTCTTTAATATCATTGCATCAGCTGTCTTTATAAGTACCATTATTCTTCATTCCCACCTGGTAACCCTGATCAGCCCTTATTCTTTGACTTAAACACACTAAATATACATAGCAACCAAAATTATAATGATGATAAACCTCTGACCTGAAAGATGATAGTCACTCCCTTTCTCAATATGATTTCCATTTTTCTCCCTTACTTCAATATCGCTTCTCTTCTAGCTGAAATAAGAAATGCCTATTGCCAGCAGGGTGTAATGAAACTTTAAAGAGTCTCTTGTCTGCCCTGGTGTTAGGGCAGCATGGCAGCTAGAGCTCTTTAAAGTTTAAATGCTTCCCAGCAGGAACTGGGTAGCTTTTGCCTCAGTAATAACTGTTCCTGAGTTTCTGTCTTAAAATCGCCACCCCACTCAAAGTGTTTCTTGGCCTTTCTTTCATGTACCTGAGCTATGGTTGGGGTGTACTATGCAGAACTCACATCGTATACCCACTTAACTTAACTATGGGTCTTGCCCCTAACTTATAGATGTTAGAAGTTGTATTTCTTATTTCATTTATCATTTCTTCTCTTGGAGTTGGAAGGGATCTTGGAATTAGTATAACTTCAGATTCTTTCTGTTACAAATAAGAGAGAAAACTCAATACAAACTAACTTAGGAAAAGATAAAATTAGTTTGTATAAGTGAAAACTTCAAGGAATATAGTAGCCCAATTACATCATCAGGATCTGTTTTACAGCTCATTTTTCTGTGGGGTGGCTCCATTTCCAGTCTTTGATTCATTCTGTTGCTCCTCTCCATTTGCAGGTTCAATTCACATTGTCATCCTAATGTCACAGAAGAGATAGTCTATATGCCTGATAAGTCAACATAAACTCACTAAAATTAGTCTTTATAGCATTCCTTCGTCTGACCTAGATCATGTCTCATTGCACGTTAAACCAGTTATTTTGGGCAGAGGAATAAAATTGAGTCTGTGGCTTAGCCTGTGTCTTTTGTTCTGCTCATGAAATGTGGGAGTAGAGTCAACATTATCTGAAGCAATGGGCTGACAGTGGAGCTCAAAATGTTGGGTCAACTAGAAAAAGGTAAGGTTTCATTATCACAAAATGCAACAATAAACATGTACTCCCAAAACAGCAAGTGTCCATCAAAGAGCTTATCTCCAGCCTCCCACCTAATGTATACATCTCTTCTACAGCAACTTCAACCATCATCCAGTGTTTGAATTTTTTCAATGCTAAGAAACTCCCTAGATATGAGACATGCTTTCCAATTATGGGACCCATCTAGATGTTATAAAGTTCTTCATTATTTTACCTAAATCTGAGTCCTGTTACTTCACCTTTTAGTAATACAGGATTAATTTATTCCCATTTATCCATGTCAATTATTTGCATATTTGAAGAAAGCCTTATCTTTTGCAAACTGAATATTCTCCAAGCTCTCAAGCAATCTTATGCTGACATGATTTATTTCAACTGAAGGAATTTTGGTCTCTCTCCCCTTTAAGTGTTTCGCCTAGAAGTGGTCATAGTACCTCACATATTATTTGATCAGTGTTACAATTAGTTCCCTTGATGTGTATGCTACACATCTGTTAGTATAAGAGAATTGTATTCCCTTTTTTTAGCAGTTACATCACTGTGTTGCCTTATGTAGAATTTGTAATCTATGAAAATCTCCAAATATGTGTCAAAAATTGTGCTGATATTTTTACTGGAAGTTTATGCTTATGCAGTGTTTTAAAAATATTGAATTCAGGGCTTTATTCCAATTATGTTCCACTTTATTACATTTAGCATTGTTTCAATTTACAGACATTATTTTAATCTTAATTAGCCAGAGACTTTGTGTTAGTTCTCCCAGCTTTGTATTAGGTCTCTTTGATAAGCATGCCTTTTATATCTTCATAGATGATGTTTATAAAATTTGAATAGCTGAATGGTTGGTTTTGCAAGTTTCGTTTGTAGAGAACTCATAGTCTTCTAGGAATCTTCTTCCCTCCTCCCCCCAGATAGCTCACAAACCATCTCTTTATCAATACTTTATGGACTTTTGCCAAGATCTATTGTTTTAGAAATCTGTCTGCTTCCTAACTTGTAGAAAAATCAGTTCAAGATTTGCTTCGCTAGTTTTCTGGAGCCTCAGTTAAGATATCTGCCTGGGTTATGCTTCAACTTCTGCGATTTCTTTCCTACCTTAGGGTTTAACTGGCCCTGGAGAACAGAACTCAAAAGTGTCTGTTACCTTTGTACCATCATGTCTGAGGGAAAACTATAAGGGGTTCTACAAAAAAGAATGTTTCAGTGTTCTATCTTTCTCATATCGCAATTTCACACTTTACCGGAGCCTTTTTCTTCCAGTTTTATGCTATTTTCTCTAGTTCTTCTTGGTTATATGACTGTTCTTCCATCTCTTCTACAGTACACATTGAATTTGATAACTGGTGGGAGATTTACCAATTCAGTCAGGTCAATCCTAGTAAGAGAAAATCACGTTTTTTTGAAGATAGGAGGCCTGGATTTGAATCTTGGTTACCATTTCCTGTTTTTGAGACTTGCATCAAGACGTTTGAACTCCCTGATTCTCAGTTGCTTGCCTAAAAAGTGAGGGCTTTAATAATTATCTCATACTGTTAAGTAACAAAATGCACCTTGTTAAGTCACTTGTCCCCAGTGGCCTTATTGACTGAATAGAATCCAGAGCCTGGATGTATGATACCTAGTTCTTTTTTCTCTTCCTATCTATTTGTGGTATTTATAGTTCTAGGCCTAAAATGGCACTAAATAGTCATACTGAATTTTTTTTGTCTGCCCATCTCTTTTCCTGCCTCACAGGGACTTTTTACAATGTGTCTATTTTCAGAAGTAAGTGTTTTTAACATAATATTAAGTTATATTCCATCGAGAGTCTCTGGCCTTTGTATATCTTTGCTTTTCTAACATTGAGGTTACATTTTCACTTATATTCTTGCATGAAAACCTACAGTTATTTCTCTAGCTTCTTAATTTATATAATTATATTATATTTCATATCTTCCTTCAGTTGCTGTTATTTAATTTGAATTCCCTTAATTTTGATTCATGGCATAGAATTTTATTTTCTCCTTACTCTAGCTCTTTTGTGTGTGTGAATATAGCAAAGCATTTCTTCCCAGCCTTATCTAAACTGTTTGATTAGCTGCTAATGTGAAAAATCATTAATGGAGAATTCAAACTGCTAAAATAAAGAACTGATGAATTCCAGCCCATAGGCCACAGTTCAGTCTTTTCAACTGAGTGCTTTTCCAGAGAAACAAAGAAAAATCAAAAGTGCTCCAGGCACTGTGTGAAATGTTCAGGGTATTATTATAGCCTGTAAAAAGTTAAATGTAGTTGAAATAAAGACCTCTCTGCAGCAAATAATGTGGAGTAGCTGCTTTAGAAAACTAAATAAGCAGTTTGCTATAGCAACGGTGTATCCAGCTCTATAATCTGACAGCCATTTGTGAACTGTTCAAGGGTTACCTTTCTTTGAATTACAAGAGTTTATAAACTACTTACTTAGCAAGTTTAACATGTGTGTTTGGAGGGGGACTGTGATTTTCTCATTTGAGAAAAGATGTCAATTTATTTTATTATTTGCCCCATGTAACCGTCAGGGACCAGCTGTTAGTTCCGTGAAGCTCCAGCCATCCCAAGTGAAAGGATTAGGACTGGTCAACCAATCATCTGAGTAAATGAATGTCCCTTGATGCTGCCAGTTTAAACATATAGACGTCTGTTAAAAAACATCACAATGATTTTAAATGAACTGGTCAGGCCTATTATGTAGTGATTAATTCCTTTAAAGCTACATTCTTCCTAAGAATTCTGGGTTTTTCTTATTTGTTATTTACATTATGGAAGTAAATTACTACATTTAAATGAGCTGTATATATAAGTAGAGTGTTTTATCTTTGGATTTTGTTATGTTTTGTTAGCTTTGTGTCATTTTTTACTTTGTTTTTGAGGGGTGGTAGTTAAATGAACAGATTCTCTAATCAGTAAATTCTAGAATTTGTGTTATCACTGATATTCTTAACAGTGAAAGTATAGTAATAATATGAATAATAATCATAAAGCTATGGAAAAGTAGCTAGTCTTAAGCAAACATAAAATGCCCTTTATACATATAGATGACATGAGTGTAATTTGTGATAGCAAACGAAACCTAAAAAGACCCAGATAATTAGTTGTTACATTGTAACAAGATACTGGGAAAGATATCTTGATATGTTGCAAGACAATTTTTTTTAAGGATCCAACTTTTAATTGTAAATATCTGAACTTTGGGAGGTGGAGTTGGGAGAATTGCTTGAGCCCAGAAGTTCAAGATCAGCCTGGTCAATATAGGGAGACCCCCATCTCAACAAAAAATAAATTATCTAGGCATGGTGGTGTGCACCTGTGGTCCCAGCTACACTCATGAGGCTGAGATGGGAGGATCACATGAGTCTGGTAGGTTGAGGCTCCCATGAGCCGTGATCATGCCACTGCACTCCAACCTGAGCAACAGAGACCCTGTCTCAAAAAAAAAAATTACTCTGATTTACTTACTCTGTCTTATTTTGTTTGTTCCTTATTTTTCTTCCCATTCCTTCATTTGCTATTTTTCTTCTCATTCCTTCATTTGCTATGTCAAAATTTTCTATTACAACACCAAAAAGTGGATAATGAAATAGAATTAGATGATCCTCAAATTAGTTAATTTTACTATTTGCTGCCACCACTGGAAACTTGAAAGTTCTATATTATGAATATAAATGTCCATACAGAAACAGTGTTTGTGGCAGCACAATATCAATTACTTGACACATTTTTTTCTACATTTGTGTGCAGTGCAGAACAATGCCATTGATAGAGGATGTTTTTCACTTACCTACTTATCAACTGCAACATTTCCATTTGACCTGACTGGCACAAGGACTGTGGGTCTGTTATTTATATTTACTCCTTAATGCAGCTTGTTTTCTTGGAAGCCAAGCCCAGCATTTCAGGTCTGTGACTCTGAGACTCTAATCTTACATGGCTGTCAGTGAGTAATTTAACCTATAGTTTACACTTTGAAATATTTGAGCATCTAGAGAAATAATCTGGACCTATAAGAAATGCTTTAAGTTACAGAAGTTCAGTGTATGCTCCTGGAGAGGGAGGGAAACCTTTTTACTTTCTCCTCATCAATAAATTGTAGGAGTGCTATTTCCTAAAATAATATGACCAGAGATTTAGGAATGATGGTGAATATTTACATGAATGACAAGACAGATCAAAGGGGCAGTTATCTTACAGAAATACTGCATCCCATTCTTGGAGAAACCATGGGGGCAAGTAAATATATCAGGTTTCCCTAATGTTTTGTCATTCTGCAGAGAGGGGAAGATGTGGAATTATGTGTGCTGAGGTCTAATACGAGGATATATAATAGGCATTTGGACTGCCACTATTATTAGCTGTCAGTGGTGAGTCAGAACTCACAATCTACATATAAAGTAGATAGCACTTGGCAAGAATTATGAATTGGAATTATGAATCAGTAACTTTTCATATTCCACAGGTCGGGATGGGGTAGAAAAGTAATGTACTAGTATATTCCAAGGAAATAAACTAAGAATAAATGAAAATATTATATATAGTTTTATTATATGTAGTGATGTTATATATAGTTTTGCAAAATGGAGAAACTGGGTAAAGTGCACACAGAATTGTTTTTATTTCTTACAACTGAATATGCATCTACAATTATCTTAACTAAAATTTCCATTAAAAAAAGAGGGGGAAAGGTTTTAACTCTTAATAGCAGAAGCATAATTTTCACATTATTTAGATTGCCATTGTGCCTTTACAAAGCACTGAAATGTTTCTGAATAATGAGGAATGTGAGACTTAAACCTTGCATTAGTTCCTTCTCATGCTGCTAATAAAGACATACTTGAGACTGGGTAATTTATAAAGGAAAGAGGTTTAATTGACTCAGTTCAGCATGGCTGGTGAAGCCTCAGGAAACTTACAATCAGGTAGAAGGGGAAGCAAAAACGTCCTTCACATGATGGCAGGAAGAAGTGCTGAGCAGAAGTGGGAAAAGCCCTTTATAAAACCACCAGATCGCATGAGAACCTGCTGACTATCAGAAAACAGCAGCATGGGGTAACCACCCCCATGATTCAATTACTTTCTACCAGGTCCCTCCCAAATGGGAGAATTCAGCCAAAATGAAGAGGCTACAGGCCCCATCCAAGTCCAGAATCCAGCGGGGCAGTCAAATCTTAGAGCTCCAAAATGATATCCTTTGACTGCATGTCTCACATCCAGGTCACAGTGATGCAAGAGGTGGGCTCCCACAGCCTTGGGCAGCTCCATCCCTGTGGCTGAGCAGTGTACAGACCTCCTCTCAGCTGCTTTCACAGTTGGCATTGAGTGTCTGTTGCCTTTCCAGGCACATGGTGCAAGCCGTGGGTGGATCTAACATTCCAAGGTCTGGAGAATGGTGGCCCTCTTCTCACAGCTCCACTAGGCAGTGCACCAGTGGAGACTCTTCGTGGGGGCTCTCACCCCACATTTCACTTTCATACTGCCCTAGCAGAGGTTCTTAGTGAGGGTTCCTCCCCTGCAGAAAACTTCTTCCTGGACCTCCAGGCATTTCCACACATCTTCTGAAATCTAGGCAGAGGTTCCCAAACCTCAGTTCTTGACTTCTGTGCACCCACAGGCTCAACACCAAATGGAAGCTGCCAAGGCTTGGGGCTTGCACCCTCTGAAGCCAAGGCCCAAGCTATACCTTGGCCTCTTTTAGCCAAGTCCTAGGACACAAGGCACCAAGTCCTGAGGCTGCACAGAGCAGCAAGGCCCTAGGCCTAGCCAAACCATTTTTTCCTCCTGGGCCACTGGGTCTGTGATGGAAGGGGCTGCTGTGAAGACCTCTCATATGCCCTGGAGACATTTTCCCTATTGTTTTGACAAGTAACTTTTGGCTCCTCGTTACTTATGCAAATTTCTGCAGCTGGCTTGAATATCTCCTCAGAAAATGGGTTTTTCTTTTCTATCACATCATCAGGCTGCAAATTTTCCAAACCTTTATGCTCTGCTTCCCTTTTAAACATACGTTCCAATTCAAACCATATCTTTGTGAATTAATAAAACTGAATGCTCTTATGAGCACTCAAGTTACACCTTGAATGCTTTGCTGCTTAGACATTTCTTCCACCAGATCATCTTCCACCTAAATCATCTCTCTTCAGTTCAAAGTTCCACAGATCTCTAGGGCAGGGGCAAAATGCCAACAGTCTGTTTGCTAAAACATAGCAAGACCTTTATTCCAGTTCCTAGCAAGCTTATCATCTCCATCTGAGACCATGCCAGCCTGGACTTCATTGTTCATATCACTATCAGCATTTTTGTCAAAGCCATTCAACAAGGCTCTAGAAAGTTACAAACTTTCTGACATCTTCCTGTCTTCTTCTGAGCCCTCCAAATTGTTCTAACTTCTGCCTATTACCCAGTTCCAAAGTCACTTCCACATTTTTGTGTATCTTTATGGCAGCACCCTATTTCTGGTACCAATTTCCTGTATTAGTTCCTTCTCACACTGCTAATAAAGACATACCCAAGATTGGGTAATTTATAAAGGAAAGAAGTTTAATTGACTTACAGTTCAGCATGGCTGGAGGAGCCTCAGGAAACTTACAATCAGGCAGATTGCTTCAGAAGGGGAAGCAAACACGTCCTTCTTCACATGATGGCAAGAAGGAGAAGTGCCAAGCAAAAGGGGGAAAAGCTCCTTATAAAACTATCAGATCTCATGAGAACTCACTATCATGAGAACAGCAGAAAGGGGGTAACCACCCCATGATTCAATTACTTTCCACCAAGTCCCTCCCATGACATGTGGGGATTATGGAAACTACAATTCAAAATAAGACTTGAATTTATGGAACTTATGTAAAGTCTCAGTACTCTACATAAATAGGAGAACAAAAAAAAATTATTAAATTATATTCTTTGGCCATTAAAAAATACACCACACAATTTGGGTGGGGACACAGCCAAACCATATCAAACCTTAAAAAGAGATAGTGAATGAAGAAACTTTAACCTATTACATATGAATGTGAAGGTTACAATATACTGAGTCTCAGATGTGCTGAACTTGTTAGTCATTATTATAGTCACCTTGGAAAAATAAAAGATTATTAATGGTTGAATCCAGTACCTATGTTTTTCAGAGGAATAGTTATGATGTTTTTAGTAAATAAATTCATATTGAAAATAAACTTTCAGATATAGGATAAATTATTTGGTGTTTCATACTAGCAAGAGTGACTTCATATTTTCCCTTTACCATTTTCCCATAATTTAATAATACTATGAGTATTCTTACATTGGTTCCTATCTAATAAAATTTCACATTTCAGTTGATAATGACCCCATAAATATCTTATGAAATCTGTTTTGTTAATGATGATACTTCCATTTCATAAATTTATTTTTTTCTAGATACCACTGTGTGGTTTTTAACTGCATATAATAGCATATATAAAGAGTATTACTGAAGTTTTAGATTGACAAAGCTGAATCAATATTTTGTGTTCAATTGAATGCATCATTAATAAGAACTACTTCAGGGACTTATTGTTGTCTTTCAGGAAAACTATACCCAAAAGACTGTAACAGTCAAGTAGCTCAGATAATTGTGTGGTGTATTTTTTAATGGCCAAAGAATATAATTTAAGAATTTTTTTTTGTTCTCCTATTTATGTAGAGTACTGAGACTCTACATAAGTTCCATAAATATGGCAGCCAACTGATGAATGGATTCATGACAGATCCAAGCAGTCTGTTACCTTCCCAAATTGCAAATATATAATAGCAAATATTTAATGTTATTCAGATTCTTCTTTTGCTTAACCAGTTGCACTACAAAATATTAATACTTTTTTCACAATCTTGCCTGATGCTATAAAGGCAATTCTGTTTTACAGAAATATTCATAAGTCATTTATTGACTTGATATGTATATTTATAAACACACACACATACACACCCACACACACACATACACACACACCCCCCTCAACTATGTACTGATCCAATCCTTTTTTGAGAAGATAACTTGGTTTCTTGTTGTTTCATACATTTACTTCTATATTACAGAAGCTTAGATTAGAAGAGCTTATCTTTGTCATTCATCCCTGTTGACATATAACTTCCCAAACAGAAAATGAAATAAGTACCATGTCTGTGATAATTGTGAATTTAAGAAATTATATTACTAACAATTTAAATGGAAATATAATTTTGAAAGTATATATATATGAATATATGTCCATAATATTTTATAATAATCTAAAAGGTACTGAGTTTAAAAGCAGAAATTGTCATATTTAAGTTTTTTAATTAATTATTGCATAGTTGTTCATTTTGTAGTTATAGAATAGCTGTTATTTGGTAAGTTTTATGCCTCTAAGCATATTTTTGTCTCGAGGATAGATTCGGTTTTGTAACTTTTAAATACTTTGAACATCCTCTTTTATATCTCTATAATATGTATATGCATGTTGTACCTAAAGTATAATAACGAACATTTTGATCACTGCTCTTCCAGCTATTATTATAATTAATGACAAAGTTAAAATAAGTCATATTTTCTTTTGCAATATGAAAGAAAATGTCTATTGAATGACTGCATACTCTTTTGAAGAGCTTTTGAAATTTTTCAGGTACATTAAGAGTTCTTGATCAATGTTTCTCAAACCCCAGTGAGCATAGGAACCACCCAAGGGTCTTGTGAAAATGCAGATTCAGGTCCAGTAGGTCTGAAACTGCATTTCCCAGCAATGCCAATGCTTCCGTTCCACTGACCACCCTGAGTAGCATGGTTCTACAGGTTAATGGGGTATATTATAATCCAAATGACTGAAATGTGGCAGACAAAGAGTGAAGTCAAATACATTTGAGCTCTTTTGATTTTGTATTTATGTGAATGGTCTGCATTTCTCAATTTCATTGGAATTTATGATTGTTTCATGTCCTATTTAATGCTTTTTGTTTAGCTCGTTTGACAGCAAGTTTGTTTACCAGCAAATAGGACTCGGACCAATTGAAGAAGACACTATTCTTGTCATAGATCCAAATAATGCTGCAGTACTCCAGTCCAGTGGAAAAAATCTGTGAGTTAAATGACTTATGTTGTTAAGACTTGTACTACATATATTGAGTATAAAGTGTATCATAGAGTCTTGAAATTCGAGTGTTTTGTATAACTGCACTTGAGAAAGCAGAAAACTAACTGGGCCATCCCATCTTTCATTTTCTACATAGGTGTTTCTAAATCTTGACTGAATATTAGAATCATCTGGGAAGCTTCAAAATATTTAGATTCACTTATCTGTTTGCCATTTGTATGTTTTCTTCTGAGAACTGTCTGTTCAGGTCCTTGCCTATTTCATAATTGCTAAATGAGTATATTTGGAATGTTCTCACCTCAAAAATGTTAGGTATTTGAGGTGATGGATATGTTCATTAGCTTGATTTAATCTCTCCACATTGTATACATATGTCATAACATCACATTGTACCCCATAAATGTATACAATTAAAATTTGTCAATTTGTCCTTTAAAAAATTAGATTTAGATTCTGTATAGAGTGGGGCTAATAATCTTAAGTTCCCAGGTGATTTTAATATGTAGTCAAGCTTGTTACATATTACATATGTAATATATATCTTACATACTTGATTAAGTGAGTTGCTGCTCAGCCAGATCTAATGATCCAAAAAAATTCTTCAGCAGAAAAATTCTTCAGGACAACCAAACTCATCAAGTAATCACCATTAAGTAAAAGAGCTTCTCTTTTTCCGTCTCAAAGTGAATACTAAACAAATGTCATTTTTAGCATTCCTTATCATGCGTATGTAATTTGGCTTTGAAAACTGCTCATTATTTAGTCTTATTTCGAGATGGCACTTGGCAGCCAAAAAAAAAAAAAAGTTGACTGATATTTATGGTCATTGAAAGAAGTGAGGGAGGCACTTGCTTACAGATCTCCTGAACCATTGTAACTTGACAGCTTCAGGAATTATACCCTTCTCCATCTGCTTAAGCACAGGGAAAGCTAGCTTCTTCGCAAGGTGGATAGCCACCGTTTTGAGTGCAGCTGCTTGGGAGATGATAATAATGATGCTTAGAATTTTTTAACAGCATTCTCAAGATTGTGTGTCAGGGGTGAAATGTTTGAACCTGTTTCATTGGTGCTCTATTTATTCACCAGAAGCACCCTCATTCCAGAAAGGAATTAAGGGGAAGGCAGAAAAACTACTGCTAAATCAACTTGGCCATCGGTGGAGTATCTGTTTGAAAGCAAATCATAATCCTCACATTCAGTTGTCAAAACAGGGATCTAGTTCAGCTAATTAGTCAAAATC
Organism: Homo sapiens; assembly: GCF_000001405.40. Taxonomy (NCBI): domain Eukaryota; kingdom Metazoa; phylum Chordata; class Mammalia; order Primates; family Hominidae; genus Homo; species Homo sapiens. Next base: position 103,004,405 of record NC_000005.10, read on the forward strand.
AGAGTGTTACAGTTATGGCTTATGAAAAAAAATCTGTATTGTCAACACTACACTAAGATTAGAAGCTAACAGAGCTATTGGATTGTCGGATATCATTGGACCAAACCACCTCAATGTATTGTCCATGTGTCTGTTAGCTCAGTCCAGGTTCCTTACCTAGATCATTAAGATTGATTTGCCAGATTAACCTTCTCTAATGTTTATCTAGCTCACTATTTCACTTTGCTTAGATATTCACAGCCCATGTTGGCTGGAGGTTATGTGCTGTGGGTTTTACTGTCTTTAATAGGCACTCTTTAAAGCCTTTGAGTTATATGTCTAATAGTTTATATTAACACATTACATTTCCTTGCAACATGTTTTAACCGCAAACTATATCAATCCATTTATGTTTCTTAAGTCAGTTTTATACATATTTGTAAGATGTTAACACTTATGACCTCAGAACCTGTTTTTAAACTGATACTGTTTTCTCTAATATACCATACTTTATAATAAACATTTGTAATTTATATGTAGGCTTAATTTATAAATTTTAATACTATTAAATACTACCTAAGGTTTGTCACAAGGAGATCTCATTATAACAGTTTTTATTAACTATTCATTTTGTTCTTTTCTATAATAATGCAAGTATACATTTATCAATTTATAACTTTGCATTGTCTTTACAGATTAATTAGAAAAATTTCTGTCACATATGCCTTGAGAGTAAATGTGTAATTAACACAAATATTTTTATTTTGCAGGTTTTACTTGCCACATGGCTTGAGTATAGATAAAGATGGGAATTATTGGGTCACAGACGTGGCTCTCCATCAGGTAGTCTTCCTTTTGGTAATATTCAAATTAGAAGCTAACAGAGTTATGCTTTTGAAGAGCTCTGGAGTTGTATGGGTTTTTTGTTTGTTTGTTTTTTCTTCTGTCACCCAGTAAGTTATAACAAGAAAATAGAGCAGCCATGTCTTAGTTCAGCATGTTATAACAAAGTACTATAGTCTGGGTGGCTTATACACAACAGAAATTTGTTTCTCACAGGTCTGGAGTCTGGAATTCAAGAACAGGGTGCCAGCATGGTTGAGTTCTAGTGAGGGCCCTCTTCTGGGTTATAGGCTGCTAATTTCTCATAGTATCCTTGCATGGCCAGAGAGATAAGAGTGACAGTAATCTCTGTTATCTCTTCTTATGGCACTAATCCCATTCATGAGAACTCTACCCTTTTGTCCTGATTACCTCCCAAAGGCCCTGCTTCATATTACCATCATATTGGGGGTTAGGATTTCAACATGTGAATTTGGATTTGAGGCACAAACATTCAGTCCATAACAATCCACATCTGAAATATTTCTCTTAGAACTCAATGCTAGGGAAAGCTAGTATGTAAATGATGAAGTCACATTTGTCCCTTGGACCAGATATGAAGCTTCACTCAAATAACTACATGGGCCCTCCCAACCATTTTCTTAACTGTCTGTATTTGCCTTTATTTCCTCTGTTCCTAACTTGTTGTTGTTGTTGTTGTTGTTGTTGCTGTTGTTGTTGTTGTTTGAGACAGGGTCTCACTCTGTCCCTCAGGCTGGAATGCAGTGGCACGATCTTGGCTCACTACAGCCTCCACCTCCCAGGCTGAGGTGATCCTCCCACCTTAGCCTCCCAAGTAGCTGGGACCACAGTCACACACCAGCATACTTGGCTAATTTTTTTAAATTTTTTGTAGAGATGGGATTTTGCCAGGTTGCCCAGGCTGGTCTTGAATTCCTGGACTCATGCAATCCACCTACCTCAGCCTTGCAAAGTGCTGTAATTAACAGGTGTGGCCATCGTGTCTGGGCCTAAGTCTTATTTCTATTTTTTTACTTATTTTTTTATGTTTTTTTCTTAAACTACCTTAATCTTCTATAAATTGAGGCTAGGCCTCTAGTAAATGTATATTTATATATAAAAAGTGAAATTTGTGTTATTTTTAAAAGAAGTTATATCAAGCGTAATATGCTTTTCATGAATAGGTGGCAAATAACTTGGAAAACATCATCTCAGTAAACATTTATTGCTCATGTATTATCTGGAGTGCATTGTAGTATTATCTAAGGAAAGACAAAAAGGAAACATCAGGGTGGACAGAACTGGGTATCCATGTACTAGTCTCCATTCACTACTAATTAACCGCGTGACCTTGAGCAAATCATTTAATCTTCATAGGCTTTATTATCAAATGAAGGAACCAGACCAGATGATTTCTAGGATCCCGTTCAGTTCTAACAAGTATTAATACCTTCTTTTAAATAAGTCTCTGGGAGCTTCTACTCCAATTGCTTGTGAAAGTGGTCTTAGTCATGTGGGTGTAAGTCACTAATAACCATGAAAAGTAGGTAAGGCTTTTGTTCCTTTTTAAAAAGGTGTTCAAACTGGATCCAAACAATAAAGAAGGCCCTGTATTAATCCTGGGAAGGAGCATGCAACCAGGCAGTGACCAGAATCACTTCTGTCAACCCACTGATGTGGCTGTGGATCCAGGCACTGGAGCCATTTATGTATCAGATGGTTACTGCAACAGCAGGATTGTGCAGTTTTCACCAAGTGGAAAGTTCATCACACAGTGGGGAGAAGGTACCCAATAAGACTCTTAATCTCCAGTTGTAATTCTTAGCCAGTATCACTGGGAACTAAATATTGGCCAACACTCACATTCTTTAAGCTGTAATTGTCCCCTACAGGGTCATTGTAACCTGGGTCATTGTATGCATCCAGTTAGCTTGTCTCTCACACACACACACACACACATATACATACACACACACACACACACACACACACACACGTCTTGTAAGGAAAATAATGTATCCACCAAACAACTATCCAAATAGGGAGAAAATCTGTAATGTATTTGTGGATAAAAGACATTATAAAATAATCTTATAAACTGCTTTACCTTATCTTTCCCCTGGCTCCAGGCATTTAATGGTTTACTATCATGAATTTAGAAACATACTAGAGAGTCAAACTTTGGGTGATTTTTAACATTGTGTATCTAAGGCTTTTTTTTGTTCTGCAGAGTCTTCAGGGAGCAGTCCTCTGCCAGGCCAGTTCACTGTTCCTCACAGCTTGGCTCTTGTGCCTCTTTTGGGCCAATTATGTGTGGCAGACCGGGAAAATGGTCGGATCCAGTGTTTTAAAACTGACACCAAAGAATTTGTGAGAGAGATTAAGCATTCATCATTTGGAAGAAATGTATTTGCAATTTCATATATACCAGGTATTTCATCTTAATATGTTTGTTGTCTTCTGTCCTACTGTACTCTATCCTTAAAAATTGTGTTATCTTAATGTGCTCTTTTTATAAATTTTCTTTGCTATATATTTCACATCTTAAAAGTATCTTACAACTGTTAGTGTGTTCTAACTCAGTTTTGATTAAGGTACCACTATTCATTGTACAGAAACAATGAAGAACTCAAAGGATTTAACACCTGTTTGTAAGGGGTTAAAAATGTTCCCAAACATTGATTTTCATTTTATCTTAATTATGATCATCTGCTCCAGTATTAAATAATTAATATTTGTCTTCACACATCGACAAATGGTATATGTCTGATAAAATCAGTATTCAAAATACTCATTTCACATTTTTAAAAACAGTAGTGACCAATTTTTTTAAAGATAAAATATGTAAAAATAAGTGTGGCTTATGCCTAAATACCAGGATAAATAATCAATAAAATCTTGAACTTTTTTCTCATTTTCAAAATAGATTTTCTTGACTCTAAGAAAATCTGAAAAATAATTCAGACTAATAAAATACATATAACTTATATTACAAAACAACTTACCATATTTTCTTTAAATAATGAAAATATATTTAATTTCTGAAATTTACATACAATTACAATTTTTTTAAATTGTAATTGACATAGTAATTGTATATATTTGTAGAGTACAATGTGATATTTTGATGTATGTTTACAATGTGGAATGACTAAGTAAGGCTAATTAGCAAACCCATCACCTCACATACTTATGTTTTATGGTGAAAACATTTAAAATATGCTCTTTTCACAATGAAGTGAAATGAGATCAATAACGAGGAATTTTTGAAAAATTCACAATTAAAGGGCACAACATATTTTAATAAAAACATCTATACCTGTATTAAAGCAGCATTGACTATTTATAGGTATTACTGTAATATTTATGTTTCTTATAAGTTGCATATGGCTACTATCTGGACCAAGCAGCCCCCCAAATTATTTAGGACATAAAATCAAGGGACTCAGGTGATTGATAGAGAGCAAATTTGGCTTCCTCAAGGAATAAAGAAAAAGTAATAAGAGGTTCTCACAACTATCATTCTTTAGGTTGGTTTGCCGCACATTTAAAGAAAAATTTGTCAGGACCCTTTACTTAATTAAGAGGGTGATCAAGTTCATAATAAACAAAAATAAATTAAATATAAGAAGAAAATTATCAGTTGAGAAGGAATATGGTTAAGAACAGAATCTAAGCAAAAGATAATTTTCTCTATAATTTTGCACAATAGTAATTGATGTTTATAGTGTTTTTTATAGTACATCCTAGAAAACTATAATCCTTCAAGAATGATGAAAATATCTTCAATGGTGGCTTAGCATTGTGTATAATTTATTATGTTTTAATTCTTTGAAAATGTAGTGGTTCAATCATCTGAATTGTTTATTTAACGTAAACATCACCATTTTCATTGTTCTGAATAAACAGTATTGTGTTAAGAAATATAATTTTACTACAAAAAGTATTCATGGTGTGAAAATTAAAAAGATGGTCTTTTTTAATTAAGGAAAATATGTCTTTGATAATCTGAAATATACATCTCACATTTTCAAATTCTAGTTGTTTAAAATCAGATTGTTCTATATAGACTGTAACTTCACTTATTTTCTTTGATTTTCTCTTGGATTCTCCATGTAGCTATGGCAAATATTACTTATTTTTTAAAAGATCTGAGACTCCAAAATTATTGGCCTAAATAACCTGACTTTCCCCAATTCCTATTTAGGATGCCTGTAATAGCTATATATGTGTATTATATCTATATATCAATATCTATGTATTTCTGATTTCTACTGGTTTTCCAAGTGGACCACACATTTCAGTTCCCGATTTTCCTGTCACAAGGAGGTTAGTCCTCTAACCAGTTTGCCACTGATCTGGTTACTCAGGAGGAGACACTAAGTATTTTATATTCTACTTTTGTTGCCAATTGTAGGGACCAGGTTGACCCTAAATTTATTCTTTGCATAATATACATGGATATATTAGAAGTCCATTCTTACCCATATTTTAAAGAAAGGTTAACTGGATTTGCTGTTGCAGGCTTGCTCTTTGCAGTGAATGGGAAGCCTCATTTTGGGGACCAAGAACCTGTACAAGGATTTGTGATGAACTTTTCCAATGGGGAAATTATAGACATCTTCAAGCCAGTGCGCAAGGTATTTACACACATTGTCTAGGTTTCAATTTTCATGAGAAGAAGACTAAAATATAAATCTTGGCATTCAATCTGTACTTGAATAGCTTTAGAAAAACTTTTAAGAAGATGTGATAACTTTCTTAGCAAGGTTGATGGGAGTGTTCTATTTTATTTTTTATTTTATATTTTATTTAGAATAAATGTCTTTGTCTATTCCTAGATCAATTTCTTCAGATGCAAATTAGCACGTGTGCAGTTCTAAGGTTCTTAGTAGAACTGCACCTGCATATGATGGCAGGTTTTTAAATTCACTATAGTTAGAATACAAAAAATAAATCAGTCGCTTTCTGGTTTCATCCAAGTAGAGAAAACATCACAACATGTTAAGTGTACTCTTAAAGTTCTCTTAGACCCAACAGACATCTTGTTTGCTTTCTTTATTGCTATGACTGTGCTAAGCAACAAGACTTGAAAATAGCACTTCCTGGAATTTATTCAAGTTCTAAAGATTTGGTTAAGAAACTAAAAGCTACTTTTGGCTTCAAAAGTGTTTTCCCACTGTTTATTCTAACGTGCTTTTTATAAACACAGCAACTGTGTTCAGTGTGCCCATGGCCCTTCTGTCTTCTCAGTGTACTTACTCTGCAGTATGATTGCCAGAGTGATCAGAATGTTCTCTACACTGTATGAATGTGCTTGGAGTATATGAAATTTAGAAAATTCAGCCTGCTAAAATGCTACAAATAAGTGTTATTCTTCAAAACATGTAAAGATTCATTGGTTTTAATTGGATCAAAATACAACTATCATCAGCTACTGAACCAAGTTTATATCTTGACACTTATAATGTTATGTTATTTTTAAGATACCAGATTTGCTAATTTAAAAAACTTTAAAATGCCTCAATATTATATTTTTAATTAAATTTTAATTTTTAATTTTTGTGGTTACACAGTACATGTTTATATTTATGGGGTACATGAGATATTTTAGCACAGGTATGCAATGTGCTAAAATAATAATAATCACATCATAGAAAATTGGGTATCCATCCCCTCAAGCATTTATCCTTTGTGTTACAACAATCCAATTTACTCTTTCAGTTATATTAAAATGTACAATTAAATTATTATTCAGTATAGTCACACTGTTGTGCTATCAAATACTAGGTCTTATTCATTCTGATTTTTTTAAATCTCTATTTTCTTGTTATAACTTACTGGGTGACAGAAGAAAAAACAAACAAACAAAAAACCCTTACAACTCCAGAGCTCTTCAAAAGCATAACTCTGTTAGCTTCTAATTTGAATATTACCAAAAGGAAGACTACCTGATGGAGAGCCACGTCTGTGACCCAATAATTCCCATCTTTATCTATACTCAAGCCATGTGGCAAGTAAAACCTGCAAAATAAAAATATTTGTTGTTTATTTTGATTTTTTTAAATCAGAATGAATAACCATCATCCTGATTAACCACCGCCACCTAACCCCCCGCCACACACACATACACACACACACAAACACACACTCACACACACACACACACACACACTCTCTCTCTCTGTCCCATACCCTTCCCAGGCTCTGGTAACCATCCTTCTGTACCATACATCTATGAGTTCAATTGTTTTGATTTTTAGATCCCACAAATAATTGAGAACATGTCATGTTTGTCTTTCTGTGCCTGGCTTATTTCATCTATAATGATCTCCAGTTCCATCCATGTTATTGCAAATGACAGAGTCTTATTCTTTTTGTGGCTGAATAATACTCCATTGTGTATATGTACCACATTTTCTTTATCCATTTATCTGTTGATGGACTCTTAGGTTGCTTCCAAATCTTGGCTATTGTGAACAGTGCTGCAACAAACGTGGGAGTTTATTTAGCTCTTTGATATACTAATTTCCTTTCTTTTTGGCATATAACCAGCAATGGGATTTCTGGCTTGTATGATAGCTCTACTTTTAGTTTTTTAAGGAACCTCCAAACTGTTCTATATAGTTTTACTAATTTACATTCCCACCAACAGTATACAAGGGTTCCCTTTTCTCCACATCCTCATCAGCATTTGTTATCACCTGACTTTTGGATGAAAGTCATTTTAACTGGTGTTAGATGATATCTTATTGTAGTTTCGATTTGCATTTCTCTGATGATCAATGATGTTGAGCACTTTTCCATATGTCTGTTTGCCATTTGTATGTCTTCTTTTGAAAAATGTCTATTCAAATCTTTTGCCCATTTTTTAAATTGGATTATTAGATTTTTTACTATAGAGTTGTTTGAGCTCCTTATATATTGTGGTTGTTAATCCCTTGTTAGATGGGTAGTTTGCAATTTTTTTTCCTCATTCTGTGGGTTGTCTCTTCACGTGGTTGATTGTTTCCTTTGCTGTGCAGACACTTTTTAACTTGATGCGATCCCATTTGTTGATTTTTGCATTGGTTGCCTGTGCTTGTGGGGTATTACTCAAAACAATTTTGCCCAGACAGATGTCCTGAAGTGTTTCCCCAATGTTTTCTTGTGGTAACTTCACAGTTTGAGGTCTTAGATTTAAGCCTTTAATCCATTTTGACTTGATTTTTGTGTAAAGTGAGAGATAGGGATCAAGTATCATTCGTCTGCATGTGGATATCCAGTTTTCCCACCACCATTTATTGAAAAGACTGTTCTTTCCCCAGTGTATGTTCTTGGAAACTTTGTGAAAAATGAGTTCACTGGGCCAGGCGCGGTGGCTCACGCCTGTAATCCCAGCACTTTGGCAGGCTGAGACGGGCAGATCATGAGGTCAGGAGATCGAGACCATCCTGGCTAACACGGTGAAACCCTGTCTCTATTAAAAATACAAAAAAAATTAGCCAGGCATAGTGGTGGGCGCCTGTAGTCCCAGCTACTCTGGAGGCTGAGGCAGGAGAATGGCGTGAACCCGGGAGGCAGAGCTTGCAGTGAGCGAAGATCGTGCCACTGCACTCCAGCCTGGGGGACAGAGCAAGACTCTGCCTCAAAAAAAAAAAAAAAAATGAGTTCACTGTAGGTGTGTGGATTTTTGTCTGGGTTCTCTATGCGATTCCATTGGTCTATGTGTCTGTTTTTATGGCAGTACCATGCTGTTTTGGTTACATAGCTCTGTAGTATAATTTGAAGTCAGGTAATATGACTCCTCCAGTTTTGTTCTTTTTGCTCAGGTTAGTTTTGACTATTCTGGGTCTTTTGTGATTTCATATAAATTTTAGAATTTTTTTCATTACTGTGAAGAATATTGATATTTGGATAGTGATTGCATTGAATCTGCAGATTGCTTTGGGTATATGGATATTTTAACAATACTGATTCTTCCAATCCATGAACATGGAGTATCTTCCCTTCTTGTGTGTGTCCTCTTCAGTTTTTTTCATCAGCATTTTATAGTTTTCATTGTAGAGATCTTTCACTTCTTTGGTTAATTCCTAGGTACTTAAAAATATTTTTGGCTATTGTAAATAGGATTACATTTTCTATTTCTTTTTCAGATTGTTCACATTGGCATATAAAAATGCTACTGATATTTTATGTTGATTTTGTATCCTGCAACTTTACTGAATTTATCACTTCTAATAGTTTTTTTGGTAGAGTCTTTAGGATTTTCCAAATATCAGATTATATAATCTGCAAACAAGGATAATTTGATTTCTTCCTTTCCAATTTGATGTCCTTTATTTCTTTTTCTTGTCTGATTGCTCTAGCTAAGACTTCCAGTACTATGTTGAGTAACGGTGGTAAAAGTAAAATGCTTCAATGTTTTATTAATAGAAATTAGTCTAATACTGACAGCTAGTCTGGTGTTTATCAAATTTTATTCCAGAGATATGCATTAAATACTTACTCTGTATCAGGCATTATGCTAGGTACTAAGGGTATAAAGGTGAATAAGGGTAAAAGGGTGAAAGAGACACAGCCTTTTGTTCACTGGAGCTTTAAGCCATAGTAACAGGATCTGAATATAACCAAAATGAATCTAAACTAAAGATTCCAGTATACATTCCTTTCTTTAGGTTTCTATTTATATAAACAAATAAGATTTTTCTAGAAATATTTCACCAGAAAAGCAATAGGCAATGAAATCTCAAAGCATAGCAACCCTGCAGAAAGAAATTCATTACACTGATAATAAATATTTTATTCCATAGTGTTTCAGATCCTTATTGATTATCCAGTCTTCATTGTTGTGCCCCTTTGAACTAACTTCCTCATATCTGTTGGTAAAGGAAGTGAGATGCTTAACTTTCAGTTCTTTGCTTTGTATTAGTGGAGTGTTTGCCTTGCTCATTCTTTTAATGATAATGTACTGTGTCAACCAGGATATTAACTTTTAATTTAAATATGCATCTAGAAATAAAAACTAAGTGCTAAGCAAGAGGCTAAATGAGCCTTAACGTCATAAAAATCTGAAGAGTTCTCAATTAAAATTTCCAAAGCATTGTGCTTTCATCAGATGTTAGGCAAAGAATGAGTCACAATATGTGGGTCAATTCAGCAAACTTGAAAAGAGTCTCACTCCAAGATGAAGTTTGCTTTTCCTTTCAGTAAACAAGACTTGATATTACACCAAAACATATAAATATATTCTGTGTTGACACAGTAAACTGAAATCAGTTTATAAATCTCTCAGAATTTTCATTAAATAGATTATTATCACAAAGATTAATTTTGGGTGAAGGAAATAATATGGTCTGTTGACTCCTGTGTAAAAAGAGATTCCTCTTCACGATGAAGGTCAAGTTTTACATAAGGGGGTTGTGCTTCTGTTTGTGCATACCCACTCCTTATCTCCTCTTACATTTCAGTTCTCCATCTTCTACTATTACATTCTTTAGAGATGTTTCCATCTGAATGTAGGGACTCTGTTTTTATGTCTGTGCAGGGAAGCTTAGACAGTAGGACAATAAAGAAAATGGTTCTATCAAATGCTATCAAAAAGCTGTGAGAGAAAAATACACATTGTCATTCCCCAAGTCATTCCCCCTGTAATCAAAGGACAGACTTGTGGTCCCTCATTATCTGCTTTTATACACACCCTTCGGACAGGCATATTTTTTGTCGTCTTCTGTGTGGCAGCTCATATGGAAAAGAAAGAGAATGATCCCCATCCTTCCATACCAAAAGAAAAAAAAGTGAGCCCAGATTTATGTCATTTTTCCAACCTTCACAGTGATGATTAAAATGACAATACTTGAGCTGAAAAGTTCACTTAAGTTAAATTACTTGTTCAAGCTACATGGAGTAGCATATGTGGATCTCAAACCTAGGTCTTTCTGACTTTGAAATGTGCTGCTTAACCTTTTCATTCCTGAAGTACACATTGGTATGCCAAGGGCTATATTAAGCCACAACATAAACATTGTGCAACTTAGAAGAACTGTTTTACTTAATATTAAGTACATTTAAACTTACTATGTTGAAGCAAACATTGTTATGCTATGGAGTAGAACACGAATTTCCTTACGAGTTTTTAAAATAAAATACAAGATTTTGAAGGCAGTTTGCTCCAGGCTTTGTCACCAGATGCCTGGTGAAGATATTATCATGCTTCTGTCATGTTGATTTTATTTTGCTGGGGGTACCTCAAAAGAAGAGTCTGCAAAGGCTAGATTAGAAGATCTTTATGTCTGTGTAGCTCTAAAAATACTAAAGCTTGGTCCTAAAATTTAACCACATAATTTTGTTTCAAATGACACAAAGCACTAGAACAGTTCATTGAAAAGATTACAACTGAGTTCTTCTGACTGCAAGAAGACATAATGAGTCTTCATAATGAGCAAGAAGACAGAGTCCCATCTACCACGCCTCCCCCTGAGTTCCTATAGTGGCCCCAAAGTACTGTATTTCTAGCAGAACCCTTGGCTTCATGGATCAGTGGGACCAAGGTTCTGCTATAAATACAGATTAGTGGCTCTCTCACTTGAGAGCCACTAATAAAGGTTTATTATTGTTGTTGCCTTGAATTTATGACATATTGTGATTTATTTAAAGCAAAGTTCTTAGCCAGTGAATAGTTTACACATTCCCTCCTCACCTTTATTCCCCCATCATTATATTTTTCCTATCAGAAAATATGAAGTATTCTACAACCATATGTTTTACAAAGAAATTTCTAAGAACATATTACGGTATAGAACAGGAGTGGCCTATCATTTGGTAGTCTTTTGCCATCCATTAACTGAACCTCCCAAAAAAGATGAACATTTAATGACAAGCCCGCAGGATTTCAGCAAGGCAGCATTTTGATTTCTGGCTCTGTGTTTTCCTCTACATATTTGTCACAGCTTATTTGAAAGTATGAAAAAAAATGAGCCTCCTTGGCATGGCTATCTCATTTTTCTTTTCAGTGTGATAAACTTGATGATTTCTAAAGTACGATAGTATCTCCAGAGCATGTATTCTTCTGCCCCGCCTAAACTGAGCTAGGAACAGTAGTTTGTCTCATTAGTACCCTTTGAAATCAGCACATCAGGGTTAGGCAGATGCTGGCTGATAAGCCCATGGTCTGGATACTCACTAGTCATATTTTTGATAACTGTGTATCCAGGCAGGCCTTCTGGCCTTAAAGGTGAAAGATGTTATCTATATCCTGCCAACTGCCAGACCCAGGGCACCTTTGGAGGCTTCCAGAGACAATGGAAATGTCAGCAGCACAATAATTTAAGGCTTCTCTTCCAAGAACTAGTTTGGTGATCCCCAAAAGAAAGTCACAAAAGGATCTCCCCTGTCTCTTGTGTCCTCATAATGGAGATGACAATGATTTGAAATAGAGAAAGATATATTAAAATACAGAGCATCTGAAGTAGGGACAAAAGCCCAGGAAGTACTTGGAGGTAACACTCAATTTCTTTCCTTTGCTGACTGAAAACATCACAAACATAAGACTTCAAGAGTATAAAACCCCACATTGCTACGTATCTCTTAGTGTACATTTCAAAAAATTAAATGTCCCAAATCTCTGAAATGATTTTTCTTATCAATAATATACAAATAGTTTTTAAGGTAGCACATGATAGCTTGATGGGAATAATAAAAATTAATACCTAGACTTTTTTACTTGTACAAATTTAAAAAAGCAAATTTGATAGTTATTAAAAGGTAGAAGAAACATGTAGGCAAAAACCAATATAAATAACTAGACAGATAATGCAACACCAAGTAAACAGTATTGTAAAAAATAATATACCTGTAAATTTTCACACTTAAAAGAATTGAAAGTCAGTAGTGGGGGTTCCTTAGCATTTCCCAATGTTTAGAATTATGCCTGGAAGAGTCAGTACCCAATGAATGAATGAATGAATGACTCCCTTCAGCCTAGGGTTGCTTCAATAGGAAATATTTTGCTTTGGTTTGAGTAATATGTTTTGTTGTTTTGTTGTGGGCTTTGCTTTGTTTTTCTGTCTTTTCATGAAGGATTCAAGTAAAGGCTCACCACTCTAATGTGTAGCTTCTTATTTTGGCAGCACTTTGATATGCCTCATGATATTGTTGCATCTGAAGATGGGACTGTGTACATTGGAGATGCTCATACCAACACCGTGTGGAAGTTCACCTTGACTGAGAGTATGGTTTTCACAGTATTATTGTTCACATTTTCCCTCAGTTTGATTGCTTAAAAGCATATGAAACAAAAACATTTGCATTTCCTTATCTTTTTACTGATGAGAGTAGGAATCAAAGTATAAAGCAGTTGTTAAAAGACCTATTTGGTGTCCATTAAGTGGAAAGAAACGATTTTTTTGCTGGCACTTATCCCCTTGTTTCCACAGGAAATTCTTGATGCCTGAAGTACTGTCTGTTACATTAAAAGTCAACATTAATTCCAGCTTAGTTCCAGAAGGAGAGAGGGGGCTTTGGCAAAGCAGAGGGGCTGACTTCTTTCCATAAAGCCTCATTCCCCATATGGCCCTTTAGCTCTCAGTAGCTGCTGAGCATCTAGAGATACCAGCATCCGTTTGAGACATATTATCCCAAATATGAATATTTGGAAATATTCAAAGAAGAAGCACTTTGAATTTTCTGCTTGGACTTCAGCTTTCCCAAATAACTGAATTGCTATATTTTCATGTAACTCAAAATGTTGTCTAAGTATAGATTTGCTCCATCAGGATCCTGCCAACTAGTTTTGGAGTTTTCTAATTGGAATTTGGACATCATTTTCATCTCTAAAAAGCAGACTAACTTTTAACCCCTAATATGCTAAAACAAATAAATTTTTTAAATTGAAGTGTACCAAATGCTTGATAGGACACAAACAACTTCAATGTCCAGAAATACTTTTAAAACATGGCAGGGCCCAAATAGCAGAAGGTGAGAGTAAGGAAAATAATTGGGGATGATAAATTTGAGGTATCAGGAGCTTCAACAGGTAGTTTTAGATAAAGGACAAAAAAACAATATGTAAACTTGATGAAGAAAAATATTAATTATAAAAGGAAAAACATAAATTATAAAAAGGCAAGAAAACAAATTACAGCAATGGAAAGTAAAATCAGGAGTCCAAACACATAATCAGATACGATATAGGGCTTGGATCTCAATTAATTTGGTAACTTTTGTAGTCAGAACTATCCTTTGGATAACGTTTGCAGTTGTGTAAAAAGAACCAAGTTAGGGTTGAGTGAGCAGAGATGCCCATGGACTATGCCACTCCAGCAGTAGCTTCACATTTCCCTTGCAAATGTGGCTCTCTCACCACCCGAATTGTCAAAGAGGATCCAGAAGGCAGGGTCAGACAATAAGGCAAAGATAGATGGATAACCCCCAACTGCATGACTAAAGTGTGGATTTTCAGAACAAAAACAAATGCAAAAATACTTTGAAAGATGGAGAAGACTTCAGAAGAAAATCTAACCAATATCTTAATTTTATGGATAGGAACATGATTCCTGAACTCATTAATATTTCAATCTGAGGCCCTGTATACCGTGATCCCCAGCCTTTTTGGCATTAAGGGACCAGTTTCATGGAAGACAATTTTTCCACAGACCATGGGCAGAGGGAATGGTTTCAGGATAAAACTATTCCACAAGGAGCACGCAACCTAGATCCCTTGCATGCGCAGTTCACAAAAGGGTTCAGGCTCCTATGAGAATCTAATGACACCACTGATCTGACAGGAGGCAGAGCTCAGGTGGTTACACTCACCTGCCACTCACCTCCTGCTGTGCGTTCCAGTTCCTAACAGGCCATGGCCCGGGATTTGGGGACCCCTGCTTTATACCACCCTAGTGGTTTGAAACTCAGAAGATGCATGTCAGATTTACCTACGGGGGGGGACTGTTACAATACACATGGCCAGTCCCCACTCAAGATCTACAGAAAGAAGAGGAATAATATTATGTGTATTTTAGAAAGTCCTCCCAAGTGACTTTGGTACATCTCCTGATGGAAAAGCACAGCGATATGGCATTCAGCTTCAAAATAGAGAAGCCCTCTGCATAGCGCAGAGTGCAGTAAATCTGGAAAACAGTATATCTGGAACAGTAAGACTGCCACTGAACACTAAATCGGTGTCTCATTTATTTGCATCCTTGTAGTTAACTGGTCAAATCCATTAACATCAACTAGAAGACTGCTAACCCAACATGTCAGAACTAGTAATCAGTCTAAGATATTGTCCACATGAAGGCAGATCTGCTTGGTCTTTCAGAAATAATACAATATTATGAACTCTACAAGAAATAACTCATTGTAAATATGAAGTCCTTAGAAATATTTTAGCTTTCCCTAGGAGATTTTATCCAGGATTCATGGACCACCTAATTAGTGGTTTGTATTGAACTCTTTCCTAATATAATAATGCATTTGATGAATTAAGGAAATATTTTCTACTGAGTAAAATTAATATCAAAGTTAAATTTTCAAATGTTCTTTTTGGAGATTCTGACTTTTCTCTCTCCTTGTTGTGTTGTTACAGAATTGGAACATCGATCAGTTAAAAAGGCTGGCATTGAGGTCCAGGAAATCAAAGGTTGGTCAGATTCCTCTTATTACTATAAAACCAAAGTCTGGCTGTGTTGAATTCTTTTATGGCCCTTGATTGCAACTTAAAAAATTACCAGGCTAAAAATATAATCTGGTAAATTATCAGTGACTTCTGCTATGTACTGAGCCTTTAAACCTGTATGTTGCCACTTCCCTTTTTTTTTGATAAATGGAGCAGTCATAATGAGCTCAAATTACTGATTTCAAGTGATAGAAAGTGATTGAGGATACAAAAACTTTGTAACTAGTGAGCCAGAGATATTCCGAGAAGAAAAAAAGTCAGCCACTTTGGGGAGTACATTAACCCCAGGCAAGTAAAAAAATATGATTTGGCATATTGGAAAAACCTTTTCTTAATAGGCCCTAATATAAAGGAGTGAAAAATATCTTTGGTGGGTCAGTGCTATAATGGTATGGAAAGATTAGCTGTTTCTTTAGCTTCTATCGTAGTACCATTCAGCTTCCACGATTTACTGAGGGCCTTTTGTGTGTAAAGCACTATAGCAGGTCTAAGGGAAATGAGACTGCACCTGACCTTATAGCCTTATAAGGAGAGAGGGGGAAATTTACATACATAAACACATATACAAATAAGTATATCACTGGTATATAATATCAGGACTAAGGAAATGGGATTTAGCTATTGGTAAGCAACCACTGGGTTCATATGGAGTCCCTGTCAACTTATTTTGTCTCTTTCCTAGGATCAGTTTATGTTTGTACATTCTAGCATCTGCAGGGTTTTGACATGTCATTTCCAGTTAAGGACTCGCTATGAGTTGCTCATGTTACCTAATATTTAAGTAGCAAGGGGATTCCATTATTAGTTGCTTTACAAATGATTCACCTAGACATTCAGACACAAACCTAGGCTTACTTGTTTTCTTTTCTCATCAAAGCAGCTGGAAAAGAAATGAAAAGCAGCAACAGCAAGGGGGAGTTTAAGGATTTTATGCAGACAGATAAGAAAATATAGCCAGCTCAAGGGGTAATAAAATATTATAAAATAAATAGCAATTGTTTGGCATTTGTAGAGATCCAAGTGACACTACTAAGTGGCATTCATATCACACTCATATACTAAAGAAGGTTCCTGTCCCCCTAGTTTTATGTCTTTGCTATATATATAATTATTGGTAAGTTCTGTTTGCCCTGGAATAAAGACGTTGGGAAAGATCATGTTGTTAATAGTAGCTATCACTTACAGAGCAGAAACAATGGGCTATACAGAAATTATTACATTTAATCCTTATGCCAACCATGTAATAACTGCTATTATCCCCATTTTACATATGAGGAAATTGAGGATCAGAATTCCTACTAAGATAGTACATTTTAGAGTCAAGCTTTAAACCAAAATCTATTTGGTACCAAAGCCTGCACTCTTAACCACTATTGCTATACTGCTGAGGAGAGACTGATACCACCAATTCATTCACTATAAATTCTCCCAAGAACTGCAGGTTGGGAATGGTTATAGTTTACTCTGAAACCTCTAGAATTTTAAAATAGTCTCAACTCATTTCTGTTTAAATAGATCTCACCAAAAAATTCTAGGTGGTACTGGTTGGCCTGGTGAAAACAGCTTAGCCATACTGACCTCATCTTAGCCGGTCAATGATGGATGAATAATGCTGTCATATAGGCCATTTCCTCTCTCCTGTGTGCACACCACTGAGTCCAATTGGTCAGAAACCTTCCGACTTTGTGGAAGTGGTTTGTGGTCAAACCCAGCAGTTCAAACAGTAAATTTTATTGAAATGTCTTGCCTTGACAGTCCAGTTTTAATAGTTAACCCAAACTCAAATGAAGTTGTCTCTTCTTCCTTGAACCCATATGGCTCTCATTAAACCTTTAAGATTATGTTCTTATTACAAAGGGAATGTAAATCATGCTGGATCTCTAGATCTTATGTTTTATCAATATCTTGAAACTTAATTCAAACCACCCTTTATAAAAGAGAAGGGAAAACACAATTTCAGACTTAATAGCCTTGTAGTTACATGTTAATTTTTAATCCCCAAATTTGAGTTGCCTTTGATAACACTTATCCCTACTATGAATGGTCATATAACTAATTATTATTAAAAAGGTTTCAGAACCAGTGTTCTAAGGAAGTTGTAAGGATAAGATAATTTCAGATGATAAAAAAAAACTGATGAAAAGGATTAAACTTTCTAATAAAGTTACTAGAGATAAAACAGGTATAGCAATATCTCACCAAAGCATAGCTCTCACCCCCAAGCCCACCCCCCCAAATAAAAGATGATAATGGCCAATCACTTTCAATAAAACTTTTAAAAAATAAAAAAACCTCTTTAGTGCAGTTAGCTTTTTAGGCCTTATGGTAAGCAACACATTGTAAGGAAACACATTAAAAAAAAAAAGAATGATCTCATTGGTGATATATGCACTTTTCATGTCCCGTAACCAGTTACTTCCTAGTATGCCATTTGCCTTCAGCCTTCAGTTCTGTCTGTGATGAACTGGGATACAATTGCTGTATTAAGAATGTCCTTCCCTTCCTGTCCAAGTTATTCCAATTCCAAGTGGTCTCTAGACTTCTCTTCTGTTAGGGGGAGACAGATTTGTACATACATGTATATGTGCACTCACACAGGAATGTAGCTAACCTCCATTTCTAAACGCATTGCTTTAAAGAAGAAGAAAAACTGTCATACATCAGCTTTTAGAAAATTTGTTTATTTCCAAATATCTATAGAGATGCTACAAGGGCTTGCACTCTTATAAGATTTTAAGGCATGTTCATTCTACCCAGAATACACCTGGCATTTTATATGACAAAAGAATGGTCATTCTAGGTGCCTCCTGTTTTCCAGAAACCTAGTGTTCTGGCTAATCTTAGAGCTTCTTCACTCTTCATTCATCATAGATGCTCCAAATTACTGGGATTTTTAATAAAAGAATTTAGGATAAAGAGTGAAAGTGGCAGAATTTGGATTATTCTTCAGGCTTTCAGTGGAATTCTTAGACTCTTAAGTTATAACTATTGTTTTAGGCATTTTACCCCACATACAAATGCTCTTGTGAAGAGTAGCAATATTGTTTATTTTCTTTAGAATGGAACATTTTAAATTTTTAGCCTCCTTTTTAAAAATGTAGAGCATCTTTTAAATCTTAAATATATTTCAGCCAGTTCCAAAAGTTGGACTGTTTAAGTATTTTTAGTAGATAACACTCAAAATATCAGAAGTGATGTGAAAATCAAGAATTTCTAAAGTGCTGTGTATGTATTATATCTTAGTAAGTTCATTGCCTCATTCTCATTACTTTCTGTGAATGCTAAACTGATTCTTTTAGTCTTTCACCTGTATCATCCACAGTTCCTTCCATTTAATGTTGCCCAATTCTGGTTCTGCCTTATCCATGAAACTAGATATGACCTAGTATACCCATTGTATATTAGGTGCATATAAACTTACTAAATGACAGGCAGTAACTACTCTGGTAATACCCACCTTCAAACAAGAACAAATCCTTCTTCCAAAAGAAACAAGTTCTTAAATGCCAACCTACATCTTTGGCCTGTGTTTTTTACTCCCATGATCTATTTATTGCAATTTTCTTATTTAAATATAGAATAAGCTTAAATATAGAGCAATTTTGTATATCTTTCCTATAGCAACCAAAAAAAAAAAAAAGACAAATGAGTGGTCAGAAAGAATAGAAATCACATCTGTATTCCCCTCAGAAACTAGACATAGAAAAGTTATATTTGAACCATTTCTAGGTCTATGAACCACTCCTTTCCTTCCCTCCCTTTCAAGTTTCAAGAGTCACTTGAGTGGACAAAAGAAAACAAAGGATGGTCTCCCTTTAGCCATAGTACAGGGAAGGAAAGGAGGACTATGAGGTCATCTACAAAATGGTGATGATAATAATAGTGCCTACTCATGAGCTTGGTGTGATGATTAAAGGAAACGATGCCTGACAATGGTGTAAGTACTCAATAGATATCACTGAGACTGTCAAAGAGGCTGGCTCAGAACGTTGAAGCAAAGAGTTGGAACCTACCATCTGTTTGTATTATAAATTATGTTGACAGCATCTTAAATGATTTGGGAAACATTTATTTGGAGGAGTATCCAGTAAACTACTAAGCTGAATCTATACCTACTAAACATTAACCAAAGATTTTCCTGATTGTGTTATCCCTACCATTTTGTCAAAATCTTCTTGAGGCTTTACAATGCATTCTGTATCGTAGGGCAGAAGGGCATTCCAAGAAGTCGAAATTTCAGAAATGTATGACCTGTGAGTCTTCCTGCAAATGTGGTTGTAACTTTTAGTCTGGGCAAATTCTTACTAGTCTTTGTACACTAGAGTTTCTATACAAATACACATATGTGCTTCTTGTAGGGCAAGGATGTCTCAAGGCTCAACCTCATTTTCATATCATTAGTTATTAAGATCACTGCAGCAGCTTATATAGTTTCATTGCATCAATTTCCCAAACAGTACTTTAGGCTTGATACCTACCCAGTACCTGCCAATGTTACAGAATAGTTTTAGTTATTATAATAGTTGTTCTTTTCATCAGTAACAAAAGGATATACAGTTCATCTGTCTGTACTCACATTTTGCTGAAAACAATATAAAAGAGCCTGAAAAGCACATAGTTCCTTTTTTCTTTTGTAATCCTAGCATTAATGTGTGCAGCTGTCCATGTGAAATACCAAAAATTAATTGAACATGAAAAATATTTTTAAACTAAAGATACAAGGAAACAAACACTTATTATATACATTTTTTATGACAGACATTTACACCCAACAGTTTTATGAAGGAGGTCCTATTATTACAGTTTTATAGATGAAGTTACTGTGGCCCAGATAATTTAAGTAACTTGCCCAAAGTTATACGGCTAGTATATAGGAGAATTGGGATTTGTACCCAGGTTTGTTTGATTCCAGTATGCACACCAGTTCTTTCCCCTACACAGTACTGTCTTATTAATTTTACCTTTGGAAAAATACAAAAGGATATATATTCTGTGGAATTATAGCTAAAGAGCATATTAAAAGTAGAACAAAAGAAAACTAATTTGAAGGTGAAAAACCATTCAGTGGAAATAACTAATCACAATGCCTGCTGCCAGTTTGGTAGATTCAGGTATTAAAACATGAAACCCCTGTACACTGGAGTCAACAAGTTCTTTGTGAACAGTTATTGATTTGACTGGGTAGGGGTGGGTAAGGGGGTTTTGAAATCTTTGAGTCAGTTGAATATTGTGAACTCTTCTTTCCCTGAAGAAGCCGAGGCAGTTGTTGAAACCAAAATGGAGAACAAACCCACCTCCTCAGAATTGCAGAAGATGCAAGAGAAACAGAAACTGATCAAAGAGCCAGGCTCGGGAGTGCCTGTTGTTCTCATTACAACCCTTCTGGTTATTCCGGTGGTTGTCCTGCTGGCCATTGCCATATTTATTCGGTGGAAAAAATCAAGGGCCTTTGGAGGCAAGTAAAATGAGCCCCGTGAACTTGGAACCTGCCTTTGAAAGAGTGTTTGGCCTAATTATCCTCAGGAGTTTGATTGGGATTTTTTTCACTGTATTTGTTTTTTTGTTTTTAATGCTCTCTACCATTTTTGACATTATTGTCTATGTTCCAAATATTGCCCCTAGTTAATATCACAGTACAAAATAGTATCTGGAGACTCTGAAATTTGGATAGTTAGATTAAAATATAACCTTTAATACTATCTTTTAGCAATTGGCTTAAGTCCAATTAATGAGTCCATACGAAATTGTAGGTAGTAGAGTCAGTATAAATTAGCTGAAGGATCAGAGGAGGAGATACCTGCTGTTAGGAAGAGGCCCAGTCCTCAAAGTACCTGGGTCAGTTTTTCAGGTTGTGTTTTTCTCCCATTAGGCTCCTAGCTACATGACCATGGGCAAGTTACTTAATCTCTCCAGACCAGTTTTCTCATAAAAAAGTGGGGATAAAATAGTTACCTTACAAGGTTGTACAAAGATGAAATAATGTACATAAGCATTTATCAGGATACCTGGAACCTAGGAAGTACTCAATACCACCAATGGTTATGATGAATAATCATTGGTAATAAAGTAACAAAAGGCATAAGAAGTTATAAAAAACACTTGTCTTAAACCTTAGTTTTCAAGAAAAATTAATTCTATAACAAACCATTTGATAGTTTTTGAATAGTCATAATTTAGCTCATCAGCCTTCCATAACTGAACAAGGCAGAGTCCAATACCAGAGTTAGTATTTTATGAAATCATTATCACAATATAGGATCCAAGAGCTGAGTTTATTTTAGGACATCTAAATAAATAAACAACCCAATTCATGTTTCTTACCGCTCAGTAGCAGTCCCTTGGCTGGGTCCCCAGGTCCTAGAGCAAGTCTATAGCTGTGTGTGGGAAGAAATCCATGGATCAGGGAGAGGGGGAGCATTTGATCAAGAAACAGCATCTGATCCTATTTCAGGTCAAGGCAGCCATGGCAGGGATTCAGTGCCCTTGGCAAAGCCCTGACACAGAAAAAGGCATGGAAACAGAAAACAGAAAATTCAGTTTAATATGTTGTAAAAGGGAATTTTTATTAGACTTTATTTTGCTTTTCATGTGCCATCAATAAATCTCTATAAAAATATAGTTAACTCTTCCCAAAAAGGATTTCTATTAAGTCCATGTTACAGATCTGGAACTGTCATAAGTAGGGGCAAAGAGAAATAAACATAGTCATTGTCTTCATGGTGTTATATAGATGCTTCAAAAGAGCAAGAATCCATATCTTGAGTACTGATATGTCCCCAGCACAAATAATAGTTTCTGATACTAGTGGTTTAATAAATTGTTGTTGAAAGAATGAATGAATAAATCAACCGAGCTCACAGAATAGATAACATATGAAAGAGACATGAAACAAAAAAGTTATAGTAGAGGGTGGTAAGTGCAGTGATAAATACACAGAGTAGTAGGAACAGTGGGGCCTAGGGGAAGGTGGCAGGAATTGTGGTAACCAACCCAATCTGGCAGAAGCAGTGGCTAGGGAATAAGGAAGATTTGGTCTCTCCTGTTTGTTGTTAAGCACATGTGACACAGCACTGTTACATGATGCTGACTTTACAGGAATGTGTTAGGAAGGTAGAGACCCAGGTAGAACCCTAGAAAATTGCCATTATTTGACCGTGTTTTACTTAGAAAAATTGCAGTTTCATATGTAGTAGTAGTAGATCAGCTTCTCACTTTTTTTCTGAATTTGTTCTTGATAGATCTTATCCAGTCTAAGGTTATTAAAAACCCTAATGGACCTTCCATTTATTCATCATTCCTTATTATGTATTGACTCCATATCAGACACTGTGCTAGGCACATGGGGATACAAAACTAAGGAATGTCCTTGCAGAACTTACAATCTAATTTGTTGGCTTTCTAACAGTCTTACCAGATTCTTCTTCCCTTCTTGCCTATTTCTTTCCACATCACTGTCTTCTCCCTTTCCTCTCATCTGCGCTATCTTTTTCCATGATGCTGACTTCAGTCCTGGTTAAAGACCTAACAGGACAACCCCAGGCCTGACTTTCCTGACCATAGCCCTTGAGGGAGTGATGAAGCCTGGGAAATAGTACAGGGAGAGACACAGCAAGGGAAAAAATGAAACCCATTGGGAGTTCTGTCTCCCCATAAGGAAAGAGAGTCTGTCCTTTATGGAGATAGGCAGTCCTGTTGGGAACATTTAGGTCACCTACTATGCTTGGAAAATACTCAGGGTGTCATGTGCTTTCCCTTCACTTATGTCTTACATAAAGAAGAAACGATATACATGGATCCAAAGCTTTCTCAAGCAAGATACGTACTGTCAGTAGAAAGAGTAAAGCTGAAGGCAAATATCCCTAAATTGTCATAACCAAAGATGGAAAAATTTTATAAATTATTAATAACATTTCCTGATTAAAAAAATAGCTATGATTTATTGAGCATTTACTGTATATCTATAGGTAGTGTTCTAAATGTGTCACATGCAGTGTCTGATCTCAGCCTTACAGACAGGGATTCTCCTTGACCTTTCTTTTGTCAGAGGAGAAAACTGAAGCTCAGAGAAGTAATTTATCAAGACTGCACAGCCAGTAAGAGACACGGGCAGGAGTCAAACCCAGCTTGGGCCCTTTATGTATGTCTCAGAAATATACCGCCTTTCTTAAAAATTAGAATTGCATACAGACAAGAGCCAGGCCTTGCTTTATCATTTACCAGTTCCTATTTTAAGTTGGAAGTTGAGTGCATGGGTTGAGAAAGATGACTGGGACTCATTTTGAAATGTGCCATCTTTTTTTAGCAGATTCTGAACACAAACTCGAGACGAGTTCAGGAAGAGTACTGGGAAGATTTAGAGGTATGCCTATGACCTTTTAGAACCCTTCATGTTTGGTTCAAAGTCAACAAGCACATGTCTTTTAAAAAGCAAGGAGATATTTCATATTTTGTCTCTGAAGATAAAGCACCTTGTATGCAGCTTAGCATCTCCCAGAGTAAATACAGAATGCACACCATAAACTAAACTGAAGTGCATGGGTCTGGCAGCAGATTTCCCAGTTTTATTTTTCCCATTCTGCATTATCTAATTCTCTTCCCCTGCCTTTTACCTGGCTTCATTTGTCTTCAGCAAATTTTCTGTCACTCCTGTTGGCATGTCAATGTTTGTCATAGTAAAGATGACCTTTTCTTAAAGTCATTGAAATGAGGAGCTGCTCCAGGGAGGCTAGTTCTGGATAGAGAGCTAGAGAAAAGCAGGAGGTGAAAGTGAATATGAAATATTCCTGCAGAAATACATAATACTTGGGAGCTTTTGTTTTTCTTCTTTAATAGTAGCATCTATATGGCTCTGTAGGATACGTCTCTGTCTGTTTTTCTATTTTATTTTTAAATAAAATAATCTCCCCTTTCCCATCCCCACCTTCTGACTTTATCATTTAAGAATTTACAAGGTAACAGACATTGCTGCAAACTTTACCCAATTCTGTTATTGTTTGCTTTTTTTCAGGAAAGGGAAGTGGAGGCTTAAACCTTGGTAATTTCTTTGCAAGCCGTAAGGGCTACAGTCGAAAAGGGTTTGACCGGCTTAGCACTGAGGGCAGTGACCAAGAGAAAGAGGATGATGGAAGTGAATCAGAAGAGGAGTATTCAGCACCTCTGCCTGCGCTCGCACCTTCCTCCTCCTGAAAACCAAGCTTTGATTTAGATTGAGTAAGATTTACCCAGAATGTCAGATTCCTTTCCCTTTAGCACGTTTAAAGTTCTGTGTATTTAATTGTAAACTGTACTAGTCTGTGTGGGACTGTACACACTTTATTTACTTCGTTTTGGTTAAGTTGGCTTCTGTTTCTAGTTGAGGAGTTTCCTAAAAGTTCATAACAGTGCCATTGTCTTTATATGAACATAGACTAGAGAAACCGTCCTCTTTTTCCATCATAATTCTAATCTAACAATGGAAGATTTGCCCATTTACACTTTTGAGACTTTTTGGTGGATGTAAATAACCCCATTCTTTGCTTGAACACAGTATTTTCCCAATAGCACTTTCATTGCCAGTGTCTTTCTTTGGTGCCTTTCCTGTTCAGCATTCTTAGCCTGTGGCAGTAAAGAGAAACTTTGTGCTACATGACGACAAAGCTGCTAAATCTCCTATTTTTTTAAAATCACTAACATTATATTGCAATGAAGGAAATAAAAAAGTCTCTATTTAAATTCTTTTTTAAATTTTCTTCAGTTGGTGTGTTTTTGGGATGTCTTATTTTTAGATGGTTACACTGTTAGAACACTATTTTCAGAATCTGAATGTAATTTGTGTAATAAAGTGTTTTCAGAGCATTAGCTGTCAGTGTATTTTCCAGTTTTTGCGTATTTGCAGATTTTACATACAACTTTTATAATAATTACACAAACCCACAAATATTAGTGAAACTTACTCGATGTCTTCAACTAAAAGAAATGTGTGTATTGTACAAAATTTAGAAGATACTTTAGCCAATATAAATTAAAAACCAGCCTGAGTTTACATAAATTTGTAAAGTCAGGCTCTTCTAAAATCCAAAGAGGGTTTTTGCCTATATATCAATCAGAGGATAAATACTTTAATAAAAGGTAATCACAGCTAAGTGGATACCTGTGTCTCAAATTACATATGCAAATGATCCATCAGTAGGGATCACTAATAATAGTTTTCCTTTTAAAAAATAATTTCAGGGCAGGTACAGTGGCTCAAGCCTATACTTCCAGGACTTTGGGAGGCCAAGCAGAAGGATTGTGGGAGGCCAAGCAGAAGGATTGTTTGAGCCCAGAAATTCAAGGCTGCAGTGAGCTATGATCAATCCACTGTACTCCAGCCTAGGCTACAGAGTGAGATCCTTTCTCTAAAATAAAATACAATTTCCATGTATCCATAGGAATATATTCATCTTTTACAGTGATTGCAGATTAGTTTTAAAACGTCTTTTTCGTAATTCGTCAATGCAAGTTAGTAAGAACCAGATAATTTTCCATTTTAAAATGATAGGAATCTAAAACTCTTTTTCAAAAATGCCAACCTGTTTTTCCGGCATCATAGTAGTTGGAATAATACAGATATAATTGACTAATCATAAAGTACATGAGAGTACAGAAGGGAAATTTGGAAACGGTAAGTCTGCTAGGGCATTACAATCCTGTCCTAGCACTCCACCTTTATTCTGCCAACCTGGGTTAATTAAAGATGGTAGCCTGGAAAGTAATGAATGACATTGACTTCAGGCAATCTTTCCACTGATTATTCTTGGCTGAACTTCATTTATCGAGTCAGAGAATGCACTGCCTGAGAAATGTCCCAGAGGAGTGAATCCTAGGCCTGGCCACAGTAGAATCGCCTGGAGAATTTAAGAAAAAAATTGTTGGGCACTCACTCTTTCCAGTGATCTTTATTTAGTTGGCTTACAATGGAATACAGGTATGGTTCATGTTTTTAAATTTGTCCAGGTGTTTCTATTGTGCAGTCACAGTTGAAAACCATTGTCTTCGAGAATAGCTATTCTATCTTGCCAGTTACAATAAGTGGATAGCTATATTTTCACATAAATTATAGTTTACAGATGTTTGGAGGGGGAAGACAGGATCTGAGGTGTTTTGATATGACTGTTAGCACCAAAATCTGAATGCCTTAATTGTTGAATGTGTTAAATTGGATAATTAAAATGGGCATAAATGACTTATTAAAAAAGCAAAGGGAAACAGCTGTGCTTTCATTTTTTCTTCTATTAAAGTACCTTGAAAATTTGATTTGGGAGAGTTAAAAGAATAGCTTGTCATTCACTGAATTGGCCCTGAATTATCATTTGCATAAAATCTTTTGTTCTAAGCTTTCCTCTTTAGTTTATTAAATCAGCATATTATTTTTCAAAATTACCGTGCATCTTTTAACTCTCATCCAGATGTTATATAAAATCAAATATTTAGGAAACTGAATGACAATTAAATCCATAGAATCTGTATTAGTGCTTGTTTCCCAGACTGTCACCTACATGTAGCTCAAAGTTGATGTAGCCTGTAGCAATACGTCTCAAACTTTAATGTGGGTAAGAATCAACTGTGAGTACTTATTTTAGAAGTACTAATTTGGTCCCTTTCCCATAGTTTCTGATTCACTGCACTGGGTGGGTCCTAGAAATCTACATTTTTAAGAAGCATTCCTGGTGATTTGAATTCAGGTGTTCCATGGTTCATCTCCAAGAAACATAGTGCTACAGAGAGTAGCTGAACTTTAAAACATTCTTAGGCACAGGAAGTTAATATTCTCAAAGATGTGGTCTCTGTAGAGTGATGGTTAGGCCTAGAAGTCATCAACCCCAGTGCCTCAAACTCAATTCATGAAAAATCCCATATGCAAATTATCTTCAGGGCCAGAACTTAGCAGCAGCTTCTTCCTTTAGTCCCCTGATGCTCTTTATTCCACTAGGGAAATAACTTAGGTGCATAGAAAGGCCACTAGTGGCCTCCCTAGAGGCCTCCTTTTTATTTTTGAATCACATCTAAAGGCTAGAATAAGCAAATCTATTTGGAGTGTTTTTATAGTATCATGATTTAATTAAAAGAACTTAATCATTGATGATGGTAAATATGATTCCTGTTCATAGCCTTAAAAATTTTGAAACACCAAAACACAAAGATGTCTATCACATATCCAAAGTACTGATATAAAAAAAGGACGTGAATTTTTCTGGGTTTCAAAATTGAGTATACACTGTACTATCATACAGAAAGGATTTACCAATGAAAACCTGGTTTAAAAAAAGTGCTCTTATTCAGATATACCAAGATATAATACAAAATAGGAGCTTATAAAAAACAAGTATGACAATAGAACTCTTTTTGTTTTTGAACAAAAATGCATTTTATACAAACTCCCTTAAAATGAATAAGTCATATAAGAATGCTGTATTTGAGGACACCGTGCCAGTCTGGTGTTAGCTTCCAGCCCTCATTGTGGAAGGTGACAGCAGTCATGGTGATATTTGAGCAGATGAGAGCCAATGTGGGCATGTTGCTCCAGGGTATCAACAGGAACAATCCTGAGAAGCTGGCCACCCTGGAGTGCTACGTGGAGATGCAGGCCAAGGACACTGCCTATGATCTGGAAGCCAACCCAGTTGTCCTGAAGCTGTACCAGTCCAACCCAGTGTTTTTTCAGACCACGGACACTGCCCAGATCCAGCTGAAGGCCCTCACCAACCTGCCACATACCAACTTCACCCCGTGTAAGTGCATGATTGGCCAGGCACATCAAGAAGAGTGGCCATCTGACAGATTTTGTATCTCAAGGACCTGCTGGAGACCAGCCTCTTTCAGGCCTTCTGGGAAGCCCTGGATGAAAACGTGGACCTCTTGGAAGGTATAACTGGCTTTGAAGACTCTGTCCGAATGTGTATCTGCCCTGTCGTGGGTATCACTTACCAGCACATCGACCACTGGCTGCTGGCCGAGATGCCTGGGTATCTGTCGGACAGCCAGCTGAAGGTGTGGATGAGAAAATACACCTGGAGGGCTGATGAGTCCCAGCAGATCTTCATCTGTAGCCAGGAAGAGAACATTAAGCCCAAGAACCCTGTGGAGAAGATAGACTTTGACAGTGTGTCCAGCATCATGGCCTTCTTCCAGTAACTGCAGGTGTTTAATAAAGATTTGTTGACTTAAAAAAAAAGAATATTATATAATTCTTCATGCCTTCAAAATATACATATATTGTCTAGAAAACTGATGGGTAAGTTGAGTCCTTTCTGATGCTAGTTCTAGCCTCGTACTCCTTTGCCTAATAATTTTACCTTCTCAGCAGGAGATTTCTCATGATGAAAACTCCCTGTAGTTGTGATTCTCTGCTTTGTTTATTTGGTAATTAACTTGTCCTCTGTAATTGGAAGAGTGTCAACCATGCATGTAGCTAGAACAACACAATTGCACTGGTTCTTACAACTCACTTATACTTCCAGATAAGGAGACAGCACTATTCAATAGAATGGCCCAGTCTTAGCCATTCTTTTGAGTTTGCAAAGAACACTGGGTTAAGGTCAGAAAAGATCTGAAATTTTGAGTTCTAGATTTGATTATTTTACATACCATTGTCTTAGGCTTCTTTAGTAATCACAAACAAATTCAAACAGGTTTAAGAACTAAACATGTTCTTGTTATAAATTCTTGTTATTAAGAATTACTATATAATAAATGAGGAAAATAACAATTTATCAATAAAAAATATTATTGTTTGATTCATATAACTGAAAAGCCCAGGCATGGCTAGATCCAGAGACTCAGATGAAACAAACAGGATTTGGCTTCCCTCTCAGTTTGGCTTGCTTCTATATAGGGTTTACCTTCATTCAGACTCTCCACATATGTGGTAATGTCAGAGGATCCAGCCCGGATCCCATGCCTGCCAAGGGCAAGCCAGGCACAGAGCAGCAAGGGGTGCATGAGTGAGCGAGTATGGGGTCCGGCCACTGCGCACTGCCAGGTATGCTGGCTGTAGCAGGGCAGGTAGCTCTCAGTGCTGGCACAGGTACTGGCTCCCTGCAAGGCTGCAGCTGCACCAGGCATACCACAAATGGCTTCCACTGTGGGCACTGGGGAACGCAGTGGGGCCCAGAAGCTTGGAGAGGCCAGGAACTGCAGAGCCCCAAAGAGGGTGTCAACACCCTGGCTCGGGTGCTCCTAGGTCTGGGCTCCCTGAAGGGCTACAGCTCATCCCTCCTTCTCTCTTCTCTCCTTCTTGTCACCCACAACGTGGTAAGCAAGGGGCATGTTTCAGCTCTGTTTGTGTTACCACTCTTCAGTTCTACCATTAGGCAGGTCCCGAGTTCTTGTCTCATGTCTGAGAAGAATGAGGTATGTGGCCATCTGGAGGGTGAGTAAGGTGAAGATGTGCTTTATTGAGCAAGAGTACAGCTCTCAGGAGACCCAAAGTGGGTAACTCCTTTCTGCAGGCAGTTCATCCCAATGAGTTCAGCTCTCAGTGGAGGGGCGACCTGGAGTGGGTGAGCTCCTCTCTGCAGGGAGGTCATCCTGACATCTGCTCAGCTCTCAGCTGAGAGGAGACCCACAGTGGGTAGCTCCTCTCTGCAGGCATGTCCTCCCAATGTCTGCTCAACTCAGCTGAGAGGAGACCCACAGTGGGTAGTTCCTCTCTGCAGGAAGGTCATCCTGACGCCCTAGTACAGCTGAGTCCAGGGTTTTTCTGGGCTTTGGAGGAGAGGAAGTACATGTTGATTGGTCCATGGGCAGCCACGGGCAAGTCAGATAAAGCACCATAAGTTCTCACTCTGGTCCACGGAACTGGCACTCTGGGCCTCAGGCTTCATGCCATCCCAGGCCTGAAGGTGGAGCTTCACCAGGGACCTGCCCCTTTCTGCCCAGAAGCCTGTCTGCCTCCCTCCGCCATCAACCTGCTGTTCACCCAAACTGTTTGTGCCCGGAGCACCTGCAGGCTTGTGCCAAGCCATCCTCAGCAACCTCCCAGCCTCCCTCCTGTGCTCATTAGCACCCAAAATCCAGAGGGGGCCAGAGTGGCAGGGGGCTGGCATGTCAGCACTGCTCCTAGCATGCACACACCCAGCCAGGTCATGACAGCACCTGAGCTTGGCCTCATCTTTGCTCCAAAATTGCAGTGGGTGCCAGGAGCAGGGAAAGGCCAGGCAGTGAAAGCAGGTATTTCTAAGCCTGTGGGGGCAAGAAGGGCTTCCTAGGTCCCCAACAGTGCAGAGATGTCTAGGTCCACAGCTACGGCTGGGTGGTTACAGCCCCCTCCAACTTGGAAGGGGGCGGGGCTTCTGCTTGTTCCTGGCTCCTGTGTTCCAGGGAGCATGCAGTCCTGACTCCGCCTCCCCCATGGCAGCCAGCATCATGGCAGCCTGCTCCTAGACCGGCCACGGCTGCCATCAGTAATAAAGGTGGCAGCCAACAGTTCTAGGTTTAGATGCTACCAGCATTTACTCTGACATATATGGTTTCTCTTTCCAAAGAGTTCCAATACACTAACTGGCCTGATTTGGTTCGTGTGTATCTTAGTCAATTTTGTGTTATTATAAAATAATACCTGAGGCTGGGTAATTTATAAAGGAAAGAGGTATATATGTCTCATGGCTCAGCAGGCTATACAAGAAGCATGGAACTGGCATCTGCGTTTGGTGAGGGTCTCAGGCTGCTTCTGCTCACTGTGGAGGGTGAAGGAGAGCCAGCATATGCAGCAATCATATGGGGAATAAGGAAGCAAGAGAGAGAGGAGAAGGTGTCAGTCTTCTTTTAACAACAGGCTCTGGAGGGAGCTAATAGAGTGAGAACTCACCCCAAAAGAGGGCATTAATCTGTTCATGGGCGATCTGCCCCCATAACCCAAACACTTCCTATTAGGTCCCACTTCTGAACTTGGGGATCAAATTTCAATATGAAATTAGGTCAGAACAAACCATATCCAAACTACAGCAATGTGCCAACCCCAGAACCAGTCACTGGGGCCAGGGAAAATGTGATGCTGGATTAGCCAAGCCTCCATGGAGCCAGGGACACAGTCACGTTCCACAGTAACTACATTGATGATTCAGAAAGATTGGTTTTCCCCAAGGAAACATAGGATACTATTGCTAGTTGAATAAGAGCAGATTCTATGGAAGAAAAAAGAGTGGATATTCATTACTGTTATATTGGACCTTAACACTTAACCATAATATTTCTCAGATAATGGGGTTTAATGTAATAGCTATTTGTGTAATGTTTAAATTATTACATTAAAAAGAGACATTTTATAATTAAGTCTATACTAATGTATTTATGAAGATAGCCTCAAGGGGTCCCACAAACAATATTGAATACAAGAAGAAATGTTAAACTTTGTTTTGTTAAAATAACAATGAAAACCAAAAAATACATACACGTCCAAGAGTAGAGATTTGAGGCTTAAAAGCTATCTTTATACTATGATATCTACCCAGAAAAAGGTTGATAGAAACATCCAGTCAAAAAAAGAGACAAAGTGATCAAGAACCAAAATTTGATGTTCAGTGAATACTACTTATTGTGAAACAAACATGCAAGCAAATTACGGTGTTCTGTTGTCTCCACTTTTTACTTTGAAAATTTTAAAGCTACAGAATTATTGAAGACTTACAGTGAACACCCATATATTCCTCACTTAAATTTATAGTGCTTAACATTTTGCCATATTTTCATTCTCTCTCTCATAGATACACACACATATGTGTACATACACACTAGTTTGTTTACTTTCGCTGAACCATTTGAAAATAAGTTGCATTATGTGCAATTTTTGTATTCAGATTATACCTTAAAGCTAGAAAAAAACTGTTTAAATAAAGACAACAGGAGGAACTTGGGGTGGAAGCTGCATACATCATAACCTTCACCCTAAATACTTCCATATGTATTGCCCAAGAACTAGGACATTCTCCTACATAACCACGAAACCATTACTACACTCAGTAAACTTAACACATTCTTTATTATCAACCAATATGTAGCTCATATGGAAACCCTCAATGTCCCCATAAAGTCCTTTGGAGCTTTTGATTTTTGATCCAGGATCCAATTAAGATTCATACAATGCATCTGCTTATATCTCTTTTGTCTCCTTTGACCTAAAGTAATTCTGTATCATTTTTTCCTTCCAAAACATGGACATTTTTGAAGAGTCCAAGTCAGTTGTCTAGCACAATGTCTCCCTGTCTAGATTCATACGGCTGTTGCCTCATAATTGTGACATTTCCTACTTTCCACTGCTTCATATTGGAGGCACATAATGTCGTTTTCCCCCCATTATTGATGATACCAAATGTGGTCACTTCAGTAAGATTGTGTCCACTAAATCTCTTCATTGTACATGTTCCACTTCCACTTTGTCTTTAGAAAGTAATCTGAGAGAAAACACTCTGAGACCATATGAGTATCGTGTTCCCTAACGACATTTTACCCAATAGTTTTAGGTATTCAACCATTTTCTGAATCCATAATTTTGAGGGAGTTCTCAAATAATGATTTTCTAACTCCATCATTTCATCTTTACTTAATTGCTGGCATTCTTCTGTAAATGACTGAGACTCTTACTCTCCCACCCTAAGAGAATTTGGCAGCATTCATTCAGGTGCATAAAACAATTTCCTCATTTTATTTGTAAGCAATATGACATGCACCCAAAATTCACGGTATAAATATGGTCGAATATCTTGTTTTCCTACTTAATTACTCAAGTCCTTACCTCGCTTATTGGCAGAAAGTCAATTATCACCTTTCATTGGTTGGCTTCCCCATCTTTTCCCTCCTCTGGAATTGTTAAAAACAACAACAACAAAAACCAAGAAAACAAAGACAAAACCTATGTCCCTTCAAAAGGCATGGATAGAATCAGCAGTAGATTTCCAGATGCAACAAGGGCATATTCAAGTGTAAGGCAACCATGCTGCAATTGCTTCTTGCTGCCTCATGATGTCACTGATGAAGATTGTTATCTATTAATATACCAGTCCTAAAAAAACATGCTCCCCTGCTAGCTGCCGTAATTCAGACCGCCCTCCCTGAGTGCTGTACGTGCTTTCTAAGGGCCGATCTTTTTAGTGCTAGGTTCTTTTAGTTCACACACAGGCTCAGGAGTCCTGGGTCAGGGCTGATTCTCATATCTGTGCTTCATGGACACAAAACCACCACCTGCTTTTCCTTCATATAATCCATACTAGGGGTCAGGAGCTTCTGCTCTTAAACCTCAAAACCCAGAGTTACATCAGTCCTCCTTTACTAGAGATGGGCTGGCCATTTTTGTTCTGTATCCCTTTCCCAAAGATACTCTAGTGAGTCTCAAGTACTCAACCCTACCTAGCCAGAGGCACTTCCTTCCATGATTCAAAGGTGATTTCTGACACCTGTTTGTCATTTAGCAAACACTGCTGAAAGTTTCACAAACAAAAACTAAGTTCTTAGGATACAGTGTTAAAGGGCAATAACCTACCTGTATTGAGATTTATATTCTAATGGCTTTTTTTTTTTTGTAAAGAAGAACAAAACTAAAATGTAGTCCCTGGCTGGGCATCTCAGTCATACATTAATAGATTTTTTTTTTTTTTTAATGAGGCTCAAAGAAAAGAATTAACTAATCTAGTTACACTAATCCCAATGCCTCTTTAGGTTAATTTAGTTTCTGGCACTTTGAATTTTCAGAGTTTATTTTCTCTTGTACTGTATTTCCCAGAAGTCATAGAATTCTTAGAAATCTTCTGGAGTTCTAAATTTCTAGAGTCTTGTTCTGAGACCTGTTTGGCCTCCATTTGAAAGAAAGAGATCCCTCCTTAAAAACAAAACCACAATTCTCACATCTGTGATAAAATATGGTACCCAGGTAACCCAACACCAGCATGGCACATGTATACATATGTAACTAACCTGCACATTGTGCACATGTACCCTAAAACTTAAAGTATAATAATAATAAATAAATAAATAAATAAATAAATAAATAAATGAAAAAATAAATAAATAAATTGAAAGGTGAAGGATTCATTCAACAGGCATTAATTAAGTTTATCTGCAAAATACAAAGATGAAAAAAGCACAGATCCCTTAAATGTCTGTAATCTAGTAAGGTAGCTAAAATAGCATATAACTAATTAGATTTTAAGGCATAAGAAGAAAACAAGTAAAATGCTATCAAATTGTTATTGAAGAGCAGAAAGGCTTCATAAAA
This sequence comes from Homo sapiens, assembly GCF_000001405.40. Lineage (NCBI taxonomy): Eukaryota > Metazoa > Chordata > Mammalia > Primates > Hominidae > Homo > Homo sapiens. Next base: position 103,039,105 of record NC_000005.10, read on the forward strand.
AAGATAGTATTTGAGGCCGGGCGCGGTGGCTCACGCCTGTAATCCCAGCACTTTGGGAGGCCGAGGCGGGCGGATCACGAGGTCAGGAGATCGAGACCATCCCGGCTAAAACGGTGAAACCCCGTCTCTACTAAAAATACAAAAAAAAAAAAAAATTAGCCAGGCGTAGTGGCGGGCGCCTGTAGTCCCAGCTACTTGGGAGGCTGAGGCAGGAGAATGGCGTGAACCCGGGAGGCGGAGCTTGCAGGGAGGCGGAGCTTGCAGTGAGCCGAGATCCCGCCACTGCACTCCAGCCTGGGCGACAGAGCGAGACTCCGTCTCAAAAAAAAAAAAAAAAAAAAAAAAAAAAAAAAAGATAGTATTTGAGTAAGCAGAGGAGGTTTATCGGAAAATGCTTGTTATAGTAGGGGATTAACAACAGGGCTATATTCCATAACACTCAGGCTAGTTTAGGGGAGCAGTAGTGGATGGGCTGGAAAGCCAGGCTGATAAAACTAGAAATATTTCAAAACCATGAGAAGGAATTGGAATGTAACTGCATTTTACATACTTGTTTTTTTCATACATGTTAATATGCTGAGAGCTGTTAGTAAAAGTAAAAAAGTGTTTTCTTTACTGAACAGAACAAAGAAAAGAACAAATTATACTTGAAATAAAATCTCAAGTTAGTCTGAATTCCTAGGAAATGGAGTATTGTTCTATATAAATACTGGATAAAAGCTCTTTATCAGACATATGATTTGCAAATATGTTTTCTTAGTATGTGGACTACCTTTTCATTCTCTCAGCCTTGTCTTTCAAAGGGAAGTTTTTAATTTTATATTTAATTTTAATCTCTCTCTCTCTCTCTCTTTGTGTGCTTGTGTGTGTGTCTGTCTCTCTCTATGTCTTTATCTGTATCTCCAGCCCACAGCTCTGTTTTCCTCAGTGTTGGCTTTATTCTCTAGAATGTTCTTTCTATGTGATATAAAAATGTCTCTAGTTGATATCTATAAAAATTTAAAGAGAGAGACTCCCCTATGCACCCCAAATCTGTATCAATCCCCAAAAGGATTCAGAAACACAAGAACACTAGTATTTTCTTTCTCAGAAATGACAACAGATATGCAATAACTTACCCATTAGTCCTTGCAGCTCACTATTTCAAGAGAGGAAACTTTTCCTTGAAGCCTCTAAGACAGTTTCGGTCACATGCATTGTGTGGCCATTTCTGAGCTAATCCATAGCAAAGAATGGCCCATGGCTCTACCCATGGAGAAGTGCTAGCCACTTAAACAAAATTTGGGTAGGAAAAAAGAAAACGGTTGCTGAGTAGGTAACAGACAATCCACTACAGACCGGCCACAGTTCATGTTTAGAAAATAACATTTGTTTATTGATGGATATCTGCTAAGCTCCCTGACCTCAAGTATCTCACAATCTAAAGGGAAAATAAAGCATAAATTCACTTCATTAAGTTCAGTGATGGATGTAAAGTCAGATATTTGACAAAGTTCAGAATGAGGAATCACAGAAGGTGTATGTTAATGTTCAAGAAAACAGAAAAAATTTTAAACAAAAGTTGTAGGTAGAAGTTGGTAGTGGAGAACTTTCTTTGCATAGTTCTTTAGTAGTAAATTAGCTTTTTAAATCACCCTAGTACCTATCTAAAAATCAAATATTGTATAATTTTCTTATTATGTCATTGATGCTCTTCCAGTAAGAATTTAATTCCAGAGTAATAAGAATCCAATAAAAGTTTCAAAAAACAAAGATTCTAAGTGAGAAGTGAAAGTATGTCCTGAAAAAAGGCTGCATAGTATTGCATTGGTCTCAAAGTTACTGGGCTGAAAAGAGCCTGAATTCCAGATCACAGTGTATAAAATATTTTAGTGTCACTTTCATATTGTATATGTAAATACTTAGATGTTTTATGATGTTATTTTCTCAAAATACCTAGTATATACTTTTCATTATTTAGATAGATTAGAATAGATATGTGGATTATAAATACATAAATAAATAGATAATCAATTGACAATTGATTAATAAACAGACTGACAGTCATAGAAAGAAGGAGTGGAAGAGTCGGTGAGGGAAGGAAAGATGAGGGAGATATCCACATACATAGATTTTTCATAAAGAGTTCTTCAGGGTAGTTATTACCATTGCAGTGAATGACTGACATCTGGTGGTAAACTTAATAAAACATTTGTGTGGATTTGCGCATTCAAAAATAGGTGTTATTTAGTGGATGATGGCCGTCTTCAAGTAGAATAATTTAAAATACTGCCAGTCTTTCAGTTTTTATGTCTACATTATGCCAAGCATCCAAATATTTTAAAATATCTGCAACTCAGGTGTCACACAGATGCTGACAGTATCTGTATTCTCTTCACCAAAAGAGTCACTATTAACACACCAAAAAGAAAATAATTAAAGTGTGCTGGGTTTGCGTATTAAAAATAGGAGGAATATTTTTAAAACCCAGTGACTGTCAAAAAGGTTAAATGGTGATCTATTACTGTATAGTCTTCTGTCTAATTAGCTTCCTGGCTAAATTTATGTTGACCTAAGTTGGTTGCATTATCTCTTGATTAAACTAATAAACCAGTCATCTAGGCAATGAATATTCATTCACAGCCTACCCTGTGATGAGCTCTATGTAACGTACAGAATTATAAGTAAAACATGGTTCTTGCCCTTAAAAAAATTACAGCCTTATTGAAAAGAAATGACTAGCAAATAAGAAACGAGTAGAGAACCATTTATAACAGTATACATTATACAGTACAGAGAGTAATTAATTTGAACAGAAAAATGAAAATTACGATGATTGGAATTGTTAGGTGATATGGTTTGGATCTGTGTCCCCATCTAAATCTCATGTCAAATTATAATCCCCAATGCTGAAGGTGGGGCCTCGTGGGAGGTGATTGGATCATGGGAGCGGTTCCTTCATGAATGGTTTAGCACCATCCCCTTGGTGCTGTTCTTGTGATAGAGTTCTTGTGATATCTGCTTGTTAAAAAGTATGCAGCACCTCACCACCCCTCAACTCTCTCTCTTGCTCCTCCTCCCACCATGTAAGATTCCTGCTCCGCCTTTGCCTTCTGCCATAAGTAAAAGCTTCCTGAGGTCTCCCCAACAGCAGAAGCCACTGTGCTTCCTGTACAGCCTGCAGAACTGTGAGCCAAGTAAACCTCTTTTCTTTCTAAATTACCCAGTCTTGGGTATTACTTTATATCAATGCAAGAACACACTAATATATCAGGTAAGATTTACTGAGGTAGATAGGATTAGAACTGAGCTTCTAAAAACAAGAAAGATATGAAGTGGAATGGTAAAAAAGATACAGTAGAAACTCCAGGTGATGGCGATGAGTAAAGAACAGAGGCATAAATGAACATGAACATAGTAAACCCGTGGAACAGTGTTCTGATAAAGGGAATAGAATATTTTGAGAAATAGTGTTCCACTATTTGGCAGGCCCAGAGTAGAGTAAACTTTGTGATATCAGGTTTTGTTTGTGTTTGTTTGTTCATGTGATAAGAAATAGGGATAGTTACATGTTGTCTTCAAATGGGTAGTGACATAACAAAAATATTAAGGAAGTGAACTGGTAGTGGACAGAAGGCTCCATTGGAAAGGTGACTGAAAATAAACTGGAGTCAGGAAGGCCACTGAATAAAATTTTGAGGTAAAGTAACCTTGGAGGCTGGCAGTGGGAACTGAATAGAAAGAATGGTGTCTTGGTCTGTTTAGCGTCACTGTAACAGAAAATCTGAGACTGTGCAATTTGTAAAGAAAAAAGGTTTATTTAGGTCATGGTTCTTCAGGCTGGAAAGTTCACGGGGATGACCTTGGCTTCTGGTGAGGGCTTTTGTTCCACATCATAATTAAAAAGAATGTTTAGTGATAAAATGTTACTTGATCCTAGGGGCCTAGGTTTTGGCTGTTTTGTTAAAAGAAAACCTTCAGAAAAATTAAATTTAACAGAGTTTAATTGGGAAAAGGATGATTGGCAAATTGGGTAGCCCTCAGAACCAGAATAGGTTCAGAGTGATTCCAGGGCTGCCAAATGGTCTGAATGTTTGCCTTATTTGAACCTGGTTTGAACAGTTAGCTGCCTATGGATGACTGAAGTTCAGCTGCTGTGATTGGCTGGGACTTGGCTACTTGTTACAAGAATAGGTTACAGTTGGTTTATACATCAAGTTAGGTTAGAGTCCACGATGCACAGAGAAACCTTCAGGCAAAATCTAAAATATGCATGAGCAGATTTTGGCCAAACTTAATTTAACAATTCCCCCTTTTGGTCAATCTCTCAATTTTAAGAGTTTGATCAAAATTTTAAGCATTGACATCACTCTCTATCAACATTGTAGATGGACTTATTTGGTCTCAAATTCTACTAGGAAATAGCAGAACAGTAGGTTTTGTAAGGTGGGAACAACGAAACAGAACAATAGAAATACAAGTTGGTTGACATAAAGTTACTTCGGCTTACTTTTTTGTAAGGGTTGGAGCAGAGGCTACTTTCTTATTGTACTGGAATATCCCATTTTCAAGAGAAAAAAAATGATCTGTTTTGGGATCTATCGCTTTCCTTAAATTTCCAGTTTAATTATATGGCACTTAGCATGAGTGACTTCATTTTGGTTTAGTCTGGTCTCTTGGGACTTAGTGCAGGAGCTCAATCCAAAATAATGGCCTGCTATGATTTTGTTTAATAATTTGCCCCTTTTGGTCAGTTTCTCACTAAGGTGAAAGTGTGACCAAAACTTAGGGCATCACCATTACTCTCAGTTACCATCATTTTGGGTTTTCTGTCTCAGCACATCATTAATAGGTGATGGTGTCCTCATGATCATAAATTTTTTGAGTTTTAATTGTTCCAGTCTGACAGACCATTGGATGATCTACATATGGTTACATGCATATATTTAAAACTTAAGAGAATACAGCAGACCAATGAGACTACTATTAAGACTATCAGAAGGATAGCACCAAGAGTTGGGAGTATGTTCCTTAGCCAGGGTCTCCATGAACCAAACCAACTAAAATCAAATAAATCAAAGAATGGGCCAGATGAAGAGTCTACTTGTTTTAACCAAGCAGCCTGTTTGTTAATTCCCTGTGACTGAGTCTATAACATCTAATGTATTCATCCCTGTGTGCAAAAAGAAGTGTCAGCAACTGTACAGATTCCTTTCTGTTTAGCCAGTAGGTAATCTAGAGCAATTCTATTATCTAGCACAATGTTAGCAAGATAAATTTTAAAAGTCTGTTGTGCAATTATAGTCTTTGCTGTAGAATCTGCTACAGAGTCTATATGTGGGATAAATTTTTAATCCTTGCCTCATTTATATTTACTCCAAGCCATAGATTAAAGGGACTTAACAAAGTATGCCCATTCAGAAGGGTATAAGCCTTCCGGTAATATTCTCTTTAAGTTAAGATGTAGGCTAACAAGAGCAAACAAATGTTTTGTTTCTGAATGATTAAGGAACAAGAAATGTATCATTAAAATTCCAAGCCCAGGCCAGGCATGGTGGCTCATGCCTGTAATCTCAGCACTTTGGGAGGCAAGGCAGGAGGATCACTTAAGTCGAGGAGTTTGAGATCAGCCTGAGCAACATAGGGAGACACCGTCTCTACAGAAAAATATTTAAAAATTCAGGCATGGTGGTGCACACCTGTAGTCCCAGCTAATTGGGAGGCTGATGCAAGAAGATTGCTTGAATCTGGGAGGTGAAGGCTGTGGTGAACCATGATCATGCCCTGCACCCCAGCCTGGGTGACAGAACAAGACCACATCTCAAAAAATGAAAATAAAAAATAAAATTCCTGGCCCACTTTGTCCCTTTGTTTTCCATATATCAAGACATATGTTTGCCCATGTATAAGATTCACTGTAAAATGCACCACAAATAAAAGTATACCCCATGGGTGCACACAAAGCCCCTTTTCTGGTTTTATTTTCAGTGATACATTACCTGCAATGGTGAAGTTAGCTGTTTCTCAACAGAGTCTGGGGTGGAGTTATTACAGGCTAAAAAAGCATAAAAGTCCCTGGCACATAAGTCAATTTGTAATAAACTCCATTTAGGCTTTTGGTGCAAGTCTATCTTGTGATATGCTCATTGGTTCTGGTTCTTGCATTTCATTATTGAGTTAAAGTGAGAACAAGTGGACTAGAAATCTTACCACTAGTACAATTTGAACAAGTTATGTTGGGATGTTGCCAAAGTTACCCAATGGGTTAACCAAAGGATCCTTTAGGTTATGTAAAGATCTGAGTTTAGCAAGGCAAATTCAATACCCCATCAAGTTGCCCACAAAAGCTATTGATTGTGAAATTTTACTTCCAGCATTATTCTGCCAAGTGAAAGAGGTAGGCATAAGTAAAACAAAACAAAACAAAACACAACACAACTAAGAAAAGTAAGAGTTTCATGATGACAGGGAAGTCTTGATTTGTGATCTTGGAAAAGCTGTCCACATCTAGGATGCCATCTGCATCCTGGGAGAAACTTACCTTGTTATGTTTATGTTAAGGTCTCCAATGGGTATATAGTTCCAAGAGTCTTGAGGGGTCTGTTTGAGTTATGAAATGTGGACCCAAGTTTAAGGTCCCAAAGTTTTGCTGCAATGTGGGTCACAAGGGCAGTCTTTCTCTGATGTCATTTCCAGAAGATACAGACTCTCTGGATTCTAGATTGAAAAGGGTTTGATTGTCTGCAGTCAGTGGATTATGAAAACTTCCTCTACCCATGAAAATACACTTGGATAAAAAACACTGAAGTCTTGCAGCATTTAGTCATGTCAGAGTTTAGGAGCAGGAGATATACGATGTGCTATTTTTAGGGTCATAGACGTTCCAGTCACTATTTCATAAAAAGTCAGCTTGATTTTAATACATTTTCCACTGGAAATGGATCTGATCGTCACTAATTCGCAACACCTTGACAAAGGCAATCCAGTAGATTCACTTAGCTTTGACAAATGCTATTGTATTTGTAATATATTTAAATGTTTTACAACTTGCCCGGTGAAGTGAGTAGCTCTATCACAGGAGATTTCTCCAAGAATGCCCCGTAAAGAAAACAAATATTCTAATAATCTTCTAGCTACTGTTGTAACATCAGCCTTCCTGTAGAGGAAAGCTTCTATACAACCAGAAAATGAGCACTGAAAATAGCAATTGAATGAAATCCTCTTATAAATGTTCAAATGGCTCATCGGGTAGCAGAAATGTACCTGAAGTTTGACTGTCTTCCCAGGACTGTGGGTTTGAGAAACCAAACATTGGTCATAAATCATTTTAGAAATTTTAGGGCAGTCAATACACCAATATTTTTTTCATAATTTGGGCCATTTTATCTCTTCCATGATGAGGCATAGAGTGCAGAGCTTTTAATAATGGAAGCTTTAAAGAGTCAGCAAGGACCAGGTGTTCATCCAGGCTCTCCATGAGTCTACATTTAACATTGGACTTATATCCTCTTAAGTACAAATTTTATTTCTCCAATTCAGGTGCATAGCACTGTTTATTAAATGAGTTATTATAGGTAATCTGACTTGGATCATGGAGTTCATTCAAATTGCATATCTTAACAAATTCAGTTCTAGATGATGTAGCATGAAAATCTACCGGACAAACACGAAGATGGCCAAATAGGAACAGCTCCTGTCTACAGCTCCCAGCGTGAGCAACGCAGAAGACGGGTGATTTCTGCATTTTCATCTGAGGTACCGGGTTCATCTCACTAGGGAGTGCCAGACAGTGGGCGTGGGTCAGTGGGTGCACGCACCGTGCGCGAGCCCAAGCAGGGCGAGGCATTGCCTCACTTGGGAAGCGCAAGGGGTCAGGGAGTTCCCTTTCCGAGTCAAAGAAAGGGGTGATGGACGCACGTGGAAAATCTGGTCACTCCCACCGAAATATTGCGCTTTTCGGACCTGCTTAAAAAACTGCACACCACGAGATTATATCCCGCACCTGGCTCAGAGGGTCCTACGCCCACGGAGTCTCGCTGATGCTAGCACAGCAGTCTGAGATCAAACTGCAAGGCGGCAGCCAGGCTGGGGGAGGGGCGCCCGCCATTGCCCAGGCTTGCTTAGGTAAACAAAGCAGCCAGGAAGCTCGAACTAGGTGGAGCCCACCACAGCTCAAGGAGGCCTGCTTGCCTCTGTAGGCTCCACCTCTCGGGGCAGGGCACAGACAAACAAAAAGACAGCAGTAACCTCTGCAGACTTAAATGTCCCTGTCTGACAGCTTTGAAGAGAGCAGTGGTTCTCCCAGCACGCAGCTGGAGATCTGAGAACCAGCAGACTGCCTCCTCAAGTGGGTCCCTGACCCCTGACCCCTGAGCAGCCTAACTGGGAGGCACCCCCAGCAGGGACACACTGACACCTCACACGGCAGGGTATTCCAACAGACCTGCAGCTGAGGGTCCTGTATGTTAGAAGGAAAACTAACAAACAGAAAGGACATCCACACCAAAAACCCATCTGTACATCACCATCATCAAAGGCCAAAAATAGATAAAACCACAAAGATGGGGAAAAAACAGAACAGAAAAACTGGAAACTCTAAAACGCAGAGTGCCTCTCCTCCTCCAAAGGAACGCAGTTCCTCACCACCAATGGAACAAAGCTGGATGGAGAATGACTTTGACGAGCTGAGAGAAGAAGGCTTCAGACGATCAAATTACTCTGAGCTACGGGAGGACATTCAAACCAAAGGCAAGGAAGTTGAAAACTTTGAAAAAAATTTACAAGAATGTATAACTAGAATAACCAATACAGAGAAGTGCTTAAAGGAGCTGATGGAGATGAAAACCAAGGCTCGAGAACTACGTGAAGAACACAGAAGCCTCAGGAGCCAATGTGATCAACTGGAAGGAAGGGTATCAGCAATGGAAGATGAAATAAATGAAATGAAGCGAGAAGGGAAGTTTAGAGAAAAAAGAATAAAAAGAAATGAGCAAAGCCTCCAAGAAATATGGGACTATGTGAAAAGACCAAATCTACGTCTGATTGGTGTACCTGAAAGTGATGGGGAGAATGGAACCAAGTTGGAAAACACTCTGCAGGATATTATCCAGGAGAACTTCCCCAATCTAGCAAGGCAGGCCAACATTCAGATTCAGGAAATACAGAGAACGCCACAGAGATACTCCTCGAGAAGAGCAACTCTAAGACACATAATTGTCAGATTCACCAAAGTTGAAATAAAGGAAAAAATGTTAAGGGCAGCCAGAGAGAAAGGTCGGGTTACCCTCAAAGGGAAGCCCATCAGACTAACAGCGGATCTCTCGGCAGAAACCCTACAAGCCAGAAGAGAGTGGGGGCCAATATTCAACATTCTTAAAGAAAAGAATTTTAAACCCAGAATTTCATATCCAGCCAAACTAAGCTTCATAAGTGAAGGAGAAATAAAATACTTTACAGACAAGCAAATGCTGAGAGATTTTGTCACCACCAGGCCTGCCCTAAAAGAGCTCCTGAAGGAAGCACTAAACATGGAAAGGAACAACCGGTACCAGCCGCTGCAAAATCATGCCAAAATATAAAGACCATCGAGACTAGGAAGAAACTGCATCAACTAACGAGCAAAATCACCAGCTAACATCATAATGACAGGATCAAATTCACACATAACAATATTAACTTTAAATGTAAATGGACTAAATGCTCCAATTAAAAGACACAGACTGGCAAATTGGATAAAGAGTCAAGACCCATCAGTGTGCCATATTCAGGAAACCCATCTCACGTGCAGAGACACACATAGGCTCAAAATAAAGGGATGGAGGAAGATCTACCAAGCAAATGGAAAACAAAAAAAGGCAGGGGTTGCAATCCTAGTCTCTGATAAAACAGACTTTAAACCAACAAAGATCAAAAGAGACAAAGAAGGCCATTACATAATGGTAAAGGGATCAATTCAACAAGAAGAGCTAACTATCCTAAATATATATGCACCCAATACAGGAGCACCCAGATTCATAAAGCAAGTCCTGAGTGACCTACAAAGAGACTTAGACTCCCACACATTAATAATGGGGGACTTTAACACCCCACTGTCAATATTAGACAGATCAACGAGACAGAAAGTCAACAAGGATACCCAGGAATTGAACTCAGCTCTGCACCAAGCAGACCTAATAAACATCTACAGAACTCTCCACCCCAAATCAACAGAATATACATTTTTTTCAACACCACACCACACCTATTCCAAAATCGACCACATACTTGGAAGTAAAGCTCTCCTCAGCAAATGTAAAAGAACAGACATTATAACAAACTATCTCTCAGACCACAGTGCAATCAAACTAGAACTCAGGATTAAGAATCTCACTCAAAACCGCTCAACTACATGGAAACTGAACAACCTGCTCCTGAATGACTACTGGATAAATAACGAAACGAAGGCAGAAATAAAGATGTTCTTTGAAACCAACGAGAACAAACACACAACATACCAGAATCTCTGGGATGCATTCAAAGCAGTGTGTAGAGGGAAATTTATAGCACTAAATGCCCACAAGAGAAAGCAGGAAAGATCCAAAATTGACACCCTAACATCACAATTAAAAGAACTAGAAAAGCAAGAGCAAACACATTCAAAAGCTAGCAGAAGGCAAGAAATAACTAAAATCAGAGCAGAACTGAAGGAAATAGAGACACAAAAAACCCTTCAAAAAATTAATGAATCCAGGAGCTGGTTTTTTGAAAGGATCAACAAAATTGATAGACTGCTAGGAAGACTAATAAAGAAAGAAAGAGAGATGAATCAAATAGACACAATAAAAAATGATAAAGGGGATATCACCACCGATCCCACAGAAATACAAACTACCATCAGAGAATACTACAAACACCCCTACACAAATAAACTAGAAAATCTAGAAGAAATGGATAAATTCCTTGACACATACACTCTCCCAAGACTAAACCAGGAAGAAGTTGAATCTCTGAATAGACCAATAACAGGACCTGAAATTGTGGCAATAATCAATAGTTTACCAACCAAAAAGAGTCCAGGACCAGATGGATTCACAGCCGAATTCTACCAGAGGTATAAGGAGGAACTGGTACCATTCCTTCTGAAACTATTCCAATCAATAGAAAAAGAGGGAATCCTCCCTAACTCATTTTATGAGGCCAGCATCATTCTGATACCAAAGCCTGGCAGAGACACAACCAAAAAAGAGAATTTTAGAACAATATCCTTGATGAACATTGATGCAAAAATCCTCATAAAATTCTGGCAAAACGAATCCAGCAGCACATCAAAAAGCTTATCCACCATGATCGAGTGGGCTTCATCCCTGGGATGCAAGGCTGGTTCAATATACGCAAATCAATAAATGTAATCCAGCATATAAACAGAGCCAAAGACAAAAACCACATGATTATCTCAATAGATGCAGAAAAAGCCTTTGACAAAATTCAACAACCCTTCATGCTAAAAACTCTCAATAAATTAGGTATTGATGGGACCTATTTCAAAATAATAAGAGCTATCTATGACAAACCCACAGCCAATATCATACTGAATGGGCAAAAACTGGAAGCATTCCCTTTGAAAACTGGCACAAGACAGGGATGCCCTCTCTCACCACTCCTATTCAACATAGTGTTGGAAGTTCTGGCCAGGGCAATTAGGCAGGAGAAGGAAATAAAGGGTATTCAATTAGGAAAAGAGGAAGTCAAATTGTCCCTGTTTGCAGATGACATGATTGTATATCTGGAAAACCCCATTGTCTCAGCCCCAAATCTCCTTAAGCTGATAAGCAACTTCAGCAAAGTCTCAGGATACAAAATCAATGTACAAAAATCACAAGCATTCTTATACACCAACAACAGACAAACAGAGAGCCAAATCATGAGTGAACTCCCATTCACAATTGCTTCAAAGAGAATAAAATAGCTAGGAATCCAACTTACAAGGGATGTGAAGGACTTCTTCAAGGAGAACTACAAACCACTGCTCAAGGAAATAAAAGAGGATACAAATAAATGGAAGAACATTCCATGCTCATGGGTAGGAAGAATCAATATCGTGAAAATGGCCCTACTGCCCAAGGTAATATACAGATTCAATGTCATCCCCATCAAGCTACCAATGCCTTTCTTCACAGAATTGGAAAAAAATACTTTAAAGTTCATATGGAACCAAGAAACAGCCCGCATCGCCAAGTCAATCCTAAGCCAAAAGAACAAAGCTGGAGGCATCACACTACCTGACTTCAAACTATACTACAAGGCTACAGTAACCAAAACAGCATGGTACTGGTACCAAAACAGAGATATAGATCAATGGAACAGAACAGAGCCCTCAGAAATAACGCCGCATATCTACAACTATCTGATCTTTGACAAACCTGAGAAAAACAAGAAATGGGGAAAGGATTCCCTATTTAATAAATGGTGCTGGGAAAACTGGCTAGCCATATGGAGAAAGCTGAAACTGGATCCCTTCCTTACACCTTATACAAAAATCAATTCAAGATGGATTAAAGACTTAAATGTTAGACGTAAAACCATAAAAACTCTGGAAGAAAACCTAGGCATTACCATTCAGGACATAGGCATGGGCAAGGACTTCATGTCCAAAACACCAAAAGAAATGGCAACAAAAGCCAAAATGGACAAATGGGATCTAATGAAACTAAAGAGCTTCTGCACAGCAAAAGAAACTACCATCAGAGTGAACAGGCAACCTACAAAATGGGAGAAAATTTTCGCAACCTACTCATCTGACAAAGGGCTAATATCCAGAATCTACAATGAACTCAAACAAATTTACAAGAAAAAAACAAACAACCCCATCAAAAAGTGGGCAAAGGACATGAACAGACACTTCTCAAAAGAAAACATTTATGCAGCCAAAAAACACATGAAAAAATGCTCATCATCACTGGCCATCAGAGAAATGCAAATCCAAACCACAATGAGATACCATCTCACACCAGTTAGAATGGCGATCATTAAAAAGTCAGGAAACAACAGGTGCTGGAGAGGATGTGGAGAAATAGGAACACTTTTACAGTGTTGGTGGGACTGTAAACTAGTTCAATCATTGTGGAAGTCAGTGTGGTGATTCCTCAGGGATCTAGAACTAGAAATACCATTTGACCCAGCCATCCCATTACTGGGTATATACCCAAAGGACTATAAATCACGCTGCTATAAAGACACATGCACACGTATGTTTATTGCGGCACTATTCACAATAGCAAAGACTTGGAACCAACCCAAATGTCCAACAATGATAGACTGGATTAAGAAAATGTGGCACATATACACCATGGAATACTATGCAGCCATAAAAAATGATGAGTTCATGTCCTTTGTAGGGACATGGATGAGATTGGAAATCATCATTCTCCGTAAACTATCGCAAGAACAAAAAACCAAACACCGCATATTCTCACTCATAGGTGGGAATTGAACAATGAGATCACATGGACACAGGAAGGGGAATATCACATTCTGGGGACTGTGGTGGGGTGGGGGGAGGGGGGAGGGATAGCATTGGGACATATACCTAATGCTAGATGACGAGTTAGTGGGTGCAGCGCACCAGCATGACACATGTATACATATGTAACTAACCTGCACAATGTGCACATGTACCCTAAAACTTAAAGTATAATAAAAAAAAAAAAAAAGGAAATCTACCAAAGTATTTTCTCAGTATTCAATTAATTATTGTCCTTCTTGGGTTAACAGTTTTATAAGCTAGTCTCTTCACTGGAGTTCTGGGAATTCTTACCCATTTCAATAGCATTGACTGGGTAAGAATTCCCAGAAACCTGTACTTGTTAATGTCCTTTCCATTCTTTCCATGAACCTCCTTGAAGATACAACACATTAGGATTATACTTGCTTACAAAGAGGTTTCAGAAAAAGCATCAGAATTAAGCATTTAACTGTGGTCAATAAAGGCTTAAAATGGTCATGGTTAATGACACAATTCATAAGAAAATTTGACTATTTCTGTGGCCTACAATAATTTAACATAATAACCATAATTATAACTGATAGCACATACAAAGACATATCAGAGTTTTAGAAATTCAATATAATATTGGAACACATTAATAACATATCTAGAAAAATATAACTCAGAAGATTAGGCATCATTTCTTATCTGACAATGCTTCTCAGATAATTTAACGTATCAAATATGTCTATTTATTTTCTCTTTCATATGCTTCAAGGGCCCTCTGGAACATCCCAAAGTCAGTTTTAAGTCAAAAAGAATTAATTTTCATTTTGAAATTTGATTTTAGAAAGCCTATCAAATATGTCAAAAGTTCAAAACACTTGATCAAAATAGGATTACAAGTCACTGTAAAATAATAGTTATTCATTTTGCCAAGGTGATAATTAAAACATTTTAAAAATCAAAAACCATTACTCTTTGAGAGAGGAGACTCCGTTTTCTAAATAATCAAAAGACCTAATAAAGACAGCATGAGACACAAAAAATCTGTTCCTATCTCCTCTCTGCCCCCTATTGTTATTATTATTATTATTACTATTTTTTTGTTTACTCGAAGGGTAAAAAAAAAGTTACTCTTTCTTATTAATAATACACAAAAATATTGTTTAAAAGAGGAAACCAAATTTTAGTTTTGTATTAGTGTACTCTTGATATTAACCCTAATTAATTCATTCAATCTTAGTTTAACCATACAAGATTTTCTTTTACTCTTTTTCTTTCTTTTTTAAAAAAGTTTTTGTATCCATTCAATTTTGTCTATATCATTTCTTTCTTTGTTCCTCCGTTTTGAAACAACCTTTAAATAACCTCTAAACTAGATAAAAATCACTTTTTTTAAACAAAAATTACATTTTCATGCTTTCCTTATTATTACCATTCTCACCAAAAAATATGGTGTTTTTTGTACGCTTTGCATACAGAATTGTTTCACTTATTATTAGTAGTTTTAATTACCTACATTAATTAAAATTTTAGCTCTTAGTAACTTCAATTTCCAGTGAAAAACCTAGGTTGTAAGTAGTTTTGAATTATCTTATTTCATTTTAGTAGTTATAGATGAAAATCATTTTATAGTTTTTAGAAATCTCTATTTCCTCAATTTTTTATATTTATTAACAGATCCAAATATATTTAGTTTCTCTGTATTATACAAAAACAAGATATTGAAGTACATAAACTTAAACTTATGATTAATAATAAATGTTTCCATATTTTAATTTAGAAATGACTCAGATTTATTATGAGGACTTAACTTTAAGGTTTTATTTTATTTTATTTATATATATTTTTATTATACTTTAAGTTCTAGCGTACATGTGCACAACGTGCAGGTTAGTTACATATGTATACATGTGTCATGTTGGTGTGCTGCACCCAGTAACTCGTCATTTAACATTAGGTATATCTCCAAATGCTATCCCTCCCCCCAACCCCCACCTCCACAACAGGCCCCGCTGTGTGATGTTCCCCTTCCTGTGTCCAGGTGTTCTCATTGTTCAGTTCCCACCTATGAGTGAGAACATGCAGTGTTTGGTTTTTTGTCCTTGCAATAGTTTGCTGAGAATGATGGTTTCCAGCTTCATCCATGTCCCTACAAAGGACATGAACTCATCATTTTTTATGGCTGCATAGTATTCCATGGTGTATATGTGCCACATTTTCTTAATCCAGTCTATCATTGTTGGACATTTGGGTTGGTTCCAAGTCTTTGCTATTGTGAATAGTGCGGCTATAAACATACATGTGCATGTGTCTTTATAGCAGCATGATTTATAGTCCTTTGGGTATATACCCAGTAATGGGATGGCTGGGTCAAATGGTATTTCTAGTTCTAGATCCCTGAGGAATCGCCACACTGTCTTCCACAATGGTTGAACTAGTTTACAGTCCCACCAACAGTGTAAAAGTGTTCCTCTTTCTCCATATCCTCTCCAGCACCTGTTGTTTCCTGACTTTTTAAATGATCGCCATTCTAACTGGTGTGAGATGGTATCTCATTGTGGTTTGGATTTGCATTTCTCTGATGGTCAGTGAGGATGAGCATTTTTTCATGTGTTTTTTGGCTGCATAAATGTCTTCTTTTGAGAAGTGTCTGTTCATATTCTTTGCCCATTTGTTGATGGGGTTGTTTGGTTTTTTTCTTGTAAATTTGTTTGAGTTCTTTGTAGATTCTGGATATTAGCCCTTTGTCAGATGAGTAGATTGCAAAACTTTTCTCCCATTCTGTAGGTTGCCTGTTCACTCTGATGGTAGTTTCTTTTGTTGTGCAGAAGCTCTTTAGTTTCATTAGATCCCATTTGTCCATTTTGGCTTTTGTTGCCATTGCTTTTGGTGTTTTAGACACGAAGTCCTTGCCCATGCCTATGTACTGAATGGTATTGCCTAGGTTTTCTTCTAGGGTTTTTATGGTTTTAGGTCTAACATTTAAGTCTTTAATCCATCTTGAATTGATTTTTGTATAAGGTGTAAGGAAGGGATCCAGTGTCAGCTTTCTACATATGGCTAGCCAGTTTTCCCAGCACCATATGTTAAATAGGGAATTCTTTCCCCATTTCTTGTTTTTGTCAGGTTTGTCAAAGATCAGATAGTTGTAGATGTGTGGTATTACATCTGAGGGCTCCGTTCTGTTCCATTGGTCTGTATCTCTGTTTCGGTAACAGTACCATGCTGTTTTGGTTACTGTAGCCTTGTAGTATAGTTTGAAGTCAGGTAGTGTGATGCCTCCAGCTTTGTTCTTTCGGCTTAGGATCGACTTGGCGATGCGGGGTCTTTTTTGGTTCCATATGAACTTTAAAGTAGTTCTTTCCAATTCTGTGAAGAAAGTCGTTGGTAGCTTGATGGGGATGACATTGAATCTATAAATTACCTTGGGCAGTATGGCCATTTTCACAATATTGATTCTTCTTATCCATGAGCATGGAATGTTCTTCCATTTGTTTGTATCCTCTTTTATTTCATTGAGCAGTGGTTTGTAGTTCTCCTTGAACTTTAAGGTTTTAAATTGCTGGAAAAAATTTTTGAAACTATGACGTTTATTTACATATTTTTGTGCTGTTTATGTTAACCTAGTTTACTCATTCTTAACAATTATGCTTGAATTTCTCATTGAACAAAGCAGACATTGAAAGAGTTCAGAAAATATCACTTGAAAATATGTTGCTTTAGTATATTATTGTTACCAATATGTAATCAGTGAGGTTTTATGAATTCTTCTTATCTGTCTAAAGACAGAATTTCTGTTTTTTTGTTTTGTTTTGTTTTTGGAGACAGAGTCTCACTCTGTCACTCAGGCTGGAGTGCAGTGGCACAATCTCAGCTCACTGCAACCTCTGTCTCCAGGGTTCAAGCCTCCCGAGTAGCTGAGATTATACGCACCTGCTACCACGCCTGGCTAATTTTTGTATTTTTCATAGAGACGGGATTTCACCATGCTGCCCGGGGTGGTCTTGAACTCCTGAGCTCAGGCAATCCACCTGCCTTGGCCTCCCAAAGTGCTAGGATTACAGGCACGAGCCTCTGTGACCAGCCTAAAGACAGGAACTCAAGAACATTTTCCTAAAGACATTTTCCACAGGAGCTCAGTTGTCAATCATCTTCTCCCTTGGGAGTTCCAGCAACCAGGAAAGATCAACTTTTACTGCTGGAGAGGAGACTTCATCACACCCAGATGGACTTTTTCACAAACCATCACCCATTCTTTTTTTAAGGCCCCATTCATCTTTCCCCCAACAGCTTTCTACTTGTGGCCTAAATTTGCCCAAAGCAAAGAAGGAGGGTGTAAGGCACAGGACCAGCGAAGACACTGGAAAAGCACCTTAAACAGAGTAAAGTTTATTATATAAATTTAAACCAATGTCTTTTCCATTGTGAGAGTTTCTAATGACTCAGTCTCTCTTCCCAGTGAATGAAGGAGATACCCTTACAAATGGAGATTTCCTATATTGTTGTAAATTTATTTTACAAGAGGGTTTCAAAATAGCCAGCTAACTGACACAAAAGTATTTCGGAAATCGAATTAGTTTAATAGGTGGTCTTACTGAGTTCAAGGTAGAGCACATTAAAGACTAGAACAAAAAAAAAGCATTCTCTATGCCTGGACTAAAGCATGGATATCTCAGAAAAAGAAGTAAGCCTACTTTACCTGATGGACCACCTTTTTATATTTTATGCAGTTCTCGTTTCACCTTCAGGGAGTAAGAGTAACTTGTCAGAGACATCTGAACGAGAGCTACACCATCTTGAATGGGGGCTGGGTAAAATGAAGCTGAGAACTACTAGGCTGCATTCCCAAGAGGTTGAGTCATTCTTAGTCACAAGATGAGATAGGAGGAGGTTGACACAAGATACAGGTCATAAAGACCTTGTTGATAAAACAGGTTGCAGTAAAGAAGCTGGCTAAAACCTACCAAAACCAAGATGGCAATGAGAGTGATCTCTGGTTGTCCTCACTGCTACACTCCCACCAGCACCACAACGGTTTACAAATGTCATGGCAATGTCAGAAAGTTACCCTATATGGTCTAAAAAAAGGGAGGAACCCACAGCTCCAGGAATTGCCCATCCCTTTCCTGGAAAACTCATGAATAATCTACCCCTTGTTTAGCACATTTCCATGCTGCTGATAAAGACATACCCGAGACTAGGCAATTTACAAAAGAAGGAGGTTTAAGGGACTTATAGTTCCACATGGCTGGGGAAGCCTCACAATCATGGTGGAAGGCAAGGAGGAGCAAGTCACATCTTACAGATGGCAGCAGGCAAACAGAGAGCTTGTGCAGAGAAACCCCTTCTTACAAAACCATCAGATCTCGTGAGACTCACCCACCATCACAAGAACACCATGGAAAAGACCTGCTCGCATGATTCAATCTCCTCCCACCAGGTCCCTTCCACAACACACGAGAATTCAAGATGAGATTTGGGTGGGGACACAGCCAAACCATATCACACATAATTTTAAAAAAATCATAAAAATAGGCAACCAGCAGCCCATGCTGCTGCTCTGCCCATGGAGTAGCCAGCCATTCTTTATTCCTTTACTTTCTTAATAAACTTGCTTTCACTTTGCACTGTGGACTCACTCTGAATTCTTTCTTATTTGAGATCCAAGAACTCTCTCTGAGGTCCGAATCAGGACCACTTTCCAGTAACATAACTAAACCAAAAGGTTATCAGACACAACTTTCCCTATCAATGAACCATTTAAGCTTTTTATTTGCTTTTTTTGTAAAGTCTCTTCTAAAAGAGGCAAGAGAAATTTTGAAATCTTCTTAGAAGCTTCTGCATATCAATAGACATCCCTGAGTAAGCCTAATTCGGGAGGCTTCATTTTTAAATGCATTTCTTAAAATGTAGTGTTGTTCACTTAGAATGTTTACCATAATTTTAAATTATCTTTGGTATGATTTTGTCATTTTTGTAAGCATTTGTTGTTTTGGGGGTCTAATATTTATACAGTCCATGTAAAAGGTAAGTGCAGCCAGAAAGGTGGAGTACTCAGTTCTTCAGAAATTAAGAATCCCATTTTCACAGAATCTTGGCTTTGGTTCTAATAACTTTGCCAATAACTGTTTCCTACTTCAGTGTACAAAAAAAAAAAAGAACATAAATTCCCTGTGAATTTCTGAAAGCTGAAGTCTGTCCCTCCTGCAGTAATTGTCATTTAATGACAATTTCTGTCTGACCCAGACATCTGAAGCTTCTAACTGGATTCAATCTAGTTAGTTATCGGATCTAATTTGATCATGGACCTAGTTGAGTTTCTGTCACAACTTGCAAACTCAGTCCAGGTCAAAAATTTGCTCAAAGTGAGATAGCTTAAAACACACATCCATGGAGATTTGGAATTAGAGAGAAAACTTACCCACAATCTTCAGTGGTTGTGTGAGAGCAATGGATGCAATGGGTCCAGAAGTTAGCTCATTTGGTCACTTGAAGCTCCTGGCAGTCACTGGAACCTCTACTTTGAATCCCACTTCTGATACAACCTGTTAAAAGAAAAATCTTAGACAAATTAAATTTAGCAGTGTAATTGAGCAAAGAACAATTTGCAAATCAGGCAGCTCCCAGGACTGGAATAGGTTCAGAATGACTCCAGGGCCACAGATTGTATGATTCCATTTATATGAAAGGGCCAATAGATGCAATGTCTGTAGAGACAGAAAATATATTGGTGTTTCTTAGGGCTGAAGTGGATGGTGAGAGGCTGCTAATGGGTATGGGATTTCTTTTTGAGGTGAGAAAATGTCCTAAAATTAGATTGTGGTAATTCTTTCATAACTCTGTGAATACTACAAACCACTGACTTTTCACTTTAGATGAGTTAATTTTATGGAATGTGAATTACACCTCAATAAAGCATTTTGTAAAAACAAAACACAACTGTGCTATCATCTTCAGGTAAATAATTGTCTGTCCCAAAGGCCTGATAACTCCCTGCCACAGTAAGGCCATACGGAAATGCATTCATGGCTTCCACAATTGAGTCATGGCTCGTCCAAATACTGAACTATTCCTACTACTATGTAGGGTCTCACTAAGGTAATTCCCTAGTTTCATATCTGTTAAAACACACTGTATATATCCTGCTTAGGTCAGCTCTACCACCTTCCTGAAGGTGTCCCTCAACACTGACTTCTCTGCTTAGGGAGAGGCCCACAGACATGGCAAAGCTTTTGTTGTGTTGTGTGTGGAAGTCTGTCCATGTATAATTTCCCTGCCTGGTGCTGCTCCTTGCCAAGGATAACCCTGCTCCAAACCTTAACTTTCTCAGCTCAGGGAGCCGCAGTCTTTGAGATTAAAAACCTAAAGAAAGGACAGAAGGCCTCCCAGAGGGGAAAGATGTGAATCTAGCCATAGAAAGAGCTAAATTATGAGTGAGTAGAGATCAGAAAACATCCTATTTTCTGCTGCTTTGCTGTCTTAAATGCTCACGGTATTCCCCAGTGACACATATGATCTTCCAGTCATTCATTACAGTTGGAATAACACTCATATCCTCTACTAGAACCAAACACAACTTCCTCTGCTTGGAGTGAACTGAAATGACATATTGCTTCAGCAAAGCCCTGTGTCTCAATGACCTTGATAATTCAGGTGTCTTAGTAAAAATTACATGCAATGCTAAGATTTTTAAGTTCTATTAATATTATTCACTCCAGGAAATCAAAGAAAGATTTAGAATTAAAGGCTAATAACCTCCTTTGTGGGGTGGAATAGAAAATATTCCAAATAACTTGTGATTCTTATTCTGAAGAAAAAAGTTCTCTTCTCTCCAGTTTTCAAATTGCAAATTAAGGTGAAAATAGAAAAGTGATATTTGACCAACTTGACATATTCTATATAAATTACACTGGGTTGTAAGTTCATTGGAAAAGACAAAGTAATATGTGATTGCAAACAAGTTACTGCAGAGACCTGTTCTACCACATTCAGTTTTCACTGCGAGATGACAATGAGATTCTTGAGAACTTGTCTGCTTTATCTGTGGTCCCTTTAATGTGTTAGCATCAGCTATATCCATCAGAAAGGGGCAGGAAGCAGAATGCTCCACTGCCATCATTCATAAAGTTAGGAAACGTACTTGAGCCTCTCTTTGTTCTGCCAAGGAATGTAAATAATGCCATTTAGTATGTATAATAAATCACGAGAAACTTTAAATCACTACCTAGCAATTATTAACCACAAATGTGGCAGATGAAGGACAAGTGCAGATCTTTGTAGCCAAGAAAATGTCTTAGCCTCCCTAAAGGGACACATATTAACTCAAGGGGTTTTTTTATTTGTTTTTTTGTTTTGTTTTTGCTTTTGCAGTGGGTCTTTCTTTTTTTCAGAGTTTTAAACTGTGCATAAATGAATGCTGAATTCCTAACTCCTGAAGTCCAGATCCTATATCCAAATGACTATTCAACAGATGCACTTAGATGTGTAATAAGCATCTCAAACTCAATGTTAAGAACTGAACTCCCCTTTTCCTCCTCAAACCTGCTTCTCCCAGTCTTCCTCAACTTAGTTATCAGCAACTCCACCCTTCTAGTTATGTAAGTCAAAAATGTTTGGAGTAATCATAGATGCTTCTCTTCCTCTAAATCCCTACATCCAATATGTTAGCAAATTCTGTATAATCTAGCTTCAAAATGTAACAGATACTAACTATTTCTCATCACTTCCATTGGTATTGATGCCATCATCATCTCTTACCTGAATTATTAGCAACAGCCTTCTAACTAGTGCTCCATTGCCTTTTATCAGTCTGTTCCCTTCCCAGCTGCTAGACTGATTTCCTTAAAACATGGAGCAGATCAATCACATCACTCTTCTCAAGTACCTCCAGATGGTTTCCATTTTACTCAGACTGAAAACAGAGCCCATACAATGGCCTATGAGGCTTGAAACAATTTACTCTATCCCCTTTCCTCTCTGATTCCTATCATACTCCCTCTTACTCCGTTCTAAGTTTGCTGGGCCCCATGCTTTTGGTCAAAAATACCAGACCCAGAAACACTTCAGCATCTTTAAACTTGCTGTTTCTTCCCCCTGAAATGTTCTTCCCCCAGGTATACACATGGCTCCTCCCTTCATTTTCTTCAAAACTTTCACACATCACCCTCTTCTGTAAGTTAGTTTTCTGCTCTCCATTGTGCTCCTGAATTCATTAATGCTTCCCTTTGGCAGCTGTAATTTATTCATTTCACTGCTATCACTACTTTATCATATGAATATATGACAAGTTATCTAGTCCATTGTTGCTTATCTAGGTTGTTGTCAATGTTTTGCTAGTACAAAAAAATCCTGCTATAAACATTCTTGAAGATAACTTCTTGTGCAAAATTCCTGGAGTAGAGATAGATTTGTGCATCTTTGATTTTACTGTATAATGTGAAATTGTTTTTTAAATAGTGCTATCAATTTACACACTTACCAGTATTGTATGATTGTACTGTCTGCTCTACAACCTTTCTAATACTTTTATTATTGCCAACCTAGTAGGTTTTAAATGATCTCTAATAATTATTTTATTTCTATGTTCTGGCTCCTAATGAGATTGGGCATTTAAAAATATTATTATTGCCTGTATGCCAACAGGCAACAAATGACAAATTAAGATAATCAAAGGGACTAAATGCAAAGATGTGCATGTAGTATAGGAGAAACCAGGGATATCAGCCATAGAGCTGTTTTCACCTCCAGGTCTAAAAGGCTGAGTGGAGGGAGAAATTACTGGAAAACCCAGAACAGAGACTTGTAGAGCAGGGACTTTTATTTGAAAGAAACAGGCAGAAGGAGTAAGGAAACAAGGAGAAGAACTATCTCAACTTCATTCTCCTCCTGCCTGATCTTCTGCTAAAACATCAATGGGAATCGCCATTGGCCAAACCCAACTGGAAGTCAGAGGGTATTGGAACCCTCCTGATGTATTCCACAGAGGCTAGGATCCTGGTGCAGAATTCAGGATAAAGTAGGTGATATTGTTTAGTTGTGTCCCCACCTAAATCTCATCTTGAACTGTAGTTCCCATAGTCTCCACATGTCATTGGAGGGACCCAGTGGGAGATAATTAAATCATGGGAATGATTACCCCCATGCTGCTGTTCTCTTGATAGTGGGTAAATTCTCACAAGATCTAATGGTTTTATAAGGGGCTCTTCCCCCTTTTGCTCACTTCTCTTTCCTGCCATCATGTCAAGAAGGACATGTTTGCTCCCCTTCTGCCATGGTTTTAAGTTTCCTGAGGCCTCCCAAGCCATGCAGAACTATGAGTCAATTAAACCTCTTTCCTTTATAAATTACCCAGTCTCAGGTAGGTATATAGAGGCAATAATAATAATAATAATAAATTTAAAAAACAAAACAACAGATAAATGCATGAGCAATTTGGCTTTTCTATGAGGTACCTAGTCAACACTTTTGACCATTTTAATATTAGCTTATTTATATTTATAGGAATTCTTTATGTGAACAATTATTCCTATAACAAATAAGGCCAATTTTCTTTCTAATCCTAATGATTTTTCCTTTTTCTTGCCTTAATATGCTGAATAGAGGCTCCAGTACCAAAACAGTTGTAAGTTGTCATTACCTTTAAAAATATGTTTTCAATGAATTCTCCATTGTGTACTATAGTTTTTAAAAAAATTTCCAATGAATAGTAATGTTCAGCAAATACTTTTTCTCCTTTACTAGATTAGGGGTCCACAAACTACTACCCCACAAGCCAAATCCAGCTCCACTATGTATTTTTGTAAATAAAATTGTATTGGAAAATAGACTCATTTATTGAGTATATGGCTGCTTTCATCCTAAAATGGCAGAAGTTTGTATTTCCAAGAGTGTATAGCCCCAAAAGCAGAAAATATTTACTACCTAGTTTAGCTCTTTGCAGAAAACTTTTGCCAAGGAGATAATTGTATATATATGAACACATATAGTTTTACTAGTTATTCTCAGTTTACCCACCTCAAATTAATTCTCTGTCCTTTTCTGCTCTGTTCCCTAGGAGGCTGATTTTTTTGGCTGCCTGTGTTTCCAAGCCCCCTTGCTCTGGCTTCCCATGATCGCTGACTAATGAGGCAATAGTAGAAGATGGGAGGGTGGTATGCCATTGGTCACGGGTTTGACAGTAATTTTTAATTTTCACAGTTACAACTTGTTATTGTTTTGGGATGGTTAGACTCTCTGCCATAACTCTATCTCTCACTTGGTATTTCCTCCTTCAGGTGTAGAGGTTTCTGGCTATTGCTAGTTACCATCCTTGGTTTGTTCCTTTTGAACAGTTCCTTAAATTCTCTTCAGTTATAACCATTTGTGTACTTCATCTCTCTCTTGCCAGGTCTCTTTAAAAATGTAGTCATTAATTGTATATATCTTTTCTAACATTAAATCAATCTGACATTTTGGGAATCAGCTCAATTTGGTTATAATGCATATTGTTCTGTTTGCATCTTTGTATTTGTGTTCCCAAGAGAAAAACCGGTTATTTTCCTTCCTCATTCTGTCATTTCCATATTTTGATATCAAGTTTACACCACCCTCATAACATGAATTAAGAAATGTTTCATTTCTACACTATGAATAATTTGCATAAAGTTAAAATTACATACTTCTTAAATCTTGTTATAAATGTTTGGTAAAATCATCTGACATTATTTCTTCTTAAACCTCTTTGGTAAGTGAAATTTTTCTAAAATTCATCAATTTTATTAAGGTTTATTAGAATAAAGTTGTAATATCCTCTATAAGTATCTGCATCATGTGTGGTTATAACACTTTTTGCATCACAATATTGCTTATTTATAAATTCTGTAGGATTGTCTCTTTATTTTTATTTTTATTAGTTTTGCGAGTTTTGTGTCAATTCATTTGTGTCTTTAAAAACCAAATTTTGGCTCTAGTTCACCTCATCATTGTATGTTTCTTTTCTTTTCTTTTCTTTTTTCTCTTGTTCTTTTTCTTTTTTTTTTTTAGACGGAGTCTCACTCTGTCACCTAGGCTGGAGTGCAGTGGTGTGATCTCGGCTCACTGCAACCTCTGCCTCCCAGGTTCAAACAATTCTCCTGCCTCAGCCTGTCTGAGTAACCGGGACTACAGGTGCATTCCACCACGCCCAGCTAATTTTTTGTATTTTTAGTAGAGATGGGATTTCGCCATGTCGGCCAGGCTGGTCTTGAACTCCTGACCTCAGGTGATCCGCCTGCCTTAGCCTCCCACAGTGCTGGGATTGCAAGTGTGAGCCACTGTGCCTGGCGTGTATGTTTATTTTCTATTCTATTAATTTCTATTATCTTTGTGATTTCAAATCTTTCTTTTGGCTTATTCACTTGTTCTTTTTGTACCATATTAAATTGGATGCTTTGCTCATTACTTCTTGACCTTTATTTTTAACCAATATAAGCACAAAATACATAAATTTTTCTCTGAGCAGTTTTAGTTGCATCCTACAAAAATTTTTAAGCAGTTTTATTGAGATATAATTCACATGCCACCCGATTCATCCACTCACAATTCAATGGTTTGGGGTACTTATATTATTAATTTTTTAAAATTGTGGTAAAAATATACATACCATAAAATTTACCATTTTGACCATTTAAAGTATATAATTCTGTGACATAATTGCATTCACAATATTATGCAAACATCACCAGTATCTATTTCCAAAACTTTTTCATTACTTCAAAGAGAAACTTTGTAATCTTTATGCATTAAAGATTAACTCCCCACTTCCCTTTCCCTCTGCCCCTGATTACTGCTAATCTACTTTTGTCTATAAA
The DNA here is from genome assembly GCF_000001405.40 of Homo sapiens. Taxonomy (NCBI): domain Eukaryota; kingdom Metazoa; phylum Chordata; class Mammalia; order Primates; family Hominidae; genus Homo; species Homo sapiens. Next base: position 103,065,379 of record NC_000005.10, read on the forward strand.
AATTTGCCTATTATAGATATTTTATATAAGCGGAATCATACAATATCTTTTTATTTATTATTCACTTAGCATAATATCTCCAAGGCTCATCCATGTTGTATCATGTATCACAACTTCATTCCTTTCTATAGTTGCATAATCTTTCATTGTATGTATATGCTACATTTTGTTAATCCATTCGTCTATTGATGGATCCTTGAATTGTTTCCACCTTTTGGCTATTGTGAATAATGATGCAATAAATATTGGCATAAAAATATCTGTTTGAGTCCCTACTTTCAATTCCTTTGGATACATATCTAGGAGCGGAACTACAGGATCATATGGTAATTGTTTAACTTTTTGAGGAATTGGCAGTGTTTTCCATAGCTGTCACACCACTTTAAATTCCTATCAGTCATGAGAGTTTCCAATTTCTCCATATCCTGTAACAGCCCGATGGGTTCATCTTGCCCACTGCCTAGAAAAGCCAGTGTACTGAGGACAGTAGGTATTGGAGCAAAGAAAGAATTTAATTATCGTAGGGCCAACCAAATGGAAGAATATGAGATAATTCTCAAATCTGCCCCTGCTGAGAATTCAGAGGCTAGAGGGCTAGGGTTTTTTGGGGTTTTTTTTTTTTTTTTTGGTTTTTTTTTTTTTTTTGAGGTGAAGTCTCGCTCTGTTGCCCAAGCTGGTGTGCAGTGGCATGATCTTGACTCACTGCAACCTCCACCTCCTAGGTTCAAGCAATTCTTCTGCCTCAGCTTCCCGAGTAGCTGGGACTACAGATGGATGCCACCACGCCCAGCTAATTTTTGTATTTTTAGTAGAGATGGGGTTTCACAATATTGGCCAGGCTGGTCTTGAACTCCTGACCTCATGATCTGCCCGCCTCGGCCTCCCAAAGTGCTGAGATTACAGGGGTGAGCCACCGTGCCTGGCCGAGGCTAGGGTTTTTGAGGGTGCTTTGACAAGTAGGGGGCTGAGGAACTCAGATAATTGGTTGGGTGGGGAAGAAATCACAGGGTTATTGAGACAGGGCTGTCTTTGTGCAGCTGAGTCAGTTCTCAGGAGAGAGTCTCAGGACTAGGTGGTGTCTCTTGGTCTGCCAAAATGCTAAATCTGAAGAATACCTCAAAGACCAGTTAATTAAGTTTCACAATAGTGATGTTATCTATGTGAGTAGTTGGGGAAGTTACAAATCTTGCAACCTCTGGTTAAGTGACTCTGGGGCAGTAAGCAACTTATAGCAAAGCAAGCTAAGCAATGGCAGGTCATTGTTTATGCTTACTCTTTAGCAAAGTTCAAGCTCCTATCATAATTCTAACCTTGCCTCGTGAATGCAGCTTCAATCTCTGAACAAGGAAGGGAGTCATTTTTCCTTGCCTCAAAGTGTAACTACCAAACTAATTCCACTCATGGTTATCTTGGCCTCTGTGCTAGAATAAGCAAAAACCAATTTAACCTGTGAGGATAGAAGCAAAACAGAGTCATGCAGTTTTCTCTCATCACTTACAATTCTATAAAGGTGATTTCAATCCTAGGCAATACTTGTCATATTTCTTTTTTTTTTTTTTGTAGGATATGATAGCCATTCTAGTAGGTGTGAAGTGGTATCTCATAGTGGTTTTGACTTGCATTTCCCTGATGACTAATCATGTTGAACATCTTTTCATGTGATTATCAACCATTTGTACATCTTTTTTGGGGGGAATATCTAATAAAGGGCTTGAGTTATTTTTTGTGTATTGAGTCATAGTTCTTTATATATTCAGGATATTATACCTTTTTCACATTATATATTTTTAAAAAACATTACCCCTTTTGTAACTACCTCAAGTAAAATCAGGGATTTTCATTTGTTTTTTGTTTGAGACAGGGTCTCACTCTGTTGCCCAAGCTGGAATGCAGTGGCACGATCACAGCTCACTGCAGCCTCAGCCTCCTGGACTCAGGTGATTCTCTCGTCTCAGCCTCTAGGTAGCTGTGACCACAGTCTCATGCCACCATGCCCAGGTAATTTTTTGTCTTTTTCGTAGAGATAGGGTTTCGCCACATTGCTCAGGCTGGTCTCGAATTCCTGGGCTCAGGTAATCTGCCTGTCTTGGCCTCTCAAAGTGCCAAGATTACAGGAATGAGCCACTGTGCCTGGCCAAAATTTGTGATTTTTAACGTATTTGTGATCAGTACAGATTAACGGAAGACTGACTCTTAAGTTCTATTCTTAAAGCCTAGGCAGATTTGCCACTGATTTGCTTCAAGCTGTGAGCAAGTCACATAAACCATCCCTATGATTATTTTATTACTGTTTATTCATCACATAAAATTGAAAAATTAATAATATATGTATATATTTATAAGGATGAAATTCTAAATGGACATATAAAAAATGCAGGATAAAATACTGCCCAGAAACCCAGAGAGTGTAAGTTATATATTACTGTGCAATCAGAAAACATGATTTTGGAGGAAGGGAACCATTCCATTTAGTATTTTTCCCTCCACCACTATATGAAAGTGTTACTGAAGAAGTGAAGAGAATCCAGACTCCCTACTCTTTAGCCTTTTCCGCATTCTCCATTTCAACACCTGGGGCCTCTTCTCTCGGAACTAATAGAAGCTTAGAGGGGATGTAGGGGAGAAGTTGACATGTGATCTCCTCCAGCTACTAACCACGCCAAATAATTTGCTCTCCTCTGTCTGCTTCTGACAAATCCCTTCAAAGTTTAGACAATGAGGTGCTCAGATAAGGGAAATCCCTTGGGCCTAATATTCTTTAACTAACAAACAAAATGTGCTTGGGGAAACAAAGGAAGAAGCATTAATAGGGGTAGCAAGTAAGGGAAGGGGTGAGGAGGACACCGACAGATTAGAAGTAGAAGAATCATCTGGCCCAGGCCTCAAGCTCTGGTTAAGCTACCAATTTAAATACTTATTAATTTAATGGCACTTAACTAATCTTTCCCTGCTTAATATTAACAATGCATAAAGCTAACATTTCTCCCTCAATAATAAATGCATTTGTATAAAACAAAAGTTTGAAACTACTTTTTTTAATGCACATTTTGGTTTTTATTAATTATAATGATTAGAAACTCCAAAACTGGAAGTGACTCAGTCACTTTTAGACATTTGAGCAAAATATTCTGTTACAGCTTTCTGAGCAGTCAAAAATCAGCAGAATGGAATACTTACGCTTTTTACGGCTTAAGATAGGGATCCCAATAAATGTCTGTGCAAAAGTCTACAAGTAAAATTTTCAGATTAGATGTAGGTGAAGAAATGTATTCCTAAGAATTACTGGTCACTTTTTCATTATTCTACTAGAATATAAGTTCTAGGAGGGCAGAAATTTTTATTTGTAATTGATATAATCTCAGTGCCAGTATCTGGAACATAGTAGGCATTTAATGTGTATCTTCTTTGAATGTATAAATGAATTGCATAGTTTAAAAATGTAATATGTTTTCTTTTATAAATCTTAGTGAGTTACTCTTTTTAATGGTAATATAATAAGATTTTATACTTGAAATGGTAATCATATTTTAAAATAACTTTTTAAACAAGGAAATTATTCTCATTCAAAATAGAATCTTCATTTACTATAGTTCAGCATCTCCATTTCCTTCTATATAATGCTTTGAACAGTACCACAAGGTGTCATACAAAACCTCATAAAGACATTTCTAGATTTTTTTGGTCAAAATTTTGTTACATACTTACAGAAAAATTCCCTTAAATCCAGGCAAGAGGGATCCCATTCTGGACCCTTTTCTTGAAAACTAGGCTGTATCCTCCTGTAGCTCATGCCACTCCCTGCTGGGTAAGATCTCAGGGCCCTGAGATATACTCTTCTTCACCTGGAGAACCTCTTTCAGCTCCTTCCTGGTCTGTCTACAGAGGGTGGATGAACAATTGAGAAAGCTTATTCTAAAAGGCCTGGGCTGGTCAAGGGGCACCTCTACAGAAGCTGGGGTCACTTATCCTTGGGAAGGAACAGGATTGAGACAGAGACCAGTTCTCCCTAAGTTGCCATTCACTAGTGTGGGGCTCTAAGGAGTCCAAGAATCCTAGGAACCTTAGGTATATTTGCTGAGGTAGGAAAAGTTTCTTAGCTTGATTTAAACCTCCTAAATATTCAGGTATACAGTATGTGAACCTCCATTTTTACTCTTGACAGGGCACTGCAAACATAAACATTAGAGCTAAAGACTGTATGTATAAAAATCTCAGCTGGGCACAGTGGCTCACATCTGTAATCCCAGCACTTTGGGAGGCCAAGGCAGGCGGATCACCTGAGGTCAGGAGTCGGAGACCAGCCAGGCCAACATGGCGAAACCCTGTCTCTACTAAAAATACAAAAAAATTAGCTAGGTGTGGTGGCAGGCGCCTGTAATCCCAGCTGAGGCAAAAGAATTGCTTGAACCCAGAGGCAGAGGTTGCAGTGAGCCGAGAACACGCCATTGCACTCCAGCCTGGGTGACAAGAGTGAAACTCCATCTCAAAAAACAAAAAACGAGAACAACAACAACAACAAATCTCTGAGTGTTTTCTCTGCATATTTGTTAATGTAAAAATTGTATTTGGAATCTCTGCATTAGAATTCTGAAATTTCAGTAATAAAATCAGCGATTTCTTTGAATGGCATATATTGGCTATTTATCAGGGAATAAAAGTAAAACGAACTTTGATAATAAATTGCCTATAACAGAATTTGCAAAAAAAAAAAAGAAAAAAGAAAACGAAAAAGATGAGTGTGACAGCTATTAAAGCTATCAACTAATATTCTGCTTCTCCTTCCAGGAATATGGTAGGGCTGCACTTACCTACCTGTCTTTGGTATTAGGGTGGCTGTATGGCTAGTTAATTTTTTCCAATCTGTGGTTTAGACTCTAACAGCTTTATAAGCCATAATTCATCTACCATAAAGCTCACTTTTAAAAAGTTCATAAAAATATTCAGGAGTGACATAAATAAATATCATCAATGGTCTGGATGTAATGCTGTTAGGATAAATAGTAATTGAGATAACCATAAAGTAGTTTCTATGGCTGTTTTATTATTTCTCATATAAATTGCTGTTGAATCTAGAATTATTTTATTTCATAACTTCTCTTTCTGTATTTCCCAGCTTTGAGGTAAAACTGATTAATAAAAATTATAAATATTCAGAATGTACACTGTGATATTTTAATGTATGTATACATTGTGAAGTAATTATAATCAGGCTAATTAACATATCCATCACCTCACATAATTAACTTTTGTGTGGGTTGTGTGGTGGGAACACGTAAGATCTACTTTCTTATCAAATTTCAAATGTACAATAAAGTATTATTAACTATGGCCACCATGCTGTACATTAGCTCTCTAGAATTTATTCATTCTGACAGAAACTTTGTATTCTTTGACTAATACCTCCCCATTCCTCTCACTCCCAACCCCTGGGAACCACCATTCTACTCTCTGCTTCTGAGTTCAACATTTTTAGATTTTACATATAAGGCTGAAAAAAATATTCCTTTGTATGCATACATATCACATTTTCTTTATCCATACCTCCATTAGTGGACATTTAGGTTGATCCATATCATGGCTATTGTGAATAATGATGCAATGACCATGGAAGTGTAGATATCCCTTCAACATACCTATTTCAGTACCTTTGAAGGAAATTGTGGGTCATATGTTAGTTTTTTAATTTTTTGAGGAGCGTCCATAGGGTATTTTATAATGACTATACCATTGCGCCCTGCCACCAAAAATGTACATGGGTTCCCTTGTCTTTAAATCCTCACCAGAGATTGCTATCTTTTTGACAACAGCCATTCTAACAGGTGTAAAACTATACGTCATTTTGGTTTTAAACTGTATTTTTCTGATGATTAGCAATGTTGGAACATTTTTTCATGCATCTGTTGGCCATTTCTATGTCTTGTCTGAAAAAATGTATATTCAAGCCCTTTGCCCATTTTTAAATCTGGTTATTAGTTTTCTTGCCATTGAACAGAGTTCCTTAGAAATTTTGGATATTAACCCCTTAACAGATGCAAGATTTGCAAATATTTTCACCCATTCCATATTGTTTTCATTGCTGTGCAGAAGCTTTTAGTTTGATGCAATCTTTGTCTATTTTTGCTCTCGATGCCTGTGTTCATTTTGAGATAATGTACAAAAATAATTATCAAGACTATTGTTAAGAAGTATTTCCCCTGTTTTCTTCTAATTGTTTCACAGTTTCAGGCCCTAGATTTAAGGCTTTAATCCATTTTGAGCTGATTTCTGTATATGGTGTGAGGTATAGGTTCAGTTTCATTCTTTTGGATGTGGATATCCAGTTTTAATAGCACCATTTATGGAAGAAAGTGTGTTTTTCCCATTGTGTGTCCTTGCAAACTTTGTCAAAGATATACCATAAATGCATAGATTTCTTGGCTTTCTATTATGTTCCATTGATCTGTATGTTTCTTTTTATGCCAGTATTTTGAAGTCAAGTAGTATAATGCCTCCAGCTTTGTTCTTTTATTTTTTAATTTAATTTTTTTTTTACTTTAAGTTCTGGGATACATGTGCACAATGTGCAGGTCTGTCACATAGGTATACATCTGCCATGATGGTTTGCTGCACCTATCAACCCGTCACCTATGTTTTAAGCCCCATATGCATCAGCTATTTGTCCTGATGCTCTCCCTTCCCTCACCAGCCACCCTTCTGACAGGCCCTGGTGTGTGTTGTTCTCCTTGTGTCCATGTGTTCTCAGCGTTCAACTCCCACTTATGAGTGAGAACATGCAGTGTTTGGTTTTCTGTTCCTGTGTTAGTTTGCTGAGTATGATGGCTTCCAGCTTCATTCATGTCCCTGCAAAGGACATCATCTCATTCCTTTTTATGGCTGCATAGTATTTTAGATTTTACATATAAGGCTGAAAAAATATTCCTTTGTATGCATACATATCACAGAACCAGAAATACCATTTGACCCAGCAATCCCATTACTGGGTATATACCCAAAGGAATATAAATCATTCTATTATAAAGATAAATGCACACATATTGCAGCACTATTCAAAATAGCAAAGACATGGAACCAACCCAGATGCCCATCAGTGACAGACTGGATAAATAAAATGTGGTATATATACACCACGTTATCTCATTGTGGTTTTGATTTGCATTTCTCTAACAACCAGTGATGTTAAGCTTTTTTCACGTCTGTTGGCCACATCAATGTCTTCTTTTGAGAAGCATCTGCTCATATCCTTTGCCCACTTTTTGATGGGTTGTTTGTCTTTTTCTTGTAAATTTCTTTGAGTTCCTTGTAAATTTTGGATATTAGACCTTTGTTGGATGGGAAGATTGCCAAAATTTTCACCCATTCTGTAGGCTGCCTGTTTACTCTGATGATAGTTTCTTTTGCTGTGCAGAGGCGCTTTAGATTAATTAGATCCCATTTGTCAATTTTAGTTTTTGTTGTAACTGCTTTTGGCAATTTCATCGTAAAATCTTAGCCCATGCCTATGTCCTGAATGGTATTGCCTACGTTTTCTTCTAGGGTTTTTATGGTTTTGGGTTTCACATTTAAGTCTTAGATCCATCCTGAGTTAATTTTTGTATAAGGTGTAAGGAAGGGGTCCAGTTTCAGTTTTCTGCATATGGCCAGCCAGTTTTCTCAGCACCATTTACTAAATAGGGACTCTTTTCCCCATTGCTTGTTTTTGTCTGGTTTGTTGAAAATCAGATCGTTGTAGATGTGTGGCCTTATTTCTGAGGTCTCTATTCTGTTCCATTGGCCTACATGTCTGTGTTGGTACCAGTACCATGCTGTTTTGGTTACTGTAGCCTTTTAGTGTAGTTAGAAGTCAGGTAGTGTGATGCCTCCAGCTTTGTTCTTTCTGCTTAGGATTGTCTTGGCTATATGGGCTCTTTTTTGGTTCCATATAAATTTGAAAGTAGTTTTTTTTTTTCTAATTTTGTGAAGAATGTCAATGGTAGTTTGATGGGAATAGCACTGAATCTGTAAATTACTTTGGGCAGTATGGCCATTTTCACGATATTGATTCTTCCTGTCCATGAGGATGAAATGTTTTTCCATTTGTTTGTGTCCTCTCTTTTTGCTTTAGCAGTGGTTTGTAGTTCTCCTTGCAAAGGTCCTTCATGTCTGATATGGTTTGGCTCTGTGTCTCCAGCCAAATCTCATCTTGTAGCTCCCATAATTCACACATGCTGTGGGAGGGACCTGGTGGGAGATGATTGAATGATGGCTGTGAGTCTCTCCCATGCTGTTCTTGTGGTACTGAATGGGTCTCACAGGATCTGATGCGTTTTAAAATGGGAGTTGCCCTGCACAAGCTCTCTTTTTGCCTGCTGCCATCCATGTAAGATGTGACTTGCTCCTCCTTGCCTTCCACCAAGATTGTGAGGCCTCCCCAGCCACGTGGAACGGTAAATCCAGTAAACCTCTTTGTTTTGTAAATTGCCCAGTCTGGAGTATGTCTTTATCAGCAGCGTGAAAACAGACTAATGAAGTAAATTGGTACTAGTAGAGTAAGGCATTGCTGAAAAGATACCTGAAAATATGGAAGCAACATTGGAACTGGGTAACAGGCAGAGGTTGGAACAGTCTGGAGGGCTCAGAAGAAGACAGGAAAATGTGGGAAAGTTTGGAACTTCCTAAAGACTTCTGAATGGCTTTGACAAAAATGCTGATAGTGATATGAACAATAAGGTCCAGGCTGAGGTGGTCTCAGATGGAGATAAGGAACTTGTTGGGAACTGGAGCAAAGGTAACTCTTGTAATGTTTCATCAAAGAGACTGGTGGCATTTTGCCCCTGCCCAGGAGACTTGTGGAACTTGGAACTGGAGGCAGATGATTTAGGATCTGGCAGAAGAAATTTCTAAGCAGCAAAACATTCAAGAGGTGACTTGGGTGCTGTTAAAAGGATTCAGTTTTGAAAGTGAAACACAGCATAAAACTTTGGAAAATTTGCAGCCAGACAATGCAATAGAAAAGAAAATCCCATTTTCTGAGGCAAAATTCAAGCTGGCTGCAGAAATCTGCAAAAGTAATGAGGAGCTGAATGTTAATTCTGAAGACAATAGGGAAAATGTCTTCAGGGCATTTCAGAGGTCTTCACAGCAGCCCCTCCCATCACAGGCCCAGAGGCCTAGGGGGAAAAGATGGTTTTGTGGGCCAGGTCCAGGACCCCCCCTGCTCTGTGCAGCCTAGGGACTTGGTACACTGTGTTCTAGCTGCTCCAGCCATGGAAGAAAGGGGCCAGGGTACAGCTCAGGCTGTTGCTTCAGAGGGTGGAAGCCCCAATTCTTATCAGCTTCTACACAGTATTGAATCTGTAAGTGCACAGATGTCAAGAATTGAGGTTTGGGAACCTCTGCCTAGATTTCAGAAGATTTATGAAAATGCCTGGATGCCCAGGAAGAAGTTTGCTGCAGGGGTGGGGCCCTCATGGAGAACCTCTGCTACGGCAGTGCAGAAGGGAAATGTGGGGTCAGAGATGCCGTGCAGAGTCCTTACTGGGGGAGCACCTAGTGGAGCAGTGAGAAGAGGGCCACCATCCTCCAGACCCCAGACTGGTAGATCCATGGAGAGCTTGCACCGTGTGCCTGAAAAAGCCAAAGACATTCAATGCCAGCCTGTGAAAGCAACTGGGAGAGAGGCTATACCCTGCAAAGCCACAGGGGTGGAGGTGCCAAAGAATATGGGAACCTACCTATTGCATCAGTGTGACTTGGATGTGAGACATGGAGTCAAGAGATCATTTTGGAGCTTTAACTGCCCTGCTGGATATTGGACTTGCATGGGGCCTGTAGTCCCTTTGTTTTGGCCAATTTCTCCCATTTGGAGAGGCTGTATTTATCCAATGCCTCTACCCCCATTGTATCTAGCAAGTAACTAACTTGCTTTTCATATTACAGGCTCATAGGCAGAGGGACTTGCCTTGTCTCAGATGAAACTTTGGACTGTGGACATTTCGGTTAATGTCAAAATGAGCTGAGACTTTGGGTGACTGTTGGGAAGACATGATTGGTTTTGAAATGTGGAGATATGAGATATGAGAGGGAATAATATTGTCTGGTTCTGTGTCCCCACCCAAATGTCATCTTGTATCTCCCGTAATTCCCACGTGTTGTGGGAGGGACACAGTGGGAGATGATTGAATTATGGGGTGGGTCTCTCCCATGCTGTTCTCATGATAGTGAATGGGTCTCACGAGATCTGATGGTTTTAGAAATGGGAGATGTCCTGCATAAGCTCTCCTTTTGTCTGCTGCCATCCATGTAAGATGTGACTTGCTCCTCCTTGCCATCCGCCATGATTGTGAAACCTCCCCAGCCACATGAAACTGTTAAGTCCAATGAACCTCTTTAGTAAATTGCCCAGTCTTGGGTATGTCTTTACCAGCAGTGTGAAAAGACTAATACAACAACCCTTGTTAGCTGTATTCCTAGATATTTTATTCTTTTTGTAGCAACTGTGAATGGGAGTTCACTCATGATATGGCTCTCTGCTTGTGTATTGTTAATGTATAGAAATGCTTGTGAATTTTGCACACTGATTTTGTATCTGACACTTTGCTGAAATTGCTTATCAGCTGAAATGAGGGGGTTTTCTACATATAGGATCATCTTGTCTGCAGACGGAGACAATTTGACTTTCTCTCTTCCTATTTGAATACCGTTTCTGTCTTTCTCTTGCTTGACTGCTCTGGTCAGAAGTTCCAAAACTATGTTGAATAGGAGTGATGAGAGGGCATCCTTGTCTTGTGCCGGTCTTCAAAGCCCTGTGCCAGTCTTCAAAGGGAATATTCTGCTTTTGCCTGTTCAGTATGATATTGGCTGTGGGTTTGTCATAAATAGCTCTTATTATTTTGAGATATGTTCCATCAATACCTGATTTATAGAGTTTTTAACATGAAGGGATGTTGAATTTTCTCAAAGGCCTTTTCTGCATCTATTGAGATAATCTTGTGGTTTTTGTCATTGGTTCTGTTTATGTGATGGGTTACATTTACTGATGTGCGTATGTTGAACCGGCCTTGCATCCCAAGGATAAAACCAACTTGATCATGGTGGATAACCTTTTGATGTGCTGCTGGATACAGTTTGCCAGTATATTATCGAGGATTTTCACATGGATGTTCATCAGGGATATTGGCCTGAAGTTTTCTTTTTTGTAGTGTCTCTGCCAGGTTTTGGTATCAGGATGATGCTGGCCTCATAAAATGAGTTAGGAAGGAGTCCCTCCTTTTCAATTGTTTGGAATAGTTTCAGAAGCAACGGTACCAGCTCCTCTTTGTATCTCTGGTAGAATTTGGTTGTAAATCTGTCTGGTCCTGGGCTTTGTTTGGTTGGTAAGCTATTTATTACTGCCTCAATTTTGGAACTTGGTATTTGCCGATTCAGGGATTTGACTTCTTCCTGGTTTAGTCTTGGGAGGGTGTATGTATCCAGGAATTTATCCATTTCTTCTAGATTTTCTAGTTTATTTGCACAGGAGTGTTCATAGTATATTTTATGGTAGTTTGTATTTCTGTGGGGTCAGTGATGATATCCCCTTTATCATTTTTTATTGTGTCTGTTTGATTCTTCTTTCTTTTCTTCTTTACTATCTAGCTAGTGTTCCATTTTGTTAATTTTTCCAAAAAAATAAACCACTCCTGGATTCATTTATTTTTTTGAAGAGTTGTTTCTCTATCTCCTCCAGTTCCATTCTGATCTTAGTTATTTCTAGTCTTCTGTTAGCTCTGGACTTGTTTGCTCTTGCTTCTCTAGGTCTTTTGTGATGTTATGGTGTTGACCTGAGATCTTTCTAGCTGACGTGGGCATTTAGTGCTATACATTTCCCCCTTAATACTGCTTTAGCTACAGCTCAGTGATTCTAGTACATTGTCTCTTTGTTCTCATTGGTTTCAAAGAACTTCTTGATGTCTGCCTTAATTTCATTATTTACCCAGGAGTCATTCAGGAGCAGGTTGTCCAATTTCCATGTAGTTTTGTGGTTTTCAGGGAGTTTCTTAATCCTGAGTTCCAATTTGATTGCATTGTGGTCTGAGAGACTGTTATTATTTCAGTTCTTTTGCATTTGCTGAGGAGTGTTTTACTTCCAAATATATGGTCGATTTTATAATAAGTGCCATGTGGCACTGAGAAGAATGTATATTTTGTTGTTTGGAGGTGGAGAGTTCCGTAGATATATATTAGGTCCACTTGATCCAGAGCTAAGTACAAGTCCTGAATATCCTTGTTAATTTTCTCTCTCATTGGTCTAATATTGACAGTGTGGTGTTAATATCTCACACTATTATTGCGTGGAAGTCTAAATCTCTTTGTAGGTCTCTAAGAACTTATTTTATGAATCTGGGTGTTCCTGTATTGGGTGCATATATATATATCTTCTTGTTGAATTGATCCCTTTACCATTATGTTAATGCTCTTCTTCGTCTTTTTTTAAATCTTTGTTGGTTTAAAGTCTGTTTTGTCAGAGACTAGGATTGCAACCCCTGCTATTTTGCTATTTTGCTTGGTAAATTTTCCTCCGTCACTTTATTTTGAGCCTATGTGTGTCTTTGCATGTGAGATGGATCTCTTGAATGCAGCACACTGATGAGTCTTGACTCTATCCAATTTGCCAGTCTGTGTCTTTTAATTGGGGCATTTAGTCCATTTACATTTAAGGTTAATATTGTTATGTGTGAATTTGATCCTGTCATCATGAGGCTAGCTGGTTATTTTACACACTAGTTGATGCAGCTTCTTCATCGTGTCATTGGTCTTTATATTTTGTGTGTTTTTGCAGTGACTTGTACTGGTTTTTCCTTTCCATATTTAGGGCTTCCTTCAGGAGCTCTTGCAAGGCAGGTCTGGTGGTGATGAATTCCCTCAGCATTTGCTTCTCTGAAAAGGATTTTATTTCTACTTTGCTTATGATGCTTAGTTTAGCCAGATATGAAATTCTGGGCTGAAAATTCTTTTAAGAATGTTGAATATTGGTTCCCACTCTCTTCTGGCTTGTTGAATTTCTGCTAAGAGATCTGCCTTCTATTAGTCTGATGAGCTTCCCTTTGTAGGTGACCTCACCTTTCTCTCTGGCTGCCATAACATTTTTCCTTCATTTCGACCTTGGAGAATCTGATGATTACGTGTCTTGGGGTTGATCTTCTCATGGAATATCTTAGTGGGGTTCTCTGTATTTCCTAAATTTGAATGTTGGCCTGTCTTGCTAGTTTGGGGAAGTTCTCCTGGATAAAATCCTTAAGTGTGTTATCCAACTTGGTTCCCCTCTCCCCATCTCTTTCAGGTATTCCAATCAGTCATAAGTTCAGTCTTTTTACATAGTCCCATATTTCTCAGAGGTTGTGTTCGTTCCTTTTCATTCTTTTCCTCTAATCTTGGCTGTCTCCCTTATTTCAGCAAGATGGTCTTCAATCTCTAATATTCTTTCTTCTGCTTGATCAACTTGGATATTGATATTGTGTATGCTTCACAAAGTTCTCATGCTTTATTTTTCAGCTCCATCAGGTCATTTATGTTCCTCTCTAAACTGGTTATTCTAGTTAGCATCTCCTGTAGCCTTTCATCAAGGTTCTTAGCTTCTTTGCATTGGGTTAGAACATGAGCCTTTACCTCAGCAAAGTTTGTTCTTGCCCACCTTCTGAAGTCTACTTCTGTCAATTCATCCATCTCATTCTCCATCCAGTACTGCACCCTTGTTGGGGAGGTGTTGCAATTATTTGGAAAACAGGCACTCTGGTCTTTTGGGTTTTCAGTGTTTTTTTCATTGATCCTTTCTCATCTTCATGAATTTGTCTAGTTTCTATCTTTGAGGCTGCTGACCCTTGGATGAGGTTTTTGTGGGGACATTTTTTGTTCATGCTGTTGTTGCTTTTTTTTTTTTTTTCAATAGTCAGGTCCCTTTTCTGTAGGCCTGCTGCAGTTTGCTGGTGGCTCACTTCAGGCCTTAGTCATCTGTTTTGCTTCCATGCCTGGAGATGTCACTCAAGGAGGCTGGAGAACAGCAAAGATGGGTGCCTGCTCCTTCTTCTGGGATCTCAGACCTTGAGGGTCACTTACCTGATGCCAGTAGGAATGCTCCTTTATAGGGTGTCTGACAACCCCTGTTGGGGTGGTCTCAACCAGTTGGGTGGCACAGGAAGCAGGATCCATTTAACAAAGCAATTTGGCTGTCCTTAGTGGATGGGGTGTGCTGTGCTGAGGGAATACCCACTCGTCTGGGCTGCCTGGATTCCTCAAAGCTAGCAGGAGGAAAGACTAAGTCTGTTGGTCCATGGAGATTATGGTCACCCCTTCCACTAGGGGCTCAGGCCCACGGAGGTCAGAGTTCTGTCTGTGAGCCCTGGGCTGGAGTTGTTGGAGTTCCTGCAGGCAAGTCCTGCCCAAGGAGGAGGGATGTATCAGGGTCTGGCCTGAAGAGGCAATCTGGCCGTGGTCTGCCACAACCGGTGTGCTGGGCTGTGGGGATACCTCTTGGGTCCAGCCATCCAGCCTCCCTGGATCCAGCAGGGTAAAAGTGCAGCCCAGAGCTATAGTGATAGCTGCTGCCCTTCCCCACAAAGAGCTTAGTGTGTTAGGTAGCTAGCAGCTGCAGTGTTGGCTGCCATCCCTTCCCCAAGGAGCTCAGATGGCTTAGACCGCAGGCAGCCACAGAAGTGGCAATAGCTGTCCCTCCCCTCAGGAACTCAGCAGGCACAGGCAGATTCTAGCTGAGTGGTTTTTGAGAATCTGCATGGCTCTGTGGTTGGAACCCAAGGTCCTGGTGGTGCTGTACAGTTCCGTGGAAAAAGGATGGTTCACCAGGCTTGGTAGCATGCTCACTCACTGCCTTCCTTGGCTGTGGATGAGGGCTCCCCTGCCCCATGTGGCTCTCAGGTGGGCCGTCACACTACACAGATCTTCCTTCATCTCCATGGGTCGTGCCAGCCACCTAGTCAGTCCTGATGACAGAACCTGGATCTTATTTGCCATTGCAGGATTCGGACGCTATTTTGGTTCTTTTCAATGAGAGCCTCCAATTGCTGCTGCTTCTAGTCGGCCATCTTGGCCTCACTAATCCCAGTTATGTTCTTTTTGCTCAAGACTGATTTGACTATTCATTCTTTTTGGTCCCACTCAAATTTTAGAATTGTTTTTCATATTTCTGTGAAAAATGTTGTTGAAATTTTGATAGGGACTGCACTGAATCTATACAGCACTTTGTGTTGTATGAACTTTTAAACATTAATTCTTCCAATCCATGAACATGGGATATTTTTTCATTTGCATATTCTTCAATTTCTTTCTTCAATGTTTTATAGATTTCAGTATACAGAACTTTCACCTCCAAAGTATTTTTTTGCATTATTGTAAATGGGACTTCCTTGATTTCTTTTTCAGATGGTTGTTAGTGTATAGAAACAATAATGATTTTTGTACACTGAGTTTGTATCCTGTAACTGTATTAAGTTTATTAGTTCAAACAGCTTTTGGTGGGTCTTTAGGATTTTCTATATATGAGATCATGTCATCTGCAAACAAATAATTTTACTTCTTCCATTCTGATTTGGATGCCTTTTTCTTTTTCTTGCCTAACTGCTCTAGCTAAGACTTCTAATACAGTTGTCCCTTGGAATCAGCAGGAGATTGGCTTCAGGACCCCTCAAGGATAACAAAAATCTGTGGATGTTCAAGTCTCTTATATAACATGGTACAGTATTTGGAAATACCTATGCATATCCTCCTCTATAGTTTAATTTTTAGATTACTTATAACTAAATGTTAAATAGGTATTTTTGTATTTTTTATTGTATGTTATTTTGTTTAAATATTTTTCATCTATGATTGGTTGAATCCATGGATGTAAAACCTGCAGATATGGAGAAACAATGGTACTGTATTGAATAGCAGTCATGAGGGTGGGCACCATTGTCTTTAAAAGCTTTCAGATTTTCACCACTGAGTATGATATTAGCTTTGGCTTATCATACATGACCTTTATTATGTTGAGGTACATTCTTTCTATACCTAATTTGTTGAGAGATGTTATCATGAAAAAATATTTATGTCAAATGCTCATGAAAAAATATTTATGTCAAATGCTCTTTCTGCATTGATTGAGATGACCATATAACTTTATCCTTCAATTCTATTCAATTCTATCACACTGATTAATTTGTGTATATTGAGACATCTTTGCACATCAGGGATAACTTCCATTTGTTCATGGTATGTAAACCTTTTAATGTATTATTGGACTCAATTTGCTAGTATTTTGTTGTGAATACTTGCATCTATGTTCATCAGGAATATTGGCCTATAATTTTCTTTCCTTGTAGTTTCCTTATCTAGCTTTGGTATCAGGGTAACAGTAGTTTTGCACAATGAGTATGGAAATGTTTTTTCCTTTTCAATTTTTTGGAAGAGTTTGAGAAAGACTGGTGTTAATTCGTCATTAAATGTTTGGTAGAATTCCCCAGTGGAACCATCAGGTTTTGGTCTTTTGTTTGCTGGGTTTTTGATTACTGATTCAATATCTTTACTTGTTATATTGCTTTGTTCAGGTTTTCTATTTCTTCATGATTCAATCTTGATGGTTTGTATATTCCCAGGAATTTATCAATTTCTTCTAGGTTATCCGATTTGTTGGCATATAATTTTTCACAGTAGAGTCTTATGCTCCTTTCTATTTTGCTGATATCAGTGATCATATTTATTCTCACATTTATAATTTTGAGTCTTTTCTCTTTTTTCTTACGTCTCACTAAGGGCTTATCAATTTTGTTTATGTTTTCTAAACACTAACTCTTCATTTCATTGACATTTACTATTTTTCTAGTCTCTATTTTGCTTATTTCTGCTCTGTCATTTATCTCCTTTTTTCTGC
The DNA here is from genome assembly GCF_000001405.40 of Homo sapiens. Taxonomy (NCBI): domain Eukaryota; kingdom Metazoa; phylum Chordata; class Mammalia; order Primates; family Hominidae; genus Homo; species Homo sapiens. The sequence goes on from NC_000005.10 coordinate 103,082,255, forward strand.
TTTGTGCTTAAGTTCTTTTTCTAGTCCTTGAGATGTAGAGTCAGGTCATTTCTTTTTAAAAAAAATGCTATAACCTACTCTCTTAGAACTGCTTTTGGTCTCTCTCATAAGGTCTGGTTATTTTGTTTCCCTTTTGTCTCAAGATATTTTTACATTTCAGTATTGAGTTCTTTTTTGACCCACTGGTTGTTCAGGAGTTATGTTAATTTCTACATACTTGCAAATTTTTCAGTCTTCCCCATTTTGGATTTCTAGTTTCATACCACTTGAGTCAAAAAAGATACTTGATATACTTTTAATATATTCCTAAATTCATTAACACTTGTTTTGTGGCTTAACATGACCTATCCTGGAGACTGTCCTGTACTTACGTCAAAGGAATGTGTATTCTGCTACTAATGAATAGGAATGTTCTGCATATATCTGTTAGATCCAATTGGTCTATACTGCTGTTCAAGTCTGCTGTTTCCATGTTGATTTTCTGCCTGGATGATCTATCCATTAGCGAAAGTAGGGCATTAAAGTTTCCAACTATTACTGTATTGCTATTTCTTCATTAATTCTGTTACTATTTGCTTTATATATTTAGGTGCTCCAATGTTGGGTGTATATATATTTGCAATTGCAGTATCTTCCTGATGAATTAACCCCTTTATCATTATATAATAACCTCGTCTTTTGTGAAAGCTTTGGACTTAAAGTCTATTTTGTGTGATGTAAGTGTAGCCATTGTGCTCTCCTTTGATTACCATTTGCATGGAATATATTTTTCCATCCTGTCACTTTTAGTCTATGTGCATCCTTAATCTGAAGTCTCCTCTAGTCACCATATAGTTAGAGTTTGTTTTTCTTAATCTATTCAGTCACTCTGTATTTTGATGGAAGAATTTAATGCATTTAAAGTAACTGCTGATAGCTATGGATGTGCTACTGTTATTTTGTTCATTGTTTTCACTGTTTTGTAGGTCCTTTTCCCTCTCTTCCTCTTTCTGTCTTCCTTTGTGATATAACAATGTCTTGCGGCGGTATACTGTGACTCCTTTCTCTTTATCCTTTTTGTGTATCTACTACAGGTTTTTCCTTTGTGGTTACCATGATGCACATCTGAAACATCTTATAGTTATATCAGTCTATGTTAACCTGATAACAACTTAATTCTGATTACATACAAAAACTACACTTTTAAAATTTCTTCTCTCCCCACGTTTTGTTATTAATATCACATCTTTAGATAATGTGTAGCCATTAACACATTATTGTAGCTAGTTTAAGAAATATTTTTGTCTTTTAACTTTCATACTAGAGTTATAAGCAATTTACACACCACCATTACAGTATTCTGAATTTGACTATGTTCCTACCTTTACAGTAAGTTTAATACTTTCATATGTTTTCATGTTGTTAGCTAGCATCTTTTATTTCAACTTGAAGAACTCCCATTAGAATTTTCTGTGAGACAGGTCTAGTGTGTCAAATTCCCACAGCTTTTTTTCTGGGCAAGTTTTTGTCTCTTCTACATTTATGAAGGACAGCTTTGTTGGGTATAGTATTCTTGGTTGAGTTTCTTTGGCTAAATATCTCATTCCACTCTCCTGGTCTGCAAGGTATCTGGTGATAGTTTTATGAAGGTTCTTTTGCATGTAATGTTGCTTTTCTGTTGCTGCTTTATAAGTTTGAGAACTTGATTATGTTTCAGTGAAGATTTCTTTATACTTCTTCTATGTGGTGTTCCTTGGGATTCCTAGATAAGGATGTTCACTTCCGTCTCCAGATTTGGAAAGTTTTCTGTCTTTATCTCTTTTAAAAAGCTTTCTTCCTTTTTCTCTGTCTCTGCTTCTTCTAGAATTCCCATAATGAACATTTTTGTTTACTTGATGGTGTCTCAAAGGCCCATAGGCTTTCTTCACTTTTGTTTCCTCTAACAAGGTAATTTCAAAGGCTCTGTCTTTCGGCTTGTTGATTCTTTATTTTGCTTGATCAAGTATGCTCTTGAAGTTCTTTGTTGAATTTGTCAGTGCAGTTACTGTGTTTTTGAGTTCTAAAGTTTAATTTTAAATATGTTTTCTCTCTTTTTGTTAAACTTCTCATTTTCTTCATGTAAATTTCCTGATTTTGGTTAGTTGTCTGTGCCCTCTTGTAGCTCATTTGGCTTGTTTTAGATAATTGTGTTGAATTCTTTCTCAGGCAGTTTTTAGATGGCGATTTATTTATGGTCATTTACTGGTGCTTTTTTGTTGTTGTTCTTCTGGTGGCATCATGTTTCCCTGATTATTCAGGATTCTTGCAGTCTGTGTTGCTACCTGCACATTAAAAAAAATAGGCACCTCTTCCAGTCTTCATAGACTGGCTTTGGCAGAGAAAGCCCTTCACCAGTCTGCCAGTCTAGAGGTTCATGGTGGGCAATCTAGTGGGGTCCTCATGGGGGGCTGGCCTGATGCTTGGGTCCTCAGGGGCCAGCCTGCCCTCTGAGGTCTACTGGGGAAGACCTGGACCCTGAACCACAGGGACTGTCCTGGAGCCTGGAACTGTGGATGCCTACCTGGAGCACCATTTTAAATTGTACATTTCAGTAGATTTTAGTATATTCAAAGTTATGAAACCATCGCTAGTAAGTTTAGAACACTGTTGTCACCACAAAAAGAAACCCCATACCAATTAGCACTGTGTAGCTATGTTTCACCTTTGTAGAAAAGATGTGCATAACTTTGCAGCAACTTTTGAGATCTAATGCTCAGTTCATGTTTTCCTTCCCTTGTCATGGTGAGCTGTTATTCCAGAGATGGGGAACCATGGCCCCACATCCAGCAGTGGTGATGAAAATGCAGACAAGCCCTTGATGAACTAAGAGAAATATGTGGGGTGTCCAAGAAATAAAGCTTTGTTAAATTACTAAGATTTTGGAAGTGGTTTGCAGACACAGAATAATCTAGCCTAACATGACTAATAAACACAGGATAAAAGTCTGTTTAATGAGAAACTACTTAGGAGAAGCAAAAATTAAAAAAAATATGTTTAGAGTTGGTTATTTTAAAATGACTCTGAATACTAATCACCTTCTTGAAATGGGGGGAAAAGAGGCTGATTTTGAGTCAGATAATCATTAAAAAGAAGTTACTTCATTTGAGCTAAGAAAAAGTCACTTATATTTACCAAAAAGATATTCTAATATGACTCTTTTCTAAACTTTGCTCTTCTGAGGAAAGCAGGATAGGTAGCACTGTTTGATACAATTACGCTTTTTTAAAAAAAGTTTTGTTTTTTTCTTCCTGGAATTCTGTTTGAAATTTATTTGGTCTGTGGTATAAGATGAGGTCCTAGATTCACACCCTACCCTAAACACTTTTCCTTTAGCCTATATTAAACATAATCTTTCTTCTTAAATGAGTAATCAGAATACTCCAGGTCTCCATCTTTGATATCACATCACTGTTCAGTATGGTTGTGAAATATAATATGTGCGATATTCTGTACTGATCTTAAGACAGACTCCATTCATTACCAATGCTACAGGCCCAGTTTAGGTTTTTAGTATTCGTCATCACTGCGAAGTCCTCTCAACTAATCTCCATGCCTTGTTTTCTCCTCTTCTAATCTGTTCTTTACTAGTTGCCAGATTAAACTTCCAAAAACACAGTTCTGATTATGACAGTTTCCTATACAAAGTTTTTGCTCTCAGAAAAGAAATAATTTAGCCAGGCATTTGTATTATTGCTAGAGCTACTGTAACAAAGTCCCACAAACTGGATGGCTGAAACAATAGAATTTTATTGTCTCACAGTTCTGGAGGCAAAAGTCTGAGATAAGGTATTGACAGGGTTGGTCTTCTGAGGAATGAGGAAAAATGTATTCAATGCCTCTCCCCTAACTTCTGGTAGTTTTCTGGCAATCTCTGTCATTTCTTGGCATATAGAAACATAATCTTAAACTCTGCCTTTATCTTCACATGGCATTCTCCTTGAGTCTGTGTTCAAATTTTCCCCTTTTATCAGAACACCAGTAATACTGTATTAGAGCCCACCCTATTGAAATATGATCTCAACTAATTACACTTGCAACAACCTCATTTCCAAATAAGGTCACATTTTGAGGTGGTGGGGGTTAAGACTTCAACACAAATTTTGGGAGGGGCACATATCAATCCTTAATAGTATTCAAAGCTCTCCATAAGGTTTCCTACTTACCTTTTCAGCTTTATCCCTCATTATCTTGCTTCTTCACTTTATACCCGAGGCAGTGTAGACAACAAGAAGCCCTGCCTTTTTATGAATCATTACAATACTTTTCCATTTCTGTGTATTACTTCTCCCCTAATTCTTTTGTATCCATTTACCAAATCCTATACATTCTTCAAGGTCAAGCTTAAATGATCCTTCTTCCATAAGGATAAACACAAATTTCCTATGTAAAAACAACTTCTCTCTTTTTGCCTCCCTAAGTACATTATCTACACCTGTCTTCTGCAATTTAGCATGCCTTAACTTGTGCTGTACATGGCTTACATAGTTTATTACCTACCAGACAGTAAGTCCTTTATAAGAATGAGGTACACGTTTGACTCATCTTTTACTTTTCCCACAGTTCTTTTCATAGTGCTTTAGAATAAATATTTATTGAACAATATTTATTTTATATTTATGAATATCATAGAAATTACAGTTTAAAATCTTTGATACTGGTTATTTTATGATTTTATGATTGCAGAAAAAATTCTTAACGGATACTTTTGTTGTTGTTGTTGAGACAGGTCTTGCCCTGTCGCCCAGGCTGGAGAGCTGTGGCATGAGCGCGGCTCACTGCAGCCTCGACCTCCTGGGGTCAAGCAATGCTCCTACTTCAGCCTCCTGAGTAGCTGGGACCGCAGGCATGTGCCACCACACCTGGCTAATTTTTAAACATTTTTCTGTAGAGATAGGGTCTCCCTGTGTTGCCCAGGCTGGTCTCGAACTCCTGGGGTCAAGTGATCATCCTGCCTTGGCTTCCCAAAGCGCTGGGATTACAGGTGTGGGCCACCATGCCTGGTCGATGGTTTTATCTTTAATATATAGTATGAAAATAAACAAATTGTTTCCCAACCAATACATAGTTTCAGACCCTAATCCTGACCCTATCTAACCAATTAGATAATTTGAAATTACCAATATTCTGTGAAAGCCTATTAAATAACCCTATATTTTTTCATACAATCTTGTTTTTAGAAGTTCTAATGAAACAGAAAGAAGCTTCATTTCATTCATTGTTACAGTTGATTCAGTATTTATCAATTCCATTCAAGGTAGTTCAAACTTACTGTTTAAATGGTAGAGAATTTCAGAAAATTTAAAACTTAGAAACGGTGCCAAAACCATACAAAGGTTTGAGAGATTTGGGCTGGAATTTATTTCCCAAGAAGTAGGGGTGCTTTGCCTGTTCTCTTTTTAGAAGAAAAAGTGAATTCTATATATTACATGCTTCCTTTGCCTTCATATGTACGTATACTGATATTCAAATGTGGCATAATTTTAGATAAGAACTATAAAATAAACCTTCAGAATATAGTCATTAAGAATGTGTCAAGATACTTCTTCTATACAACGTTTTTAATGAATAAGATATCATTAAGAATTTATATTCTAAACAAACAATTTAAATAAATTTTGGTATTTACTAACTTAAGTATTCAAGAACCTGGTTTGAAGAGTCCAACAGACTGAAAGTCTGCTTTTCAAGAGAACTATGATCGTCTATCAATGGAGAGATTTTCGTATTTCTATATTCTAATAGTTCACGATCCTTGCTTGATGTCAGTAATTCATTATCGACTATACCAATAGTTGCATCTTCCACCAGAATATTTGCTTGATATGCTCCAATCGGAATTTCAGGCAATCCAATGTAGTCATGATCTGCCACTACTGAACCTTGCAAGAGATAAAGACTTTCTGAAAAAAGAAAAATCATACATTTGACTTTTAGAATTATAATTAAACATATTTTTTAATTAAACAATTTTAAGTGAGGAACAAAATCCCAAGTAATAAAAATTAACTATCAAGATTAACTTCTAGGGAGTTATACTGTCTACTAAATATGAATGTCAAAGAATAAAAAAATGACATATAAATTTGACAGTTCATACATAAACAATGCAGGAAAGGTCAAGGATTTTAAAACAGCCATTTTCCTGTTCCCTCAACCTGTCTTTGGTAGATATGTATATATGCGGACAACGGGATAGAAGGAGTGAGAATTATGGTATAGATTAAAAATAAAATAATAAGGCTGTGCACAGTGCCTCATGCCTGTAATCTCAGCACTTTGGAAAGCCAAAGCCGGTAGATTGCTTAAGCCCAGGAGTTCAAGATCAGCTTGGCCAACATGGCGAAACCCCTTCTCTACAAAAAATACAAACAATTAGCAAGGTGTGGTTAAGGGTGTCTATGGTCCTAGCTACTTAGGAGGCTGAGATGGAAGGATCACTTGAGCCTGGGAGATTGAGGTTGCAGTGAGCCATGATGGCACCACTGCACTCCAGCATGGGTGACAGAGCAAAACCCTGTCTTAAAAAAAAAATTATAAAACTATTTTTGATAATGTTATCCTTAATATGCTTCTGTAAAGCATTTCTGGGTGAATTAATAGGGTCATATAATTATTTTAACAAATAGAATTATTAAATCCTTGCATTTACAACTTGAGATAATCTTCCAATCTTTATAAAACCCATATTGGAAAGATAATATCATCAAATTGTTACAGTATGAAGTTAAAAACAACATGCCAACTGAGGCTTATGTGATAATGTGTAAGAAGGCAGGCTGCCATGGAGTAGCTTAAAAAGCTTAGCTTATTTAAATCTAATTTGATACCAAAATTCTTAGGAACTTTTAAGGTCTACCTAAGCCATACTGAAGTACTGACAGGGAGTCTTCCTGGTCAGTGTTTTATTGTATGTTGAGCAAATTTATCATCACCATCAAGAAAAAAATGTTTAAAATGAATGTTAAACTGATGGCAAATCTTCTATACACAGACTAATATGTATAAAAGGATTCCTCCCTTTCTGATATTTGAATTCATTACAATAAGAAACTCTTTTACCAAAGCTGATTAACTTCCTGGATCCCTACCTTCTCTTTCTAAATGTTCCCCCAAAACATCAGAATATAGATATAGATATATTTATTTATCTTTATTTACTTATTTTTCATTCATTCATTCATTCATTCATTCACTCATTCATTCATTCATGGTCTTGCTCTGTCACCCAGGCTGGAGTGCAATGGCGTGATAACAGCTGACTGCATCCTTGACCTTCTGGGCTCAAGTGATCCTCCCACCTCAGCCTCCCAAATAGCTGGGACCATAGACACATGTCACTATGCCTGGCTAATTGTGTTGCCTAGGTTGGTCTCCTGAAGATGTTAATGGGTTAAGGAGCCCTCAAATTTTAAGACCAAAAAAGCAAAAGGAAGATTAATTGCCTATTTAGATTAGAGACCAATGGAAGTGTCTCAGAACAGATGAATTTGGTAGTATATTTTGAAAATCAATCCTACTGTACTCACCCTCATAACATTATTACAAATAGCTCACTGAACCTATTTCAACCCCAGAAATTCATGCATTTAACAACTTTCAATTTATAAACTTTAACAGATCACACAAAGCTATTCTCTCTACCAAAAGATGGCATAAGTGGGCTTGGGCTTGTATGGCCATTTATTCTCCCATAATTCTGAAAGACAAAAAAAAATAAAATAAAATAAAAATCATGCAGCCAGGCAGTGGCTCATGCCTGTAATGCCAGCACTTTGGGAAACCAATGCGGGCAGATCACTTAAGGTTAGGAGTTCGAGACCAACCTGGCTAACACGGTGAAACCCCATCTCTACTAAAAATACATAAATTAGTCAGGCATGGTGGCATGTGCCTGTAATCCCAGCTACTGGGGAGGCTTAGGTGAGAGAATTGCTTGAACCCAGGAGGTGGAGGTTGCAGTAAGGCGAGATCGCACCATTGCACTCCAGCCTAGGTGACAGAGCGAGACTCTGTCTCAACAACAACAACGAAAATCATGCAACACATGAGATGTGTTATACCCAATAGCAGCAAGAGGGAAGAAAACATGATCAATAACATTGAAACACTTTCAGAATGTGTTGCTAGAGGTTTAACATCAAAGTTTGCAACTACCCTACTGTTAATACGAGAGAAGGCTAGGCGGTAGTTTATAAGAGAACATTAAAAGGTTAGATAGGGTAAACATGTTGCTGATGAAATTTTCTACTAAGTCATGGAGAATTCCATAGGTTCAAGGCCTGTACATTCCTACAAAGTTATCAGTGATGGCAGTTACCATAGGCATTTAAGAAATGCCCAAAGACTCTTTCAGAGGATTAATGAAGGAGGTTTTCTGTCTGTAAAAGTTTTTTCATACAGATGAAGTAGGACTACTTTAGAAAAATATGTCTAGTAAACATATGTCAATAGGGAAAAATATGCCTAGATGTAAAGCTCTTAGAAATTTTCATTTTAATTTGCTGAAATGGATTCAGAGACCTTGAACTTGAGTACCTCCTAGTTACACTGGTTAGAAACAAATGGACATACCAACCTCACTTGATTTTAAGAGAGCTTCTGTATGTAAGTAAAATAAGTCACACACGAACACACACACACACACACACACACACTCTTTTTCTTCTAAAAAAAGTTAACCTTTAAAGTAACTTATTGTAATAAAACTGTAGAGAACAAGGACTACACACAGCAAATTCTACATAAATCACTTTATACACATAGAAAACCACTCTGAATATGTCAAAGGCCTGTTTGTTTACAAAAAAAATTCTCATTCATTTGCAAAGGTCAAATATGTTTCAACTCCTACTATGGTCTAAATCTACTGGAGCTAAGAGAAATGCTCTTTAATTTCAGTAAAGAGATCAGAAAAGAGACTCTTGTGGCCTTACATGTTGAACAAGTAATATTTTGGATACACTGGATTATATAAAATATATTATTAAGGTTATTTTCATTTATTTCTGTACTTTTCAAAATGTGGCTATTAGAAAATTTTAAATTACATAGCTCTTGTATTATTATTCATCTATTGGACAACACTAATCTAAAACAATCATGAGTTAGGGATACAGAAAAGAATATGATTAAACTTTCTGCCCTCAAAACAGAGGCGGGGAGTAAGCAAACATATCATATTAAAGGTCTTTTCTAGTCAGCTACATTACACAGTACATTTCACTAAGTATTTATCTTTTCTCATTCCATTAATTTAGTTATGATTATGACATCTGTTTGATGAAAGCATCATTTTGGTTTTGACAAGACTGAATAAGTCTTTAGTTTCTTTGAAATTAAAATATTTTCAAGACATTTCAGGAAGGTATTAATCAGCAGTTTTGATATCCATTTCTAATGTAGGTTTTTTTTTTAAAGAGATGGGGTCTCAGCCAGGCATGGTGGCTCACGCCTATAATCCCAGGGGTCTCAGCCAGGCATGGTGGCTCACGCCTGTAATCCCAGTACTTTGGGAGGCCAAGGCGGGTGGATCACTTGATGTCAGGAGTTTGAGACCAGCCTGGCCAACATGGTGAAACCCCGTCTCTACTAAAAATACAAATATTAGCTGGGTGTGGAGGTGGGCGCCTGTAATCCCAGCTACTCAGGAGGCCGAGGTAGGAGAATTGCTTGAACCCAGGAGGCGGAGGTTGCAGGCAGCCAAGATCACACCATTGCACTCCAGCCTGTGTGATAATAGTTGAACTCCATCTCAAAAAAAAAAAAAGATGGGGTCTCACTCTGTCACTCAGGCTGGAGTGCAGCGGTGCAATGTTGGCTCATTGCAGCTCAGTCTCCCGGGCTCAAGTGATCCTCTGCCTCAGCCCGCTAAGTAGCTAAAACTAAAGGTGCGTATCACCATGCCCGGCTAATTTTTGTAGGGACGGGGTTTCACTATGTTGCCCATGCTGGTCTCGAACTCCTGAGCTCAGGCAATCCTACCTCGGCCTCTCAAAATGCTGGGATTACAGGCATAAGCCACTGTGCCCAGCCTTAATGTTGTTTTAAGGAATAAAAATAATAATTAAAAAATCAATTTTTAAATTTCCCTGAGAAAAATAAATACAAATTACAGCTTCAAAAAAGTCTGATTTAGATTAATGTATTTCTTCAATCAGAAAAAAAAAGATAAAGGTTTCAGACTACTTAATTTTCTTATTTTAAAGAGAAGTGACTAAACTAATCCTATATATGGTTTGATAATCCTCAAACTATTAGAATGTGCTGCCATACTAGTATATCCTTTCTCAAGATAAAATAATAACTATAACTTGATACTAAATCACTGTCATTATAATAACTAATACTGTCAACAGATAACTGAGTAACTATTGGTTAAGAAATTATATAACTGGACGGGCACAATGGCTCACACTTGTAATTCCAACACTTGGGAGGTCTAGGTGAGAGGACTGCTTGAGTCCAGGAGTTTGAGACCAACCTGGGCAACATAGTAAGACCCTGTCTCTATAAAAAACGAAAAACTCAGCCAGGCATGGTGATGCATGCCTACATTCCAAGCTACTTGGGAGGCTGATGTGGGAAGATTGCTTGAGCCCAGGAAGTCAAGGCTGCAGTGAGCTATTATTGTGCAACTGCACTCCAGCACGGGCAACCATGTAAGAACCTGTCTCAAAAAAAAAAAAAAAAAAAAAAAAGGAAAAAAGAGAAAGAAAAAAAAAAGATATAACTAAGAGGCCAAAAAAAGGCTCTCTGCATAAACTATATTAACGTCAAGATCATGGTCTTGACACTATAGGGACTGTGCTTTGCTTTGTTTCATGAATGCAGACCATAATTGTGGTAGGCAGCATAATAGGCCCCTAAAGATGTCAACATACTACTCCTTGGATCCTGTGAATATGTAATCTTACATGGTGAAGGAGAATTTAGGTAGTGATGGAATTAAGGTTGCTAATCAGATGACCTTAAAATAGGGGGATTATCCTGGACTTTTTGGGCAGGGCCAAGGTCAAGGGTCCTCAAATATAGAAGAGGGAGGCAGAAGAGGAGGTTGGAGTAAGGTGATGTAAGAAGGACTCAACCCACTATTGTTGGCTTTGAAGATAGAGGGACCACAAGCCAAGAAATGAAGGTAACCTCTAGAAGCTGGAAAAGACAAGAAAATGGATTATTTTCTAGAGCTTCCAGACAGGAACACAACAGTGCCAATACCTTGATTTTAGCCCAGTAAGATCTATGTTGAACTTCTAACCTTCAGAATTGTAATATAATAAATGTGTGTTGTTTTAAACCATTAAATCTGTAGTAATTTGTTACAGCAACAAGAGGAAACTTATACAATAATGAAAATGGTTTCACAAATGGGGCTTTCAACTGTGAAGGGAAATCAGGCTAAAACCTTGGGTGAGGCAGATCCAAATCTATCACAAACAAAATAAATTCAAAACTGTGCAAAATCTATGTCAGATTATTTTTTCCTTTCAAAGAGGAGCATTATGATTACAAAAAGACACTATGGTATTTTAAGATTTCTTGGTCTAAATAGTCTGAAAAAGCGCTTGGCAATGAACTAGACAAAAAAACAAACAGGCCTGCTTAAAATAGCAATGAAAAATATTGTATACCTAGTACTGAATGTGCTCACTCTACATTTAGTTCTAGATAAGAATGGATAAGAAGTTGGCAATAGAAGTATATCTACTTTAGACAGTGAGTTTTTAACAGAGCTATGAAATTTCAAGGCTAGCAAAGAGCAGCAATGACAAATGTGGACAAATAAATTTATAGTTCTTTTGGCTATAGCATGTCAAAATTTATGTCAAATAAAAACTTCAATGATTAGTCAAAATCATTTTGTTTGCTTTAATTCAGCTCAAGGACTCTTTCAAATCAACTTGTGAGGTGATTTTCAAGAAAATCATGGAAAAGATTTTCAAGAAAGTATGTAATATTGAGGAAAAAGATGGCAGAAATCACATTTACTTTTAATTTCTACAAATGAGAAAAATGTAAAAAAAGGATCAAGCAATAAGAACCAGATTCTAGGATGGCCAGATCAGTAGTTCCTTTAGTTAACAAGAAAAACTAAAACAGACTCATCTAATTAGTCTTAAATTCCTTATGCATACACCAGTAGTCATATTGCAATATTATTTGTCCTTATATTACTGGAAGAATCTTGTGCAAAGAATTCAAGTATGAGGCAAATATTATACTGCCTCTGTTTAGAGACTGTTCTCAAACAGAGAAGATGAGTTCTGAAATACTGAGTTCTGAATGTTCAGAAGAAGCACAATATTTGACTTCTTTTCTGAGAAACTCTTTGACAAGAACAAATTACAAAATGTTGATAGATCCTGGTTTAGCAAAATTTTAAATTAAATTTTGTATTAAAGAAGCTTAACACTTTAGAAGAGAGCAAATCATGAATGTCAAAGATTAAGGGGAAAATCATGCTAAAGAAGCTAGAACAACATATACTTGTATAACCTTTTTTTTCCCTACTTAACTTGCAGAAGAGAGAGATCATTAAAGGTAGCTCAGAACTGAGAAGAGGTACAAACAATGCAAGCTTTTATCTTCTAACAAAGAGAACGAAAGCACTTGTGAGTTTTCAGGATTAGAATGTAGTTCAAGATAAGTTTACTGACTAAACAACTCGGTCTGTCACAAGAAGGAAAGGTACTAAGAGGTTTTAACATGAGTGTTGTAACCCAGATTAGAAGCAGAGTTGAGCTATCATTACTAAGCAGCCCACATGGGCTTTAGAACTCAAGAAAAGGCATAGGGTAAGTGTAGGTTATTTGTTGTTGTTACTCTTTTTGTTATTAATATTTGCTAAAGCCTGTCATATAACTTGTTTATATTGTTATAAATATATTTTCCATTAAATGTTACTTATATCCAAATAATATTAATGTTTCACCTGGCTAAGTTACTCATTAACTCTCTCTCAGTTATCCACCTCAGAGAAGATCTAGGAAGCAGACACATTAGGACAAAATAAAAGCCTTGATAAAGTGGGGAACATAATCTAAAAGCCATGGCAAAAACATCACTTTACTAGGGTATCTTGACTGTTCAGAATGAGTCAAATTTAGGGGCAAATATAACTTGTTTAGAGTGCTGTCACCTCTTCTTACAGCACCTTATAGCATTCTGAGGATTCCCCACTCTGCACCCACACCTGGCCCCCAACCATGACCTAACTATAAAGCAATATTAAAAATTAATGTCATTTTTAAAGTACCCTAATATTTATCTCACAACTAGATTCTGGACAGTATGTTTGTTTTTGGCATTAATGATCACAGTTGCTGTTTTTCATGCCAAAAAGAGGCACGAAGTGACTAATACATTTGTAAGGCCAGGTGCAATGGCACATGCACGCAATCCCAGCACTTTGGGAGGCCAAGGCAGGCAAATCCCTAGAGGCCAAGAGTTCAAAACCAGCCTGGCCAACATGGTGAAACCTCATCTCTACCAAAAATACAAAAAAATTAGCTGGGCATGGTGGCATGTGCCTATAATCCCAGCTACTTGGGAGGCTGAGGCACAAGAATTGCTTGAACCCAGGAAGCAGAAGTTGCAGTGAGCTGAGATTACACAACTACACTCCAGCCTGGGGGACAGAATGAGACTCTGTCTCAAACAAACAAACAAACAAAACATTGAGAAAGCAAAAACAGAGATGATGTTAAGATGTTATCTTTCCTTCAGAGGAAAACAAGTTCAGTATCTCCCACATAAACTATGAAAAACATACTAGAAATAAAAATAAAAATGCCCAGGCACCCTGTTTCATGCCTGTAATCCAAGCACTTTGGGAAGTCAAGGCGGGCAGGTCACGGGAGGTCAGGAGTTCAAGACCAGCCTAGCTAACATGGTGAAACCCCGTTTCTACTAAAAATACAAAAAATTAGCTGGGCATGGTGGTATCCACCTGTAGTCCCAGCTACTCGGGAGGCTGAGGCAGAATTGCTTGAACCCGGGAGGCAGAGGTTGCAGTGAGCCAAGATCGCGCCATTGCACTCCAGCTTGGGCAGAAAGAGGGAAACTCTGTCTCAAAAAAAAAATCTCACAGGCCTGACAGTTCCAGAAGAGACACTGTAATAAAACAGACTACCTGGGATAGCTAAAACTGTAACAAATTTTATGAAGAAGGGAAAAGAAAACCTAACAAAAGAGGGGAGAAAGGTTTCTGTTATTTTTAACTATTCTCCTTACCTAAAGCAATAAAAATGTAGAGAAGTGACAGATATTTACCTTGTTCACTGGATTCTCTTATGTAGGGCTTAAGGTGGGACATTTTGATAGGTCTTTTCAGTCTAACCCCAGTGTTGTCTCTCAGGACAGCACATCCACTTTCTGTAATATAGTCTATGACACAAGGACCAACCCATTCAGACTGAAAACGACCATCCTTCCACCAATTTTTCCTTTGTCTTAAAACTTCATGACCCACTTTTAAATGAAATGGATTTAATTGTTTGGGTTTCTTTTTAACAATGATCTTGCTTTTATTTAGTTCATCCAAATTGTTGTTCTCCATCTACAAGTGTAAAAAGAAAAAGAACAAAGAGATGAAAGAGCTATAATATCTTGAAGGTAAATGCAAATAATGAGAATATTGTAACAAAATGGTACTTGAGATGCTACTAAAAGGTAGGTATGAATTCTATTTAATTCTTAAAACATTTCAAAGTCAGTATTATTAGCTCCTACTTTATATAGAAGGTAAACTAAGATAGGTTAAGTAATTTGCCGAAGTCAAACAACTCAAAAGCAGTTAAGACTACAGATTTGAATCCAGCTCTACTTGATTCCAAAATCCATAGCTTTCTCATTATTGCCTCTCAGCATTTCATAGCTAGTAAACCAACTATTTAATCAAGACAAGAAAAATCTGATAGATAAAAAATTATGGCAAGTAAGTATGTGTGTGTGTGTGCATGCACACATGTATATGCTGAAATTTTAAAAATAAATATAACTTTTATAAAGTTTTAGATTACAGTTTTTCTATTGAATAGAATCACCTGGCCCAGTGAAGTTGTCTTATTCTCCATTATTTTATCAGCTTCTTTAATTGCATCTAGAATTTTGGCAAACATACTTGTATTATCACCATCCACTTCATGAAGACTATCTGAAGTCTCAGGCATATAAGGATTTCGACTAAACATTTGAAAATATGGTGTATTTTTAGTAGGTTCCTATTTTAAAGAAAATAAACGTCAATTTTGTAATAAAACATTTATCTGGCCAAGAAATAGTCATAACTCAGAAGTACAGAATTATAAAAAGGCACATACCAAGTGAGTTACATTGAAGGCAAATGAAACAGCTGATAGGTGATCATCCCAATTGTTTGGGTGGTCAGCACAGTGTTTGGAGAGAAATGCTTTGATTGTGTTAGGTGTACTTTCCGTTGGGTTAACAGTTCCAGAGGTGTGAGAAATTACAATTTGCTTTATGCCAAACAATCTGTACAGTTCAATATTGATCTGAAAAATATATAAAACAAAGGTGGCTTTTTAAAATTTGTGTTTTATTTTTCCATTGACTTAAAAAAAAGCTTCAAAAGAATTAGAATCTTGCCTTTTATTTATCTATTTATTTTTTTGAGATGGAGTCTTGCTCAGTCACCCAGGCTGGAGTGCAGTGGCAAAATCTCGGCTCACTGCAACCTCTGCCTCCCAGGTTCAAGCAATTCTTCTGCCTCGGCTTCCTGAGTAGCTGGGACTACAGGTGTGCGCCACCACACCCGGCTAATTTTCGTATTTCTAGTAGAGACGGGGTTTCACCATATTGGCCAGGCTAGTCTTGAACTCCTGACCTTGTGATCCACCTGCCTTGGCCTCCCAAAGTGCTGGGATTACAGGCATGAGCCACTGCGCCTGGCTGAATCTTGCTTTTTTATTGACCATAACATTCTATATGAACACATACATAAAATATGTAAAATTTTATGTATAAAATAGTGATTGCCATTTATTGAGTCTTTACTACACACTGGTCCCATCACACTAGACACTTTACATTATTGTCATTAAACCTTACAAGTTTTTGAGGTATTATTAATTTCATTTTAAAGGTAAGATACTGAAGCTTTGAGAGATTAAGTGCCTTGCCAAATACACACATACAACAAGGAAATGGAAGAACAGAACTTAACGTTAACTTTGAGTTTAATTTTTTTCTTTTTTTTGGTGGGGGGCGGTGGGAGACAGGGTCTTGCTCTGTCGCACAGGCTGGAGGGCAGCCTGCACTACCTGGGTTCAAGCGATCCTCTCACCTCAGCCTGCCTAGCAGCTTGGACTACAGGCATGTGTCACCATGCCCACCTAATTTTTAAATATTTTGTACAGATGGAGTTTCACCATGTTGCCCAGGCTGGTCTCAAACTCCTGGACTCAAGCAATCCATGCACCTCAGTCTTTCAAAGTTTTGAGATTACAGGCATGAGCCACTGTACCCGGCCCTCAAGTAACTTTTTAATTCAGTAGACAGTGTCTCAAAAACAACCCACTAGGTCATAAGTTAATGTTTAAAAAGCATGTAAAACAGTTATTGGCAATAAGCATTTTATAACTTTTAACTTATAACTACTATTATTGGTGTTACTATATTATGTGTAGCACTTAAAATGAGTTTACAAAACTTTTAACAGTAAACCCATTAAATATAAAATAATATTTTTTTCCTACCTCACCTTTCAGACTTTTTTTTTCCTTATTATTTTTAGTTGAGTAAACCTTTGGCTCATAAATTTGTCTTTTTAAAAAAGAATATTTCAGACGAGTAGTATCAGAATAACTAAATAGGCAAAGTTAATACAAGAGGGGAAAGCAATAAAAAGAAAACTACATTTCCCAAACTCCCTTGCAGGTAGGGGTGGTCATGTGACATAATTCTAGCCAAAAAGTTGTAAGTAAAAGTTGTTAGGCAAACTCAGCTGGTACTAGCTTTGTTTGCCCAACACTCTCTCCCTTCTTTCTGACTGAAATGTAGGCATTGTGGCATGTGCTCCAGCAGCCACGTTGTGAATACAATAGGAGTGACTCTCAATCACTCCCAATATATATTGGGATAATATATATACAATATATATTAATATATTGAGATAGGGAAAGGAAGTCTGTTACTTGGATTGAATACACTTCCTAGCTGATATACATACTAATTCAGGGTGACTATTTTTAATTCAAAATTAGAAAGAAATCCCAAAGAATAGGTGTCATTTGGGTCAGCTTCAATCTGAGTCTTGATTAATGGTTTGAAATGACCCTTGAAAAAGGCTTTAACTTCTTTGTTTCAAAAGCTTGCCTAGGAATGATCCAGGGAATCCATTTGTGAAATGGTATCTTGACATCCTTACTCTGTCAGCCCCCCAACCATCAAACCAGATATTCCGTCAGTTCTTACAATTTTAGTTTTCTGTAAGACATTTAAAAAAATTAATTTTCCTACTGAATATGTTTGTTCTCTTTCCTTCAGAGGTTTACAAAAAGTTCTTTGTGCATTTTATTGGAACAATTTAGCAAATACTCTAAGCTAAGCCATTAGAAACATCTGTATTTTTATTCAACTATACAATAAACCTCCCACATTGTGTATTATGTTATAATATTTAGCAGTGTTTTCTGCATCAGTATTTGCTGACAAAAGAGTTCATTTTGTACTGTCATCGTTATGCTTTCTGTGTAATAGTGAAGCCATTTTAATCACAGCAAAAAGAACAAGTTTTCCCAATCATATGTCGCTTTTTTGGTTTTTTGTTTAAGCAATCTCACAAAATAGGCCTGCAAATATTTATTGTTACCCTTTATTTTTTATTTTTTTTTTTTGAGACAGGGTCTCAGTCTGTTACCCAGGCTAGAGTGCATGATCTTGGCTCACTGCAATCTCAACCTCCTGGGCTCAAGCGATCTTCCCATCTCAGCCTCCCAAGTAGCTGGACTACAGGTGTGCCCTACCACTCCTGGCTAATTGTTGCATTTTTTGTAGAGATGGCATTTCACCATGTTGCTTAGGCTAGTCTCGATCTCCTAGGCTCAAGCAATCTGGCTGGTAGGATTACAACAGGCATGAGCCACTGAGCACAGCCTATTATTATTATTATTATTATTTTTTTGAGACAGGGTCTCACTGTTGCCCAAACTGGAATGCAGTGGTGCAACCATAGCTCACTACAGCCTTCACCTCCTGGGCTTAAGCAATCCTTACACGTTAGCCTCCTGAGTTGCTGGGACTATGAGTGTGCAACACCACGTCCAGTTAATTAAAAATTTTTTTTTTTTTTGTAGAGACGGAGTCTTGTTGTATTGCATGGGCTGGTCTTGAACTCCTGGTCTCAAGTTATCCTCTCACCTCAGCCTCCCAAAAAGCTGAGGTATGAGCCACCATGCTTGGCCCTATTGTTACCTTTAGAAAAATTTTCAAAGTCCTGGTTTGGTTATCAAATGACTTTAAACACGACTGGAAAAACTGCTAGCTAATCATAATGGCTTCATATTATCATTAGCAAATACCTTGAAACATTATATGCACTTAGGGTAAGGCTCTCCATCAATAAAAGTGGAAGTGAACTGATATTTCAAAGAGTATTCTTGATAATTTTGAATTTTGATGCCTAATTTCCTATCAGATCTGATAACTATAGTCTCCCTTTACCTTCAGAGAATATGTTTCAAGGCCCCTAGTGAATGTTTGATACTGCAGGTAGTACCTAACCCTATTTATACTATGTTTTCCCCTATACATACATACCTATGATAGAGATTAATTTTTAAATTAGGCACAGTAAGAGGTTAACAACTAAAAATAAAATAGGACGATTAACAATATGCCAACATCACTACTCTTGCACTTTGGGGGCATTCTTAAATAAAATAAGGGTAACTTGGATACACACTACTAACCACTACATTTGATCTGATAACCAAGACAGCTATGAAGTGACTAATGATGGGGAGAGAGTAGCATATACAATGAAGATATGCTAGACAAAGAGATGATTCACGTCCCAGTTGGACAGAGCAGGACAGCATGAGATTTTATCACTATACGCAGAATGGTGTGCAATTAAAAAACTTTTAAATCATTTATTTCTGAAATTTTGTATTTAATATGTTTGGACTGCAGTTGACTATAGGAACTGAAACCTCAGAAAGTAAAACTGCAGATAAATGGGGACTATTGTAGTTAATATTTGTATTCATCTCATTGATGTGTCTAACAAAGAGCTGGAAGTTAAATAGACGTGCCGGCGCTATCACTTTCTTGTGGTTGATGATGGGTGTTTGCCTTTTAGTATTATCTGCTTTCACTGCAAAAATCTAAGCTCCCTGGCCATTTTGTGAGTAGTGTGGTGAATGCTAGATGATATCCATACTTTCATTCAACTGCTGAAAGCAAAAGTATGGGTGAGGAAACATGTGGATTCTCACTTTTCTTTCAGGATACCTTCACATAGCATGTGTGACATACATGTCTTGTTGATTGAGTCAGAATGCTATTATCAATCGTATACATTATTAATAAAGCTTCATTTCTTATTTTTGGGATTTAAAAAATATAAATAGAAGTTCCAATAGCCTTCCCCCAAACTGGATGGCCTTTACGTACTCCATTGCTCAGACCACTGCTATGTCAATCAAGGCAGGCAAGACTACCTTGCCTTCATTTACAAAATTATCTTGCTTTATTTGCAAGATTGGCTTTTATATGTTGATTACTTTACCACATAAATCTCCTATTATTATGCAGCCAAATTTAATGTTTTTCCATTGAAGTTTATACCACTATTCCTAGGTTTAGAATGTGACCTCCATTTCTAGAGATTAAATGTCAAATATATTTTTTTCTGTTTCTACTTTAAAAATTAAAATTCTTTTAATTTACCTGAAAATACTTTTGGTATTGGATTCTAAAATCATATTACAGATATAATTTTAAACAATTAGCAAATTGTTACCTGTTAATTAATTACATGATCCTCCTCTACTAGACACATTTGTGACACTAGCTTTATCATTTAAACCATTGTTACCAAACTTTGTGCCAAGTTGCCCCCTTAACATCTGTTTGACACCATGAAAACTACCAGTTTAAGGTAGTTCAGTTTCAACATTAGATCAGGTTACAATTTGTTTGATGACATCATATCTTTACAGAACTGTTTTCTTCATCGAATGCTGTGATAAAAAGCAGTTACTATGTAAAAATCAGTGTGAAACAGGAAATGAGGGTGGCAGTGTACAATATGATCCCAAGGTCTGAGAAGTTAAGCAGTGGTCAACAGGTACACATTACCCATTAGCAAGTAATTATGGTTAAGAATGAAATGAAAGGGCTGGGTGCGGTAGCTCACGCCAGTAATTCCAGCACTCTGGGAGGTCGAGGCAGGTGGATCATGTGAGTTCAGGAGTTCAAAACCAGCCTGGGCAACATGGTGAAACCTGTCTCTAAAAGAAAAAAGGTACAAAAATTAGCCAGAAGGCTAAGGTGGGGGTATCACTTGAGCCTGGAAAGTGGAGGTTGCAGTGAGCCAAGACGGTGCCACAGCACTCCAGGCTGGGTGACAGAATGAGACCCCGTCTCAAAAAAAAAGAAAAGAATGGAACAAAAATATATTTTCTTTCAATTTATGAGTATTTTAAATTGCTACTAAGTGGTTAGAACATAAATACTTATTAAGTTGTTTGGATGGACCTGTGAAGAAAAGAGTTAACCTGACAGTTAATTTTAACATATTAACAAAGCAGATCTGTGACTGCTGTTCTTTGAAAGGCATGCTTACAAGGTTGGACCTTGGCTAATGTCTAGGAGCTTAGATTTTGGTTATAAGACCAAACACAATCTTTCCTTCTGAGAGTCTGGAATTTTTGTACATGCCAGGTAGAAGGTGCTTATGTGACCAGCGCCCAGTAAAAACCCTAGGCACTGAGACTCTAGTGAGCTTCCTTATGTTGTCACAACTCTGCTAAAGGAATTAAACACGTCCTGTGTAACTCCACTGGGGAAGGAGATCTTGGAAACTTGTACCTGGTTCTCCCAATGTGTCTTTTCTCTTTGCTGAATAAATCTTAGCCATGAGTATGACTATATGCTGAGTCCTCCTAGAGAATTATGGAAACTGGGAATAATCCTGGGGTGCCATGGCACATGTCCTATCTACTAGTTAATACATATTAACTTTAGGTATTTCTTTTGGACTGAGCCATCAAAGATGCTTTCAACCAAGTCTGGCTATCTCTGATTTTTCTTAAACATATACCCTGTCAATTACAAAAAGTTTTAACATATGCCTTAAGTCTAGCAGTTGTTGTATTTCTTATAAAAAGTTTTCATATATATTCTCCCCTGCTTATCCTTTCAGGTTAATTTTAACTGGGAAAAGGCCAGAGCAAGGGAGAAAGTACCTTTCAATACTGACTATTCTTATTCATGAAGAAAATGTATTCTTCCATTTATTTAAGTCTCCCTTTACCTGTCAATCATAGTGTTATTATTATTATTGTTATTTTTTGAGACAAGGTCTCACTCTGTTGCCCAGATTGAAGTGCAGTGGCACAATCTCAGTTCATTGTAACCTCCGCCTCCCGGGCTCAAGTGATCCTCCTATCTCAACCTCCCGAGTAGCTGGGACCACAGGTGTGTGCCACCACACCTGGCTAATTTTTTTTTCTTTTCGAGATGGAGTCTCGCTCTGTCGCTCAGGCTGGAGTGCAGTGGTGCAATCTTGGCTCACTGCAACCTCTACCTCCCAGGTTCAAGTGATTCTCCTGCCACAGCCTCCCGAGTAGCTGTGATTACAGGCGCCCACCACCATGCCCAGTTAAATTTTGTATTTTTTGTAGAGATGGAGTTTCGCCCTATTGCCCAGGTGGTCTCGAACTCCTGAGCTCAAGTGATCCACCCACCTCAGCCTCCTAAACTGTTGGGATTATAGGCATGAGCCAGGCCCAACCAATCATGGGTTTTTAATCTAGAAGTAAATAAAGATTATTTGGTCCAACCTCCTCATTTTAATTTGAGGATATCTGAAGATAGGTTTACAATAACCCACAGTAAGTATTAAAATCCTAATCTCCTAATTTCCAGTACAACTATCCTTGTAGTATTTAATATCATACCTCTATACCTACAGAAATTTATCTGAACTTATTAAGCACTCTGTAATATAATGCAGAGGGCACTGGTTCTGGACACTGAAAAGAAGTAAGATATGCTCCCAGACCTAAGTAGTTTATTTGTCTTACCTGTTGAATGAATTCATCTCTTTGGTCCATTATTATTTTCTGAGGAGGTCCATATAAGAAAAATATATTGATAATAGCTTTAGAAACTTCTGATGCTGAAACATCACATAGAGGCAAAATCACAATCCATTTGGTGAACAAATCTGTCATGATTATAGCATATACATGACTTCTGTTGCTTGTATGAAAAGGCCCCATCAGATCAACAGTAACTAAACTCCATGGATTTTCCACCTTGAGAAGGTGCTGTTTCGGTGCTACAATAACTGTATTTTTTGCCACTTGGCAATGCTGACAAGCATATACCTACAACAGGCACACAATAAAGAAAACACATACAAATGTTAACACTCAACACAATATAAAAGCAGTCTTATAAATCTGAATTTTAAAATGGTTAATAGGTATACTTTGTGTTTTGAAGGAGAAACTTCTGGACTGAGAATCACTGGATTAAACCTATTTAGAATAACAAACAAATAAAACAACAACAAACAACTGTAGTAGCCACTACAGCTGACCCTCAAACAACATGGGTTTGGACTGTGAAGGTCAGCTTATACATGGCTTTTTTTTTTTAACTAAACACAAATAAAAAGTACTCTATTGATAGGGAGGGATGAGAAACTCAAGTATACAGAAAGCTGACTTCTTGTATATGTGAGTTTCACAGGGCTGACTGCAGGACTTCGGTATGAGTAGATTTGGTGACAGGAGTGTGGTGCTGGAACCAATCCCTTGCATATACTGAGGGAAGACTATACTACCAAATGACCATCTTATTGGGTCTTATTCACATGGAACATAAATCTGGTTCACATTCAATAAATATTTATTAAATACTTAAAAAGATCTTAAGTTTCCTATTAAATCAGTATGTAAATTTACAATAATTTCTATATACATAAAATGTTTCCTTCTAAAGTTATCACATTAAGAAGCTTATTCATTAATCTATTCCAACCATATTTATTGAAATATAATTTCATTCATATAAAATGTATAGATGGAGCAATTTCTCTCAATCGTGGGAAAAGAATAAACATACACAAAACCCATGCTGTCCTGCAGCTTTCATTTGAGTGAGGTGAGACAAGATCAACTGATCAATTTATGGATGGGTGCCATTTCTCAATGTATCTCTGGAATTCCACTCTAGAAACTACTTTCAAACTAGCTTCTGAAGAAAAATTTAAAAGCCATTTAATCCCATTATAGTCACAGTTACTTTTGATCAAAATTTTCACTTTCCAATTTAAACTTATTTGTTGGATTTTATCACAAATAACTTCTGATTATTTCCAAAAATCATATTCATTCTCCAGTGATAACAATTTGACAAAGATTTCACTGAATGTTTGTAAAAAATGCACAGCAGGAAAAATATATAAATTATGAAGGTCTTTGGAATACCTGAATAGACCCACAAACTGATAACTCACAAATTATACTTATGAAATTTTGGTTTAATTCTTTATGCTTGAAATGCCACTCTTTTTGATGTACTACTACAATTATTAAGGAGATCTCACAGATATACCAAGGAATTCCTACCATTTGACATACAGTACACTGGAAAGAGTAGAATCAGCTGACTTCCAGCAAGAACCCCAAAATTCCTATAGGTGAATTTTCTACTAGAAGTTGAAGGTCCCAATGGGTCATAAAGTTACAAAACTCAGACTTATTTCATTATCCTCAAAATTTGATTTTGGTTATATTTGGTTTTGGGTTTCTGTCATGTATGACATTCTACCTCAAAATGGAACAGGCACAAAAGATAAGAGCACATACTGGGCTTGACTTACTATGAACATATTCTCCCCTTAAGAAAACCTTGTATGACTGCCATTGAAGAAGTAATGATTTAGTCAAATGAATTCCAGCTCCATTTAAATTCTGCCTACACAAAAAAGTTCAATGATACAAATCTGATTTTTTAAATAATCTCTTATTTAAATATGGTATTTTCAAGTGTTTAAATAATGCTTCTTTCCTGTTCAAATTATACTTAAGTGATTTAAAATAACTGTGAAGGGAAATACAACTCCCTTTAAGTGATTGCCAAAAATACTTAATGAGAGGTGATACCCAGAATAAATCTGGAGAAATAATAAATTTTAAGTATCTATCAGAAAGACATTATTCATAATACTCTAAATACATAAGCCATACCCACTGTTTGACATCATTGGTCACAGATGTCCAATAATAATTGGATTCTACCAGAGTGAGGGTCCTGGATATACCATGATGAGCTCCACTGTCATTTTCATGGCATTCTCTTAAGACTTTCTTTTTTTCCTCTTCTGAAACAATTACCAAACGATTTTGTTTTCTGTCTTTTCCAACATAAAACAGCTTTTTTTCTGGAATAAATGATACCAAAAGATAGAATTGCAATTTTTAGAGATCTACGTAGTTTTAAGAGAATCATAGCCTTCTCTTTAAACCATGAAGGTTTTTGTTTTGTTTTGTAAAATCTTACTGCATTTAAAACAGAATATTTATTTTTAATGATGCTACAACACAAAGGTTCTTAGCTGTTACACTTACTAGATACTTAGGAAGGGCAGTAGCTGCTATAATTCTGTAGCTATCAATATAAGTAGAGCAAGCTTGTTCACCAAAGCACGTAATAAGTACGGAAATATGAAATTATCTCTCTCTGGGAGTACTCAAAGTAGGAAGATTTTGCAGGCACCTCCTAAAAATGGCATAGATTAGCAAATAAATTATGTACAGAAAAACAACTTCCTGGAACAGAATTTTCTAAAATAATGTTTTATCATCACTGTATTTTTGCAAGCAAACAGCTCTCTCAGCTTCTTCTATATTTGAGAAGGTAGGGATGGTGAAGCGGGCAAGTGGAAAAAACTGTAATCCTCAAGACAATTCTCTGTTTCCTTAGGAGGACACCTGAGAAGAATCTGCAGCTAGGAAGTAACCAGGGTATGAAGCGAATCACCATCTACCTTTCCAATGTGAATGGGCTAGCAATTCAAACTCCAAAATACACCATTCAGCTACTAATATGAGTAAGCCAACTGATGAGTGGAACACTCCTTATTTTTTAGAATTAGAAGATAAGCAACCTAAGAGCAGGAACCTTATCTATGTTATTCATCAATGTATCTCCAAGGCTTAGAATGTGACTGGCACACAGCAGAAACCCAGTTAACATTTGTTACATAAATTATCAAATATATGAATGAAAGAATCCTCACTTTAGTTTAAGAGGTAATAGGTCTGCCTAATCTTAAGTATAAGGGAGTTATTGGTAGGGATATACACAGGGAGATGCAAGCAGACATTTATTTATTATCCTAGAGTTTTATTAACCTGTTTTGGGGTAAGCCTAAGAGGCAAAATTCCCATTTGTAACACAAACATTCATTCAATTATCTGGTGACTACTTGTTGTTTATCTCATCCCAAACTTCTCTTCCCCTTTATAAGGGGAAAAAGAGGCAAAAATTATCATGACCTTCCAAGATAAATATCCCACTGCCTTTCAAATATTTAATCCATTCAGGAAGATCCAAGGGTCCTAAAATGAATGTGATCCTGAGAATATTTAATGGCAGTGGTGGGGTTCAAGGGGACATGATCACAGAAATATAGTTAATTCCTTCCAGTTTTCATTTTAGTAAACAAACCAGTTAACTTTGTCAACATTTTCATATTAAGCATCAAAAAAGTTCCTCATTGAAATTGGCAACAGTGCTGGAAAGTGCACCATTAGAGACCACGAGAGGGTAAAAGCAGAAGTTGTTAATTTAGAAAAATGTTTTGTTTTCTTTCATGGTATCATATTCTGTCTATAATTTAAACAACCCTTTTCACGCTTATTGGCCTTCAGTTAGCTTGAGTGTAATTTTTATTTTGCTTTTGATTGAGTGGCATCATCAATTCAACTGGTAATTGTTTAGCAACAACCAACTACTACAGAAATTCCCAAACTTCCACAAGGAAGAATGTGGGGAAGAATCTACAACTCAATAATCAAAATTTGAACATTAATTTTACCTTTGAAGACAAATTTTTTTGCTGCTCTTCTTATGCCACTTCTCTCACTTGGCAGTGTAGTTGAATGATATTCACCAGTTCGTTTGTAATATGCAATCTGTTTAAGATGAAGGTCACCATTTTTTCCACTACGGACCATTGTGAACCTAGGTAAAAGGTATTTAAAAAGATAACTTAAATTTTAAGCTAACTGAATTGCTATTTCAGTTAAGACTTCTGTCATATTTCTATTTACATATGAACCGAGAATTCCCAGAATTTATTTGTGAGGGAGATAATTGCAGTACAGGAAAGGAACAGCGATGTATATGAACAAAAATACTCAAATGCTATTTTTGATATACCCCATGACAAATTATCTTGTCTCTTTCCATTTGATAAGAAATGCTGAAAATTTTCCACATACTGAGAAAAAAGGAAATGAACCAGTACACTTCAAAAAGTTTTGCTTAAAATTTCATTGCTATCAACTGAAATGTTACATTCACAGGATGGTAACACAGGAGGATCCTGTCATGTGACATTTAAATAAATAAGTTATAAGAGAAGAAATATAGCTTTATATTATTTCTAAATATATTCATGGTTATTTCTTCTTCTTGTCACCTCAGCCCTAAGGTGGTAACTATTTTTGCTTTTGCTAGTCTCCAGGTGCCATGTTGTTTACTTTGCTACTGTCTGTCTATAGAAAGGAGCTCCATTAAATTTTCTTTAAAATCCCACCAGAATGTCTTCTGTTTCCTGCTAGGATTCTGACATAAATCTTACAATTTTGAAATTACATTTAAAAAAAGATGTTTACTGACCACTGGAAGATCTAGGGATGAGACTAAGAGTATTTACTGGAAAGAGAATGCTGGAACAAAGCAGAAACAGACTGTGCCTATTGTCATGGCTTAAACAGCTTACCAATTCACTTTCCCTATGACACAGCTCTTTGCAAATGTAAAACCGTCTTTCTGATCTACTTTTAACTTCCAGAGAGAGTAACAGTACATTTCTTACCTTAGGTTAACATAAAGTATATGTCAATTTAAAAGAAAAGGTTCTGAAATGTTAACACAGTCCCATCATAACCTAAAAAACAGGTTAATTATCTCTATAAAGTATTATAAGACAATCAGTTTGTTCTAAGTTTAATTCACTTCCAATTGATTATTAAATACATGATTTTTTTCATCTTCTAATAGATGGCTGCATCCCAAACCAAACAAATGCAGCCTATCACAGTTTCTGAATCATCTCAAAGATGAATGGATGAGATTTAAGACTTTTTATACAAATAAAGTAAATAAGACAAGCCAATTGGCATAAGGACAGACAAATACATCACTGTAATTGAACAAGGAGTACAGAATTACATCCACACATGTAAAGTCAATACGTTTACAATGAAGATATCAACACAATGAGGAAAGAGGTGGTCTTTTCAATAAATAATGTTGGACAATTAGATAACTGTATTAGGGGAAAAAATGAACCTTAACTACCTACCTCACATCTTACACAAAAATTAATTCCAGATAAATCATAAACTTAAATGTGAAAGATAAATAACAATGATTCTGGAAGAAAACATAGGAAAAGATCTTTCAAATCTTAGGCTAAGCAAAGATTTCTTAAATAAGACACAAAAAAAAAACACTATCCTTAAAAGAAAAAAAAATTAACAATAGGGCTTTATCAAAGTAAAAATGTGTATTCATGAAAGACACCATTAAGAAAGTGAAAACATAGGACACGCATTGGGAGAAGATATCTGTAATACATATATCTAACAAAGGACTCAGACCCAGTGTATGCAAGGAACTTCTAAAAATCAAAAAGAAAAGGACAAAAACCCAATTCAAAAAATGGGGGGAAATTTCTACACAGCACTTCATAAAAGAGAATATCCAATGGTCAATAAGCACGTGAAAATGTGCTCAACATCATTATTCCACAGGGCAATGCAAATAAAACCACGATGACTTAGAATTACACACTACTGAACAGGCTAAAATTAAAAACCAAAGACAACACCAAGTGTTGGTGAAGACAGGCAGCAACTGGAACTCTCATACATTGTGGGAGGATAAAATGTTGCAACCACCTAGGAAAACTGAGTTTCTTCTAAAGCTGAGCACAAATTTACCCTAAAGGTTTGGCAATTCTAATTTTATATTCCAGTGAAATTAGTCTATGACTATCAAAATATGTGTACAAAAATGTTCATAGATATTTTATAGTCATAATAGCCACTAAATGGAAACAGTAAAGGTATCAAGAAGTTTTACCATGCGTATACTCTGTTCTGGTCCTGTAGCCACTTCTATTGTTACCAAGTTTCATGTCGCTCCAGGTCAGTGCTTTTCAAACCATCTGTGGTGAAACACTAGTGGCACCCTACTGCCCTCCAATCTGCCACATAAGACCTCCTGATGCCTTTACTTTCCATGTCATCCTCACTACACTCTCTCCTCTGCCAGGACTCCATGGCAAACTTTTACTTCCTAATCAATTTTCAATTCATGAAGCCTTGTGTCGTTTCAAGTTGGGAATATAGAACCTGTTTGTCTACCCATCCATTTGCCTGCCTATCATTCTAGCTCTGCATTAATCGTCCTCAACTCTTAAAAAAAAAAGAAACCAAAATCATTTTTTCTTTGTGTCCTCTATTTTCATCTCTATACTACAATGATAACACATTCTTTCAAGTCTAAGGGACAGAAACCTGTCCCTTCTCAGTTTAGATGAAATCAATATATAGACTATACATACTGTAAAATTAATAATATACTACATATAACCTCCTGTTATAGTTTTCCCTTAATAGTTTTTGGAACTATCAATGTCACAAATCGTCTAAGCAATCCAAAGGAAAATCTAGAAATATCCCATACTAGCCAGTTGGGAGGATGGTATCTGTAGGAAGACGAGGTTTATAAAAGGAAGATAAAAATTGTGTATTTCCTTCCTTTTAGAGACCAGTAAAGGTTGCAAAAACTCCTGAAGGACCTTAAAAAGAAAAGGGGAGGAGCTTTTTCAGGCCTGTAAAAGCCCACAGAAGGAAAAGACCAAACTCTCACACCTTAGAGGAAGTACAGGCCCCAAAACACAGAGGGATGTGGGTAACCAGAACTGGTAGAAAACAAACCAGCCATTGGAAAAAAAATGTGAGTCTGCATAATCCACAGTAGCTTCCGTATTTTGCTTTTATATTTAAAAACCTCTTGGTTCCAAGTTCCTACCATCTCTTGTCTTCCTCCCCCTACCCATTTACCTCCTGGAGAGACCAGAAAATTTTTCTATCTAATGTAAGATGAAGTCTTCAGTATATTAAGTTAACGTGCCATTAGGACACTGTTGGTTTTCCTATTTATAATAAATATACAAAAACTTCTCAGAAAAGGTCTATTTACTGAAATTAACTTCTCTGCTTTGAAATCTTTAACTTTTGAATAATTGAAAGTAGATCGAAATAGAGAAATTTGCTCTCCTCAGAGTAAACCTATAGTACAAGGGACAAGGAGAAAAGGAAAGCACTACAAAAATCTTTGGAGACTGAGCTCTTTAAGGTTTTTGGTTTGTTTTTTTCTCATCAAAGTAGTGGGAGAAGACTAACATATATCTATGTTAGGGAGAGGGACATAAACATCATTGGGAGAAGACATAAAAACCATCTATTTCCTACAGATTTTCATATTTCACAAATGCTTTCACAAGTGTATTATTTTCATTTTTATATGGGTGAGTTGTCTTGGCTCAACAGAACTAAGACTTAAAGGTGTAGTTATTTGACATAGTCACCTTGAAACTTTAATTTAGACTATCCCTAGCATATTTTTATCTTACAAATGATTTACTTGACAGAGTGGACACCATGAGACTGCCTCTGGGCATTATCTTCCACTTAGTGGCTAAGGTCTAGACTATTTAGCCTACCCTCTACAACCTGGCAGAACATAATACAGCTTCTTCTCTCACTACTTTCCTTTCTATACCCATGGCCATATCCCCAACCATTCTCTATACCTTGGTTTACATCATTTTCCCCTAAATGGTATATCCTTCCACCTGATTAAGCCTTACCCATCTTTCAAAATCAAGCTCTAGCATCTCAATGAAGCAAGTGTTCCATGATCTCTGAATCTAAAGTGATCTTGACCTCTCCTAATCTTCTTTGTGCCTACTGTAGAACTTCCATGCTTTACCCTTTTTAATAGTTTTTTGCCTGTTCATCCATATAACCTTGAATTTGCTCATTCAGTTACTGAGCTCTTAAACCCTTATATATACTAGATGATACTAATACAAAGTTAAATAAAATGAAATCCCTGTCCTCACGGAGCTTATGGTATAAATGAGAGGAAAAGAGGAGGAAATCAGCATTTATACAGTTTAGAGTGGTGTTTTAACAGATGTATGCAAAGAGTACTATCAAAACAGATGTGTAGAGACCCAGATTCACCTGGAAAAGGAGGAAAAGCACTGATTGTAGATGAGGTAGAACCTTGAACTTTATTCCATTGCCACTGCCTTAGCTCACACTCACCTTCTATCTGACCTTGCCTCCTCTGTCTCTAATATGGTCCCTGTCCTCACTGCAGTCACAGAGGTCACACTAAAACACAAATCTTATCAAAATATTCACTTAACTCGAAATACATCTTTTGCCATTCCTGATTGTTTTAGTCCACTTGGGCGGCTATAACAAATATACCATAAACTGGATGGCTTATAAACAGAAATTTCTTTCTCACAGTTCTGGAGGCTAGGAAATACAAGATCAAGATGCCAGCAAATTTAGTGTCTACTGAGGGTTCACTTTCTTATAGGCAGCTGTCTTCTCACTGTAACTTCACATGAGGGAAGGGGAAAGGGGTTTCTCTCAGACTCTTTAAAATACAGGCACTAATCCCATTAATGAGAGCTCTGACCTATGATCAAGTCACCTCCTCAAAGTTCCACCTCTTTTTTTTTTTTTTTTTTGAGACAGAGTTGCGCTCTGTCGCCCAGGCTGGAGTGCAGTGGCATGATCTCAGCTTACTGCAACCTCTGCCTCCCAGGCTCAAGCAAATTTTGTTCCTCAGCCTCTCGAGTAACTGGGACTACGGGTGCATGCCACCATGCCCAGCTAATTTTTATATTTTTAGTAGAGATGAGGTTTCACGATGTTGGCCAGGCTGGTCTCGAACTCCTGACCTCAAGTGATCCACCCACCTTAGCCTCCCAAAGTGCTGGGCTTACAGGTGTGAGCCACCGCGCCCAGCCCCAAGGTCCAACCTCTTAATACCATCACCTTGGTGGTTAGGATTTCAACATATGAATTTTGGGAGAATACAACCATTAAGACCATGGCACTAATGATATCTAAATACCTCTGCCAGTATACAAGGCTTTATAAGATATGGTTTTTATCAATCTCTCCATCTTTTTCTCTTGGCATTCTCAATTCAAAACATAACCACAGTTCTTCAACCATCCCATGCAGTGTGCTCACACCTTTTCATTGATATTTTTGCCTGGAATGAACTTTTATTGCTATTTCTCCAGCCCCTCATCATATTTCAAAACTCTGGCTAGGTGTAATTTCCTGCAGAGTGTCTTCTAACCACTCCAACCTGGAATAACTTAAAATTTTAAGAATGAGTTGGAGTTACAAGATTAGATTTCTATTCTATAAAGTGTATTGTGCACCAATATGGAATAGAGATTGGGGTAGAGACAGGAATACCTGTACCAGTCAGCTAGGAAGCTACTGTATAATTAAAGCAAGAAATGAGGAAATTCTGAGCCAAAGCAGTGTCAGTATAAATGGATAGATACATTATATAAGAACTGTAACTGACTAGATGTGTGGAGTAAACACAAAGAAGAATCTGGGATCACTTCTGTCTGAAGCTCTGGCTTAGGGAGAAAGATGACAATATTAAGCAGGTTCTATTCTTCATGGATGAACTCGGCATGTAAAAAGTAGGTGAAGTTAAGGCAATGGAAGAAGGATCAGATGGAAAGTGTACACAGTAGGAAGTGCAGTGAACATATCCTTATCTTTCAACGTTCACATTAATGAGTTCATTCATCCATGAATCCTTTCTGACCACATCCCCAATCTCAGGGAGAATTGTGCACACCCTCATTGGTACATTCACAGTAATATGTGTCAACCTTTATCATAAAATCTGAAACACTCTATTGAATATATTAGTTTATATGTCTCTCTCCCAAATATATTGTAAATCTTTAGGGACATGAGACTAGCCAGAGAAACAGGAAAAAAGCCAGAAGAGGTTCTGGTAATAGAAGTCTGGGAAATACAGACTTCTTAGAAGTACACAGAGAGGCTAAGTGATATAAGAACCATAATGTAGCTAGTGGTTTTGGCAACAGTATACAGTATAGTTACAGTATAGCAGGGCAGTTGGCAACCAGACTGAAATGACACAAGGAATGAATGGAAATTCAGAAAGTGGATTTAGAAACTTGGGCTTAGCTATAAAGGCAAGGAGCTACAAGATAGTTGCTAGAGACAGATATAAGGTTCATTCATTGATCTAAAAAATGTGACTGAGTAACTGCTATGTGCCAGTTACAACGTTGGAGACAGGATAATAAACAAGATGTAGATTCTCTTGACCTTCATTGAGTTTACATTCTAGTGGGGTTAAAAGTTTTGACAGTCATGTTCATAGCCACATCACCCACAACAGCCAAATGATGGAAGCAACTCAAGTGTCCATCAATGGCTGAATGGATAAACAAAATACGGTGTATATATTCACACACCTTTAAAGGGAAGGAGATTCTAACACACGTTACCACATGGATGAATCTTGAGGACATTAAGCTTAGTGAAATGAACCTGTCACAAAAAGATAAATACTGTAAGATTCCACCTATATGAGGTAGTCAGAGTAGTCAAATACATACAGACAGAAAGAATAATGATGGTTGCATAGAACAGGGGGTGAGGAGGAGAGAATGTAAGAGTTATTATTTAACTGGTCAAGAGTTTCAGTTACACAAAATGAAAAGAGTTCTTGGGATGGATGGTGGTAATAGTTGTAAAACAAATGTGAATGTACTTAAAGCCACTGAACTGCACACTTAAAAATGGTTAAGATGGTAAATTTCATGTTATGTGTGATTTACTACAATTAAAACAATTTTTTTTTTGAACAAGATTGTTTTGCTTTCGACAAGGGAGTAACCCAAAAAGTTTAATGCTAATGGAAGGGCTTCTAGAAAGACCACTGAAAACAAAGGAGAAAAAACTTATGGTATGATGTCCTGAGATGGCAGCAGGGGATGACATCCAATTCACAAATAGAGGGATTCGTCCTGTGATCTCTTCCAATAAAGATATTATAGTGAATATAACCATGGAAGAAAATTATTTCTTTCTGAAATGCCACTAAACATTCCCATATAGGCTTCTGACTAGAATGCAGAAAGCTGGAGTAACTCCCACTCTACCTCTGAGAAAAAGTGGGACAAAATGCCAATTTTCTCCAAATTGATCTATAGATTCAATGCAGTCCCAATCAGGAACCCTCAAGCTCTTTTGCAGAAACTGACAGGCTGATTCTAAAATTGATATGGAAAGCTAAAGGACTCAGAATAATTACAACAACTTTGAGAAATGAATATAGTTGAAGAATTTCACATTATTTGGTTTCAGGACTTTCTATACTACTATGGTAATCAAGACTGTGTTATAATGGCAAAATGACAGCCTTAAATCTATCGAACAGAATAGTGACAGAAATAGCCACTCAGTTATAGTAAACTGATTTTCAACAAAGGTGCCAAGGTAATTCAATGAAGAAAGGATAATCTTTTCAACAAATGCTGTAACAATTAAACATCCTTTGAAAAAAGATGAACCTCAACTCATACCTCAAATGATATGTAAAAATTAATTCATGATGGCTCACAGATCTAAATGTACAACTTAAAACTATACAACTTCTCGAAGACAACAACAAAAATCTTTGTGAGCTCAGGTTGGGTAATGGCTTCCCAGACAGCAAAGAAAAAGCAGCTATGCATAAAGAAAAAATTAAAATTTTTATTCCTTAAAGAACTGCTAAAAAAAGAGAAATAACACTGGGATAAAATATCTGCAATACATACATATGATAAATAACTTTTTCTAGAATTTATAAAGAACTCTCGAAGCTTAACAAGAAAGCAAACAACCCAATTTAAAACCTGGAAATACACTTCACTAAAGAGATATGATTAGCAAATAAACACATGAAAAAATGCTCAACATCAATAGATAATAAAAAATGTAAACTAAAACTACCATAAGATATGACTACACACTAACAACAACAAAAATAAAACAAAACCTAACAATGCTAGGTACTACCAAGGATGCTCTTACTGGTGATAATAGAAAATGATGTAAACATGTTGGAAAACAGTTTGGCAATTTCTTATAAAGTTAAACATCAATTTACCATATGGTCCAGCAATACCAATCTTAGATACTAACCCAAAAGAAAATATGTACACCTAAAAACCTGTAAGTGTATGTTTTTAGAAGTTTTATTCATATCAGCCAAAACCTGAAAACAAATGTTCATCAACTGGTGAATGGATAAACAAATTACAGTAGATCCACATACTGGAATACTATTAAGGATTGATAAGGAACAAACTATAAATAGACCTAACAATATGAATAAATCTCAAAATCATTATGCTAAGTGAAATAAGCCAGACACAAATGGCTATATATTTTATATTTCTGTTTATATGACATCTGGAAAAGCCAAAAGTATAGGAAGAGGAAATAATTTTAAAAAATTAAAAATTTTAAAAACAATGCCAACGCAATTGCACTGCATAAGAATGTTTTGGTCAAGGATGGACTGCCTATTGGTCCCGTAAGATGATAGCAGAGCATATATAGAACCTGATATAGGTCATTTGATATTAGCACTGCAGATCAAGTAGGAGAAATAAATGATACCCAATAATGTGCAGGGACATTTGGTTCTCTATATGAAGAAAAAAATATACACACACACACACACACATATCATCTAGGTTCATGTAGGTAGAGTCTGTATTCGTGCAATGCTGAAACTGCCTAACAAAGCATTTCTCAGAATTTATTCCATTGCTAAGTGACTCACGACTACAGCTGCAAATAGTTATGCAGTATTTTACTATGATAATCCTCACAGTACTTCATGAAGTAGGTATTAGTTTTATATCCATTTTACAGGTAGGAAAATGGAGGTTCAGAGATTGTCCAATTTACTCAAGGTAATAAAGTGAGTACATGCGCTGACACTTTTAACTTGGTGTCTCTTACTTCAAATTTCACGCTTTTCCCCCCTGCTATACCAGTAAGTCAATTACTTGTTATCCTTAGCTTTTATAATACTTGGTTCAGGCCTCTGTTACACAAATTATAAAGTGATTTTTGTAATCAATAATTTAGATTATAAATGAGGAATGGAAAGAGTTTATTAATTTTTTATGTTTACATTGTTTAACATAATGTTCAGAACACAGTGGACACTCAACTATTTGTGAATGAATAAAGAATTACCTGCATTTCCTGAAAGGAGAATTAAAAATTATAGCAAATATTCCAGAGGTAAATTATTTCACTTTTGAAAACATTACAGTTCACTTTCACATACATGGCACTATAAGTAAACTGTGTCTAAGAAGGTATAGACTTAAGCCTTAGTATCTATGTTTGGAAAAGGACATAATATCTATCCCTTTTTTGCAATTACGAGGATGATTAAAAGTCCTTTGTATATGGTAATGTATAATTATTATCATATCTAAGTATTATCATCCATATCAGGCTGTTTAAAGTAACATAAAACCCTTTCTTTTCCCAAAATCTTCACCTACATGAAAAAATATTTTAAAATCTCTTTCCTTTCATTAATGGTGTTAATGTTTTATAGCAATGTTTATAAAGCTTCAGTGCTAAGAAGAAAATAATCAGAAGACTCACGAATTGTATCCTTTTATAACGATATAACAGTCTAATGCAGTTCACAAACTGCTGGTTCTGGAGGTAGAGAGACAGATGACAAGGAGAAATAGAAAATGCGTAAGAAAGAAAACTCAGTTCACGAAAAGCATAGCCTTTGAAGTAGTTAAAAGTTTTACTGCTAATAATTGGTATTCATATACAAAAGTAACGTAAATGAAAGTTGTTTTTTTTTTTTCAAAGCCCATACATATGAGAAAATGGCTTGAAACTGTAATATTCGAGACAAATATAAATATCTTCTTATACTCTGATTGCTAAGTAAAGGTATCATTTACAAGGGGGATTAAGTGGTTTCTACTACATAAAGAAAGACTGTCCTGGGACTTCTTTGGATATGCTCATATTTTCAAGAATTTCTCTTAAAATCATTACTTAATGTACTTAAACATGTAGGAATAAGAAAAAATGAAAGTGATTGATTACAACTTGTAGTTTTGCAAGAGGAATGTCAGGGTCACATTTGGTTAAGCTTTATACACTTTGTCCCCTCCATAAAAGCAAATAAAATCAACTCATTGCTTAATTCCTTTAATAATTTTGTGTTCAATAAAGTAAGGCAGTTAGGTATTATGTCAAGATTAGGACTTAACTGTTTCACCAAGGGTTAAAAACAAAGCCACCAATTTAAGCCCCTAAAAGGTTATAATACCCGCTGGTTCCATCTTAAAATCTGCAATTTTCAATCAACATGTTAACTTGGATCGGAATTCTGACATTTGAATTATTCTATTTTAAGCTCCAAAAAATGGACACGCACAATTTTATGCAACGTCAAGGACCTGTAAATTTAAATACACTTCTCTGTAATCTGGTTCACTTCAGAGTACAAATTCATTGAACAAAAAAATGCCTTCATCGCCATATGCATTCACATGAAGCCACATGGGATAAATGCATTTCCACTTTAAAAAGTATCTACTTTGGTTCAGAAATGCCCATTTAAGAAAAACCTACACTGAGATAAAGTGGACATTTTTCTTTTAAAACTACGTGACAGGATTCCCTCTTGACCTCACGTTTCTCCCCGCCACGTATTTAAATTTGGGGCAAAATTTCTGATTAAATGACTGATCAAAGTAATGGGGAGAATTCTTCAACGCCGGCCAAAAGTGCTTAGTCTCAAACGCTGTGAGGGAGCATTTCCTAAGCTTTGGGCGACTCGTTAACGGAATCTTAAGGGCAAGGTCCAACCACACTCAGAATCAGCAGGAAAATGACCGTTTGGTAAAACTCAATTACACCCAGTAGGCACCTCCCCAGGCCCGAAACAGCACTCGCCCTTTCTGCTCAGCTAGCGCGGGACATCGCAACGCCCAAGGCCCTCCTATCTCAAAGGCGCTTGCGCAAAATCTCCCCACAGACTCAATTAAACCCTTCCTTAGGCCGGTCGAGGCGAATGGTTTTGAAATTACTGTCGGGTTACGCCTCACTTTAAAAAACAGTAGGTATGACACAGCACACCAGAACGACCACTCACCGAGGTGGTCCTAAATTCAAACGACAGATTTAAGCTTCCTCTCGTGATTTATCTCGCGCTGCCGGAAGCGGAACTACCCGGGTCCTTTAGAGGGCAGTCCTTTGGGGAACCTTGGAACCACGGTCAGAAAGGTTAGGACTGATCATTTGGCTCTTGCCGGAAATCGTTCCGCCCGGTGAGGTTTCGGCGTGAGACCCGAGGAGGGCGGGGAAGAGGCGTGACGGAGATTCCTGAGGTGTAGTAGCCTGAGGTTCCCTTATGTGGCCCTATAGCTGTTACTGAAGGAAGTAGCCTACGTCCACGCCTACAACTGAAGTCTCTTGACAAACACCTCACCCCTGCCTCCGGGATGAAAGGGGGTAACCTAGACCTGAATGGGCTTGACCATCTCACAACTGCTCGCGTGACGACCGCATTCGTGGCAGGTGAGGGCCCAAAACCGGAGGAGAACCGGAGATGCGGAACCTGATCATGCCAGGGTTGAGGCGGCTGCTGGGCTTCTGCTTTGTCTCCTGTGCTCTGCAGACCCTAAACACATGCTCCACCGAGGGGCTTGTGCTGGAGAGAATGACAGCCTGGGCGTGGAGTGACAGTACAGCTTTGAGGGTCCTTTCGCGCCTTGATTTCTCCTCCTGCTCCCCCATGGCTTCCCTTTTTCATTTCTTGGGTTCGAGACGCCAGAAATTGAAGATCAGCTAAAAGGGAACCGCTGAGCTTCTACCCCACGCTGTGCCTGGCTCCACTGAAGTGATTAGCCTCGAGTTATGGGACTGCTGTGGGTAGAGGTGGCTTTTTAAAAAATTTTCTGCCTTAGTCTTTATCCCTCTCTCTGTCAACCCCACACCCACTTTAAAATAACAAAAGCCTCATGTGTTGCAGCTTTTCATAGTAGGGACCGAGGCTGCAGGGCACTGCCGCACCTAGTCATTTGGAGGTCGTTGCAGCCTTCTGCGCCTTGAAGAAGAAGGGGCCAGGGTGATGATCCCTGGATCTCATTCACGAGGTTCTTGACCACTTCCTGGGAGATTGCGACTCTTGGTGTCCTTTGGCTAGTAGTTGTCTTGCTGGAAGGCTTAACTGTGGAAGTGGGAAGCATAGCTGACCTTAGCACGTAAAATCCTCGCTCTACACTGGGACAGGATTTTGTTTTGCTATTGAGAATTCTTAAATGAAATAGATAATTTTTTTGTCTCAGATAGATAAAATAATAACGATAGTTGCCATTAACTGAGTCTTATGTGTGCCGAGTGCTTTACATAGTTTGTCATTTATTCCTCTCAACAATTCCAGGAGGTATGTTAGATTATTATCACCATTTTACAGAGTTAGAAATGGAGGCTTTGAACAGTCAAGCAACTTGCTCTATTAAACATTTGTTATAAGTAAACGTTTGAATCTGTGTTAAAAACCAGATCTGTCTGCCTTCAAAATCTGTATTCTATTGTCCTGTCCTGTTCTTCCTCGATTTCAATTTCTTCACTAACATTTTCAGTGTCTGAAAGTATCCATTCATTTAAAAAATTTTGGTGTACCTACTTATATGTCTGACAAAAGTTAGACATGATCTCTGTCTTTATGGAGCATTGTGATGCAGAATTAAGTAGTGCAGAACCCAGAATACTGTACTTACTGCAGCACAGGTTTATTTAAAGCAAATGACTAAACTGATTTGCAGAAAATTTTAAAATCAAAGGTTGCTGTTTTAAATGTTAAATTCATATGACTTTCAGAGTAGTTGTTGTGAGGGTATTAAACTGAACAATTGGTAGAACATCTGTTGATTACCCAAATAAGTGCTATGAACCAAGTTAAGTAGTGGGAATATATAGATTAGGTCCTCATTCTTTAAAAGCTCCCATGCAACCACAATATAGACAATGTTATGGACTATTAATTTTCTCACGTGGAAAAGGAATTGTGGTTATGTAGGAAGGTGTTCTTATTTTTAGCAGATACATACTAACGTACTTAGAGTTGAAGTGTGTTGATATCTAGTACTTTCAAATGGTACAGCAAGTGTATGTGTGTGTATGTGTCTGTGTGTATAAATAGCAAATATGGCAAAATGTTGGCAATTGTGAGTATAATGGTGGGCATATAGATGATTAACAAACTGTTCTTTCAACTTTTCCGAATATTTGAAATTTTTCATAATAAAAAGTTGGGGAGGAAAAAACCCAACCCTGATGGAAACAGATAAGTGAAAAGATAGATCCAAAATGCTGCGGAACATAGAAGATGGGAGAGGGTTTTTATGTGTATTTGGGGCCTAACAGAAGTGTGATAGTTCTCAGGAAA
Source organism: Homo sapiens (assembly GCF_000001405.40). Lineage (NCBI taxonomy): Eukaryota > Metazoa > Chordata > Mammalia > Primates > Hominidae > Homo > Homo sapiens. The sequence continues at coordinate 103,122,362 of NC_000005.10, forward strand.
ACCTTCACTGAAGACCTTTCAGTTGGTTTTTGAATGGCGGATAGGAACTTTCAAGGAGAGCAGTGAATTCCAGGCAGAAGGAAATGCAGGTTCAGCAAAAAGATATTAAATGAACGTTTGAAGAAGGAAAAAGAAATCAACAAGAAGGTTGTGTGGAACTTGGAATAGGCTTTTTTTGTGTAATCTTATAAATGAGCCAGGTTGCCTTTGCCAGCCTGCAGAAGCCTATTTATTCCCTATTACCTGGATGTACTATTGGTGGAAAGGAGACACCATTTATAACAGTGTTTCCATTGGAAAATGCTTTTGGAATTTCAGGAAAACTGGTTATGTGTTTGCGTTTAGGCTAAGCAGCAGGAGCAGGAGCTCCCATTTCCTCTGATTTTGAGAGCAGAGATTTACTAGTTTATAGTTGGGCTCCTGAGGGAACCCATGAAAAGGGCTACAGTGATGGCTTGGAAATATTAAGTTCAGGTAAGGGGGATCTGAATACTAGGTGGGACTGATGGATGATCCAGGGTGTTATTTTGAGGATCAGGTAGCTCTGGCCGTGACCAGTAAAGGTATGGAAGAGATGATTATCCCAGGCAGTAGTGTTCATGATAGTCTCAAGCAGTGTGGTAAGACTAGAAAAGGTGTAAAGAGGTCTCCAACAACAGCAGTGGCAAACGGGAGTTTCTGTGGCTTCATTAGACAAGAGGTAAGTAGATACATTCTAAATTGAGTTATTTATATTTGTTCCTTGCCAATTAAATTTGCTAGAAAACTGTCATAACAACATTTAACAAAATATTAAACATCTAACATTTACTGAGTGCTTAATATGTGCTATTTGCTGTGGCATCTGTATTGCAATTGTCAAAACAATATATGAGATTCATAATCCCATTTTACAGATGATGACTAGAGAGGTTCAATAACTTGACTAAGGACACAGAGCTGAGCAACTTGCAGAAAAAGTTTTCAAACCCAGTTTTGAGTCTAGAGCAATTGTTCTCATAGTGTGATTCCAGGACGACGAGCAACATCAGCATCACCTTGGAACTTTTGGAAAGGCAAAATATTGGGCCCCACCCCCAGAGTTTTGAGATTAGTATTAACAAGCCCTACAGGTGATTCTGTTGCATGCTAATGTTTGAGAACTACTGCATTGAGTGTGGACATTTTTAGTAGCATAACACTCATTTCAGATTTAGAAATCAGGTTTAAGGGATATTTGTCTTTTGTACAGTTAGATTCCCAAACCTGGCTGCTCATCCATTTGTAAAAATACAGTTTTTCTAGTTAAGAATTACTGTTTAGGAATTCCTAATCTGTGATAAGCCCAGTAACTTGTGTTTTTACAAGTCTACCAGATAATTCTGATGTAACCAGTCCATTTTGGGACCACTGCTATAGAAGGAATTCTAAAAATAAAGTAAGGTTCAACACTGATATTTGAATAATGTATGTATCTTTATGCCCAGACAGTTAGCATATGTTGAAATTAATGACTGAACATTGATCAAAATGCTAAATAATATGGAAGTGCTATATGTATAAACTGTACTTCGTTCAAGTATCAGCGCTTTAAGTGAAATAATACAAACCATTTTGAATGTCCTGCATCTCTTATGATGCTCATAAAATCTCATCTTGGCCGGGCGCGGTGGCTCACACCTGTAATCCCAGCACTTTGGGAGGCCGAGGCGGGAGGATCACGAGGTCAGGAGATTGAAACCATCCTGGCTAACACTGTGAAACTCCGTCTCTACTAAAAATACAAAAAATTAGCTGAGTGTGGTGGTGGGTGCCTGTAGTCCCAGCTACTTGGGAGGCTGAGGCAGGAGAATGGTGTGAACCCGGGAGGAGGAGCTTGTAGTGAGCCGAGATCGTGCCACTGCACTCCAACCTGGGGACAGAGCGAGACTCCATCTCAAAAAAAAAAAAAAAATCTCCTCTTGTACTACGACATATATCCTACTTAGGTGACAGAAATGTATTTGAATTTATTTTATATTTTTAGTTTTCTGAGAATTTATATTTGCCATGCTGTCATAAGGACTGTGGAGTCCTCATTTTTGCTCTTTAGTATAATGGCCTTTGGTTTAAACAGACCTGGGTTTGACTTCCATTTGCAACCCTTATTGGCTCTGTGATGATGATCAAATTACCTGAACTTTCTGAACCTCAAGTCTTAATTTATAATGACAAAATGGACACATATCTACATACATAAAACATTTATAAAATGAAGAATATATTTCTAATTCCAGGATGGCTGTGAGATTGTTAAATCACAAAGTAGTAAGTAATTTCTTCCCAACTTTTTTCATATTAAGGCATACCTAGAAAATGGTAGTATTTGTACAGTATCCTGGGGAAACTGAAGAGAGTGCTACTGGAAGCAACTGGCCAGGGTATAACAGCTGCCTTAAAGGCTGAGGCAATTAATTTCTTGGCATACTTACAATTCATTTATGGTGAGACAACATGTTGGGAGGCTCTGAATTTACAAGTAAGGTACTTACTAGGTAACAGTGCCTAATAAATGTTCCTTCCCTTGAGATTTATGTTGTGGAGGGATATACATAACCCAAGCTGTTAAATAACAAGGTTATATGTGACCAAAGGTCAAAACGAATGATTCGGAGAAGGTCTTGTAAATTGTTAAGGCAAGTTTTGTAGAGGAGTATCTATTGGATACTTGAGATGTGCCAACCACCAGAAGACAAAAATTCTGCTTCATCGGTTTTATCTCCTTTTTATTATAGGAAATTTCCTATAGTACTTGTTTTCAAAAACTGGTTCTCAAACTTGGCTACACATTGGAATTACCTGGGAAGACTTAAAATTACCCGAACTCTACTCTCAATCATTTTGATTTAAGTGATGTGGAGTATAGCCTAGACGTTGGGATACAAGCACTCTTAGTATATTATCTTACATATAACATCATTAAAATGACCTATGAGCTATGTACAATTTACAGATGAGGAAATTGAGGCCATAAGAAGTTAACTCACTTGCTCAAGATCAGCTAATTGGAGTCAGTCAGGTTTTAAACCCAGGTATTTTAACCCCTGAATCCATGCTCTTAACCACTAGCCTGTTCAGTTTTTTTTTTTTTATATGACATCTCTAAGTATCTCTCATATACTAAAGTGGAATAACAGAAAAAAAAAGAAAGGCTTCCTTCACTTTATGTCCTTTAGAGGTCCAATTCCTCTGTCCATCTTTTATAAACTCTTCAAAATAACTGTCTGTATAACTTGTCTGTATTTCATCTCCTTCTATTTTCTTGTTTGTTTGAGACAGAGTCTCACTCTGTTGCCCAGGCTGGAGTGCAGTGGTGCAATCCCGGCTTACTGCAACCTCCACCTCCAGGGTTCAAGTGATTCTCCTGCCCCAGCCTCCTGAGTAGCTGGGATTACAGGCGCATGCCACCATGCCGGGCTAATTTTTATATTTTAGCAGAGACGGGGTTTCACCATGTTGGCCAGACTGGTCTTGAACTCCTGGCCTCAAGTGATCCGCCTGCCTCAGCTTCCCTAAATGCAGTGCAATCACATTTAACAAATTGAAAATTCTTACTATGGCTTCTCAGTCCTTTGTGTGCATCTTAGCTACTTATCTGACATGATTTTTTACCATTTTTCCTTTGCTTGCCTGCTCTGCTCCACCTTACTCTTTCATGAACATGGGAAATATGCCAAGCATACTTCTGCTTTAGAGGCTTTATACTTGATGTTTCTTACCTGGAATGTTCACACCATATAACCCCATGGTTGGTTTCTCATTTAAATTAAATTTATATTTAAATGTCACCTTATTAAAGAGGTCTTTCTAACATGTATTTATTTGTTGATTTACCTAGTCCCTCACCAAATGAATGAATGAGACATGTTTCAGACCTAAGGTCATAATCAAATGAGGGACATATATCTATATACTTCATACAGCATTACAGACTTAAACAGAACTTGAATAAGTTAACAAAAGGGGACAGACCAGTCATTAATTCATACCCTTGGGAAAAAAAAATCTATTGGATACATACTTTTTTTTCCCCGAAAGTTGATTTCTACTTACACACATATTTTGTAAAGTATTTCAAAAATGTGGGAGAATTATATTGAAAAGACTATGTATTAGTCAGGGTTCTCTAGAGGGACAGAACTAATAGGATAGATATAGCTACAAATGGGAGTTTATTAAGTAGTATTAAGTCACACGATCGATCACAAGGTCCCACAATAGGCCATGTGCAAGCTGAGGAGCATGGAAGCCAATCCGAGTCCCAAAGCTGAAGAACTGGGAGTCTGATGTTTAAGAGCAGGAAGCAACCAGCACAGGAGAAAGATGCAGGCTGGGAGGCTAAGCTAGTCTATCTAGCCTTTTCACGTTTTTTTTTTTTTTTTCTGTCTGCCTTATATTCTAGCTGCACTGGCAGCTGATAAGATGGTGCCCACCCAGATTAAGGGTGGGTCTGCCTTTCCCGGAACACTGACTCAAATGTTTATCTCCTTTGGCAGCACCCTCACAGATACACCCATGATCAATACTTTGCATCCTTCAATCCAATCAAGTTGACACTCAGTATTAACCATCACAGAATAGTAGGAAACACAGCCCAATAGGTCTGCACAGCTACAACCATTAGTTCTGCCATTGTGTCATGGACTTATTAACTGATTCTTTAAATTTTATTTGTATGTATTCCAGACTTTTTCCAATGAATACTCTAAAAGGCTAAAAAAAATTAATTTTCAGCTTTACCTCTAAAACAGTATTGTTCTCACTTTGTTAGAACACTTTAACTAGAAGGAAGTACAATACAGTTTTAAAATAATGTCATAAAATGTGTGTATACACACTCATATTCATGTATGTATACATATAAGTACATACCTATATATTGCATTGACATACTGGACCTGGCATTTCCTATCATTGCCATTCTGAAGTAGATAGACATTTATTACATTATTACATGTTTCTATTATCTTTTTTATTGGTGGTTTATCACACTAAAACAGAAAATGTCAATTTATTTGGCTATCTTCCTACTAGACTAAAAGCTCCTTAAGGAAAAGAGCCATGTTTACTTTGACTTTATATAACCAGCACTTAATACTATGCCTTCTATAATAAGTAAATAGTGTTTGTTGGATAACTATATTCATTTCAACAAATAATGAACAATTCATTCTTTTAGATTTACATGTTAGAGTCAGTAGGGAGTTTGGTTTACAGGAGTGTTCATGGAAACTATGGTTTATTGAGTGTTTAATATACGCCAAGCACTTATGCTATCTCACTTAGTCTTTACAGGGTTACAGGGTGTTACTATACTCCCTTTTTTATAGACTAATAGCAACTAGCACAAGTCACTAGTTAAGCACTGACAGATTAAAACAGATGTACCTGACTCCAGAACATTCCCCTTCCATTATCGAAATATTTGAGCTGTTTTTAGATGGAAAGAGTAAAAAAATTGAAAGAAACCAAGAGATATTTGCCATTTGATAGGAAACAGAACTGAGATCAACTTATCCACCAACATGAAGTTTTACAGCCACTGGAAACTTTCTGTTGTTGTTGTTTTTTTTTTCAGTAAACATTTTTACATGTTAAACAGTACAGAGGAATAGAACAAAAGGCATTGATTTATAAAGTAAATTATTTCTGCTTTTATTTTTAAATTACAAATTATTTTAAATGTAACGCTGTATTTTAAAGATGGTTAAAGTGAAGGCTGACTGGGCAAATTGATTTTAATGTCTACTGGGGAGTCACCAAGTTATACTGGAATTAGATCTTTAGGAATAGAACTTTTGGAGTTATGCTTTTAATTCTACCTAGCATATTGTTTGACTTTTAAGAATATTTGATCAAGTAATTTATTGTACTACCAGTAATCAAATGAAGCATTTGTTATGTAGTTTCATCTTGGTATATAATTAATTTTAATATGACCAGGAAGCAAGTACATGTAAACAACTATGGTAAGGAATATTTTGAGATGCTACTGCTCTTATAGTTCTTATTTATTTATTTATTTATTTATTTATTTATTTATTTGAGACAGAGTCTTTCTCTGTTATTCAAGCTGGAGTGTAGAGGCACAGTCATAGCTCCCTGCAGCCTCAAACTATTTGGCTCAAGCCATCCTCCCACCTTAGCCTCCCAAGTAGCTGGGATTACAGGTGTGAGCCAATGAGTCCAGCTATGATAGTTCTTTAACTGATACTCATGGACGCCTGGTTATGTGGAAGAGTTTGAATGTCAGTGAATCACATAAAATTCTTGCAGAATTTAGTGCACATGTACTTTTTTTTTCTGGGGAGGAGATCCATAGATTTTATTAGATTTGTTAAAGAGTTTTTGACTTCTACATGTTTAAGAGCTGCTGTTAAATGAAATCTTGTTCTGACTCTAATCTTTTTTTGTTCATTTATGTATGAGACCAGAATATAGAATTGTTATGTTCCCTAAAAAAACTGTTTACAGACAACTTTTACAAATTGACTTAATGTAATTTCAGATTAATATTTGTCAGTGGCTTTTAAAGCTGCATTCCATTTGTCTGTTCTTTTCCATTCCATTCAGATATTTCATAACTATGTGCTAAGAGATTTAGCTTTAATATAATTTTGTTATAATTTGAGTAATTTTCTCTTAATTAGTTTAGCTATTTTGGGATGAGGAATTTAATGTGTAGTCTTTTTGTTAATTCATATGTTTGTCAAATTGCTAAGATGTATATTACTGAAGATCAGTTTTAGTTTCTTAATTTTTTTGCTTTTATTATAAGTAATTTTCTTATGGGAGAAAATGTATTTTCATTTTGACAATATACATCAAGTTATTGGGCTGATTTTACAAGTGTCATTAAAAATTATTTTTTACATGAATGTTTTTGGAGTGCACTCTCCAAAATTAGTTTTTTCATTGCATTTTAGGTAAGAAGATTGCTGTATCAACTCAAGAAAGCAGTAACTTCACTGTCTTTGTATTTTGAATTGCAACAACAACTTTGATATCAACAATGAAGCAATGATATCTAAGAACAAAAGAGTATTTGCCAACAGTCATCATAATATCAAGTGATTGTATAAGCAGAAACAAGCTGTCACAGACCTGTGCGTCAGCTAATATATGGAGAATGCTTTCTTCTGATACTATTTACTTAGAGGCAGTTTTAATATAAATCATTTCAATTATATCTACATCAAATAAAATAAAAATGAGTGAAGCCCCCAGATTCTTCGTTGGACCAGAAGATACAGAAATAAATCCTGGAAATTATCGACATTTCTTCCACCATGCAGATGAAGACGATGAGGAGGAAGATGATTCTGTAAGTTGTTTGTTTTTCCTTTGGCGAGAGAAGACCAATACAGTATAGGCTTTTTACTAATCACTGTTAGTCTTTTTTTGTTGGAAAATTTTTGAACTGAAAAAGTATATTTTGTTTCATGACTGATGTTGTTGAATCTATGATGAATCAATAAATACAGTTATGGGTCAAACCTTTATGTTGTTTAATGATGCCTATTTTAGTTTCTTTCAGTGATACGCATAGTGTAACTCAGTGTTAGGTAACAAAAGTGGCAAAGAGAAACAGTAATCTGGGCCATAAATCCAAAAGCTTTCTTGTATGTAGAAATACATAACAAATAATTGAAGATAGGTGGAAGGAAATAATTTTAAAGTTACAAAAGAAGAAGGATTACTTAAATAGATTCATTAAGCTTCTGTTACCAATGTGAGTTCTGGTTGAACCGAAGATACTCATATTTATTAACTTCAGAAGTCTGAAAACTGAGTGGCTAGAAGGGTAGGCTACCTAAAAAGTATCTATGTGTTTGTGTGTGTGTCTAAAACTTGTTCTCTTTCTGATATCATGTTCTATCCATACTGGATCTTAGGAATGATATATATTTATTATGCTCATTTTGCTATAGTTACATTAGACCAATATTTTTCTTACTCATCATTTAATTTTTTAAGTAGAGATTGCTTTACTGTGAATACTGATTTAAAATACAGACCTACAGTATGTGTTTGTTTTTCATATATTTCTAATTGGAAAGAGAATTTAGTTTTAAGAGAAAAACCTGTTCTATTTTGTAAAAATAGTAAAAACAAACCAAAAATATTGATTAGATGACTCTTTAAGCCCCTTTTTATATTAACAATATCTTTCACAGTGGAGTTACACATATCTGAAATGCAAACTCTACTGTTAACTCATTTAAAACCTTCAACGCAGAGCACCTTTGCTACCTCCTGCCCCTGAAAAACTAGATTTTCAGGCAGGCTTCTCTTACCAGCTCAAACTTTTCTTCATCTGAAGTTTTATCTAGAAGTCCTATAAGTAAAACATGAAAGCAGAGCGTCTCTGGCTCACTTAAACTAGAAAGCACTATTGACTCAGCCTCTACTACCTTTGTCCCCTTTTTCTAGAGTTTTTCTGAACATGGTATGAACACCACTAGCAGATCAAAGCCAGGCTTCTTACATGTAAAGGCTTTTATGTCTCATCTATATCTACATCCATACCTCTCTCCCATTCTTTCTACCCTCTATGTTTTAGTAACATCAAAATTTTTATTTCCACATATTTATTGTCATACCATGCGTCTTTGCTATTGTATGTACTCTTTTACCTCTCTGAAATGACCTTATTTTGGGATACCTTGTGAATTATTTTTCATTCTTCCAAACCCTCCCCAGATTTCACATCATTGACTCTTTCCATTCTCTTTGCTCTTTTTCCCATCACAGATTGGAATACTTCTTCCTCATTACTGTGTCTTTACGTTGCTGTATATACAGTTGTCCTTCAATATCCATGGGGGATTGGTTCTAGGACTCCCTGTGGATACCAAAATCTGCAGATGCTGAAGTTCTTTTTATAAAATTATGTGATATTTACATGTAAGCTGCATCTACCCATGTTTTAAATCATCCCTAAATTACTTATATCTAATACAATATAAATGCTGTGTAAATAGTTGTTATACTGTATCATTTAGGGAATAATAATAAGAAATATAGTCTGTATATGTTCAGTACAGATGCTTTTTTTCCCCCCAAATATCTTCAATACATGATTAATTGAATCCATGGATGTAAAACCCATGGATATGGAGGGCCAACTGTACTTCTATTCCATGTATCACAATTTATTTTATTATTACTGTGTTCCCTGTTAAGGACAGGTAATTCTGTATATCTAATCTTCAGTGCATAGTATGATGCACTATTATCACTTTACAGAAGCTTGATTTAGTTCATTTGATGTATAGCTTTATATTTATAAAATTATTTATTCCAGATCATTCTCCTGTTTTTAAGATTTCTCTCCTGTTTTTAAGACTTCAAAGATGTGACTATAGTTTTTTTAGACATTCAACCTAACAAAATACCTCAGATCTGTTTAAAAAATTATCTTCATGATTTTAAGGTTTTACCTAACAGAGAAACTCTGCGATTGTGCCTTAAGAATGTAAGTTTATTTATACATTTTAAACTTGAATGGTTCCCATTCATCTTAGCCAGTGAGCAGATATTCATTAAATAGATTTATAATAAATAAGACAATATATTAGCATTTAAAAAAATTGTAAAGCAATGTGAAATGTTAGGTTAGAGTACATTTGTTGTCTGGGGAAATCTACTTTAGGAACATTATAATGAACTGTACCAAAACTTTTGATCAGGAAAGCATTGAATAAGGGCATATAAAAGTGGATGTTCAGAGGGATAAATACAGAAGATTCCAGGAGAGTTAGCATTTATAATCTATTTGATTTACCAATCAACTCTAGTACAATTTGAACTCTACATTTCATGAGTTTGAGGAGACAATACAGAAATACTGTTCTAGGCATAAAAAAAGAACAATTTAGGCTGGGCGTGGTAGCTCACGCCTGTAATCCCAGCACTTTGGGAGGCCGAAGCAGACAGATCATGAGGTCAGGAGATCGAGACCATCCTGGCTAACACGATGAAACCCCATCTCTACTAAAAATACGAAAAAAAAAATTAGCTGGGTGTGGTGGTGCATGCCTGTAGTCCCAGCTACTTGGGAGGCTGAGGCAGGAGAATTGCTTGAACCCGGGAGGCGGAGGTTGCAGTGAGCTGAGATTGCGCCACTGCACTCCAGCCTGGGCGACAGAGCGAGACTTTGTCTCAAAAAAAAAAATTAATTAATTAATTCTGATGTTATCCAATTTTATTTTTAGTTATATTAAGAAAAAGCCCAGAAAAGCACTTTCAAGCCTAGATTATAATGTTGTATGAAATATATAAAGTATCATGCAAGAAAGAAAAATTGAAATGAGAACCTCAACACAGCTTTTGTATATTTGATAAAACTCTCAAGCACTTAAATGCAAAGATCACCAAATGAATCTTGAGTAATTTTATAAATCTAGGAGCTACTCATAAATCAGTTTCTATATCCTGCTTTTTAAGTTTTAGGCTGAATTGTGGCCTTTGAGCTGTTACGAGGATGCCAGAGATCAGTAACACCAATGAGTAGGAGTTTTGACTATGAAGACAGGAGGGGCAAAGAGACTTGACACCTCTGTTAGCAGTGTGGCTTTCTTTAAAATTTTCTTCCAAGTTGTCATCAGTGACCAACTAATATTCAAGTGCAAACTACAATAATAGTTTAATACTTATAGCTTTGTAGTCAGGACTATGTCTTACTTTAGGCAAGAGAATTCTTTATCTTTCTACATAGAGTGGATGGGTTTTGACTGTTATTATACTTTACTGGTGTGAGGAGGATAAATAAATGCTAGAGGTAGTTAAAGAGGGGGTACTTTCTTAGTTTGAAATTTCATTGAAAATAGCAACCATATTTATTCTGAAAGTGTTTTTGTTTTTAAATTTGTTTCCAGACTTTTGTAGAAAACTGTTTTTTAAATGTTTATTATAACAATGATATAATTTTTAAAAATTCCTTTGTTTGTTAATGTGTCACTTTTATTTATTAATCACATGCCTTATCTACTTTTGGAAAACAAATGAAGATAGCTGTACTTTGGAGTTCATGTAAAGTTAACCCGATTTTTTGTTTCATTTTTGTTTTAGCCACCAGAAAGGCAGATTGTGGTTGGAATATGTTCCATGGCAAAGAAATCCAAATCCAAACCAATGAAGGAAATTCTTGAACGGATCTCCTTATTTAAATATATCACAGTAGTAGTATTTGAAGAGGAGGTTATTTTGAATGAACCAGTGGAAAACTGGCCTTTATGTGATTGTCTTATTTCTTTCCATTCTAAAGGTATTAAGGGGAGTGGGGGAGAAACTCCTTTATCCTCTCTGTTTATAAAACTAATACATATTAATTGTAGACTATGAGATAAAACAGAAAAATAAACATTAACTCACTTTCATGGACAGGTAATATTAACATTGTGATATATTTCTTTCCAGTGTTTGTCTTCTATGTGTATTATCATTTAATTTAGTGTCATAGTGTATGTGTAATTTTATATTTAACCTTTTTCACTATTATATCAAGAAGTTTTTTTCCCCTACCATGTCATTCTTAGATAATGTGGTTTTTAATGGTGGCATAGTATATCATTGTGTGGATATACCATAACATATTTAAATTTATCCAATATCCTAACATTTGGAAAGTTTCCAGTTTTCACTATTAAAAATAAGGTTGTGTGATCTTTTTCACTGCATATTTTTGTTTGCATCTCTAAGTTTCTTAGGACAAGTTCTTGAATTATTGAATACTTTAAGCCCCTTTCTATGCTTTATAGAACAAGATCTATCATTTTTCATATACATATTCATACTTTATTTTTAAGAACTTAATAATTTGAGATTTTTAGACATTCCTTGCTATATCTTATTAATCAAACTGAAATATCACTTCAGCTTAAGTATTATGTCATTGTAAATTCCACTAATCAAAATTATTGCTGAGGGTACATCTGAAAATTGATAGCCTAAGAATCTGTGAATTAAGTGAATTTCCCACTAAGAACTATTAATTGAAAAGATGTGCTCTCAGTTGTAAATGTATTCATATTTAATCATCACTTGTTACCAAAATATGTTCTCCTGAGCTATGTTAAAGTCTTACTTCAGCAAGAAGAAGATGGAGCATGGTTTTGCTACCATAGCCTAAATTGATGTTCATTATTTCATAGAGAAGTCAAGACACTGATCTTCAAAGACTCAGGCTGCTCATTTTAGAGAACCTTAAAATTTCTTCCTCCTTGAGAGTAAAGCATTCTTCCCTTACCCTCACATGGTTCTTCCTATTAGTGTTATATTTGCCTGTAAAAACTGGGTGTTATAGCTAATGTCATATTCCACATACCATCTCTTGGTAGGGAAAAAGTTTCTCTTTAACAAAAACAAAAGCAGGAAACTGTGTAGGTGTTTTCTATTTGCTGAATTCTGTAAGGAGGCTTCAAATCATAGACATTGAGACATCTTTACAAGCGATGAATTCTGAGAGTCTTTATAAAACTTTCAGGATTTGTAATTTGTGGCTAAGTGGTTCTTGATATAAGGTATCTGTATTTAAATTTTAAAAACTAAGAGGAGTTTAGGAATAAATCTGATTTAACTGGCCACAGCTTTTTGTTTTAATTTCAGCATGTTTTAATACTTTTTCTCTTAACTATTCTGGTAGTACTATAAAATATAGTCTCTTCACAGGTATACTTAGTATTCCATAGTTGAATACTAAAGTTATGTATGCTTGCTGATTTTTATCCTTTTCCATAGATATTTATTAAAATATTGCCTCTTAAGGAATAATAACAGGTAACATTTATTGAGCACTTACTATGCCAGGTACTGTGCTTAGTGCCTTATATCCACACTATTATTAATTCCTCAAAACTCTACTAGGTAAGACTGGTATACTACTCTTTTGTGCTGGTACCAGAGGCTTAGAGACGTTAAATAAATTTGCCCAAGGTCACATAGCTAGTGAGAGATGGAACCAGGATTTGAACGCTGGTTTATGTCTTTAACTGTTACGGTATACAACTGATGATGTGTATTGATGGATAAAATTGGAGACTTTGTGTCAATTTTTTTTTTCCCCCTGGAGGACAGGGTCTTGCTGTGTCAACTAGGCTGGAGTGCAGTGGTATAGTCATAGCTCCCTGTAACCTCAAACTCTTGGGCTCAAGTGATCCTCCCACCTCAGCCTCCTGAAGGATAGAACTACAGGTTGCACCACTACCCTCAGCTGATTCTTTTGAATTTTTTGTAGAGATGGGATCTTGCTATGTTGCCCAGGCTGGTGTTGAATTCCTGGCATCAAGCACTCCTCCCAACTCGGCCTCCCAAAGTACTGGGACAGGCAAGAGCCACTGCACCTGGCATTAGTGCCAATATAGAGAATAAAATACAATCATTAAAATTTTTTAGATTTTGGGGGAGGGGACCTGTTCTTCACTATATCTACTATTTGATTTGTTTTCATTGTAATTAGTACTTTTACCAGTCTACAAGTTTTAGGGACTTAATTTCTAATATTTTAATGTTGACCTAGCAATAGCATGATTCTGCTCATATATTTTGAGCATATATGTCATATATGAATTAAGTTTTGCTTCTGTAGCTTTTTTTTTTTTTTTTTTTTTGAGATGGAGTCTTGCTCTGTTGCCCAGGCTGGAGTACAATGGCACGATCTCCACTCACCGCAACCTCCACCTCCTGGATTTGAGTGATTCTCCTGCTTCAGCCTCCTAAGTATCTGGGATTACAGGTGTGCGCCACCACACCTGGCTAATTTTTTGTAATTTTAGTAGAGATGGGGTTTCACCCTGTTGGCCAGGCTGGTCTCGAACTCCTGACCTCAGGTGATCCACCTGCCTCGGCCTCCCAAAGTGCTGGGATTATAGGCGTGTGCCCCCATGCCTGGCCCACTGTTTTTAAAGGCACATAAGTCTTTGAATATCAGCTAATTTATGTGTGTAGGCATCAAAATATCTAAGTGAAAAGAAGAGATGTTGAATACATTTTTTAAAAATCACCAGGTGATTCTGATACACCCATGTTATTTACATATAGATTTCTCTTTGTGTATGAGGTGAATCTTACCTTATTTCAGGTGACTGACTAGTCAGACCTTCACTCACATGTCAGTGCTCCAAATTTGGTTATATAACCACTGGTTTGTTGTGCCTTAATCAAATTATGAAAAAATAAGATTTAATATATAAGTTAAATCAAGGTTTATGTATATATTCCATACCTTTTATAGAAGGGTGTTATGTGTTAATGAAATGAATCTTTTATGGGAGGTGGCATCAATTCAAGTTAATAAAGTATAGATGCTTATCTTGAGATAATACAGAATATGTTAATAATATGTGTTCTTAGGATTTCCACTGGACAAAGCGGTTGCCTATGCAAAACTCAGGAATCCATTTGTAATCAATGACTTGAATATGCAGTATCTCATACAAGATAGGTGAGTGGTGAAGTTGGCTGAATTAAGGGAAGGAAAAATAACATTAATTTAGTACCTACTGTACACTGACATGGCATCAGGTGTTTTTGCATTATTAATTCATTGTACTTTCAAAATAATACTCAGAAATAGTTATTTATTACCTAATTTTACAGATGAGGAATCTTGATAATTAGGAAGATTGATTAATCTACCCAAAGTCACAAGTTCCCCACGTAGTAGGACAAAGACTTAACCGAGATTGTTTAATTTCCAGAGCCTACTAAACCATTCAAACTTATGAGCACTTTTTCTGTCATGGGACTGATGATGAAATTAGGACTTTACTCATTATAACTAGATTTTTTTTTTTTTTTTTGAGATGGAGTCTGGCTCTGTCGCCCAGTCTGGAGTGCAGTGGCGGGATCTCAGCTCACTGCAAGCTCCCCCTCCCGGGTTCCCGCCATTCTCCTGCCTCAGCCTCCCGAGTAGCTGGGATTACAGGCGCCCGCCACCACGCCCAGCTAATTTTTTGTATTTTTAGTAGAGACAGGGTTTCACCGTGTTAGCCAGGATGGTCTCGATCTCCTGACCTTGTGATCCGCCTGCCTCGGCCTCCCAAAGTGCTGGGATTATAGGTGTGAGCCACCGCACCCGGCCTATAACTAGATTTTTTAAATGGTAAAGTATACCTATTTTGAAAAATATTATACTGTATATCTTAGCATTCATTTAACAGGTAAAAAGCATGGATTTCTAATAAATTATAAAATATGAGTGTATTTATGTATTTCATTCAATCAATGTTTCACTCCTATAGCTATTCTCATAATCTCACCAGCATTCTATTTTCTTGTTTTACCATTACAATATGAGATTTTATGTGTATGAAAAATGCTTTGTAAATATGAGACCTTATGGTTTTTTCACTTTATTTTTTTCTATTCTTCCAGAGAGTAACATTATTAATATCTAAAATTTAAAACATTTTCTCTACATTTACATATTAATTCATATATATGTGTTTTTATATATACAGCTATAGCTATAGAAATGTATGTTCGTTTTAAATGGTTTGAAAAGTAAAAGCGTACCGAAAGCCATTTAATCGTCACTGTATCTATCATATTTTTTTCCTATAGAAAACAATACATACATAACAATCACATTTTACCAAATTAGAATCACTTTTCTCTAGTATGCTGTGAACATTTCTCCATGTCATTAAATACTATTTAAGCATAAGGCTTTTAATGCTTAGGTAATGTTCTATCATTGTGATAATATCAACTTTATTCAGCCATTTTTAAAATACATTTATGTTCTCAGTTTTAATAATTAGTTTCTCAATAAGCTAGAAAAGAATTGTGCATAAATTTGTGTTCTTATTGCTGAATATTTCCTCAGAATACCTTTTTTGAATATTCGAAGTGACATTTGTTTATTTAAAAAATAAAAAGTGTTGAGATATATACCCTTTTTAGTTATAGAACAACAATAATGTCTTTTAAGAAAACTACAATAATATATTCATTGTGAAATGGAGCAATAAAACAATAAGGATGTTTCCCTTTTTCTTCAGGAGAGAAGTATATAGTATTCTTCAAGCTGAAGGTATTTTACTTCCTCGTTATGCTATTTTGAACCGTGACCCAAATAATCCCAAAGGTAAGAGTAAGAGATTTTAGGTAAGCTTCCTTTGCCACTTGACATACTTTTGGGCCACATTCTTACAATAATTAACTGGAAGGAATTTAAAGAATTCATAGTATTCTATTCCATTTTAAAAAATAATCTAAACAGACAAACATATTCAATTAAAAGGTGACACTGAGTTAAAAGGCTACCTAATAATTTAGGAATTATTTATCCTTCTCTTCTTTGGCCTACTTTTGACATATCTCTAAGAATCATGAGTTAGAATTTTGAAATTACATACAAGTAAATGTGTATTGATTAAAGGTGAACAAGTGATTTATCTATGACTATTGAATTAAGTATTAGAAACTTCATGCTACAATGCCAAAAACTAAATACTGGCCAAGAATTTGGAAATACAGTTGGCCCTGGAACAGCATGTGTTTGAACTGTGCTGGTCTGCTTATTCATGGAATAAACATGAATTGAAAATACGGAATTCGTGGGTCCCACATATACTGATAGCCAACTTTTCATTTACATGGATTCTGCAGAGCCAACTGTGGGACTTGAGTATGTGAAGATTTTGGTATACGAGGGGGTTCCTGGAACCAGTCACCGCGTATGACAAGGGGCAACAGTACTTCTAAGTATTTATTAATATTTTAAAGCACTGTTTGCTCCTTTTTTTCTGGTTATCTAAAACATAGCATGGAAGCTATACCTAACTTAGTCACAAGGCAAAATACGTGTTTGTCTTGAGTTAACATTTCTGTTCACACTTAGTATTGTGGGGAATTTTGATGAATTTATCATACCTTAAACCATCTTTTATTAAAAACTAGGGGGGAGGCAGAACAAGATGGCCAAATATACCCTCCAGTGATTGTCCCACTCCCCACAGGAACACCAAATTATAAACTAGCCATGCAAGAATGCACCTTCATAAGAACCAAAAAATTAGTCCACCAAGGTGGTGCCTCTAGGAGTCAGCAAGAGTTTGTAGCATTCCTGGACTTAGGGCGCCCCCTAGTGCTAATACAGCTGCAGTGACCTCAGGCTTAGATCATAACACTTAGTCTTTTTTGAATATGTGGAAAGCTTTCTCAAGAAGGATGGATACAAACAAGCCCAAACGGTGAAGACTGAAATAAATACCTAACTTGTAAATACCCAGACATCAGTGAATGTCTACAAGCATCAAGAACATCCAGAAAAATGTGACCTCACCAAACAAACTAAATAAGGTACCAGTTACCAATCCTGGAGTGATGGAGATATGTGACCTTTCAGACAGAGAATTCAAAATAGCTGTCCTGAGGAAGCTCAAGAACTTCAGTGTAACATGGAGAAGGAATCAGAATTGTATCATGAGAAATTAACAAGGAGATTGAAATAATTCAAAACAAGCCAAAATTCTGGAACTGAAAAATTCAGTTGACAAACTGAAATATATATCAAAGCCTCTCAACAGCAAAGTGGATCAAGTAGAAGAATTAGTGAGCTTGAAAACTGGCTATGTGAAAATCCATAGCCAGAGGAGAAAGAGAGGAAAAGAATGAAACACACTTACAGGACTAAAGAGACCTGAGAGAGGAGCTTGAACAAACTTCCCAGGTAGCACTTTTCATCTTTTTAGCCCACTCCTTTCTTCGTTTTTCTTTAAGAACTTTGGGACCTACGTAGTTAATAAGGGGAAGGGAAAATGTTAAAAAAAAAAAAAAAAATCTTAAAAATAGCCTCAAAGGGACAAATCCAAGAATTAGTGCTCTTAAAGAGAACATAGATCATGGTAGAAAGTTTATTGAAATAAGCAATAACAGAACTTTCCAAACCTAAAGAAAGATACGAATATGCATAGGTCATAGAAGAATATGAAGATTTAACCCAAATAAGACTATCTCAAGGCATATATTAATTAAACTCTCAAAGGTCAAGGATAAACAAAGATCCTTAAAGCACCCAGAGAATAGATGTATATAACATGTAAAGAAGCTCTGATACAACTGGCAGCTGACATCTAAGCAGAAAGCTTATAGGCTAGGAGAGAGTGTGATGGCATTCAAAGTGTTGAAGGAAAAACAAAACTTCCAACCTAGAATATTCTATTCAGCAAAATTATCCTTCAGGCCGGGCGCGGTGGCTCACGCCTGTAATCCCAGCACTTTGGGAGGCCGAGGCGGGCGGATCACGAGGTCAGGAGATCGAGACCACGGTGAAACCCCGTCTCTACTAAAAATACAAAAAATTAGCCGGGCGCAGTGGCGGGCGCCTGTAGTCCCAGCTACTCGGGAGGCTGAGGCAGGAGAATGGCGTGAACCCGGAAGGCGGAGCTTGCAGTGAGCGGAGATCGCGCCACAGCACTCCCGCCTGGGCGACAGAACGAGACTCCGTCTCAAAAAAAAAAAAAAAAAAAAATTATCCTTCAAACATGAAGACATAATATACTTTACTAAACAGAAACTGAGGGATTCATGAATTACCAGTATCATGGAATTTTTCTGTCCTTATAGGACAGGATAGGAAAAAGATCTTACAGATCTTTTACAGGAAATGCTAAAAGGAGTTCATCAATCTGATAGAAAAAGACGTTAAAAATAAGAAATCATCTGGGCCGGGTGCAGTGGCTCACGTCTGTAATCCCAACACTTTGGGAGGCCGAGGTGGGTGGATCACGAGGTCAGGAGATCGAGACCATCCTAGCTAACGTGGTGAAACCCCGTCTTGTGTCCGGAATTGGTGGGTTCTTGGTCTCACTAATTTCAAGAATGAAGCCGCAGACCCTCGCGGTGAGTGTTACAGCTCTTAAGGTGGCACGTCTGGAGTCTGTCCCTTCCGATGTTCAGATGTGTTTGGAGTTTCTTCCTTCTGGTGGGTTCGTGGTCTCGCTGGCTCAGGAGTGAAGCTGCAGACCTTCGCGGTGAGTGTTACAGCTCTTAAGGTAGCGCGTCTGGAGTTGTTCGTTCCTCCCGGTGGGCTCTTGGTCTTGCTGGGCTCAGGTGTGAAGCTGCAGATCTTCGCGGTGAGTGTTACAGCTCGGGCAGCCTGCTTTTATTCTCTTATCTGGCCCCACCCACATCCTGCTGATTGGTAGAGCCGAGTGGCCTGTTTTGTCAGGGCACTGATGGGTGCGTTTACAATCCCTGAGCTAGATACAAAGGTTCTCCACGTCCCCATCAGATTAGTTAGATACAGAGTTTCGACACACAGGTTCTCCAAGGCCCCACCAGAGCAGCTAGATGCAGAGTGTCGATTGGTGCATTCACAAACCTTGAGCTAAACACAGGGTGCTGATTGGTGTGTTTACAAACCTTGAGCTAGATACAGAGTGCCGATTGGAGTATTTACAATCCCTGAGCTAGAAATAAAGGTTCTCCAAGGCCCCACCAGAGAGCTAGATACAGAGTGTAGATTGGTGCACTCACAAACCTTGAGCTAAACACAGGGTGCTGATTGGTGTATTTACAATCCCTGAGCTAGACATAAGGACTCTCCACCTCCCCACCAGACTCAGGAGCCCAGCTGGCTTCACCCAGTGGATCCCGCACCAGGGCTGCAGGTGGAGCTGCCTGCCAGTCACGCGCCGTGTGCTCGCACTCCTCAGCCCTTGGGTGGTCGATGGGACTGGGCGCCGTGGAGCAGGGGGTGGTGCTCGTTGGGGAGGCTCGGGCCGCACAGGAGCCCATGGAGTGGGTGGGAGGCTCAGGCATAGCAGGCTGCAGGTCCCGAGCCCTGCCCTGCGGGAAGGCAGCTAAGGCTCGGTGAGAAATCCAGCGCAGCGCCGGTGGGCTGGCACTGCCGGGGGACCCAGTACACCCTCCGCAGCCACTGGCCCGGGTGCTAAGTCCCTCATTGTCCAGGGCCAGGCTGGCCGGCTGCTCCGAGTGCGGGGCCCGCCAAGCCCAAGCCCACGCCCACCCAGAACTCCAGCTGGCCCGCAAGCACCGCCCCGCAGCCCCAGTTCCCGCTCGCGCCTCTCCCTCCACATCTCCCTGCAACCTGAGGGAGTGGGCTCCAGCCTTGGCCAGCCCAGAAAGGGGCTCCCACAGTGCAGCGGCGGGACGAAGGGCTCCTCAAGCGCCGCCAAAGTGGAAGCCCAGGCAGAGGAGGCGCCAAGAGCGAGCGAGGGCTGTGAGGACTGCTAGCACGCTGTCACCTCTCAGTCTCTACTAAAAATACAAAAAAAATTAGCCGGGTGTGGTGGCGGGCGCCTGTAGTCCCAGCTACTCGGGAGGCTGAGGCAGGAGAATGGCATGAACCCAGGAGGCGGAGCTTGCAGTGAGCCAAGATGGCGCCACTGCACTCCAGCCTGGGCGAGTGAGCAAGACTCCGTCTCAAAAAAAAAAAAAAAATTCAAGAAATCATCTGAATGTGTAAAACTCACTGGTAATAGCAAGTACACAGATAAATACATAATACTCTAACACTGTCATTGTGGTGTACAAACCTCTTATATATTTCATAAGAAGACTAAAAGGCAAACCTGTCAGAAATAATAACTACAACAACTTTTTACGAGTATAGAAACATAAAAATAGAGACAACAAAAAGTCAAAACATGGATGGGGGGAAATGGAGTTAAAATGTAGAGTTTTTAAAATTTTCTTTTTATTTTCTTTGTAATCAGAGTTAAGTTGTCATCAATTTAAAATAATTGTAATAAAATGTTATTTGTAAGCCTTATGGTAATCACAAAACAAAAACCTGTAACAGATACACAAAAAATAAAAAGAAATTAAAACATACTACCAGAGAGAATTACATATGTGTAGTATTTGAGATAGGGTCTTGCTCTTCACCCATGTTAGAGTGAAGTGGCGTGATCACTTTTCACTGTAGCCTCGACTCCCAAGTGATTCTCGCACTTCAGCTTCCTGAGTAGCTGGGACTACAAGCACAAGCCACCAGACCCAAGTAATTATTTTTTGTAGAGACAGGATCTCACTGTGTAGCCCAGGCTGGTTTCAAAACTCCTTGGCTCATGTGATCCTCCTGTCTCAGACTCCAGAAGTGCTGGGGACCATCATGCCCCGGCAGAAAATCACTTTGCCACAAAGGAAGATAGGTCAGGAAGGAAGGAAGGGAGGACAAAATAATGGAAACCTCAGAAAACAAATGCCAAAATAGCAGAAGCAAGTCTTTACCTATCAGTAATAACGTGAATGCAAATGAGCTGAATTCTTGCAACAAAACACTTAGAGTTGCTAAATGGATTAAAAAATAAGATCCAACTCTATACTCTCTACATATGATCATTTCAATTGATGGAGAAAAAGCATTTGATAAAATTAAACATCCCTTCATGATAAAATCTCTCAAAAAACTGGGTATGGAATGAACTTACCTCTATGTGATAAAAGCGCTATATGACAAACCCACAGCTAACATTATACTGAACAGGGAAAAGGTGAAAATATTTCCTCTAAGAATTGGAACAAGACAAGGATGTCTACTTTCATCTCTTTTATTCAACATAATACTGGAAATTATAGCCAGAGAAATTAGGGAAGAGAAAGAAATAAAGGGCATCCAAATTGAAAAAAAAGGAGTTACATTATTCTTGTTTATAGATGATATGATCTTACAGTTAGAAAATCCTAGAGTCTTTACCACAAAACTATTAGAACAAGTTCAGTAAAGTTGCAGGATACAATATTAACTTACAAAAATCCATAGCATTTCTATATGCGAACAGCAAACAATCTGAAAAAGAAACTAAAAAAAAAAAGTAATCCCATTTACAATAGCTACAAATAAATTAAATACCTCGGAATTCACTTAAAGAAATGAAAGATCTCTTCTACAATGAAAACCATAAAATGCTGATGAAAAAAATTGAAGAGAACACACAAAAAAATGGAAAAATACTCCATTTTCATTGATTGAAAGAATCAGTATTGTTAAAATTGCCATACTACCCAAAGCCATCTACAGATTCAATGCAGTCAGAATAGCAAAGACATTCTTCACAGAAATAGAAAAAAAATACTAAAATTTATATGGAACCACAAAAAACTCAGAATAGCCATAGCCAGCCTGAGCAAAAACAACAAAACTGGAGGAATCACATTATTTGACTTCAAGTTGTACTGCTAAGCTATAGTAACCAAAACAGGATGGTACTGGCATCAAAATATAGACCAATGGAACAGAATGCAGAATCCAGAAAAAAATATACACATTTGCAGTTAACTCATTTTCGACAAAGTTGACCAGAATGTCCACTGGGGATAGGACAGTGTCTTCAGTAAGTAGTGTTGGGAAAACTTGATATCTATATCCAGAATCAAATTAAGCCCCTATCTCTCTCCATATACATAATCAAAATGGATTAAATACTTAAATCTAAGACCTGAAGCTATGCAACTACTAAAAGAAAACATTGTAGAAACACTCCAGGATACTGGTCTGGGCAAAAATTTCTTGAGTAAGACCTCAGAAACCCAGGCAACCAAAGCAAAAATATACCAATGGGATCATATCAACCTAAAAAACTTCTGCACAGCAAAGGAAACAATACAGTGAAGAGACAGTCCACGGAATGGGAGAAGATATTTGTAAACTACCCATTTGACAAGGGACTAATAACCAGAATATATAAGAAGCTCAAACAGCTCTATAGGAAAAAAAAAATCTAATTAAAATATGGGCAAAAGATTTGAACAGATTTTTCTCAAAGGAAGACATACAAATGGCCAATAGGTATATGAAAATATGCTCAACGTCACCAATCATCAGAGAAATGCAAATCAAATCTGTGATGAGATATCAACTCATCCAAGTTAAAATGGCTTTTATCAAGAAGACAAGCAATAAGAAATGTTTGTGAGGATGTGGAGAAAGGGAATACTGTTGGTGGGAATGTGAATTAGTAAAGCCACTATTGAGAACAAAATGGAGGTTCCTCAAAAAACTAAAAATAGAGCTACCATATGATCTTGCAATCCCACTGCTGGGTATATGTCCAAAAAAGAGGAAATCAGTATATTGAAGAGATATTTGCACTCATGTTTATTGCAGCACCACTTGGAATAGCCAGTATGGAAACAACCTAAGGGTCCATTAATGGATGGATAAAGAAAATGTGGTACCTATAGATAATGGTATATTATTCAGCTATAAAAATAATGAAATCCTGTCATTTGCAACAACATGGATGGAACTGGAGGTCTTATGTTAAGTGAAATAAGCCAGGCAAGAAAGAAAGATTGCATGTTTTCACGTGTGGGAGCTTAAAAAAAAGATGAACTCTTAGAGCTTGAGCATAGAATACTTGTTACTGGAGGGAAGGGTTGCAAGGATGACGGGGATGAAGTGAGGATAGTTAGTGAGTATAGCAACACAGATAGAATAAATAAGATCCAGTATTTGGTAGCACAATAGGGTGACTATAGTTTACAATAATTTATTTTATATTTTGAAATAACTAAAAGTGAAATTAGAATGTTCCTAACACAAAGAAATGATAAATGTTTGAGGTGGTGAATACCCCAACTATTCCAGTTTGATTATTACACATTGTATGCCTGTATCAGAATTTCACGTGGACCACAAAAATATATACAACTACTATGTACCCATGATGATTAAAAATAACATTTAAAAAAGATATAAAGTAATCATCATCTGAAACAAGAAACTTTTCTTGTCTAGAGGTAAAAAATTAACTTTCTAATTGAATTGCTGGCTTACTTTGCATATAAGCTACTTTCTAACTTAAATAACTTCATGTTTTACGATATCTGTGATATGAGTAATCTCACAGTTTTCAGAAGATGGTGGCATTCTTGAGTTACTTCTCAGTCTTTCTTGATATAATAATTTCACATCTAACTTTGAATTCTGTGGTGTGGTAGTGTGAAATGGTAAGTCTGTAAAATTTTGAAGAACTATAGCTTTTAATGCCATACGTATCATAAATGTTGGCACATGTTATTTACATAAACATGGATAATTAAAATCAAGTAAGTACATTATCCAAGTTTTCTTTTATGGTCTTTTAGTGAAAAAGTCCTCGATAATAATGTGGTGTCCTGATAATATAATAAGAATATGTGATATTTCTTGCAATCGTGTTTGTTTTATAGAATGTAATCTGATTGAAGGGGAAGATCATGTAGAAGTAAATGGGGAAGTTTTTCAAAAGCCATTTGTAGAAAAGCCAGTCAGTGCAGAAGATCACAATGTTTACATTTATTACCCAACTTCTGCTGGTGGTGGAAGTCAAAGACTCTTTAGAAAGGTAACACCTTTGTAACTTTTGTATGAATACTCTTCTTTGTACATTGTCGTGTATTATTAAAAGCAATCAAGCATTTAATTACCGTTAAATATTGAACTCTTGAAAATGTATCATTTAGAGGTAAATTTATGAAACTGATATACTTTGTTAGAAAAGCATGGCATCATTTTAGTTATTTAATGTTGTTAAGCAGAATTTCTGCCTGCAGAATGCCAGGAAAGATACTTGACTTTTCTTTTCCCTCCCATTTTGTACATCTGTCAAACTAGAAATTCACTTAAGCAGTAGCAGTCTTTTAGAATAATGGCCCAGAAAAATAACAGCTCATAGAAAAAGTAACACTAATAACTTTACGTACATGAAAGTATACTTAATTGTACTCAAATGCAAATTAAATTGAGATATAATGACATTGTATTACTTTTTGGATTGACAAAGATAAAAAATATTGAGCTAGTTGAGAAATAAGCACAAGACCAAACATTGTTGGCAGAAATACAAAGCAATGTAGCCTCTTAACAATATAATTTAGCAATGTATCAGAATGTAAAATGCATATACATATAGAAATTGATGGCAATTCAAATTAAGAACACAGTGAGATACCATTTTAACATCCATTAAAGTAGCAGATATTAAGAAGCCTAACAATAACAAGTGTAAACAAGGATGTAGAACAGTGAAAACTTACACATTGCTGATGAGACCCTACATTGTTAAAATAGTTGATAAAGATTTTTCATTATCTTCACAAGTTGCATATGAGCACATTCTATTAATGAGCAGTTCCACTTTTATTATATACCTTAGAAACACTCATACATGTTTGCCGTTGGGACACATAAGAATGTTGAAAGCAACATTATTGTAATCACCAAAGCTTGGAAAACAACCTAAACATACATTGATAGGAGAATGGATAAATTCTGGTGTATTTACACAATGGAAAATTCTAGAGTAGTAAAAATGAACAAGCTTGAGTTACATGCAGCAACCTGGATGAATCTTAAGAACATAATTCTTAATGTTCATTGTATTTCTATGTTCTCTAATATATAAGTTATGGTAACAATAGAGACTACTATAGTGCCAAGTATATAGTAAGTTTTGTTAAATATTTGTGGATTAAAAAATGTATTTGAAAATGTCTAAGATGGAAATAGATGGTAAATAAACTATTTGTCATTTTATCATAAAAATGAGGGAAATAATTTGCTTTTTTATATCGATGGACATCTTTTGTTTTCAGATTGGCAGTAGAAGTAGTGTTTATTCTCCAGAAAGCAATGTACGAAAAACAGGCTCATATATATATGAAGAGTTTATGCCCACAGATGGTACTGATGTTAAGGTAGGATTGATTAAAATAGATTTTAGTTTTATATTTCAAGTTTACCAATGATATCAGAAAAAGTAGTTAATCTTTAGCTATATCTAACCTTTATTCTGGATCTCTTTCTTTTTGATTAGGGATTCCTCATGTTTTGTAACAACAACATCTTTAGCAGTCTGAAGCCTATGGACTCTTTTTTAAGAGTAGTGTTTTTAAATGCTTTAAACATGTAAGATTATGATGGAGACAAATTTTATTCAAATATAATAAAATATTTAAAAACCAACTTTGTGTTACACATAATATGTCTTTAAAGGGGCATTAAATAATAAGATACCAGGGATAAAGGTCTAATAACCACCACAGTTTCCAAGCAGTGATTAGTGTAAGTGAGGTTTTGAGATCTGTGACAACTGTGATGTGATATAAAACATGTCTGTCATTTTAGTTGGTGACAAATAGGTCTTAATCGCTTTACCTTCAGCCATTCTCTCTCTAACCAGAATGTTTTCTAAAGTATAAATCTGAGTATGAATCCTTAAAAATTCTCTAGTGGATCCTTATTGACCACAGGATAATAACCAGATTCATAATCCTGCCATACAAGATATTTCAGTCTGTCCTCTCTTTGTCTTATAAACCTCATTTCTTACAGTATAAACTACATCAGATAACTTGCCGATACCTGAATACATCATGCTGTTCATGCCTCTTTCCTTTACTTTTCTTCTCTTACCTGCACTCAGATTATGCCCTCACCCTTTTAAAGATGTTCTTTTGGAAGGTTTTTTTTTTCCTGTAAGTTTTATAGTTATTTGCATCTCTCATTTGTTAAACTAAAACAATTTGAGGAGAGCGATCACATTGTATACATCCTAGTATTCCCTCGTAATACTCAATATAATAGTTTTCTATAGAGAATGAAACTTCACTTTACCAATTTTGCTATATAATGATTACTTACAACCTTTCCCAATGAACTGAAAATTTGGGCATGTAAAATAGAAAGATGTGTCTACTAGCCTGGATTCTGAACTATTTTTTAGTAATTTTTTCATTGTATTTGTTGTCTGTTGGTTACACACACACACACACATACATATATATATTTATACATTTATTAAACATTTGTGAAAGGTTTATACAGTGGGTCCAGATTATGCCCATGCTGAAGCTCGAAAATCTCCAGCACTTGATGGCAAGGTGGAACGAGACAGTGAAGGAAAAGAAGTAAGATACCCTGTTATTCTCAATGCACGAGAGAAATTAATTGCTTGGAAAGTCTGCCTTGCTTTTAAGGTAAGATGTTATACAGGCCTATAGATCCTTATAAAGGTAAATTCTAATTTTCTTTTTTGACTAAGACATTATTGGTGCTTATAATTGGAGAAGTAAACCGAGAAAGTAATTAATACATCTGAATGGTTCATGTACTTTTCAAGGGATTCTTGTGGTGCCAATATATTCTTTTGTATTATATAAAAGAAAACCTGGTCAATTTATTCAGAAATTAAAAATAAAATAAAAATTCAGAAATGACTCAGCTGATCAGTGTTTTAGGGTTATTGTCTAGCATACTTTTTGAAACTGGCTTTAAGTGTTACTTTCATAGAATTGGTAAGATTTTTTTGTTGAATGAAAACAGTTCTCAGTGGTCTATGTTCATGAAAACAATATAAAAACATTTCTTTTTTTTTTTTTTGAGACGGAGTCTCGCTGTCACCCAGGCTGGAGTGCAGTGGCAGGATCTTGGCTCACTGCAACCTCTGCCTCCCGGGTTCAAGCGATTCTCCTGCCTCAGCCTCCAGAGTAGCTGGGATTACAGGCACCCACCACCATGCCCGGCTAATTTTTGTATTTTTAGTAGAGAGGGGGTTTCTCCACGTTGGCCAGGCTCATCTCAAACTCCTGACCTCGTGATCTGCCCACCTCGGCTTCCCAAAGTGCTGGAATTACAGGTGTGAGCCACTGCACCCGGCCAAAACCATTTCTTGAAAAAAACTTTTTTACTTCTGACATTTGACTAATTCTCTCAATCTATATTGTTAAGTTTCTTCCTAACTACTGTATAGTAAAGATTTAAATAGAAGTACTACAACCTTCCTTTAATGAAGGATAAAAATTTTACCTTCTTGAAATCTTAAAGACTAGTATATATTACTGGTTGTTAAATAATAAATAATTATTTTGTGCCTTAATAATTTGAAGTGTCTTTCATGGAAGGAATGTTAGCCTGTAAATAAGTTTTAATAGCTTTATAGAAATCCTTTTATTATGCCAGGATTCTGAAAGCTGTGACAAAAAATCACATTATACTAATACCTGATGATTGAACTTAAAATGTAGATCAGAAAGTTCTTAGAGCCTGAGTGGCAAATTCATGCCTTTTGGCCATTTTCTTCACCCAGATAAAGTAAATTTATTACAGGTGTTCACGAATATGTGGTATTAGGGGTTTAAAAGATCACAGGATTTCGACTGGGCGTGGTGGCTCACACCCATAATCCCAGCACTTTGGGGGTGCTGAGGTAGGTGGATCACTTGAGGCCAGAACTCCAGACCAGCCTAGCTAACATAGCAAAACCCTGTCTATACTAAAAATACAAAAATTAGCCTTGTGGTGGCTCACACCTGTAATCCCAGCTACTGCGGTGGCTGGGGCACAAGAATTCCTTGAACCTGGGAAGTGGAGGTTGCAGTGAGCCAACATTGTGCCACTGCACTCCAGCCTGGGTGACAGAGCGACACTACCTCTCAAAACCAAACAAAACAGATCACAAGATTTCCTCTGGAATATGTCCTCAAAACTATTCTCCACGTCCATCCTCCTTTTTTTTTTTTTTTTTTTTTTTTATTAACATGGTGTAATTTCTGCTAGAGCCAATTTTTTTTTATCAGATCCTTTAAAAATTTTGCTTTTGTTTTTAAATTAAATGTTAATTGAAGAACTTTGTGATCAAATATATTATTTTTGGGCCTCTGTAGCCCCTTATGCGTTATTGTTGTACATCTACTTTATGATGAAAGACTTAAATAATCATATAGCCTCTATAATGTATTTTCAGAGTACTCAAGTTATAAATAAGTAATTTCTTTCATTTCTTATTATGAAGTAAACCACTATATAGTAATATACTTTTAAGCATTTATAAAATTTGATATGTTCTGATAGGACTAGAAAACTGTGAATCTTAATAATTTAAATAAAACCTTAAAGTTTATAACTTATTTTAAATAGCAAACAGTTTGTGGCTTTGATTTGTTACGGGCCAATGGACAGTCCTATGTCTGTGATGTCAATGGCTTCAGTTTTGTGAAAAATTCCATGAAGTATTATGATGACTGTGCAAAAATACTTGGGTAAGAATTTTTAAATTTTTCTTTTTACCTTCATATACTAGTTATTCAGAAACCAAATAACTGTTAACATTAAATGATCAGGGTTTTTAAGCATTCTAGAGTAAAGATCAGTGTTCATAAAATGATACCCCCAGAGACTATGCCAGATCCTGAATTATACTTTGGCTTATCAAAGACAGATTAATTTATGATCAGTATAGATGAAAACCTTTAACTTCATATGTTTACAAATACTATAACATGCTGATTATTAGTCAAAAGTTTATTTGTTAGAATACTTTATTCCTCAAATTTTTGCCATGTAGTTATAGTGGAAAAGGTTTTCTTCTACTTAATGGACAAAATTAACATTCATGAAATAAACAGAGTAAAATAGAAATATTTAGAATTCATGACTCTTTTGCATGACAATTCATTCTACAAGCATATGTTACTTGATGATATTTTCATAAGATTATCAAGTGAATGTAAAAAAATTATTGTAGGTAGAAATGCCATTTTTATATTCTTCAACCTGTTTTCTTTATACCTTGATTCAGAAGACTAGCAAGGCAATAACTATTTTTAAGACATTTCCAGGTATATATGACAAATCCATAGGAAACTTACATTAAAAAATGTTCGATAATTGGAGCTAGCT
Source organism: Homo sapiens (assembly GCF_000001405.40). Lineage (NCBI taxonomy): Eukaryota > Metazoa > Chordata > Mammalia > Primates > Hominidae > Homo > Homo sapiens. The sequence continues at coordinate 103,152,015 of NC_000005.10, forward strand.
TTTATACTGGTTAAGTATCCCTTATCCAAAATGCATGGGACCAGAAGTGTTTTGGATTTCAGATTTTCAGATTAAGAACATTTAACCCACAGTATGTTTCAAAGATTTACAAACTTACCCTTAAAGTGATGTAAGGGAGAGTTTACTAAATTTTAGCATAAATAAATGCTAAATTTAAACAAAGCCAAAAAGTAAACATTTTTCCATTTTTAACCCTATTAGTATAGTAGTGATTTGTTAAGATGAACACAATATTTAGAGTAGCATTATAGATGTTCAATAAAGTGATAAGAATTTATCAGTAGCCACACAGAAGAGACAATCTTGAATTTCAGAATGTATGTAGTTAGATGTGATGTAATTGTAGTGATTTCTTTGAATCCAATGTTGATTGATATTTTAAAACTAAAGTAAATAATCTCAAATTTGTGAAATCCCATTGATGTGTCTAATACATCAATTTGGAACTGCTGATTTTTATTTTTTCTTGATCAGAATGGATTCTGTGGGTTATCTTTTATGTGATGTAATCACTAGATAGTTTAACTCTTATGATTCTCTCTCATCCTCATTAAGTACCCAGTTTTGTCTTAAAACGTACTAATTTTAAATCTTTTCTTTTTTGTCTTGAAGAAATATTGTAATGCGAGAACTTGCTCCACAATTTCATATTCCATGGTCAATACCCTTAGAAGCTGAAGATATCCCAATTGTACCAACTACATCTGGAACTATGTAAGTCTGAATTATTTTCATTTAGAAATTGAGTTTTCCTTGCCATCTGTGCTATTAGGATAAAAATTAAATTTCTGAATGATGATTAGACACTTTAGTGTGTATGATTTCATATGATTCAGCTTGAAGATAGAGGAGTAGATTATACGTATTTATAAGGGTCCACTAATTGTTACAAATAAACTACTGAAACATGCCTGGATAATTATAGAATTGTTTAATCAAGCCATAAAAATAAAAAAGGTACCAATAGGAATGTTACTTAAAGGTTCATAGTGGTCTTACAACTTTTGCTCTCTCAAGTCATATCTTGCATAATTATACCAGTATTGCCAAAATGTTTTATAACATTCTCTTACTGAAAATTATTCCTTTAAATTCATGTCAGTTGACTGAATGCTTTTTTTTCACAACTTAGATATTTATATTAACATGTTAAATATCCTGAGATGTACTGATGATGGGGGGAACTAATTTTGTTTTTAATCAGCATTTTTCATACTGATTTAACACGCAAGTGTTAAATAAAATTTTTTTCAGGTAACTCAATTGATAATCCTGCAGGGTTATGTTCTGCAGTTCACACTTCAGCACACACTAGATTATACCTCTGAATTCTAGCATGCTTCTAAGATGATTTTATCTTCCAGTAATTTGAGTTGTAAATACTTGTTCTCCTTACATGGGCAAAACTTAGCAAATATATAAATATAGCAACCATCATGTAAAGTTTTATTTTGATTTAATGAAGTCTCAGTCTGTAGTGACCTAATGCTATGGATCAGATATATAAGAAAGCTCAGAAATTGTAGTCCATCTACTTTTATCCCAGAGTTAATGTAGCCATTTCTAGAGAAGAAAAGGTTGTATTCTACTATATAGCTTAATATCACCTCCCTCCCCCAGCTTCTTAAGTTCTTTTTGAATTTTATTTCATAAAGTTAAAACTAGATTGTTATAAGTATTATTCTTCATGGGAAAGATCTTGAAGTGGTAAAAGATGGCTTTAAATAGATGACTAAATGTTCATATTAATCTGAATTATACAACACAAATCTTTTTTAGAGAATTAAGAACATATATATTTTTTCATTTTAGGATGGAACTTAGATGTGTCATAGCTGTTATACGTCATGGGGATCGAACACCAAAACAAAAAATGAAAATGGAAGTGAGACATCAGAAGTATGTTTTCAGATGAATAATTTAACATGCATGATACAATTTTAAGATTTCTGATAAGTGATCAACTCTTTTGATTAATACATCATATAGAAAAACTTTTATCTACTGTCTCTTGGCCATTTATATTTAAACCAGTGGGTGGGTACAAAATCCATTTAAAATATGTTCATTAGCATCTAAAATTATTGTGGCAATATTCATAAATATCATCAGTCTGCCCTGGCTTTCATTTATTGTCATAAAGGTGTTCTATTTAATCTTTGCTTATCACTCTCTTGTATTGCATTCTGAGAGTGAGTAATCCCTCAGCCTTTTAGAAGAAAATTAGTAGAATGAAAGTTTCTGTTATTTCTATCCAGTGTTTGGTTTGGAGATGATAAAATTTGAAAACCCTGAGCCATTAAGTATGTGTTGACACAAGTAATTTTCAATGTATATGCAATGACTTCAGAAAATATATAATATTATGAACTATAATTGTATGTTTGGTTTCCGTGAAAAAACTTTGAAAAGTAGTATGGTGATTATTAGTTTGGTATCATTTAGGAAAGTACTAAGTTTTATCAATCAAAGTTGAGCAGCAACATGTACAGTGAAAGAGGAAACACAGTACTTGAAATCCTTAGATCCCAAGTTCTAGTCCCATAGCTTATCATTTATTATTTGTTAGTTTAAACATATATTGGTAATGTTAATTATTGCAAGTGACTAACAGTGTTCTGTCTTTTTTATAAGATTTTTTGATCTTTTTGAAAAGTGTGATGGATATAAATCAGGGAAATTAAAACTCAAAAAACCAAAACAGTTACAGGCAAGTGTATTTGCTTTCTTGTTTAATTTTAAATTTTTTAGTGGTGAAATTACATAAAAATTCAATTTTTTATTAATTTATTTTATAGGAAGTGCTAGATATTGCACGACAGCTTCTTATGGAGCTAGGGCAAAATAATGATTCTGAAATTGAAGAAAACAAGCCAAAACTTGAACAACTTAAGACTGTATTAGAGATGTGAGTATCTTTTTGAAACGCTTAATTGTGGTACTACATATAGCTCTTCTTTTTTATGTATGTGATTTTCCATTTTAATTACTTTCACAGTCTGATCTTTTTACTCTTTGTTACTATAGTTGAGACATGAAGGAAAATCTAATGTGAAAAAAATAGATTGCTGTATTGAAGGTTTTAGCTTTAGTTTTAATTTTGGTGAGAAGATTAAACAAGGACATCAAATTTGTGTCTTCTGTGAAATACTGCTTAGAATGAAGGCCACATTGCTAACTTGACCATAGATTCATTGCAGTTTAAATATAAAAAATTTGAATTTTGCCTTAATCAAGTAAAATGGATACCCACCAATATTCCTGTTACAGCTTTACATTTTTAATCTCTTACAATCTTATTTCCTTTATTTCTTAAAACACATACATCTGTGTTTTTACATATTTCTGTACTTTATCTCTTCAGAGTTGTCTTTTTTTTTTTTTTTTTTTTTTTTTTTTTTTTTTTTTTGAGACAGGGTCTTATTCTGTCACCCAGGCTGGAGTCAGTGGTGTGATCTCAGCTCACTGCAACCTCTCCCCCTCCCAAGTTCAAGCAGTTCTCATGCCTCAGCCTCCCAAGTATCTGGGACCACAGGCACACACCACCATGCCTGGCTAATTTTTGTATTTTTAGTGGAGACAGTTTCACCATGTTGGCCAGGCTGGTCTCGAACTCCTGACCTCAAGTCATCCACTCACCTCGGCCTCCCAAAGTGCTGGGATTACAGGCTTGAGCCATGGCACCCACGCCTGTAATTTTTAGAAAAACATTTTTGTTTTTAATGTGGTTAGAATGATTATATATGGTACAATTTTTTTTTGATAGAATATTTCGAAGAATTAAACAGGCGGTTACAAATAAAAGGGAGCATGAATATGTGAGAATTAGTTTTTCCCTACATGTTCTATTCTGTTTATCATTTTATTTTTCAGGTATGGTCATTTTTCTGGAATAAATCGTAAGGTTCAGTTGACCTATCTCCCTCATGGTTGTCCTAAAACATCTAGTGAAGAGGAGGGTATGTTATTCTTAATGCTTATACAGTAGTTTTATATGTAGTAACTTGTTATTCACTGTTGATTACCTTTGGACCATCTTTTGCTTAGTAGTTTAGGGAATGGCATGGTGAGGAAAAATAAAGTGGAATTATCTTAGCTGTGCTTCCTTTTCTTTAAATAAAGGATACAATTTTAAAATTACCTATTCTTTAAACAAAGGATAGATTTTATTGTTCTGAAAACTGCATAGGAATTCCTTTTAACTGCGGGATTGTTTCGGAAAACTTATTTGTTTATAACTAAGTGTTATTTAATGGGCTCCTTACATCACCTTTTGATAGTAGAGGGCAGAGTATATAAGAAGAAAGGCCAAGAAGTACAAAAAGACTTTGAAAAAATATACAATTAACCTGTTTCTAAAATAAATGGGTATTTTCTTCCACCCAGTAAACCAGAGTAAGTCTTTAAACAAGTTTGGTCTCCTAAGAGCAGTCAGTATCCACATTCATAAATGCATTTACCTTACAAAAGAAAAGGGTAGGGATTGGGGAAGTCATTTCATAGAGAAATGCAGATGACCAATAAAATAATAATGATAGTAATAATAATCTGTCTTGCCTATCATATTGGCAAAGTGTTTTCTTCGTTTCTGTTTTAAACTGGTAATAAAGTGTGCTGATGAGAATTCATTGAGACAGGATTTCAGTCTATAGTAGAAGTATAAATTGGCACAGTGTTTTGAAAAGTAACTTGGCAATATATCAAAAACTTCAGAAAATGTACTTATGCTTTGACCTGAATTCTGCTTATCAGGATCTAACCCAAAGAAGTAATCAGATGTTCAGGGAAAGATTATCTATAGGGATATTCATAGTGGTATTATTTATAGTAGCAAAAATTAATGATTATCTTAAATGCAGACACATATTTATAATAATCTTTATATATTTAGTTTAACATTTGATATATTGCTCTTATCACATTTTGTGGTTAATAGTAATACAGGTTAATTTTCTATATCTTAGTATTTATCATCAAAAACATTCTATAAGCAAATAATTTAAAAAGTTAGGTAACTAACTTTCTTTCCATAAATTAATATTGGTCTACATGACAAAGCTCACAGAACCGCTAACTTGCTGCAGGGGAAGGGGTGATTTCCTCTCACCTTTAAAGAATGATTATTAAGTTCTTTTAGTGCTTATAATGCTTATTTTTGAATTACTTTTTTTTTCAGAACCCAACACAGATCTTAATACCATGAAAAGGAGTAGGTCAAAATTAAGTACAGAAACTCATTAACTTATGGTATTTTCTTTGTTCAAGAAAATACTCTGATGTGTAACATGCAGAGATTCCACAATTTCAAATTTAAAAAGCTGCTCTTGAATACCTTTTGTTTGCGTAAAATTTATTAGATTGCATAAAATTTAAATTAGAATAAATGTTAGGCTCTGTCATCTCACATCTTCCTAAAAATGATGCAAATCACCGATTTCCAATCTTAAAAACATATGTATCTGGCCGGGCGCAGTGGCTCACGCCTTAATCCCAGCACTTTAGGAGGCCGAGGTGGGTGGATCACCTGAGGTCAAGATTTCGAGACCAGCCTGGCCAACATGGTGAAACCCCGTCTCTACTAAAAATACAAAAATTAGCCAGGCGCCTGTAGAGCCAAGATCGTGCCATTGCACTCCAGCCAGGGCGACCAAGCGAGACTCTGTCTCAAAAAAAAAAAACAAAAAAATATATATATCTTCTTCACTTCAACTAAGGTATTTTCTTTCATGGGACAGCACTGCAAAGGGTGCTTGATAGCAAGGCAGATAAAACCTGGATTCGGGCATCAAGGAGCTGTTAATCCAGCAGACATAGCACAACTAAATTAAGTACAATGAAAAAATTACTATGAGAGCAGGCAAGGGAGAAACATTACATCCCTGAAGAAAATTGGGAGCCATTTTTCTAAAGTATGAGAGAGATTTTCAAATTTCAGTAAGATTTAAACAGGTATAGCAAGGGAGTATTCCTTACAGAAGCAACTGCCTACAAACGGCATTAAGGAACATACATGCAACAGCATTTAAGGAAGAAAATATCTTACATATGGGCCATATTTCACTGCAGAAGAGAGCACAGAGAAAAAAATGAATCTTAAGTCTGTTTAAAGAAATAAACTTAACATTTGTTTTATTCATTCATATGTGTCATAGACAGCCGAAGAGAAGAACCATCTTTACTTTTGGTTCTAAAATGGGGAGGTGAATTAACTCCTGCAGGCAGGGTCCAGGCTGAAGAACTTGGAAGAGCCTTCAGGTGTATGTATCCTGGAGGTCAAGGTAAATCTTAGAGTTTTCTTTAATTTGACTAATTTCATAAATTGTATTTTGAAATCCTCATTTGTGATGTTATTAAACATTTATAGAAATACAATGAAATGAAAATATAGCTGAAGTGATTTGAGGATTTATTTTCAGGAGATTATGCAGGATTTCCTGGTTGTGGTTTACTTAGATTACATAGCACCTACAGACATGACCTCAAAATATATGCCTCTGATGAAGGACGAGTCCAGATGACTGCAGCTGCTTTTGCAAAGGTATAAATAATTTTTTTTTAGAATTATTAGAGTTTTTAATCTAATATTGTATCTTAAAACATTTTTGGCTGGGCGCAGTGGCTTACACCTGTAATCCTAGCACTTTGGGAGGCTGAGGTGGTCAGATCACTAGAGCCCAGGAGTTTGAGACAAGCCTGGGCAACATGACGAAACCTGTCTCTGCAAAAAAATTAAAAAAATAAAAATTAGCCAGGTGTAGTGGTTCACACCTGTAGTCCCAGCAGCTCAGGAGGCTGAGATGGGAGGATCACCTGAGCCCAGGAGGTCAAGGCTGCAATGAGCCAAAATCACACCGCTGCACTCTACCGCAGGCAACAGTGTCAGACCCTTGTCTCAAAAAAAAACCAAAATTTTTTTAACCAAGGAATATTTAAAAATTCTGTATTTGGAACTTTCAAGTAAAACTCTAAAATGACAATAATGAACTGTAGTATTAATAAAGTTTATTTATGATAAACTTAACTTATACTTTATGAAAATCAGTATGTAACAAAATATTATTTTACGTATTAATTTTTTAAATTCGTGTTTTCTTTATTTAATATGCTTAGGGGCTTTTAGCTTTGGAAGGAGAGCTTACACCCATTCTTGTTCAAATGGTGAAAAGTGCAAATATGAACGGTCTTTTGGATAGTGATAGTGACTCTCTGAGCAGTTGTCAGCAACGTGTGAAGGCAAGGCTTCATGAAATACTTCAGAAAGACAGAGATTTTACTGCTGAAGATTATGAAAAGGTGGGTCTTAGCAAACTCTTATATTGTGAAATATTACACACACACAGAAAAGTGATAAGTGCATAAAACATACATGTAGAGCTTATTGTATTATAAAGCAAATACACATGTTATCATCCTCCAGGTAAAGAAATAGAACATTGGAACAACTTTGGCTTCTGTATGCCCCTTTTCAATCGCAACCCATTCCCTACCTCCTCAAAAAAACTACTGTCCTGACTTTTTATATTCTTTTCATATCCAGAATACTTACTTGAATAATAAGTATAGTCTCTAACCAGTGTAGTCTAATTTTTGGCTTTTTTCTAACTTTAAATCTATTGATTTTAATTGGCAAATTAAAATTATATATGTTTATGACACAACATGTTTTAAAATATATATGCATTGTGAAATGGCTAACTTAAGCTAATTAACATATGTATTACCTCACATCCTTATTTATTTGTGATGAGAACATTTAAAATCTACTCTCAGCAATTTTCAAGGATAAAACATATTGCTATTACTATAATCACCATGTTGTACAATAGAGCTCCTGAACTTATTCCTTCTGTCCAACTGAAATTGTGTATCCCTTGACCAACATCTTCCCAACCCCTTCCTTTTCCAGCCTCTGGTAGCCATCATTTTACTCTGCTTCTCTAAGTTTAACTTTTTTAGATTCTACATATAAGTGAGATTATACATATTTGTCATTCTGTGCCTGGCTTATTTCACTTAACATAGTGTCTTCTAGGTTCATCCATGTTGTTGCTAATGATAGGATTTCCTTCTTTTTTAAGGCTAGATGATGATACTTCATCTTGTATATATACTACACTTTCTTTATTCATTCATCTGTTATTGGACAGGTTGATTCCAGATCTTATCTATTGTGAACAGTGTTACAATAAAAATGGGAATGCAAATATCTCCTTGATATACGATTTCATTTCCTTTAGCTGTATACCTAGTATTGGGATTGTTGGATCATATGGTTTTTCTGTCTTCAGTTTTTTGAGCAATGTTCATACTGTTTTCTATAATGGCTCTACAGTATTAATTTACTTTGGCTATTTTTTAAGGTTCATAGAACATGTTTTATTTTATATTTGGCTTCTTTTATTTAATATTTTATTTGTGAAATTCAACCATATTAAGTAATGGTCATAGTTAGTTAATAATCATTGCTGTGTTTGCTGTATTCCATTTCAGGGTTGGCAGAACTTTTCTGTAAAAGGCCAGATAGTAAATATTTTATTTAAAAAAATTAGACTTTGCAGTCCAAATATGGTCTCTGTTGCATATTGTTTTTGTTTTCTTTTAACTGCCTTTTAAGCATGTAAAAACCATTCTTAGCTCATGGCCTGTGTAACAGGCCACATTTGACCTGCAGGCTATAGTTTGTTGATCCATGTACTACTTTATGAACATATTACAATTTATATATGCTTTCTATTATTGTTAGAGTTTTGGACTGTTAGGATTAAAGTTGCCATGAATATCCTGGTATGGCACCTGTGCAATGAGCATACGTTTCTCTTGGGTATATTGTAGGAGTGGAATTATTGTGACCATGGTATACTTATTTACAATGTTAGCAGGTAATGTCAAACTGTTTTTTTTTTCTTTTTTGTCTTTTCATTCTTTTTTTTTTTTAAATTATACTTTAAGTTATAGGGTACATGTGCACGACGTGCAGATTTGTTACATATGTATACATGTGCCATGTTGGTGTGCTGCACCCATTAACTCGTCATTTACATTAGGTATATCTCCTAATGCTTTCCCTCCCCCCAACCCCCACCCCCACAACAGGCCCCAGTGTATGATGTTCCCCTTCCTGTGTCCAAGTGTTCTCATTGTTCAGTTCCCACCTGTGAGTGAGAACATGCGGTGTTTGGTTTTTTGTCCTTTCGATAGTTTGCTGAGAATGATGGTTTCCAGCTTCATCCATGTCCCTACAAAGGACATTAACTCATCATTTTTTATGGCTGCATAGTATTCCATGGTGTATATGTGCCACATTTTCTTAATCTAGTCTATCATTGATGGACATTTGGATTGGTTCCAAGTCTTTGTTATTGTGAATGGTGCCACAATAAACATACGTGTGCATGTGTCTTTACAGCAGCATGATTTATAATCCTTTGGGTATATACCCAGTAATGGGATGGCTGGGTCAAATGGTATTTCTAGTTCTAGATCCTTGAGGAATCGCCATACTGTCTTCCACAATGGTTGAACTAGTTTACAGTCCCACCAACAGTGTAAAAGTGTTCCTATTTCTCCACATCCTCTCCAGCACCTGTTGTTTCCTGACTTTTTAATGATTGCCATTCTAACTGGTGTGAGATGGTATCTCATTGTGGTTTTGATTTGCATTTCTCTGATGGCCAGTGATGATGAGCCATGTGTCTGTTGGCTGCATAAATGTCTTCTTTTGAGAAGTGTCTGTTCATATCCTTCACCCACTTTTTGATGGGGTTGTTTGTTTTTTTCTTGTAAATTTCTTTGAGTTCTTTGTAGATTCTGGATATTAGCCCTTTGTCAGATGAGTAGATTGTAAAACTTTTCTCCCATTCTGTAGGTTGCCTGTTCACTCTGATGGTAGTTTCTTTTGCTGTGCAGAAGCTCTTGAGTTTAATTAGATCCCATTTGTCAATTTTGGCTTTTGTTGCCACTGCCTTTGGTGTTTTCTAATGCTATTGAGCTAATTTACACTCCCACCAGAGGTCAATGATAGTTGTCATTGCTCCACATATTCTCCATTCTTGGGATTCTCAGATGATTCCATTTTGGTCATTCTGGTGGATATACCTAGAATTTACTTTATTGTGGCTTCAATGTCTATTGACCATTTAGATATCCTCTTGAATGAGGACAAGTCTCTTGTCCTTTTTCTGTGAATTGTCTATGTTTTTCTTCTTGGATGGTAGAAGTTCTTTATATATTCTGGATATGAGTTCTTTGTTACATGTAGATAACATAAAGTTAACACCACCTACTCTGAGCCTTAATGATGTCATGATGTGTTTTCTTTTTTTTTTTTTTGTTTTTTTGTTTTGTAGAGACAATGTCTTGCTCTGTCACCCAGGCGGGAGTGCAGTGGTGTGATCATAGCTCACTGTGGCCTGAAACCCCTGGGCTCAAGTGATTCTCCTGCCTCAGCCTCCTGAGTAGCTGAGACTACAGGTGCACGCCACCATGCTCAGCTAACTTTTTAAATTTTTGTAGAGACTGGGTCTCACTGTGTTGCCCAGGCTAGTCTCGAACTCTTGGCCTCAAGTGATCCTCCTGCCTTGACATCCCAAGGCTTTGGAATTACAGGCATGAGCCACCATGCCCAGCCAATAATATCTTTTGATAAGCAAAAGTTATAGTTTTTCATGATTTCCAAGTTCATTTTTTTCCCCTTAGGGTCAATGCATTTTAATATATTGTTTAAGATATCTTTTTCGGAGAAGAGGCCATAAGATATATATATCTTCTATAAACTTACTGTTTTGCTCTTCACATTTATCTGTATATCAGATAAAATTGACTTTTGTGTGTGCTATGAGCTAAGAATGTCAAGGTTGTTATTTCCCCTGCAACTATATATACATCTGGGTGTCCCAGCAGAACATACTGAAAAGACTATTCTTTCCCATTACTCAGAAGTACCATATTTATTATATATGTGTGATCTGTTTCTGGACCCTGTATTCTGTTTGTTGATCCGTGTGCCAATGAATAATACCTCCCAACACCCCAAATGGATCCTTCTTCAAGTGTTTTTTTTTTTTTTTTTTTTTGCATTTTCATATAAATTTTAAAACAAGCTGGTCAAAAATACTGTTGGGATTTTTTTATTTAGGTTGTATGATATCTGTAGTTTGTGCAAATTTACATTTTTTTCTCTAGTCTTTCAATCTGTGAATGTAGTGTAGCTCATTTATTTAGATATTCTTTAATATCTTTCAATAATGTTTTATAATTTACTTCACAGAGTTCTTGTGCATCTTTGTTAGATTTAGGCTAAGGTGATTGATATTGTGCAATTATAAATGGGCCCTCTTTAAAAGTTTTATTCTCTGTTGTTGCTATATAGAAATATAATTAGTTTTAAAATATTGAGATTATAGGCATCAACCTTGTCGAACTCATTAGTTCTAATAATTTATCTAGATTTGTTTCATTCTTTAACTGCACATCTATACTTTTTTTCTTTTCCAATCTTTGTTTTTTAAAAATTCTTTTTCTTGCTTTCCATAGGTAGGACCCTCAAAATAATATTAAATAAAAGTAGCATTTCTAGTAACACTTGTACATTAAATATAAAGTTTTCTGTAGATATTTTATATAGCTGCCCTTCAAAATAAGGAAATTTCATTGTTTCTATTTGGCTGAGTTTCCATTATAAAAACGTACTGAATTTTATCATATTTTCTTTCATCTATTATATCTTACAGTTTTTTGAATGTGAAACTAACCTTGGTTCTAGAATATCCTCAGCTTTTCCATGTATGATCTTTTTCTTTCATATCACTGATTTTAGTTTGCTGAAATTTTGGTTAGGAATTTTGAATCTATGTTCATGTCAGATTGGCCTTTACTTTTTTATTTTTGTTGTGTCTTATTTCAATGTCAGGATTATGCTAGTCTTGTAAAATTAGTTAGGGAATGCTTCCTATTTGAGGAGAATAGTATATGTACAAATATTTCATTAAATTTTTAGTAAGCTTTACTAGTAAATAGTATGGTAAATCCTGTGGGTGTTTTCTTTGTGGGAAAGTTTCTAATTATGGAATTCAGAATAGTTTAGTACTTCTCAGTTATGTTTATGTCAATATTATTAAATTATATTTTTTAGAAGTTTGTTCATAATTTCTTTGTAATTTGTGTAGGATCTATAGAGATTTCCCTTTTTCTTTCATAACATTATACTTTTTTCCTTTTCTTCTTGATCAGTTTCACCATGGTTGATTAGTTTATTAGTCCTTTCAAAGAACCATTGTTAAGATTTGTTAGGTCTCTGAATTATATGCTTATTTTCCATTTGATTAATTCTCATTGCTTAATATTTTATTTCTTCTACCTCTCTAGTTTTATTTTGCTATTTTTCTGATTCTCGAAATTAATAACACCAGGTGAATACTTACTAAGTTATTAATGTTCTGTCTTTTACAAAATGTGCACCCTAGGCCGTATATTTTCCTTTATGCACTCTTTTGACTGGAGTCATTTATTATATTCATAAATATAAATGTTTCCAGTGGAGAAACAGCCTTAAATTCTAGGCTCACTTTCTGGATCACTGACCTTTGAGTTTTGCTTCCATAATTCTTTACCACCTTGTTATTTCACAGATTCCTTAAAGCATACATATAGATATTCTTTGCCCAGAATTTTTACTTCCCTTCAGTGGATATATTGGTCCAAACTACCTAGTTTATTATAACCAGAAGTAGAATTGCACTTGACATTTTTTATATTGTAGAAACTTACTTAATGTGGTTAAATAACTTGCCAAGCTAAATGTCAAAACTGGAATGTGGAACTATATTTTTATTGATGGCTTTTATTCAAAAAAATTCATTACAAATTCATTACAAAGGCATAACAGGATAGTGGTTTAGAGCACCAGTCTGTAGCCAGACTACCTGCATTTGAGTCCTACTCCTTTACATCCTAGTGGTTTGATCTTAAGCAAGTAGCTTAACCTCAGGTAAGTCACTCATCTGGGAAAAGATAATAATAGATGCCTAGAGTTATTACATGTAAATATATGTCAAGTGGTCAGAACCATATTTACACATGTTAACAGAGTCAGCAGATTGTCATCAAATTCCATTAAGTTAGAGTGTTGCTGCTAAATTTTCTTTATTGATAAGACAGCTAAGGTTTAATATTTTTTAACATGAATTCTGAGTCTTTTACTTCCTCCTTGATCTCATTACTATACAGTTCACCTTTAGACAATGTTGGGGTTGGAAGTGCCAGTCCCCCTCACAGTAAAAAAATTCGTGTATAACTTTTGACTCTGCAAAAACTTAACTACCAAGTTAAGCCTACCTTTGACTGGAAGCCTTAGCAATAATGTGAACAATGAACATATATGAATGCTCATTATGAAAAAACTATACACAAATTTCAACTTTTTTTTACACTAAAATAATCTTGTATTATCTTGTTATGACATGTCTGAACAGGATTTAGTTTGAGGCACTAACAAGAGTAAGACATCAGTTTGAAGAGAGCCCCTGCGAGGGGCAACATGAATTCTGCTAAAATTGAAACAAGAACAAACAGCAAATTTATGGTGAAGCTTAAGTGAAAAAAATGGTGAAATCATTGACACTTTACAAAAAGTTTATAGGAACAGTTTCCCGAAGAAATCAGCAGTATACAAATGGATAACTCGTTTTAAGATGGGACGAGATGATGTTGAAGATGAAGCCCTCAAAGGCAGACCATCCACATCAATTTTGCAAGGAAAAAATTAATCTTGTTCATGCCCTAATTGAAGAAGACCAATAATTAACAGCAGAAACAATAGCCAGTACCATAGACATCTCAGTTGGTTTAACTTACACAATTCTGACTGAAAAATTAAAGTTGAGCAAACTTTCTGCTTAGAGTGCCAGAACCATTGTGCTCAGATCAGCTATAGACAGTAGCAGAGCTTTCAATGGAAATTTTAAACAAGTGGGATGAAGATCCCAAAGCATTTCTTTGAAGAATTGTAACAGAAGATGAAACTGATTTTACCAGGATGACCCTGAAGATAAAGCACAATCAAAGTAATGGCTACCAAGAAGTGGAATTGGTCCAGTCAAAGCAGAAGCAGACTGGTCAAGAGCAGAGGTCATGGCAATAGTTTTTTGGGACGCTCAAGGCATTTTGCTTGCTGACTTTCTGGAGTGCTAAAAAGCAATAACATCTGCTTATTATGAGATTGTTTTGAGAGAGTTAGCCAAAGCATTAGTAGAAAACACCCACAAAATCTTCACTACAGAGTCCTCCATCATGACAATGCTCCTGCTTATTCCTCTCAGACAAGGGCAGTTTTGCAAGAGTTTCAGTGGGAGATCATTAGGAATCTACCTTGTCGTCCTGATGTGGCTCCTTCTGACTTCTGTTTGTTTCCTAATCTTAAAAAAATATTTAAGGGGCACTCATTTTTCTTCAGTTAATAATGTAAAAAGTCTGCATTGACGTGGGTAAATTCCCAGGATCCTCCATATTTTAGGAATAGACTAAATGGCTGGTATCATCGCTTACAAAAGTGTCTTGACCCTGACAGACCTTAGGTTGAGAAATAAAGTTTTTTACTTTTATCTTTTAATTCAATTTTTCCACATACTTTCTGGAAGTTCCCCAGTATTTTGTATATGTATTATATGCTCTAGTCTTACAACAGAGGGAACTAGAGAAAAGAAAATATTAAGAAAATTCTAGAGTGAGCTAGAGAAAAGAAAATGTTATTAAGAAAATTATAAGGAAGAGAATATATTTACTATGCCTTAAGGGGAAATAGATCATCTTAGAGGTCTTCATCTTTATTTTCACATTGAGTAGGCTGAAAAGAAAGAGGAAGAGGAGGGGTTAGTCATGCTGTCTCAAGGGTGGAAGAGGTGAAGGAGGTGGAAGGGGAGGCAGGAGAAACAGTACATTTTGGTGTAACTTTTAGGGAAAAACCCTGCATATATGTGGTCCTTTGCAGTTCAAACCTGTGGTGTTCAAGGGTCAACTGTATTTTGTGGTCATTTTAATTTCTGCTATGGAATTATTCTCCAGCTACTGGAAAATTTTGTATATATATATTGTTCTCTTAGACAATTAGGCATAACCAGATATAAAATATATACTTTACTCATTTGTAGCTTACTCCATCTGGAAGCATTTCTCTTATCAAATCAATGCATTTAATTAAAAACCCTGTGAAGACCTGTGATAAAGTTTATTCCTTAATTCAGAGTTTGACTTCTCAAATCAGACATCGAATGGAAGATCCTAAATCATCAGGTAAATATGTTTTTCTTAGAGCATAGAACAAATAAAAGTTACTATTCAATTAAGCATTTAATATATGATGCACCAATCTTGTTGTAAGAAATCAAGCCTCTCTTGAGAGCTATGTATAGTATGAGTTAATGTATATCAAGCAAAAAAATAATGGCTAAGTTATAGTGGTTTTTATCCATGACAGCATGAAAGAGAAAATAAAATATTCTCATTTGATTATCTTATTATGCAGCATTGCTATATAGTTAAGCAGTGAGTAGACAGGGTAATAAGAAGGAGCAAGCAACAGGAAAGTGATCTAGGCTCTGGCCCCAAAGCTTACTTGGTTAGTAACTCAGACAACTTTGGCATCTTGGGTTTTTTTCTGGCAGAAAATGGATCATTTGGACTATTTTTAATGTCTAATGTTCCTCTGCTAGTCTGCCTATTCACTTAGTTATGTGAGTCTAATAAGAATAACAGTATTGAAAATTGAAAATATATGAGCTTAAAAGAGCTTTGTTAAAATTGTTGCTCTTTTTCTTCTTATTGTTATTAAAGTCTATAATATATGGAAAAAGTCTAAGCCTAGTTCCTAACCCTTTAAGTCTAAAAGATATATGGTTGCTAGTAGCGTATGCCTAAAGTAACTCTCTAACTTCATACAGTTGTATTTTTGACACTTTAAAAAGTTTCTAATTATTAACATATTAATATATATTCTAAATCAGATTTTTAAGTTGCATAAACTAAAAATGTTATGTTGTTTTAGATATTCAGCTTTACCATAGTGAAACATTGGAGCTTATGCTACGTAGATGGTCCAAGTTAGAGAAAGACTTTAAAACAAAGAATGGAAGATATGATATTAGTAAAATCCCTGACATATATGACTGTATAAAATATGATGTCCAGCATAATGGTTCCTTGAAATTAGAAAACACAATGGAATTATATAGGCTTTCGAAGGCATTAGCAGATATTGTTATCCCTCAGGTAAGTCATTCTTAAGAATCAATTTCTTATAATATTGAAAAAATACTTTTAAAATGTCTGTTGGTGGATAAAAAGGTAGTTGGTTTTCATGTCCTTGGAAAACCAGTAACTTTAAACAGGAAATTAGGTAATTATGAATTTATATTTTAAGGTTTTTATGGTTGTATTGATCACATTATTTGATTTTCTAATAGTTTGACTACAGTGACTTTTTTTAGTAGACTATATTTATTAGAGCAGTTTTATGTTCACAGCAAAATCAAACAGAAGGTACAAAGATTTCCCATATGCCCCTGCCTCCATACATAGCACGTCCTCCCCCGCATTATGATTGTCCCCCACAAGAATGGTGCATTTGTTATAACTGATGAACCTACATTGACACATCACCCAGAGTCCATAGTGCATTAGGGTTCACTCTTGGTGTTGTACATATGGGTTTGGGCAAATTTATAATGACATGTATCATCATAGTAGCATACAGAGTATTTCACTGCCATAAGAAGGTAGTAAAGTTTTTTTTTAATTTAAGAATTGATACTCTTAGAGAATAATAATATGTGAACAAACTAAAGAATGGAAAACAGTATGGAATAAATCAATTAAGCATTTATTGAACACCTGTTTTGCATCTGCCATCTCTATATGGAAATATGTGGAGAGTAACACATAAAGAATTACGGTCTTATATAAAATTTTTTGCAAGTCTTTTTACTTTATGCAAAAGTATTTTGAAAATAATGTTTAGAGGTCAAGATATATGTAGTTGTTCTTTTGGGGGACATGGGTCTTTTCATTATAGGAGAATAAAAATAAAGGTGTAACAAGAATTCAATTAACTAAAATGCAATTAAGCAGAGAATTGGATTGATAATAAAGGGGTAAGTGGCAAAACATATTGAGATCAGGACTATGTTAGAAGAACAAAGTTCCAGATGTCACTTTTGGACCTTTTTTCAACTCAGTACAAGATTATTTGGATATTGTAAAGAGGAGGTTGGAGTAGATCAGGTATTCCAACCGTGGACTACATAAAGTTTGAAAGCAGGAAAATATTAAATACATGAAAAAGATAAAGATTATGAAAAAAAAGTTCAAAAAGCCTAACTTATAAATACACATGTATAAGAATGGTTAAAATAACTGTCCCTTTCCTAATATTCATAGACAGTACAGGAAAACCTATAGATTTTGAAAAACTGAGAATTCATACAATTGTACAACTTACCTATAGGTATTTGTATACGTGTTAACAATTAGCTTGTTTCTTCAACATGAAAGAGAACTATATATTTGATCAGATATATAATATAGACAATTTTAGGTATATTGTATGAATCTGTGATTTTAAAAATTATTTTTAGAAGAGTATGAAAATATCTCAGACTTTACGAATACGTCTTTAGGCCTTTAGGAAACATTTACTTAGGAAACAGGACTCATTCCCTGACAATTTCTTTCATTTAGCAAATGAAAAAGGTTAAGTTTTATTCTGTAAAAGACAAGTTTTATTTTGCATAATAAAAATGTTTTGGTTTTGTAAGTATGCTTTTTAACAATTAGCTGTGAATACAAGACTTTAAGATATTTATGGCAGCTATAAGCACTTTTCAAGGTGGGCTGTCAGTATATCTAAATGTATCACCTACTCAGAGGCTAAATACACAATGCTTTGTCTAATCTTTAGCATAACCATGTCTGTGCCATTGCATTGCTTATTTAATCTCACCCCTCTACTGTTTCCATTATATATACTAAATATTTTACAACTGGGAATGAAAAATTAGTCCCTGAGAGTTGAGCCGAAAAGAAAACTCAAGTGTTAACAGTATTGTAGATGGTCATTTCTCCTCCTTACATGGTGTATGTATTTCAGGTGTATTGTTTATATAGTTGAAGACATTTCTCACCATGTCCTTGTAACTTAAATAAATTCATAATAAATTTTTTTAAATACCAGAAGAAGCACTAAAGATTAGTATGTTACGAAGGAGTTGAGTCACCATTTGTATCTATCAAAGTAATTCTTCAAGCTCAGCTGTTCTCAGTATGTTATGGTGATTCTCTTTGCTGCAATTAGGTTAGATTTTCATGACGGTCTGAGAATTTATTTGAAGACAACTCTAAAATTATTTTTCTCGGATAAGTTATTTTTTAAATCGTTTGACTCTTCAGATAAAATTATGCCCAAGTTTACATAAATCAGTTCTATTTTTGGTAAATTCATAGTTTTAAAACAAAAGGTCTTTTTATATGCTTCCCTGGTGTCCTGAGATTATTTTATAAATTGAGGAGAGGACAACTTTGGGTTTATCTCCCTAACTTTTTCATATGACAATCTTTATTGTAAGAGAAACTTTGGATTTTTTTTTTTCAGAGTGTTGAATCAGTTCAATAAATATTATCTTGCTTTGTTACTTTAGGCCTCATAAATACAAAAACTGTGGACAGAAGGCAGGTATTTTCAATCACCAAAAATATAACTAACAATTATAAACATATTTGCAGTAATTTATAATGAAAATGTGGTTTGTAATGGAAAAAAATAAAATTTTGCATACATAGTTCTCAAGCAAATAATATTTCCAGCTTCAAGACTTGACTCAGCCAAATAATACAAAGTTTTAACTTGTTTAGAATAATTTAATGTAGATTAACAGGGTACCACTGTGAAAGAGAAGTGTATATACATATGTTCTGGTGTACTTCAAAATGATACTATGCCTTAAAAAATCAGTTTCTACTCTTACATTGATTGATTAATTTTTATGTCTGTGCTATGTGAATTATGTAATTCCAATCATTTCTAGGCTTAAATGATGCATATGGTCTATTTTAGTTATTTTAACAGTTAAACTAGTTCTGATAGGTGTTTATGCTACAATAGAATCAAATTTTCACTTTTTAACCAGGCTTAATCCTCAGAAAATTGGGGCCCTGGTTTAAAAATGATGCTTTATAGCCATGATGGTATAGTGGTAAATAAAAACATTTAAAGACTAAATTTGATATTAAAATTATATTAATTGAGATGACACATATTAATTGAAGTTTAAAGATGTTTTCTTTGGTTATCTGTAGATTATGAAATGCAGACAGTTCTTTATAGTAGCATTTCCCAAAGACAGTTCAATGACATTCTCATTGAAATCACCATAGAAAGCTTTCAAGTCGCCTTAGCTGGTATTTTAATCAGTTCTATTTGTGGCACAAATATTGAAACTACATATGAGGACTTGCATATCTAAAAAATTGTTTGGTCCTAGTTGATAGAGGCAGATGAGCAAAATGTGTCACTGTTTTGAAGAGAGAAATTTCTTGATTATAAAAGTAATATATCTTTGTGATAAAACTAGAAAATACAGATAGAGCAAAAAAATTACTATAACATTACCAACAAAAGAAAAACATATCAATGTTTTGGAATATTCTTAAAGGCCTCTTTCCTTAAATTTATTTACATATAATTGCTTCCATAAATGCGTATATATAGCAAATACATTCTTTATGAAAACTGAATCAGAAAAAGCATACTATTTTACAACCTAATTTTTTCCTTCATTTAGCATAAAGAACTTCTTTCCATGCCAATAAGGCTATATATACATTATTATTCCCAATGTCTGAGTGGTGTGAATGTAAGAATAATTTATTTAACCAACTTGTCTTTGGAAATCTAGACTTTTAAAATTTGTTTCACTCTCTTTACACATGTCTTTCCATTCATTCAAGATCATTTCTGTAGCTCCAGAAATCTTTAATCAGTTTTTACCCAGACCAGCAGTGTATGAAAATCCCTGTTTCCTCACATCTTGCTAATAACAAATTTAAAAAAAAATTATTTCCCTGATGATTTTTTAATTCCAACATTTTTCTTTTGTTTACACATAAATACACAGTTGCATATTCACTATATAGTCACCTACATTGGCAAGATTATTGAACCACCTTAGCTTTAGTTTAAGGTAAATGACCACAGGAAGTCCTGTTTTCCTAGGTCTTTCATCTGTAATCAGTCAGCATTTTCTTTATTAGGCAGTTTTGAGATCTATTGTCTGTACTGATGTTATTCCATGTGAATCTTTCTGGAGGTATCTAGTAGCAGGAAATAGCCTTTAAGTTGAAATATCCTAGAATGAACTTGGAGAGAGAAGGTATATGTGTTTCTTTCCTCTTCCCTTTTCTCCCTCTTTCCCACTCTACCCCCACTTTTCTGCCTTCTTCCTTTCTCCTCTTCTACTGCTTTGAACTATAATTTTCATTGCAATTACTCTTAAAATTGCCATGTTTTCTGGACACTTCACATTGTGCTAATTCCTTACAAATCCAATTAACTCATAATGATTATGTCATTAAATTTGATAATTTCATGGAATCTTTGCTCACTTCCAGTTAAAACTTTAAAAATATTGGCCAAAGCCTTTTGAAGAATGTGTTAGTCTTTTAAATCTTTGACATTTGGAAAAACAGAAATCTCAAGGTTTAATTTTTTTCATATATTTATTACATATTGTGCTTTAGTGTTTGTGGCCTTAATCCACCTTTCTTTTAGGGTTGTTTTTACATTTAAAACCACTGATTTAGTGAATACTAGTCATAAAAATTACATTCACCCATTCATTCTCCGCCTTCAGAAATTACTGGCTTTTGTTCAGTTCCACCACAAAATCCTTCCAATTATACTTAATAGTTTGAAAATCATACATTTGCAGTTGCAAAAAATGCAAACTCGGAGTTATCCAACGTTCAAAAAAGGCTTGATAAAATATTTGTCTCTCACTAGACTAATTTAGGAGTGTATTTTTTTAGAGTACTTTGTCATTATATCCTTTTTCTAATGTCATGTATTTTTTGCTCAGGAATATGGTATAACTAAAGCTGAAAAACTGGAGATTGCCAAAGGCTACTGTACTCCTCTGGTTAGAAAAATTCGCTCAGACCTTCAGAGGACACAAGATGATGACACTGTAAATAAACTTCATCCTGTGTAAGAAACTGTACTGGTTATTTAAATCTCTAGGCATCTATTTTTGCATACTTCAAATTTAAATTATACTTTGATGGTCCTATGAAGTCAGAAGTGTGTCATTGGCATACTGTGAAAATAGTATTACCTAGGTATTTCTATTAAGTTCCAACCAAAGTTATTTTTGGCTCCACTTTAGAGAAAACTAAGGTGAGTGGGGAAAAGGGAATATAGGTCATCGTTCACATGGACCATCAATGTGTACCCCATTTAGCAGCATTAATGTCTGTGAGCATCTTTAGGTCTATAACCTCTGTCATTGCTACTAAAGGAGATAAAATAACCTATTTACAGTGTACTTGACTAATATTAAGTCTATTCTTTGACTACTCTCAGAGGTCCTAGTTAGTTATAGTTTGTGTCATGTTAGAAGAATATATACTAAGATAAATTCTCTATTGTGGTTGGAAGAATAATAGATTTTTGTGGTCTTTTACTTCTAGTGAAATTACATTTAATTTTAGAAAATAATTTCAATATTTAGTGAGTTTTTGATTATATGGTTATGTTTGAACACTGTCTGCTTCTAATTTTAGGTATTCTAGAGGTGTTCTGTCTCCTGAACGTCATGTTCGTACTAGATTATATTTTACCAGTGAAAGTCATGTACATTCTTTGCTGTCTATTCTTCGCTATGGTGCCTTATGCAATGTAAGTAGAATAAGTTATTTCAGTCTAACAAATATATTTAATTTTGTAATTAAATCACTAACTGCTATTTTTACTGTGAAATTTTAGTAATTCATCCTTAAGTTTTACTACTTAATGTCGTCTTTCAAGGGACTACTATATACCAAGCATTTTGCTAGATTTTAGGGATAAAGATGTTCTCTTCAGAGAAGATACATTTAAGCAAACAATAATATAAAGTATTTTAGGTGATTTTATAGACTGGTGGCAGTAAAGAGTAGCCTGATGAATTTGAGTCATTTAGGGGTCAGAATTGATGGAACTTGGTGTTTGGTTAGACATTGTACCACTGATCTACTATTATGTACTATCTACTATTATCTACTATTACGTAATGACATACCAAGACTTAGTGGCTTAAAACAACCACAGTCATTTCATTTTTATCTCATACAGTTTAGATTGTTGACTAGGATCAATTATGAAGTTTCTCTTAGAGTCTCATGAGGTTGTAGTCAGACAGTGGCTGGGTCTCAAATAATCTCAAGGGTTTTCTCTCATGTTTGGTGCTTCATGTTGGCTGTCAGCTGGGACCTCAGCTGCGGTTATCAAGCAGAACACCTACATCTGGCCTCTTCATGTGGCCTGCTTCCTCAAAATATTGCACCTGAGTTCCAGGAGTGAGCTTCCTATGAGAGCAAGGTGCAAGTGCATGGCATTTTTATGACCTAACTTCTAAAATCATGTAGCATCACTTCTGCTGCGCTCTCTTGGTTGAGGCAATCACAGAGGTTCATCCAGGTTCAGAAGGAGAGGAAACAACCCACAGCACCAGATGGGCTGAGTGTCCCTGTCCTATTGTAAGAAGAGTATGTAGCATTGAATGTGTATGTCAGCCATCTTTGGAAAAGACAAAATCTGCCACAGTGATACCTATTTGCCACAGTAATTTGTATTCTTCCCACATACAAAACTCAATTCACATCTCCCTCAGTGCCACCCCCTCCACTCAGTGCCATGCTGTAATAGAGTAATACTACTTGAAGTCCAGAATCTCATCTAAATCAGTCATCTCTAAACTAGCCAAAAGATAAGAATGTTCTTTTATTTTTCTGTGCGTATATTGGTATACGCATCTGTGCACGTCTGTGTAGAAAGTGATCTATAAAAGAAAACTCAATTTTGTTTTCTTAATGTACTTTTAAAAGAAGGGCAGTGACATATATAGTGATGATTTGGTATAGGTCTGTTTCCTAATCAATCTTATTACTGGTCCTTGAGAGTAATTATTATCAAAGTGATCCTAAGGGTGTTTCAAAGTTCTGTTCCAATTAAAATTCCAAATCCATATGTTCTTTCTTCTGGTTTTTTGTTTCTTCTTTGTCCCACTAAAGAATAGAAAAGTGACATCCTTACATAAGTATGTGGATTAGTGGGAAAAAAAATGACCCTTAATTAGCAAGGCAAAAAAGCTTGTATATCCAGTAGTATTGATGGAATTGTTTGTGAAGAGGAGCGATACATCTCTTACATGGTCCTTTTTGACATACATAGAGGGTATAAAGATCATGAGTAATATAGGAACTGATAGAAAGCCTGTAGTTGGAGAATAGTAGTAAGTATTGGATAAAATGACAGCAGATATGGTTGAAGAGCCAGTGCCTTGTATTCTAATTGGATTGGGAAGCCATTTAAAGGTTTTAAGCAGGGAAATGGGTGGCTTTGGTTATTGTGTGGACAGCAGATAGGTGAAAGTGGGTATGAGGAAACCAGTTAGGAAATTATTACAGTGGTCCAAAAAGATGTCATTTGGACTAGGGTGGTAGCTGTGGATCTAGAGTTTTTTGGGCATATATTGAATTCAGGCTGCATTTCTAAAACAAAAACTGAACAACTTCATTATTTTAAAAATCAGTGCTTCCAGGGGGAAAAATAATTACATGTATTTACTAAGATGAAAATTAAAGTCTGCCAAAATGTTTTGTTTTCATTATCCCAACTCTTATTATCCTTGTAAGAATCTGTAAGTAATATAATTAAAATCTTACTCAGTATATTCCCCTTTGTAATTTTTAATTATTCAGAATGGATGGGGTAAAATCTTTCTGTAGAATTATTTGTAAAGTTTGTTAAGGAACTAAGATTATAAATAAGATTTCAGGAATATGTGTAATGGGGCCTTAATTTAAAAAGATATTTTTGTGTCTTCTTACATATTAATTACGTTCTGGAAGTTACTACTAAATATTACTTAATTTTATCTATTTATTAGAGAAGACCTAGCAAAATCTATAACTGCAACACTGAGTTAGATATTAAATGGTGTTCTTAATACTGGAGTATCACAAAATCACAAGATCAATTATCTGTTCACCTAATGAAAATTTTCAGTATTTAAACTCATCATTTGTGCTAACTTACATTTAGTGAAACTCAGTAATGCTAATTTATGTTTTCCCTTATCAATTTTGAAAAAAATACATCTTTTCACATACTACCTCCTAAACTTGCACACATGCATGTGCGCACACACACACACGGAATGTATAATGTCTAAAACAGAAATAAAATACACGCTGAATTTTAAAAAGCATACAGTCAATGTGTGGTCTTATAATTTGCTTTTAAAACAAGGTGCATTCTGTACTAAAGTCCATAATATTGTATACTCTTAGTGTATACAAAAAGGAAATGTTGTCCTTTTATATATTTGTAATGTAATTACATAGTATACAACAAAGGAAATTTATCTGTGATGTACGTATAATTTAAGTAGATCCTGTTAACTGTTGACTATAGACTTTACTTTGAGTAGTTTTGCCTTTTCAGATAGAATTTTCTACTTTGAATGCTTGTAGTACATGTTCTCTAAGATCCTTTTCAGTTCTGATGCTCTATGATTACATGTTTAAAGACCAATGATTCTCAGAATGAAGATGGAGGAATGGTGAAGGAGATGGTAAGATCAATAGAATTTACATATGCCTCCTTCTTCTGATTTTTGAATATCACTTCAGTGTAATAGGGATACTTGTTGATAGGCCTATATTGCATACATGAACTATATGATGGTGGGAAAAAATGGCATTCCTGTTATAGGATAGTATTCTGTGGTTATGAAATATGATACTATACTAGGTACTTTGGAACCTGACAAAGTTAAAAACGGTCTCTTACCCTCAGAATTCATTAGTGTTTGTCATATTTCAAGAAATTATTTATTTTTCATTTTGTATAAGCAGTTAAAAAAGGTTACCACTAGAACTTCTAATATAGGTTGAATATCTCTTATCTGAAGTGCTTGAGACCAGAAGTTTTTTGGAATTTGGAATTGTTTTTGTATTTTGGAATACTTGCATTATACTTACTGGTTTAGCATCCCTAATCTGAAAACCCAAAATTCTCCAATGAGTATTTCCTTCGAGTGTCATGTTAGTGCTCAAAAAGTTTTGAATTTTGGAGGGTTTTGGATTTTGGATTTTCAAGTTAGGGATACTCAAACTTGTAGAGATTTTAAAAATATTTTATCAAAACAAGCTTAAATAACATACTAAGACTTTTAAATGTAGTGGAATTATTTTTTAAAATTTTGCATATGATAAGTATTCACTTTATGTGGTATCACTAGGATTAAACAAGCTACCATAGTGACAATAAAGTGACTTTCAAGTAACACAGTTTGAGAAAATGATTACCACATGTATCTTTTGTTCAGGAATCAAAGGATGAACAGTGGAAACGAGCTATGGATTATTTAAACGTTGTCAATGAGCTCAACTACATGACTCAGATTGTTATCATGCTTTATGAGGATCCTAATAAGGTAAACAGAGCTCTTGATTTGTGTTTTACCAGACATAAATAAAGAGCTTAAAGTTTCTCATTTTGAAAATGTTCTGTCATATTTCTTAGGATCTTTCCTCAGAAGAACGCTTTCATGTTGAATTACACTTTAGTCCGGGAGCCAAAGGTTGTGAAGAAGACAAAAATTTGCCATCTGGCTATGGATATAGACCAGCTTCCAGAGAGGTAATGAAGGTGGAACTCTCAGTGCTTAGTTACTACAGTTCTAGATTTTCATGAGGTTTCTATAAGAGATTTTTATAATGTACTATAAATAATTCTTATTTTAACTTCTAAGCAGGAAAATGGTTTAAATTTTTTAAAGTGTGATTTGTATAGACTGTACTTTTATGCATATTGCAATACCTAGGAATTTTATCTTTTGTTTAGATTGTTTGAATTTTAAGGCCGTGTTTAGAATGGATAACCTTAAACCTTTAATTCACCAAAATTGACTTTTTTGGATGTAGTACATGTGATGTGCAGTCCAGTTTTGTTGTCTTCGCTCTATGAATAACTAAACCCCAGTATCATAGATTCAAGAGTTCATACTTTTTCTGCCACCTATAGTACTACATCTGATACTGCAGACATATATTGTGTCTGTATTTTGATTGGTTGGTTTCTGAATTTTTAGTCTTACTTGATTGCTCTATTTGTCTCTCTCTCTACCAGTACCACAGTCTTAATTATTATAGCTTTATAATAAATATTGATATTGAGTATAGAACTCCTCCAGCTTTGTTGTTCTTAAAGATTATGTTAAATATTTCATGTTTCATGCATTTTCATATAAATTTTATAATCATTTTATAATATTCTAAAGACTCTTTGAGATTTTGATTGAGATTACCACTACTCTGCAGATCAATTTGGAGAAAAATGATACTTTTTCAGTATTGGGTCTTCTAGTCTAAGGACTTGGTATATTTCTGAGTTTATTTAACTATACTTTATATTTTTTGATAAAATCATTATTTTTTCATTAAAAATAATAGCAAAAACCACAATTACTTTTGCACCAAATAATTGTTTTACACCATCTTTGTCATATTAATTCCTAGTTCCTTTATAGTTTTTTATGCTGTCATAAATGATTTATTTATGATAAATTAAATTTCATTTATGATTTATTTAAATTTCATTTTTTGTTTTTGTCATATTAAATTTTAACTCAGTTTTGTATAAAAATTTTATAGCTAGCAAACTTATAACTTGATATATGCTGTTATTCATTCTAATAATTTACCCTTAGAGTCATCTGGATTTTTTATGTATATGATCATAACATCATCTATGAATGATGAATAGATTTAGTGATAGTGGACATTCTTATCTTTCAGTGTCTTATTATTAACTGTGATGAGCCCTTCAAGTTTTGGATATCCCTTATTTGATTAAAGAAGTACCTTTTTATTCTCTGTAACCCTTAATTTGATGAGGGTTTTTATGTACTCAGTTTATTTTCTTTTGGCCAATATTATGTTTATGAGGCTCATCAATGTAGTTGCATTTAGTTTTAGTTTGTGCGTTCTTATTGCTTTAAAATATGTGTTTTACTGTATTACTATGGTCCAACGTATGCATTATCTTATAGTTGGATATTTGATATAAAAATTTTTAGCTTGCCTGTCTCCCATACTGTGTTGGAGGATTCTTGCAATCTGGGACTGTGTCTTATTCATCTGTGTCCTAGAACAATTCATGGCACATGTTATACACTTAGTAAATGCTTAATGAGTCACTGAATGATTATTACTTTTAATGCAGTTATCACATTTATTAGAAATGTTTGGAATAGATTTAAATATTCTAAAATATATAAATACAAGTGCTGTTTAGTTCATGCTCAGGTTGATGAGACTCCTATATAACAAAGCTCATCTCTATTATTTCTTACTGTCATTTATTATTATTGTTTATTTATTCTTGCACTTGATGAAATGTAATTAAACGCTTTGTCTTATGTGGTTTTTTAATTGTCATTTTACTGTTTAATTTCTCCATAGAGTATATGTATTTTTGAACTCAGAGACTCTGCCTTTTCCCTCATAGTACACAGCATAATACTAAGCTGTTAGAAGAGTTCAATTAATGTTAATTCATCTGAGTAAACAAACTTGTATATGTATTTCAAGTACCTCTACCAGTGGTAGTTGAATCTGTTCATCAGAAGAGATTTCTTAAATCTGAATAGTAAAAGTGTTTTATATT
Source organism: Homo sapiens (assembly GCF_000001405.40). Taxonomy (NCBI): domain Eukaryota; kingdom Metazoa; phylum Chordata; class Mammalia; order Primates; family Hominidae; genus Homo; species Homo sapiens. Next base: position 103,180,009 of record NC_000005.10, read on the forward strand.
CTTTGCTCACAGAATGAAGGCAGGAGACCTTTTAAAATTGATAATGATGATGAACCACATACTTCTAAAAGAGATGAAGTTGATCGAGCTGTGATATTGTTTAAACCAATGGTATCAGAGCCAATTCATATACACAGGAAGTCTCCACTTCCAAGATCTAGGAAGACGGCTACAAATGATGTAAGTATATGTATCAGAACACATTTTTCATACAGTAAACTAACTATATTTTAATAAAACAGAAAAGAAAATACAGCTTTAATTGTGGAGCTTGGGAAACCAACAAATTTTTAAATGTTATTTAATCTATTTTTAAATAAATTACAAAAAATATAGAGGCAGTTCAAAAATAGATTAGCTTTAGAATGTTGAGCTTTACATATAGTTTTCATAAAAAAAGGATGCAAATATAAAATAAGCTGTTTCTAGGAACTTGAAAAATGAATGCTTTTTTTTTGTCTTGTTACATTAGGAATATTTACATTAGGTTGATCTTCAATAATGAATTTTTTTTAAAAGCCTGATTTAATGGATCAAGAATAATTTTAGTTAGAGAGCAAGCCGGGCATGGTGGCTCATGCCTGTAATCCCAGCACTTTGGGAGGCCGAGGCGGGTGGATCATGAGGTCAGGAGATCGAGACCATCCTGGCTAACATAGTGAAACCCCCGTCTCTACTAAACATAAAAAAAATTAGCCAGGTATGGTGGCGGGCACCTGTAGTCCCAGCTACTCAGGAGGCTGAGGCAGGAGAATGACGTGAATCCAGGAGGCAGAGCTTGCAGTGAGCTAAGATCACGCCACTGCACTCCAGCCTGGGCAACAGAGCAAGACTCTCCCCAAAAAAAAAAAAAAAAAGTAGAGAACATTTGCTGGAGATGCTTTAGCAATAACTGATTCAAGTGATACTATAGGTAAAGAAATGAAATTCTAAATTGTTAGCCTAATTGCAAAGTCTATATAGGAATTTGAATGTTTGATAATATAATAAAAAATTTTACCTTTATATTAAGATCTATAAATAGGTTAGAATAATTCTTATGCTCTCTAATAGAAAAACATTTAAATAATTAATAAAGTAACATTTAAAAGGAAAGTTTAGCAGTTAGAATGAAGCTTGTTAAATAAAGCTTTAGCACCTGTATACATTTTTAATACTTTAAATAAGTTTTATTTGGGGTTATCTCTGTTTTCTGTAGGATGAGTCTCCCAGCACTGATTGAGGTCAGTGCTTCTAACTGTTTTCTAAATGCTCTAGTAAAAGTATAAAGGAAGAGGGGCCTGGCGTGGTGGCTCATGCCTGTAAACCTGGCACTTTGGGAGGCCGAGGTGGGTGGATCACCTGAGGTCAGGAGTTCGAGAGCAGCCTGGCCAATATGGTGAAACCCCGTCTCTACTAAAAATATAAAAATTAGCTGGGCTTGGTAGTGCCAGCCTGTAATCCCAGCTACTTGGGAGGCTGAGGCAGGAGAACCACTTGAACCTGGGAGGCGGAGGTTGCAGTGAGCCGAGACCACCCCCCTGACTGCACTGCAGCCTGGGCAACAGAGCGAGATTCTGTCTCAAAAAATAAATAAATAAATAAATACACACACATATATACATATATATGTGTATATGTGTGTAAAGGAAGAAATTAAGATAGAACCATCAACTTTTAGAATAAAGCATTATTTAAATATGCCAGTTCTGAAGAATTAGGTATAGCATTTTTTAGCATTTAATGGGTGAGAATAAAAACAATGAAAAGAATTGTGCTCATTTCTACAGCCCCGAATTATACAAATATATGTGTTTTATGATTCTCAAATTTCAAATATATATGTGCTCCAGTTTGACAATTTTGTATAGGCAAAAATCTGTCCATAAAGTAGATCCTTATAACTTTATAATGGAAATCATATAGTCGTTAAGGTTCCCTTGAATGTGATATTTTAATTACAAAAGAAAAGGGTTATTAAAGAGGGTATTTAACAATTATAGAACTTGGAATTATTTGTTCTGTTATAACTTAATGGAAAAAATGAAAAATCTGGGATTATGTTCAGGTATCCTTAATTTCAGAAAATTTGGGAAATAAGCTATATTAATTAATATAACCTACACTACTATTTGTGTGAGGGCAGTGATTTTGATGTGTTATTGAATAAGCAATCTATAGTTCATCAAATTATTCAGAATTTCACCATTAAACCCTCTCCTCTGCCCTCCAAAAAGCCTATATAACACTGAATACAGCAAAATGTATTGTAAGTCTTCATTTTGCAACTCATCTATATTTATAAAACCTCTAACAAAATCACTGCCCTTGTTAATCTTTAAAACGCAAAACACATTTATAAACCTTTTTCTCATAAATACTTAGTTGATTTCAAGAGATTATTTCTATGCCATGCTAAACTTTTACTTCCATAAGGTAAATTATTCAAGTAAAATCTTGAAGACTTTTTCCAGCGTCCATCATCTCCATGGATATAAGAAGTTTGTACTTCCAAAAGACACACAGAGAAAAAGACTGTTCTCTTCATTTTGTGCAAGTAGATTTTACTCTGTCCTCACTCTCTGAAACCTGAACATGCAAACATGTAAAATGAGAATGTTTGCTGCATGTTTTGCCTACTGAATCTGTAAATATCTCTGGAGGGGGCAAATAGATAGCTTGAAAGTATAAACAGGTGCAATTTGAGTCCATCTTATGATTTCTGAATTTTTTAAATATATCAGGGAGACAGATTTAGTTTTCTAAGTTATGTATATTGAAATCCCTTTGACCCTTTGCACAATTCTTTAGTGTCTCGGGTTGAAAAATTCACCCAAAATAGCACAAAATCTTTTGAATATCTTAAATTAAGCAGAAAACCTGTATATTTTAAAAGTTGCTAAAAAAAGAAACTTACTAAAATATTTCCAGTTTTAACAGGGAAGGGACAATTATGAAGCAGTATAAGTATTTTATGTCTTTTAAGGTAATAAAATATTTCCATAGTTGTTATCACATACAATTAGATTTATTAGTCATTCCTATCAAATTCTCAAATAGTGAAATATTTGGCTCCCAAATTGCTGTGTAATGGTTTTTTAAAAAAATTAATAAGCAAATATGAACAAACTGTATTTTTTTTTCTTTCTGATCATTTGGCTCTGTTGTATCTAACTTTGCATGCTCTGCTTTTTTTTTTTTTTTTTTTTTTTTTTTTTTTTTTTTTGCCCCCTTTCTCACTTCCAGGAAGAGAGCCCCCTGAGTGTGTCTAGCCCAGAGGGTACTGGTACCTGGCTGCATTATACCAGTGGTGTGGGTACTGGGCGTCGAAGACGCAGATCAGGGGAACAAATCACTTCTTCCCCTGTCTCCCCCAAATCATTGGCTTTCACATCCAGTATTTTTGGCTCATGGCAACAGGTTTTTAAACTTTACTTCATTAAACATTTTTCCTCCCTGCATTCAGAGCAACAAACAGCTGTCTTTGAGGACATCTAATCCCTTGTATTTCACATCAGAGTAAATCCTTCTGTTTTTTAATTTTGAGTTCATTTAAAAATACTTAATGATATCTGCCAATATTCAAGGGAAAGAAATCACTTACATGGCATGTGTTTAGTATTTTTACTGAGAAGTTTCCAAATATCCAGGATTTTAAAACAATCAATAGATGTTATTCTCCTGGAATTTCACCTTGTTAATAAAATTATTTAAAAATGAAAGAAATCTTTTTTGACTTGTCTTTTAAAACTTTCAGAAACAAATTATGTAATTTGATTGTAAGAAAATGTATTAATATTTTCTTCCATAATTGAAAAAATTAGATTCAATTTGGAATTTGCTGAGAAGGTAAACATTTTTTAAAATATCAGAATTTATGTGGCCCAGTTTTAATTAGCAGGATATATCGAATATTGATAATTTTCTTCCTCATTATTCCATTATTTGGAAGTATCTAATTTAAGGAATACATAGTCTGTTTTTCTTTGGACTGTTTAATATTTTAATGTTCTCTTTAAGAGGGAACAATTGCATATGTGCCCATCAACAATATGGGTCAAAATAAAATGACTTCAGAAGGACTTCCTGTGATGACATTTGGAAACTTAAAATATATATGATTTCTATTACATTGGAAGGTCTACTGTCACACATGAGGTTTCTGATAATTTCAGCAATTTCCTTTTGGAAATATAATGCATTTGACTATAGGAAAAGGGATTATGGTATCCATTAAGGCTGTGAATATTTAAAGGTTACTCTGATAAAGCCCATGCATGGATCAATAATTGTATGGTGATCTCAAGAGTCTCTGTCTGTCCTTTCTTTTGTTTGTAGTTGTTTTTTCCCCCTTCAAATACAGGAGCTGTTTAAGAGTGGGCATTTGGCTTCTTTTAAGAGTGAAATTATATCAATCTCTTAATTGCTTCTTTTCATCTGTCTTGTTTCATACATGATGTTTCATTCTGAATGCCTGCTTCGCACCACTTCATTGCAAGGACCTCATGAAATGGACTCCCTTCAAAAGGGGATCTTGCATGATCTTTCATGTTTTATGTATTTCTACTAATATTTATCATACAGCTTATTAACCTTTGTCTGTCTGGAACAGGCTGCATATGAAGTATAGACTTATGAATTTATTTTACTCTTTTACTTCATTTATTTTGGATTCCTTATGCAGGTTGTATCTGAAAATGCTAATTACCTGAGAACACCAAGAACTCTTGTGGAACAGAAGCAGAATCCTACTGTAGGTATGTGGTGTAAAGGAAATTGTGTTCCATACCCTTCTTAAACTCACTATTGTGCACACATGTAAAACTCTTTGGTGAAAGCATGACCAAATGCTATGCTGTAGTTTTTATTTAATGTGTACTAATTCAGAAATGTTGAGTTGTATAACTCAAAATAAAGTTTTGATAAAATGAAGAAGAGATAGCATTTAATTTTGTTACATAACCCTTTTGGATGCCTGCAATGATAACCACTTAGTTCACTTGCCAATGCTAGTTTTTAATCTTGTACTCTGTAAGTTAATTTATGAAGGAAACTTCATTTTCCCAGTTGATAAAGATGAAAAGATGCTATTGCATGCAGAAAGGGACTTTCCATTTTTCTGGTTAAAAATATTTTTAAAGTACAGAATACTTCAAACCCTATATGAATATATTAATTTTCCTTTGAGCAGCTCGTAAGGAAAACCAAGCAAAACTAATGCACAGTGGCAGTCTCAGTCTTTATTAACCTATAGAACATAATTGGTTCTTTGCTAACACTCAAAGCAACATTGAAAAAGACCTTTCTAAACTCATTTGGTTTGAAGCTCATGGTTGATAAACTATGAAATAGTGGCGTATTATTTTCTGTAAATAGTTGTCCTAATAGGTTTAATAAAGGCATAAACAGATCTCGTTGTAAGTTTATGTATGTACTGTGATCTCTGTACTAAGTATATGAACTGTTGATACCTACATACTTGAGGATCTCTCTTTAATTTCATATAGCTTGTAATGATAGTTTTTAATATTCCTACAGTATATTTATAGAAATTTATATATTACTCCTTCTTATTGATGTATCATAGTATATTTTATAGAAATTTATTTAATCCTTCCCCAGTGATGAAAGTGTTATTTGGATGTAAAAACTTTTGCTACAAATTGAGCATCAGTTTATACTGGCTGTTTTATTTGCTTATAATGTTTTTCATTGGGAGTCTTATTAATTAAGATCTTAAGTCACTTGTTAAGTATTTAAAGTGATTTAGGCCTTGAATGACTGAAAAGGACCTGGTCTCACAAATAAATAAATTTTGATATACTTTATTTCATAAGAAAGAGTAGTAATTCTCAATTCAGGGGCATCAGGAAAGATTTGTCATTTATAGACATACATTAAAAATACTGATTTTATATGACTTAATTTGTGCTAGAAGGAGTGTTTTTTTTTTTTTCTTTAAATATGGCTTGCCCTTGGAAATTGATTAACAGAGTCCTTTCTTGTCCTAAGTTATTTTTATGGCAGTGTTTTTAATACTTTAGGATGTATATGTCTAATTATTATATGGACATATTTTTTTTCTCAAAGATAACATTTTGTCCAATGTTAAATTACCCCATTTGTACCTATGATAAATGATAGTGGTGTTTAGAAGTATTGTATTAAAACTGACCTCATTAGGAAATTACAAGAATATTGTGAGCCTGTTCAAGGCACTTCCAAAGGTTGCCTTATATGTGGTAAGAGCCATGTTAATTGCATGCTGCATGAATTCCCAATGTGAATGGAAGAACACCCGTTGTGTATGTATTTTCTCTAACTCCCATCAGGGTCTCACTGTGCGGGCCTGTTTAGCACCTCGGTGCTCGGGGGTTCTTCAAGCGCACCTAACCTACAGGATTATGCTCGTACTCATCGTAAAAAGCTGACCTCTTCTGGCTGCATAGATGGTATGTGCACACATGCACACACAGATTCATACCTACACCCATGCACACACCCATGAGCAGTATTTCTCAAAGGCAAATCTAAGGCCACTGACTGATTCGAGTGAAATCCTGTCATCTTTTGCCTAAATGACTATCAGTGCTCTCTGTTATCTACAACTTGGATCCATGTTTCATCAGACAGTTAATTGTAGTTAGATTTACAGTACTTGTACAATAAGTTTGTTGAAATGGAAAACTTAGAAGAGTATTATGTGTATTCTTCTTTTAGATAATTGATTATATTATAAAGAGCAAGCGTTTCTTTGATCTTTTAAACTTTTATTTATTGTTAACACTTATTTTACTTATTGAGCTAATTAAAGTGAGTGGAATGTTTATAAGTAGAGGACAATATCATATTGGCAATATTTTTATAAAAATAAACACAGGATGAGAATATTTTAGGATCACTAGCTGAAGGAGATCCTCTTAATGTTGTTAATATACCTTAAGTTTTAATATTAAGAATTTTTTAAGGCTCATGGAAGCGTGTCCCTTTTGTTAAGAGAAGTGGCTCTAGCTCTTTCAGGATCGTCTTTATTTAAAACATTTTCTTATTTATCAACAAATTTATTTTAGACAGTAAAACATGGATTTACCAGAATTGCCAGCTCATCTTGCTTTTCTTTCTTTTGTATATTTCATTTGACACTTTTCCTCTGTCATCAAGCTAGTTAACTTCTTTTAACCAATATTTACCTTATTACATTCTCTCATTGTCCCTTCTGCATGTCACCTTTCTAACCTCCTCATATATTTGTTTTTCCCCTCTTTCTTTTAAGTGTTCTTTTTGTAGCTGTTACGAATTTCAGGTACCTGTTTTTCTCTTTCTTAGACGCCACACGCGGTTCTGCTGTTAAAAGGTTTTCTATCTCATTTGCTCGACACCCAACCAATGGTACGTTTTGCTTTTATTTTAAAAGATACTCCCCTGCTTCATCCCTTTTTTATTTTTATTTTATTTCAAAATGTGGGGTATACAGTATCATTCATTTCTTCATCCTTAATGTCAATTGGCGTACAATTCCAACTTGTTATTCACCCAAATTATTGATACTGTCTAGCTCCCTTTTCAGCTGTAATTCACATAATAATTTAACATTACTCATCAAACTTTTAATGACCACAATGATGATGAGTTTTAATGCTAAATTAACACCTGAAAATTTCATCTAATTTCTCAGATGATCAGTCTACACAAATTTTTAAATTATAATTAGTATTCTTTAATTTTTCTTAATTCTCAATAACTTTTTTCTTCCTAATTTTCTGATCACATGGTTGTTTTATTGAGATATTTAAACAAAAATACAGAGCCACCCATGTCAAATAGCCAAATAAGATGTGTCTTTGAAAAATTCCTGGGCACCTGGTGATGCATATTTCACTGTATAACATCGTCTGTTCCTGGCTATTTTTCTAAAGCAAAACCCTGTTCGGTCTGGAGCACTCTGAAAACTTTGTCCAGCATTCACTTTGTTCTTGTGTAGCAATGTGGTTTGCTATTATCAAGCAACTAATTCCTTTTAGTACCACTGCTTTTTCTTAAAATTTAGAGGACTCCTGATAGGAAGAAGATTAAGTTAAGATCTAGAAACCCAGCTCTGTTAAATTCCATTTTTGAGGCTGAATAGGAAAGTGTTTCATGACCATTATTGTAAAAGGAATTATTGCCATTACAACTTCTAACATAGAGCTTGATATTGTGGGGCAAGAGGGAATATTTACTGATCATTTTACAATAATTCAGGATCAAAGAATTTAAAAGAGCACTTACAGATTTTTGCTTGTATTATACATGGAATGAAGATACTTTTATCCCTGGAACTCTTTTTCTTTTTAACTGCAAGTAAGTCTTTCAAAAACTCAAGTCAGATCTTTCAGAAATTTTTATGAAGCTAAAGGATTCAACACAAGTTTATGGTCATTCTCCCCCTTCTGGATCCTTTAACAACACATCTAAATAACAGTGCACTAATAATTCTTGAAGGTGGAATAAGAAGATCTCATCCTCAACAAGTAAAAATTTAGCCTTAAAGCTTAATGTGCTTTCCCTTCATTGTAGCTATTTAAATGCTACTTTTTGAAGAAAGTGATTCTTATTTGATACAGCTGCAGCTTCTAAAGAAACCGCATGCCTAAGAACCTCTTAGAAGAAACACAGAAGTCACAAGAAAAACAGAAGCCACAAAAATTCTAAGAAGAGACATTGCAGGTTTAAGACCATAGTTTTTGTACTGAATGCTGTGTGTTTAAAACCAGTATTTGAGGTATTATTATCTAGGAGAATCTGTGTTTAACTGAAGGTTTTTAAAAATGAAAAATATTTATGTTAAATTTAATAGAAAATAGAGTAATTTTATATTCCTTTGGTTTAGGCTCTTTTTTAAAAATGTGGGTTTTCCGCACATACAAATGCACATAAGGTGCATTCTTTTCTATTCTACAAATATTTCTTTTGAGTTTTAAGGTTTCCTTTTTTCCTTTTTTAATATTGTGTTGTCTTATCTGTCCTATGAATTGTCATTTGACTCTTCCTTTTACTTTTTATTTCCCCTAACTTTCATGTTATTTCCATCTTTAACACATATCATGGACTTACCCCTCCCTTCATCTTTAGTTCAAGGAACATGGTGAAACAAGTATCTTCTGACAGTGCTTTACCTTATTTTCTGGGCCTCTGTGCAGAACACCTACACCTCTATAGGTGCTGGTCCGTTTCCTCTGTGGAATTTCTAGGCTCCAGTGGTATGTTTTTATAGCTTCTAAACATGTCAGCAGGGTGGCTTTTTAAATTGCTGCGCTAACCCTTTCATTGTGCATTAAAGGAAAAGTTTATTAAAGATAAGTGGAAAAAAATGTAGTCTAGAGGAACTTAATTATATTGTCATTTGCCTGTTATAAAATCTAGCAGGCAAATGAAATAAAATAATTGCTATAAAAGATTTATAAACTTTGTGAGGAAAGAAGAAAAGATCTCATCGTTAAGTTTAGTGTAATGCAAAGAAAGGGTTTGCGCTCATTTGCATGAATCTTGTACTTCTAAAAAATGTAACAGTTGTGCAAGCCTAATTTCTTTAGTGCTTAATTTAGGTGCTTTAGTTGCTGTTATAGTATAGTTTTGTTTTTGTTTTTGTTTTTAAAGTATGTGTAATGTTCTGTCATGCTTTGGTTTGCACCTGAAAATCAGACATATCACTTTTGCAAGTCCTTTGGTTATTTTCCTAGGAAGATTAGATTCTCTTTTAACCAAAGTTTCCTTATTCTAACTGAGAATTAGGCAGTTCTTGGGTCAATATTTCCTTCAATATTTAAATGAATCAAACATCAGTCAATTTAAAAATGAGCACACGCCTATTGAAGCAGAATGTTGCAGTCTGAGGTTAATTTTGTACTTTTAATGATATTTGACTTTATATAAAACTTTGAGTATTATAAGTATTTAACTGCGGGAAATTAATTTGAATTTTTGGAAGAGTAGATGCAGAAAGACTCGTTATTTTTAACAGTATATGAAAGCAATTTTAAAAGCCATTCAGTTGAATGAAGTTTAAATAAACAGGCAATTTTCTTTTTTAAAAAAGTGAATAACCTATATCCTATTTGTTTAAAAACATAAACTGTGTATTTAAGTGCTTTTGTTTCACTGATGGTATTAATACATATTTGCATGATTGTTTCATAAAATTTTCGTATTTCTGTGCCATTGTTAAATAGGAACATATTTGTATTTGTATTGCTTTTTACTTGGCCTAACTTTACACAGCCAGTGATTCCTAGTAATATAATTATGTGTTAATTCAGTAAAGGTAGGTGAAATACGTTTTGGAATTTTTATTCCAGCATGAATGAATGAATGTTGTTTGGGGTTCATACTAGAGAGTATCATTGGTCTTGGCACACCTGGAAAAGTATCTAAAATAATTATTCACAAGTAATTATATAATTTTTCAACAAGAACTTACTGTTAGCGTCCTGGCATCAGGGATACATCATGTGGCATCAGTTTATTCACCTATTGAATAGACCTGACTTCAAAAAATAAAAACTGAAAACTTGTATTTCTTTGTTTTTTTTTCCCTAGGTTTTTTAAAGTATTATTCTTAGATTTTACCAATATAGAATGAAATTGTGTGCATGCGATACTACGTGATTACATTTAAAAAGAAATCTTTGTCACATCTTGTTCCAGCTCCATATTGCATAGCATCTGGTGTCATGACTTCAGAGATATTGTGTGTTTGCATGTGATAGACTGAAAAGACCTAAACTGTCCAGTTCTAAGCAGTAGTCTTCCTTTCTAATTACTGATTTTTAAAATATCCATCTTTTATTTTTTGTTTTTGGTTTTTTTCTCTTCTAGGCTTTGAATTGTATTCCATGGTGCCATCTATTTGTCCTCTAGAAACTCTTCATAATGCCCTATCTTTAAAGCAAGTGGATGAATTTCTTGCTTCCATTGCTTCTCCATCATCTGACGTTCCACGGAAGACCGCTGAAATTTGTAGGAAATTTTTCTTTCATTGTTATTATTTAGTTGCTGGGCAACTACATACTATCTGAGTATAACAGGAATTATAACAACATAAAAGCAGGTAGTGGTAATGAGTAGGAGTACAAAGGGGAGTGTAAAGGGACATTATTAGGAATTCTTTGGTGTAATGTGAACTGTACCTCTTTTTTTTACTCTGCCAAAATCTTTTCTTCTTACCAAAAAAAAACAAAAAACAAAAAACCAATAGCAGTAGAAGTCAACAAAATATAGGGTTGTGGTCTTTTGTTAAAACTATGTTTGCTAGAAATCTCATATTCCTATTGTATATCATTTTATAGCAAAGTTTTTTAAAACTGCAAAATATCAGTCCACATTAACCCATTCATACACACTCATCTCCTGACTACCTTTGGTAAGTAGTTAGAAAGAGCTTTTAACTAAAGACAGCAAATTAGGACAACAATTTTTCAAATTGTGTATCTCAGAAAACATTCTGAAGAGGTTAATTTGTGTGTTTGAAGAAAAGATGTTCATGGTTAAATAAGTTTTAGAAACTATGTTATATCCCACCTCCCTTTGGAGAGGTATAGCTACATTAGCATATAAAAGGCTGACGTTCTTCTGTAAAGAAAGCTGTATAACCCAGATTTTCCAAAACTTATTTTTTAGAAAACACTTTTATGGTAACACATTAAATATCATGTGGCTCTATTCTGAGGGACATCATTTGGGGAAATGCTCAGGGCTTCCTTTTTAGGTGTGAGAAGTCAGCTGCCAGTTGTCGTTTTCAGCTCTATAGGATTCCTCAGTACTTTGGAAATTCCAGTTTAGAAAGAGTTAGTTTTGGGAGAGAGTGCTTTGCTTAGAGCTAAGAATCTTACTATTCTAGTCATATCTTAGAAAGTGACAAACTTTCTTTGTGTATCATTCCTCTTTTTCTGAGTGCTGTAAATAAATTTTGCTCAATAATAAAATGAGATATTAGAGCTCTCGGAATGAATGCCACTTTTATGTCTGACTGTCATTCTCTTCTCTTTCCTGGGCCATCACATCGTATAATTCTAGAGAGCTCTATTCTCTTTATATTTTGTCTAAATGATACCCCCTGCATTTATACAAAGTAGTGACCTTTCCCTTTTCTTCCATTTTTGGTAGTAGAGGCCAGCTTTCAATCATTAACAGTAATAGAGATGTATACTGGTGAGTGTTCTAAAATACTTCACTTTAGGGATGGTTTTAGGAAGTAGGTCTTAACTTAAAAATTTGCATATAAATGTGTCCGATTATGAGAATTGATAATACTTCAAATGAAATAACTTCTCCAAGTGGTAAACGTCAGAGACAGGAAAATGAAGGTGGTAATCTCCTTTTATATTCTCTATAACCTGCTAGAATGGACAATGCTGTTACCTCAGAATGCAGTAGAGAACCTGAATAAATTCTAGTTTACCCCTTCACCCTTAATGATGTTTCATTGCTTCCCTGGGGCAAGGATTTGAAATCTTAAAATAGAGATTAAAGAATTATTCTAATTAGTAAATAAGAGTTTAGGGGTAGATCTCAACACTATTTAGATTGTAGAAGACTTGCAATGAATGATTTGAAGGTAATAGAAATAGTAGTGACATGTTTGTTATGAAAGGATAATTTTAGTAGAATATTTACAAAAAGATAATATTTTAAGGTTTGTTCTGTGGTACTCTTGATGGATTCATTTTGTAGTTAGTGAATTCAGTTCATCAGAGTGTATTACTGAAGGATATTAATGAGGCAAAGGATATTAGATTCTTTTTCCAGTTGTGCTAATTTCTAATTAGCTCTTCTGTATATCATGGATACAAATTGTACCTCAGTCCCTCTAGCTCTCTTAAAATTTCATGCAATTAGTTACTAACAGAACTAGATGAGAAAGTAAATGTACTTAATGTGGCTCATAGAATTGGATAAACCTTAGAGATAATCTAGTTCATTGGTCTTCAAACTGTATTCCCAAGAGTCTTTGGAAATTCCATGAGGAAGAGAAAGATGCTGAATAGTTAGGGCTTGTGTCTTTCATGGCTGCTTCAACCAGAGTATCTCCTTTGGTCTATTTTATTTAAGATTTCACTTAAGAACAGCTTTACTATTTAAAGAAAAAATCGTAGAAAGACACAGTTGAGGAAATCAATAAATTAGTGGTCAAGCAAGACTAAAATCCAGGTCTTCTAAAGCCTCTATTTTTCTCATTATTTTTGAATAGCAAAGAAAATAGGGTGCCAGTTATGATGAAAGTTTTTGAATCATGTATTTTATAGAGTAACTGTAGGAATACTATTTATTAAATTATAGGATATTTATATTATTTACAGTTAGTTCCCTGAGTTATCAAGCTGTAGTATCATATACATACAATTATATTCATTTTGTGGTGTTTATAACAAGGGAAAAGGAACTGTTAATCATTGTCTGTCCTTCCAAGTTTTTTTCCTCATCTAACACAAAATTAATAAATATTAATACTAAAAGATAGCTTACAATGGGGAAGTGACAATATCAGATTGGAGAAAAAGGAGTAGGTATATTAATTAGGATAAGTTAGTGATGGAAGTTCATAGAGTAGGGTAAAAATATGCAAGCAGAAAAGGGCTAAGTAAAGCTAGGTTGTTTTATGATGTTTTAAGGACTTTTTATCTCTTAGATTATTTCCATTAGTGACTACTTTTTATTTTCATTAGTGACTACTTTGAGCTCTTTCAGTTAAATGAATAATCATTCATTGTAGGTGTCAACCAGCAAAGGCACATTTGCCATAACTAGCCCACATCTTGGTTTTCAAAAGCATGCTGCCTCTCCCTTTGTTTAGGCAGTCTAGAAGCTCATGCCAGTAGTGTCTCCTTCTCCCCTACTTTGGCCTGTCCTTGCCCAGAGGATTCCATACTTAAGAATTATCCCTACTTCTCCTTTTTACACCTCTCAATTTCTCTGCCTTAGTTAGAAAGAAAACCGGAAAGACTCAACTTTAAAATTCCCTTCCTCTCATTTAGTTAAATTTCAACTGGCTAATATAGGAAAATAGTATCTTTTATTACTTATAACTTAATTAGTTTATTCCTAAATATGATAGTTTAGTATACCATTATATTTGTAGATGAAACATCCCTGAATCTGTAATTGTTATTTTTTTTTAAGACAAAAACAGTTTGAGACTCTGTCTCTTTGTTTTTTTTCCCCCCGAGACAGAGTCTTGCTCTGTCGCCCAGGCTGGAGTGCAGTGGCACAAGTATGGCACACTACAGCCTCAACCTTCCAGGCTCAAGCAGTCCTTCTGCCTCAGCCTCCCGAGTAGCTGGAACCACAGGCCCAGCTAATTTTTAAATTTTCAATAGAAATGAGGCCTCCCTGTGTTGCCCAGGCTGGTCTTGAACTCCTGGGGTCAAGCGATCCTCCTGCCTTGCCTAACTAAATTATAAGTAATAAATAAGTCAAATTATTTTTCTGTATTAGCCAGTTGAAATTTATCCTCCTAGTCCCTGGGCAGGCACGGTGGTTCATGCCTGTAATTCCAGCATGAAACACCACGCCTGGTGAGGGGATTACTGATTCTGTTACCAGGCAAGAAAACTATGCCATTAGCTCTTTTCCATGCCTTAAAAACCTCAGTTTCTGTAAGGAAAGGATAAAGTCTGTCGCTCTATTCTTGGCATTCCTTTGGTGCATACTATTTAAATGCTTATCATTTACAGTATAAACAAACATCTATTTGTCTAAGGCCATAACAGAACTATCTTTTTATTAAAAAAAGGTGATTTTGCTGAATTTACCTTGACCATTTTCTTCTGTTATTATGAATATTCGTAGGGTCACTAAATTATAAGAAACTTTCTATGATGTTAAGAGATAATTGGCAGGAAATTATTAAATTAACATGTTTGTTTATTTTTTTTCAGCCTCTACAGCTTTACGTTCCAGTCCAATAATGAGAAAAAAAGTATCTTTAAATACGTATACACCTGCAAAGATCCTCCCAACACCACCAGCTACCTTAAAGAGCACTAAAGCAAGCAGCAAACCAGGTAAGGGGTGTGTGTGTTGAGTTTGTGGATTTGCACAGAAATTAGAGGAATAGTAACTTGCTTTTTAAATGTCAAATTTGTTTTTAATTAGTATCTTTGCACTTCCCTAGAGCGTAATGATCCTAAGGGTTAAAAATCGATTATTGTAGTCAATTGATATATATTTGTTTTTTGTCTGTTGTCTTCCCCTCTCCCCACATCTGTTAACAAAATATATTTCACAGTCACACTTTTCCCCAAACTAATTTACGGACTGTCTTCTTTTGCCTTTCTTTTGAGTTTAAGGCATCATCTTACATGAAAATTTCTATAGGCCAGGCATAGTGGTGCCCACCTGCAATCCCAGCTACTCAGGAAGTGGAGGTATGAGGATTACCTGAGCCCAGGAGTTCAAGTCCAGCCTAGACAACATAGCAAGACCCTGTCTCAAGTATTAAAAAAAGAAAAAAAATTTCTCTTTCCTGATAATATTTTCATCTCTCCATTCTCAGTCTGACTATGTGACTACCAAAATTAATTTTTATTAGCATTTTTCTACTTTAATTATGTGGCACATTTAATTGTATTTTTGACCCTTCCTGAAATGCTCTCTTACCCTATTACTATATTGTGATATTCTATCCATTTATCTTATTCCTCTACTTTTCTTGTTTGATCATCCTTCTTCTTTCTACATTCTTATCCCAGACAAGAACATGATACTCATGATATTCATTTTTCTTACCATATATCTTTTTTCCTCAGAGAATTTCATATACCTCCAAGGCTTTGACAACAGCCTCATTGCAGATGTCTTCATTCTTTTCCTCTAGTGCTCTCAAATGTTCTTTTGGTTAAGAGTTTGTGCTTAACAGTCAGAGAAACCTAGATTAAAATCTCAGTTCTGCTACTTATTAGCTATGTGACTCTGGACAAGTTACTTAACCTCTCTGATCCTTAGTCTTATAGTCATAAAATCGGGTTAATAGTACCTTCTTCATATAACTGTCAGAAATGATTGCAATCTTGTATATAAAGTACTTGGCACACATTGTAAACACTTACTAAATGGTAACTGCTATTAATTATTATACTGTATCCAGTGTTCTCTTTACTTCTCCCCAAATAAATTCCCTTAGCATTCATGCCATTTTTTTCTATTAAAATGTTTTCCCTTTTACCTCACGTCCTTGAAGACTCAACCCAACCTCTTCCACTGATAATGTATTTATATGATTATCAAAACAAGAACTTCAATAACACTCTGTGCTACTGATTTGTTCTATTATACCAGATTATAACTCTATCAGATTACAAGGCCTTATAAGTCAGAGGCAATATCTTAAACCACAAATCTTACAGATTTGAACCTTGCACATTCCAACTAATAAGTATGTGAAACAACAGACAATTGAATAAGTATCTTAAACATAAGTTGTGATGCATCCCATATGCCACACAAAGCTAACATTTGTATAGTTCTTTATATTATAAGCATTTTTCTATTAATTCTCATAGTTCTCACCATAACCTTTAGAGGTCAATACCATTCTTATGTCCATTACAGATGAAAAAAGTAACAGAGATAGTAACTTAATCCCAGCTTACATAGCTAGTAGTCAGTAGACCTAGGATTTGAATGCATTTTGACTCATAGTACATTGTTCTTTAGACACATAATAAATGCATTAGTTCATATACATTTTTAAGTAATAAACTAAAAATGGTGTTATATTTGACATTTCAAATGTTAAGTCAACCTTGCATCCTTAGGATGAACTCTACTCAGTTATGATATATTATATATATGAAGGTCTATAAAATTCTCTGAGGAAAAAAACATAGGGTAAGACAAATGAACAGAGTAGCATGTCACTGTCTGGGATAAGAAAGTGGGAAAAAGAAGGATCATCAACCAGGAAAGTAGAAGGATCAGAGAAACAGAAAGAATATCATGATAGAGTAATATCTTGGAAGTCAGGGTAAGAGAGCATTTCAGGAAGGATCGACAGTACAATCAGATGTGCCACGAAGTTAAGATAGAAAAATGCTGACAAAAGATAGTTAAATTTGATTTTGAAGAAATTTGCATCTGCGTTTGTGAAAGATAGGATACTGGTCTGTAGTTTTTTTTGTTTCTGTTTTTGTAATGCCTTTTTCCAGGTTTTGGTATCAGAGTAATGCTAGCTTCATAAAATAATTGGGAAGTGCTTTCTATTTTCTGAAAGAGTTTTTATAAGATTTTTGTTTCTTCCTTGAATGTTTGATAGAATTAATTTTATATCAATTAATTTTGATAGAATTTATGTTTCCTTTTTGTGATACTTTTGGTAGCTGTATTTTTTTATGAATTTGTTCATTTTATCTAAGTTGTCAAATTGTTGCTCTTTTATTATCTTTTTAATGAATGTGGTAATAACTTCTGTTATTCATGTTACTGGTAATTTGTGTTCTACTTTTTTTTTGTGATCATTCTCACTAGGGATTTATCAATTTTGTTTACTTTTTCAAAGAACCAACTTTTGGCTCTTTGTATTTCTGTTGGTTTTATGTTTAAAACACAAATTTTTTTTTTTTTTTTTTTTTTTTGAGACGGAGTCTCCCTCTGTTGCCCAGGCTGGAGTGCAGTGGTGTGATCTCAGCTCACTGCAACCTCCACCTCCCGGGTTCAAGCGATTCTCCTGTCTCGGCCTCCTAAGTAGCTGGGATTACAGGTGACTGCCACCACGCCTGGCTAATTTTTTTGTGTTTTTAGTAGAGATGGAGTTTCACCATGTTGGCCAGGCTGGTCTCGAACTCCTGACCTCAGGTGATTCGCCTGCCTCAACCTCCCAAAGTCCTGGGATTACAGGTGTGAGCCACCGCACCCAGCCTTAAAACACAATTTTTAAAAAATTATTTTAAATTAATTATTTTAATTATTTTAAAAATTATTTTCTACATCCTACTTACTTTGGGTTTACTTTTATCCTCTATTTCTAGTTTCTTAGGTCATTGATTGTTATCTATTTCAAACATTTAAACCTTTAAGTTTCCCTCTAAGCATTTTAGTTGAGTCTCACAAAAGTTATATTGTATTTTCATTATCATTCAGTTAGAAATACTTTCTAGTTTATTTGTGATTTCTTCTTTGATCCATTGCATATTTAGAAGTATATTGGTTAAATTCCAAATATTCAGGGTTTTTTTATTGTTTTTAATCAATTTCTTATTTAGTTCCATTGCAGTTATAAAAACATACACTGTGTGATTTCAGTCTTTTAAATGTGGGACTTATGGCTTAACATCTGGAATATTTTGAATATAATTTGTGTACTAAAAAAAAAACCCAAATGTTTATCTTATAGTTCATTGATCCTAATGGACACTATTTTATCATTATGCATGAGGTGAAGGTTGTTGATAATGTTCAGATAGTCTGTCTTTACTATTTGGTTTTTCTTTGGCAGAGGGGTGTTCAAGGAAGGGATTGATTGTGCTATCAGTTGTACAGAGAGCGATTACACTCACAACTGCAGAATTGTCTGTTTCTCCCTTTAATTTGGTAGATTTTTGCTTTTTGTGTTTTGGAGCTCTGTTACATAATTAGATGCATATTTGATTATTGGATATTCTTAATAAATTGACTCATTTATTATCATGACTTTTTTCTCTTTAATTTCCAGTAATGTTTTGTTTTATTTTGTCTGATGTGATATAGCTCAACAAACTTTATTTATGCAAGGCATTCTAACAATATCTGCCTTATGGTTGCAGTTTACAGTTCATTAACATTTAATGTAATTGTTGATATGTTGAGGTTAGTCTACTACTTTCTTATGTTTTCTGTTTATTCCTTTTGATTATTATACCTTTATTCTTTCCTACTCTACCTCATTTTGTACTAATTCAATATTTTTAAGAATTTTATTTAACTTTTTCTATGGACTTTTGCTGTATCTTTTTGCATTTTTTTTTGTTGCTCTAAATATATATTCCTAATTTTTCACCATCTACTTAGGGTTAATTTTGTACCACTGAAAGTAAAATGTAGAAGCCTTGCCACTGTATAGATTCATTTACCTTACCCTCTTCCCATTCTTTACACATAGTTATCCTTATGTGTTACTTCCACATATATTATAAACACTACAATACAGTGTTATGATATTTGCTTTAAACAGTCATATGTATTTTAAAGAAACTTAGAGGAGAAAAAGATTCTATATTTATCCATATATTTGCCATATTTTTTGCTCTCTATTCCTTCCTTGAAGTCTGTGTTTCCATCTGGTTTCGTTTGCCTTCAGCCTGAAGTTTTTTAGCATTTCTTAATCTGCAGGTCTGTTGGCAACAAATTCTATTCATTTTTTTGTGTCTGAAAAATGGCTTTATTTTGCCTTCATTCTTGCAGTGTAATTTTTGCTGAATAGAGAATTCTGGGTAGAAAATTTTTTATTTCAGCACTTTAATGATATTCCACTGTCTTCTGGTTACCATTGTTTCTGATAAGAAGACTTAGTTAATTTGAATTACTGTCCACATAAATGCAATGGGTTGTTTTTCTGTGCTTGCTTTCAATGTTTTCTCTTTATCTTTGCTTTTCAGCAGGTTGACTAAGGCATATTTATGTCTATTTTTTTTTTTCTTTTTTGGTAATACTCCAAAAAAGATGTTCATTGGTTGATGTTGATTTGGTTGATTTGGTTGTTGTTTACTTTTACTTCTACTTTTCATTCTGTTGTTAAACCCATCTAGTTTTTATTTCAGACCTTTTATTTCAGATATTTATTCTTTTAGATGTTCTGTTTGATTCTTTTAAATAGTTTTTTTGCAGGGATTTTTCTCTTTTTATTCGTTATAAACTTATGTTTCTTTGTCCTAGAGCATAGTTAGAATTGCTGCTTTAAAATTCTTGTCTGTTAATCTGACTCATCTCCAAAGTGATCTGTATCAATTTATGCATTCTCAGCAGGAAAGATGTTTTTCTGTTTCTTAGTATATTAATTTTGGATTATATTGTAGACATTGTGAATGGTATGTTATAGAAACTCTGGATTTTGTTATTTCTGTTATGTTCCTCCAAAAAATATTGTTTTGTTTGTTTTTAAACAAAGAGTTAGCCTTGGCTGAGCTCAGATTGTAAAATATGGTGTTCCGTGAAGTGGCTGGCAAAAATTTCAGTTCATTTTTTGCTTTAGCTGGGCTCCTTGGACTTTACTCTGCTCATGCCATACATTTGACCATCATTTACAAATAGAATTGTGGGCTCATCCTTTTTGAGATTTTCCACCTTACTTTCTAGCAGCTGTAGTTGCTGCAATACTTGTCTTCTGCTTCTTATGTTGGACTTGTAGCCATTGTACATGGTGCATATTAGGGCCTGTCCTCAGGCTAAAAAGAAGGGGAATGTTATTCCATATTATTCCCTTTTTCCAAGTGCTGATTCTTATCTAGTAACGGCCTGCTCTTGTTCACTATTTAGTATCTTCAGGTAGTTCTTCCTCATATTTAGTACAGAGTGTATATTTGTTATCTGTGGGAAGATTGGTCTGATAGAAGCTTACCCATACATCTATTCATCCATAGTAGAAATGTAATAATGTAATGCCACCTAGAATGGTTTTTTATTTTATTTATTTATTTATTTATTTATTTATTTATTCTTTTGAGACAATGTCTTGTTCTGTTACCCAAGCTGGACTGCAGTGGTGCAATCATGGCTCACTGCAGCCTCAACCTATCAGGCTCAAGCAATCTTCCTACGTTGGCCTCCTGAGTAGCTGAGACTATAAGTGTGTGCCACCACACCCAGCTAATTTTTAAAGTTTTTTGTAGAGAAGGGGGTCTCACTATGTTGCCAGGGCTCGTCTTGAACTTCTGGGCTCAAGCGATCCTCCCACGTTGGCCCTCCAAAGTGTTGGGATTACAGGCATGAATCACCCTGCCTGGCCTAGAATAGTTTTTTGATAATTCATGAAGACTTCATGTTGGTTTAGACACAGAAGGATGATTCCTAAGTCAAGCGTGCTTCTAGTTTTCTTACCTTCTAGCTTTTTAGAGAGGGATAAGATAGAAGATACAAGAGGAAATAGATGCTTGTAGAGAAAATGATGAGTTCAGTTTATGCATATTAAGTTTGTCTTTCTCGTCAGATATCTTTAAAGAAAGTTTCAATTGGCAGTTGTATATACATATCTTGAGCTAAAGGAAAAGGCCCAGGCCAGAAGTATAAATTTAAAAATCATTAGCACAATGGATGGTAGTTAAAAATTATGAAAATATATTCATTTCCTAGGAAGCATGTAGAGTAAAATGAGAAATTAATTTTGTGAACACAGCCCATTGTCATTACCTTTCTATATTTGTGTTGAATTCTGAAAAGTAAAAGGTTAAAAATGCTATATTAAATTTTTACATTTCATTTACATCACAATTATAACAAGAATTGTTTTGTCAATCAGCAGTATTATTTGAACTTGGATTGTTTGTGTAAATTTAAGCAATAGTTTTTTTTTTTTGTTTTTGTTTTATGTAGCTACAAGTGGACCTTCTAGTGCAGTTGTTCCTAATACCTCATCTCGGAAAAAGAATATAACTAGCAAAACAGAAACGCATGAACACAAAAAAAACACTGGGAAAAAGAAATGAAATCTTAGCAGAAGCTGGAACTTTTTATACTTATAAAAATAGTATGTTCTTATGTTTCTCCTTATGCATTTATGTGTTCACTTAAAAATGTTTTTAAATCTAAGGTTTTCTTTGTTTATGTTCAGGTAAGGAACTGTTGTCATGATCTGGAAATGTTTAAAACAATGTTTGTTAGCATTCTGTGAGCAGCAAAACTTATAGTGATAAAAATCGATTGTTGTTAATATGATGTTTACCATGTGCACATAGTAATGAAAAGGAACATAAAAGCCCAGCAGGCTCGTACCAAAGTCACAGCAGTAATGCTATGTACTGCAGAGTCTGATGAGCTGGCCTTTGTGCACACTTTTATTTTCATGGGATTGCATCTTAGCTGTTAAAACTTCTAGATTGAAATTTGACAGCCAGGGTTACATATTGGGGACTTTTAAAGTGTCTTTCCAAAGAGATTTCATTAACCGTTTAGATTAGAATATCTTTCCCAATTGTTACAGTGACATATATGCTGCAATATTTAACAACTGGAGTATTAGCCACATGGGTTATTTTTTCAATCTGTGTTTTGAATTTTTTTATTGTGTGTTATTTAAAATATTACATATGCAGCTGGGAGAACTACACCTTTGTGCACATAGATTTATATATTAATTTGTAGAAAATATTTTCTTTATATATTTCCTTACCATACAAGGTGCCTTGTTCATCAGGAAAACTTTTGTTTTGTATTTTGACAAGAAAGGCACCTTCAGAGTTTCTTTTTAAGTATAGTTGACAAGTGTATAAATGTTACACTTACTTTCAGAGTTCTTTTTAGATCTAAAGAAGTCAGTTCAAAAATGGAAATCAACAATGTTAGGAGAAATCTGAATTCTGTTAAGTTAGTAAGTATTATGTATAGCATCTGTTTTTAACCATTTCCATTCTTATCCCTAGTGTATCAGTTGATCACACTAAGAAAGCTTAAAGATTGAGCATTTGAAATAAATGCTCTTTATAAATGATTAGATTTTTGAAGGGATATTGAAATCATTGCGCTGTGATTTCATCTGTGATGTGAAAAATCAATTTATTATCCTTGGTGCTTTCCCCCCCACCAATGCACAAATAATTGTGAACAGCTTGAAATGACTTAAACTGTAATCCAAATGGGACAATCTGATAAGAATTTCATGCATTGGTAGTTAAATAACTTAAATTGCTAAAGCTTTAGCTTGAAATTTATGTTTAGAAAAACTATTGATTTCCCATGGTATGAATATAACTATTGTAATTCTTCAAATGAGACTCTTCTCACCTTAAATAGTCATATATTAATTAACTTATAGGAAATAAGCATACTATATGTTAGCTGTTTTAAAAGGTACCAGATGTAAGAGTCATAAATATATGCAATTAAAGAAGTTCATAGATTTCACATGAATGTAAATGTGTTATATGGAGACATGTCTTGTAAACAGTTGAATGTATGTAAGTTTTCTGTTTGTGAAAATGTAGTTAATGTACTCACTGTGGAGGTCATAAGGAAGCTACTTTTTTTTTAAAGTGGAACCTAATTAAAATATTTCCAGAATCAAAGAGACTTAAATGGTAAATTTTTAAAATTTTCTTATCTCTTACTTTTTAGTTTTCAAAGTAGAAAAAATCAGGAATTTTTTTATTAACTAGTACTTACATATTAAATAAAATTTATTATTGGCTATATACATAGCAATATATTACTTTCCAAACTAGAAAGTACAGTACAACTAACTTTTTCCATTGTTATGCAAGAACTATTACTTTCCTGTAGTCACCAAACTCAGTAGTATTGCTCTGTAGACTAGACACTCTATTTGTAAAAATCTTAGAATCACTTTCCAAAACAAATAAAAAGTCTACTGTATCAGAGCAAAATGTTATAGTTATCACTGTTTAGTGGCAGTTTGACTGAAGCATCTGTTTCTCACTTGATTCTGTCCTGAGAAGATGTGGGATTTTTTGGTTTTAAATACTAGAAGATATTTCTTCTTAGAGCCCAGTCCTCCATCCCAAAGAGGTGAACTAGCCCAGCATGAAGAATTGTCTAGTCACCCTGAGATATTAATCTTCATAATGTATTATTCAGTTCCTTCACCCTTAAAAGCCATATAATAGGCTCAGACCTAACTTAGCCCTTGAAGTCTAGTGCTGGCAGATTCTGCTGCCCTGGTTTAAATGAGTTACGTAGTCCATTCTCAAATACTAGCAAATTTGGGGGGCGTGGTACAGCAATTTTGGGTGAAGAAAAGTGTGCTGAACACCTTATGTCAGTGATAGACAAGATATAGAGGCTGAAGGGAATACAGTAAAGTAACAAAAACATGTGGCAGTGTGCTTAGCATAAACATAGAGCACAAAGGCAATAGATGGAAATTATGAGAGAAAAGTTAAAGTTCTTCAAGAAATATCCAATTAAAACTCACTAGCCAAGGAAAAAGTTTCTGTTTTCACCCGGATTTCTTTTTGGGTTGACTCTGTCTGACCTAAATGTCCACTGTTAACTAGTGCCATGCCAGTTTGAACCAAGATTTCACATTTTTGTTTTGTATTCATACTTTGGTAGAAATTTCTCAGTCTTTGTGTATTTATAAGAATTTGCTTTACACATAGTGTACAGTGTTTATTAACTTTACATCATTTTATCCTTGCCTTACTATCTGGACAGTGTAGACTGCCTATATTCTTAGTTGGGGTTGGGATCTCTTCTCTTAGAGTGGCCCAGCAGTTTTAGCCCCTCTCTAATTCTCTTTTCCTGTGTTGGGAGATATCAAAACAACAGAATTCTTGCCAGTGGGAACATTTTTCTTTTTTAGACAAGGTCTCATTCTGTCACCCCAGCTGGAGTGCAGTGGCACAGTCTTAATTCACTACAGCCTTGAACTCCTGGGCTCAAGAAATCTTTCTGCTTCAGCCTCCTAAATAGCTGGTACTATAGGTGCGTGCCACCACACCCAGCTCATGGGAATAATTTTTACACTCCTTCAGAAGGAGTCATTTGTGATTGGAGTCCACATAGAAACAGGTTTCCCTCTGTACATAATCGTAGGTACCAAAATATTACTGTGTAAAGTGTTGTTTATATAGGTCAATTTTTGTGGAAGATCTAATTTCTATTTTCAGAGAACAGAGCACATTAAAAAATCTATTTAGTATTGTGTACTATATAATCTATGTGAATTATAGCTCCTTAACTAAATATATTACTGAGTTTTTTTTTTAATACTGTAAGTTCTAGGGTACATGTGCACAATGTGCAGGTTTGTTACATAGGTATACATGTGCCATGTTGGTTTGCTGCACCCATGAACTCATCATTTACATTAGGTATTTCTCCTAATGCTATCCCTCCCCCAGCCCCCCACCCACTGACAGGCCCAGTGTGTGATGTTCCCCGCCCTGTGTCCAAGTACTGTTCTCATTGTTCAGTTCCCTCTTATGAGTGAGAACATGCGGTGTTTGGTTTTCTGTCCTTGTGATAGTTTGCTGAGAATGATGGTTTCCAGCTTCATCCATGTCCTTGTCATCCTTTTTTTTGGCTGCATAGTATTCCATGGTGTATATGTGCCACATTTTCTTAATCCAGTCTATCATTGATGGACATCTGGGTTGGTCCCAAGTCTTTGCTATTGTGAATAGTGCCACAATAAACATACGTGTGCATGTGTCTTTATAGTGGCATGATTTATAATCCTTTGGGTATATACCCAGTAATGGGATGGCTGGGTCAAATGGTATTTCTAGTTCTAGATCCTTGAGGAATCGCCACACTGTCTTCCACAATGGTTGAACTAATTTACACTCCCACCAAGTGTTCCTATTTCTCCACATCCTCTCCAGCATCTGTTGTTTCCTGACTTTTCAATGATCGCCATTCTAACTGGCGTGAGATGGTATCTCATTTGTAAGATGATATCTCATTGAGATTTTTATAAACTGCTTTTCTTTTGGTTCATGTGCTTTGTCATGGATTGTGAGAAAAACATCTTTTCGCTTAGGGATCACTGTCAATTTCTCCTTTTATTATCAATGGTTTTTACTTTACTTTTTATATAGTATGTGGGTATGTTTTCTGGTGCATATAAATTCATGAATGCTAGATTTTCATTATAGGTTTTACCTTATCATTATTAAAATGTCCTTTTTGTCCATTGGATACTTTTTGTTCTATAAATTGTCAGATATTAAGATTATGACCTATGCTTTATTTTGGCTTGCATTTGCCTGATATTCATCTTTTTACTTTTTGGTATTTGTGTCACTTTGTTTTAGGTTATTTAATATAGTATATATTGGGTTTTGCTTTGTGATTCAATTTTAAGATCCCTTTTACTTAATAGATTAGTGTAGTCTGTTTTATGTAATGTATCTTTGCTTTTAGATTGTGCTTGCTTTTTTTATTGCTTTAAAATTCTTTTGTCTTTCTGTAACAATACTTTCCACTGCAAGTAGGAAAATTCCAATTGAAACTGGTTTAAATCATCAGAAAATGTATTATTACACATTTCTGAAGGTCCAAAGGTGGGGTTGGCTTCAGCCACAGTTGCATTAGCCATATTGTCATCAAAAGCCCAAGTGACCTCCCTTGTCACCTCTGGCATAGTATAAACTTTATCCCAAAGTTGTTTTCTCTCGTGTTAACAATAATTGCTGTCGGTTTCAGTGAGGACTACATATTTTTTTTGTTCATGTCCAACACAATAAAAATTGAGGGAAGTTCTGTCCCAATCCTGGAATATTAATATTAAGCCATCTACTTCAGTGTGATTGAGCCAACTTCTTTGATCATCTACTCACCCCTAGATAAATAGAATACTCCAGGAGATTCCCATGACCTTACTGACCCTAGAGCAGATGATGGAGTCAGTTTTTCCGAAAAGCCTCAGCACTGTTGACATTTTGGACCATAAAATTCTACATCATAGGAAGCTGTTCCATGCATAGCAGCATGTCTAGTAGGATCTCTGTACCTAGCTGTGAAGTGTTGAGAGTCAGTTAAGGTAAGTAGCTGAAATGAAAATAACAATCACATCTTTATTCACTTACTATGATAAAATTATAAGCAAGAGACCAAAAAGGAAAGTAGGGCCAGCTCCTTGTTGTTCCATTTTTCCCCTACCATGGACTAGCACTGGACATGCGTCAATCAGACGACATGCAGTCCAGGCAGAGGAAATTGTTTCACTGCTAAGGAGCAATGAACAAAAGGTTCCTGCCATCTTATGGACCTCAAGGACTGCGGACAGGGAGCAGGGAAGGGTTAGAAGTAGAAAACAACTGAGTCAGAGTGGAGATGAGTGTCTCAGTCAAGGCCCACCAATAGCGAGGTCTCTGTGGAGGCACCTGAAAAGTGTCTCAACCAAGGCCCCCTGATAAGGAAGACTCAGCATGGAGGTACCTGGTCTAGGAATGCAGCTAGGTTTATAGACATGGCCAGCCCAGGGGGTCCTGAGCACCAGATACAACTCCCTCCAGAGACTGGCTGTGTTTAAATCTCATGTGGGAAGGGCACCTTTCCCCTACAAAGCCTGTCAGGCAAAGCCTTTGTAATTGCTTATGGTCAGGCCTGAAAGATCACACATCAGACTTTGGCCTGGAACATATCTCCTCACCCTAAATGCCAGCAGCATCGCCTCCAAACTGTGGCAGTCAAAAATGTCTCCAGACATTAGTAAATGTCTTTTGTGAGGGAAGAATTGACCCTAGTTAAGAACCACTGCCCTAAAGCACATGATTCTGTGGAAAAGAAGGATATATGACCAAAATCATCATTTTGGATAGTGAGGGCATGGATAATGGATACATAATCAGCAATGTATGCTGTATACTACACTTGCATTATGTTATTCACATTTGCTATAGTTCACTTGTTGTGCTAATGGTTTTTTCCTTCACTATGATTTTGAATTATATTTAATTTTAAAGTCTATATATATATATATATAGATCCTATCTGTTGACTCCTTGCTGTGAACAATATCCAATTAGTGTATTTTTTCCTCTACTGCACAGTTTTGGTTGATTATTTTTTCCTTTTCATTTCTTTTCTGAACTTTGTTAGCTTATGTTGCATTTCCTTTGGTTGTTTTGCTATGGTGTTTCTGATCAACTACATTTCTTTATGAACTCTATTTCCTTAAGTTCTTTGAGTTATGACAGTATATTTGGTCACATTTTTCATGTGCTCAGCTGATTCATTCTTTCCTGTTGAGTGGTTTTTATCTGCTAATTGTTTCTGCTTGTTCCATTTCTCCTTTTCTTGAAGTGTTTGTGCATGAACACTGTGCAGGTTTATTTTCAAGTATTACTTACCTTTATATGAGATAAATTTCTTTCTGGCTCATCTATTTGATACAATTTCTTTTTTGTTTGTTTTTGTTTTGTTTTTGTTGTTTTTTAAAATGCAATTTCATATGTTAGGTAGGTTGGCTTTTCTTTTTCTTTTTCTTTTTTTTTTTGAGATGGAGTTTTACTCTTGTTGCCTAGGCTGGAGTGCAGTGGCATGATCTCAGCTCACTGCAACCTCCACCTTCCAGTTTCAAATGATTCTCCTCCCTCAGCCTCCAGAGTAGCTGGGATTACAGGCGCCCGCCACCACGCCTGGCTAATTTTTGCATTTTTAGTAGAGACTGGGTTTCACCATGTTGGCCAGGCTGGTCTCGAACTCCTGACCTCATGATCTTCCTGCCTCAGCCTCCCAAAATGCTGGAATTACAGGCATGAGCCATCATGCCCGGCCGTAGGTTGGCATTTTAAGCTCACACAATCCTACCAAGGTGACAGTGAATCTCCTTATGACAGGATTGTGGGTCTGAGAGAGCTGTTGTAGCCTTTTACTCTCTCCAGTCAACAAAGATTGGCAACTACAGGGTTACCACCTTTGGAGTCTCTTTCCTCCTGTCTGCCACGTCTACAGACTACTGCTTGTCAATGTGATATGCATGTATTTTCTTCTTCAGCTTTGCCCCTCCTGCCACTGTACCAGACAATATCCAGGAAATCCCCTACTACTGACACTCATCCCATTTCCATTGTTTTAGAGAAGGAACTAGTTGTTGTTGTTTTTTTTTCCCTGTCTCAGATTATGTCATCTATTTTGGAGTATTTTGGTCTAATGACTTTGGCTGCGATATGGAGCTATCTGACCTTTACTGCACCTGGCAGCTCTATCTCCTATTTTGGGGTTGAGGTTAAAGTGTCTTCTAGTTTTGTTGAAGATAGTTTATGTTTCTCTTCATATTTGATGATAATTTTTTAAATTAAGACCTAATTTCTCCTTCATTTTCAAACTGGATATCATTTCTTTTGTGGTTAATATTCTTTGACAAGAAGGAAGAGGAGGAGGAAGAAGAACAAAAGAAGCCTGCCTCTCTTTAGACTGCCCATCTCAATTATATTTTAAAAATGAAGTTAATATCTGTCCTGCTAACAGTAGTGTTGTCAGAATCAAATGAAATAATATTTGGTAAACTATAAAGTGAAGACCAAATTTGAAGGACTATTTGTTTTTGTTGTAATAGAGTTGTATATAGTCCAGATGTCAACCAGGCCTCTTCAGCATTTTTATAGTCAAAGATGTACAAGATAGCTCCTAATGCTCTTTTATGGCTGCTCCTGTTGCCAGGGCAACAGCCTGCCTAGTAACAATCTAACAGACACCCCCCAAAAACCAAAAAATAAAGGTTATTCTAGCATCTTCTCCTTTTAAAAATCTTTAAAATAAGAGAATTCAGTTCTTCCCAAAGCAGTGTTTAAAAAAAAAAAGTATTTAAATAAAATCAAGGATACCATCCCACCCACCTATCTTACATTTTGTGTGGTATGAGTGGCACCATTGTGTGACCCAGGTAGGATAGTGGATGTACAGTTTAGATACCCATTTTAAAGCAGTTAGAAAGATGTAACTTGACAAGGAAAGCAGTCTCTTTTGTCATTCTACATTTAGTGCTTCAGGAGTACTTGATATATGGAAGGATTTTTTTAAAAAAAAGGAAAAATGAATATGCCTTCAGAAAGTTTTTTGCTGCTTTTAAAAGCCATAGATTTGTCTTAAGTTAGTCAATGCTGAATAGAAAGCTTGATGATAAAGGTGGGTGGGTGGATGGATGGATGGATGAATGAAGGAAAAATTAGGAGAAAAGAGAAAGCAGAGGAGGGGTGAGACAGAGAACAAAAGAACACAGGCTCTACTGTTAACAAAAAGCAGCATCGCTGATGTGTGGGGAATAAATTGGAAGTCATATCATTACGACTTTTTTTTCATGCCACATAGATATGCTGATTTGTCCAACAATGCCTGTACTCAAAAGTCATGACAATAAAATGAGACCTGGGAGTCCCAAATGTTATTAACTACCACAATTTTATATAACTGATTCTTCACTGGTCATCCAGAAGCCTTTTTGAAAGTCCCACTGCCATACCTGCCTCCTCGGTGAAATAGATGTAAAAGCCACAAAGAGAGAATCAATGAGCCACACTCATATTGGAAGCGAATGGAGTTGACTTCACCAGTGGGAAAAGCAATTACTTTTCAAAGTGAAAACTGATCAATTCACAACTCAAGGAAAGCATGGAGTAATTTCAGAACTCCAGTAAGAAGTGATAAATGTCTAGTTTGGAATCATGTGGCTGAAAATCTTACCATATGCTTTCCACAGGCTGAGCAAGAGGATAGATCATTGAATAGATGCTTTAATTCCATTTTTGACAATGAACCTTGTGCTTCTGAAAATATTTATATTTAACCATGAGGTTATGATGATTTTTTCTCTACACTTTTTGAGAAGCCTCTTCAGAAAAGAGCAAAGTTGTCTGCTCTAATGGATAGAATAAGGAGCTGGGAGAAAGGAGACCTGGGTATTAATCTCAGCTCTACCACTACATGGTAGAGCTATGTAGTGGTAGACTATCTGGGAGACTCTAGAATCTTTACCATTCCCTCTACTATTCCTAGCTCCCTTTTCTTTCATAGTCAACAAGTGCTTTTTGAACAATTATTGAGGTAAATAACATACCCTAAAAGTTAGTACTGATTCCCATTATCATGCTCTGTTGTTCCCTGGATGCTCTTTTGAGGAATTTACTTGGTTAATACAGTTAATAGTATAATACTTATAATAACAATTTTGAGAATTATCAGCATGAGACAATTTATTTGCATAATAGCTTTTTGTTATTATCCAGAATACATTTAGTTCTGGATTTTGTTTGATATTGTGAATGCAAACTATTTTTTTGTGTTAGCCTAAATAAAATGAAATACAGTTATGGAAATATTTCTGCTGCAAGAAAAGAATTACATACAACTAGTATACATATTTAGAGGTGCTGTAGTCTTCTAGACTGTAAAGGCAGATGGCCGTGAGTGGAAATCTGAGTGTATAGGATGTGTTTCGTGTTCCCACTGCATATGCATTATTACCCTTGTCTGAGTGGTTGTTTAAACTGACATCTGTAAAACTAATCTGTAAAGTGAGATCTGGGTTCTGACCTATCTCTTACAGTCCATAATGTTGTGATTCTAAGAATATTTCATTCCTTACTGCTTTCTGCCCTCCATTCTGACCAATGCTGCAACCACAAATAAAAACATTACTTACCCTATGAGAAAGACTAGACCTTATACTCATTTTATCTTAACAGTTTATTATAACTCATTTTGACCACTCCTCCCTCAAAAAAAATTGTCCCTAGAAAACTAGAGTGATCATAGGGATCAGATGACATGTTACTGGGTGAAGCCAGGAAGCTACCATATACATAGAAAAGTTAGTTGCCAAATATGGTGTGGGAATTTGGGAGGAATTTATCTGCTCAAAAACTCTCACCTACTTACTAGATATAGTGTTTGTAATGTTAGCCTTGGAGATTCTACCTTAAAAATATCATTGAGAAAGCTCAGAGAACTCCCAGGTAAACACACAGGTAGCCCCTTCTAAAATGCAAATGCCCTTTGAAGGCCAGCTTTATTAATCTTGCCATTAACCCCATAGTTAATCATATGCATTTCTCACAGTGACCTGAAAACAGGCATTCCTTCTCTAAATGTGTGCTGAATGCTGGTTATAAACCAGTTACTACACTAAGCCCTGATGATACAAATATGAAAAGTCCTGTTTCCAGGGAATTTACTTTCTAATGAGGAACCAAGTGCTCAAAAGCAGTCATAAAGTTCATGGCAAAATAACCCACATAATTAACTGCTTTGTTACAAAAACTTGGAAATATAGATAAAATATTTATTTTGGAAATATATGTTACAGGTGAAAAGCAAGAATTAAAACTAGTTATCTGAATGTAAAAGGAATCAACGGCTAAATCAAGCTTAAAGTCTTCCTGTCCAAGGGATATGAAAGGTACCTCAACCTTTGGTTTTGGTTTTGGTTTTGGTTTTGTTTTTTTGGTCAACATGAATTATAGCTAGGGGAAGAGATAAACAGGGGGTTAGGTTGTAGATTATATGCATGACAGATTGCTGGAATTGGGCTCCATTCACAAAGGAGGGAGCAGGAAAGGGTTTCTCTTGACTGGACCACAAATATAAAATCTCATGCCCTCTCATTATCTTGATAAGCCCTATAGGTCCATAAAAGAAATAAAATGCCAAAACATACCATGAGGACACTTTCACAATCCAGGGCACACACATGACTCCCGCAATAGGAAACCACACTGAAGACATTCTCACAATTTAAAACAAGTTGTAAACTACAGGAAACAGTTGGCATCCCAGGAGAGTTGTTGCCTGAGGAACTAGATGGTGGTATGTTATTCTGGCATATAGGGAACAGAATAAGACATGAGGGTAGGAAGAGGTTTTTAAAAGCAAAGTTAGGCATTCAATGATGACTTCATAAATGTGCCTGGGCTGGCCTTTAATGGAAGGCTTTAATTTAGGGAACTTAAAGAATTTCATAATATTGGAGTATAAACTGCTGGAAATAAGGATGCTATTTAATAGACTCTCTTAGATTTTTCATAAAATGCTAATAGAATCCCAAAGGAAGTGTGTATTCTAAAATGTTATTGTGTATGTTATAAAAGCTTTGTAAAATAAAGTGATGTTAAGCTACTATTGTAAAGTTAAAAATTTTTTCAGTCATCTGTAATCTCATTACCCAAGTAAAACTGTTTTCATTTTTCCATTATCCCTTTTAGTTGTTTATTTCCATTACCCTTAGGCATGTTAATGTAGTTGCAATCATTGTATTGTGAAAAAATTTGTCTTTCCTAAATTCTTTATATTGGACAATATTTCCTATGTTACAAAATATTTATAAAGTTCATAAATATCACTTTAAAATTTTGGCATTTTTCTAAAAATTTTAAAATTTTTATTAGAGTAATACATACATATAATCTAGAAGGTCAAATGTAATTCACCTATATAACAAACTTGCATTTGTACCCCTGAAACTAAAATAAAAGTTAAAAAAAAAAGGGAAAGAAACTTTGAGCTGAAAAAGTGGCCGCTATAATGATGTGAAATGGCATCTTCAAAAT
This sequence comes from Homo sapiens, assembly GCF_000001405.40. Lineage (NCBI taxonomy): Eukaryota > Metazoa > Chordata > Mammalia > Primates > Hominidae > Homo > Homo sapiens. The sequence goes on from NC_000005.10 coordinate 103,213,155, forward strand.
TTTGGTGGTGGTGGTGGTGGGTAACATAATTTATTCCTTAGTGGGAAAGACTTGTTTATCTTCTAACAATGGGAAGCTTGAGAATTAAGTGACATACCAAAGTATGTCAAAGTGCTTTGGTTCCTTGCCTCTTTTTTTCCCTTTACCTATACCCACACCTACCTCAAGTCCCATTTTCTAAAAGGATCTCCTTTTAAGAGTACTAGCTTTTTCTTCAGATATTTACCACCATGTTTCTATATAGTAATGCTATACATCTATATTTTGATTTACCAATTTTAGATATTATTTATTGACTTCTTGTTTTGGTAAGTAAGAAATTAACCTTCTAAACTCTACTCTTCCTCTTTTTCCTCCAATAATTTAATATTATTAAGTCATTAATCAATGCTTATAGTATTAATGGCTACGTAAATATTGTTATTGCTGAGCCAAGTAGTATATTACGGTCATTTCTTATACCATATTTGTTTCTGCTTGGAATTAATTATTTATTTGGTTTTCATTGTATACATATTTCAGATTCTTTAGATTCTTCAATGAATGTGTAAAGTAGAGCTCAGTATTATTTTCAACATTATAGATAACCATTTGCATCTTTTTTTTCTCCCTGAATATTTCCTCCTGTTGCTTGTTAATGGAAGCTGGGCCCAAAAAACTAGGAAAAAACAATGGCAGATTCTCAGAAATCAATCAATGTCATGTTATTATTGTTAAGAGTTGTGTGGCCCTACACAGAACCACTGAAAGAATTTGAAATGAATGAAGGATTCATAAAATTCAGTTTCTAATGTTAGGCATGGAGACATTTATATTTTAAAAAGGACCAAAAAAATTGAAAATCCAGTAAGGCATATAGCCAATTAGATAGAGGTGGCAAACTTGAAGATTTCTCTGAGTAGACAGAAGAATTAGACGATGTATATTTTGAATCTAAGGCATTCATGCTACACAACAACCTCCTTTTTTGGGTCATAGAATGCTTAACATAGCAACTATAAACAATGCTCTCAGTAAGAACATGAATCCAGTCCCTGCTCAGGCCAAAACAATTGCAACAAAAACAAAAACTGACAAATGGGACCTAATTAAACTAAAGAGCTTCTGTACAGCAAAAGAAACTATCAACAGAGTAAACAGACAACCTACAGAGAGGGAGAAAGTATTTGCAAACTATGCATCTGACAAAGGTGTAATATCCAGAATCTATAAGGAGCTTAAATAAGCAAAAAATAACCCCATTAAAAAGTGGGCAAAGGACATGAACAAACACTTTCCAAAGAAGACATATATGTCACCAACAAGCGTATAAAAAATGTTAAACATTACTAATCAGAGAAATGCAAATTAAAACCAAAACAAGATACCATCTCACACCAGTCAGAATAGCTATTATTAAAAAGTAAAAAAATAGCATGCTGGCAGGGTTGCAGAGAAAAGGGAACACTTATACCCTGTTGGTGGGAATGTAAATTAGCTCAACCATTGTGGAAGGCAGTTTGGCAATTTCTCAAAGGACTTAAAACAGAACTACCATTCTACCCAGCAATCCCATTACTGGGTATATACCCAGAGGAATATAAATCATTCTATCATGAAGACACATGCATGTGTATGTTCATCGCAGCACTATTCACAACAGCAAAGACATGGAATCAACCTAAATGTCCATCAACGGTAGACTGGATAAAGAAAATATAGTACATATACACCATGGAATACCACCGAGCCCAAAAAAGAATGAGATGATATGCTCTGTATTAATAGCAACATGGATGCAGCTGAAGGCCATTATCCTAAGCGAACTAACACAGAAACAGAAAACCAAACACCACATGTTCTCACTTGGAAGTGGGAGCTGAACATTGAGTCCACACAGACACAAAGAATTACAATAGGCACTAGGGCCTACGTAAAGGTGGAGGGAGTGAGGAGAGTGAGGATTGAAAAACTACCTATGCTTATTACCTGGGTGATGAAATAATCTCTACACCAAACCACCATAACATATAATTTACCTATATAACAAACTTGCATTTGTACCCCTGAGCCTAAAATATAAGTTAAAAAAAAAAAAGAAACTTTGAGCTGAAAAGGTGGCCACTATAATGGCATGAAGTGGTAGCTTCAAAATTTTGGTGGTGGTGGTGGTGGGTAACATAATTTATTCCTTAGTGGGAAAGAGTTATCTTCTAACAATGGGAAGCTTGAGAATTAAATAGAGCAATATTTAAGGGATTCAAACTAAAGTAACAATATTTCTTGCATTAAAGAATTACTACATTTTTGTATTTTTATGTAACTAAGTTTTTTTTGTTTTTTTTGTTTTTTTTTTTTTGGAGTCAAGAGTCTTGCTCTGTCACCCAGGCTGGAGTGCAGTGGCACGATCTTGGCTCACTGCAACCTCCACCTCCCAGGTTCAAGGTGATTCTCCTGCCTCAGCCTCCGAAGTAGCTGGGACTACAGGCACACGCCACTACGCCCAGCTGATATTTTTGGTTGTATTTTTAGTAGAGACAGGGTTTTATCATGTTGGCCAGGCTAGTCTTGAGCTCCTGACCTCAAGTGATCTGCCCACCTCGGCCTCCCAAAGTGCTGGGATTACAGGTGTAAGCCATGGCACCTTGCCTAATTGTAATATTTTTAAAAATTTAGCCAACTGTAGCTAACAGATCAGCCTTGTGATTCTAATTTTAAAACATGTAATTGATTTAATTTGATTTAAAATTCAAATCAAATTTAATTTATTTTCACATTATAAGAATTCCATGAGCACCTAGGAATGGTTTTCTGACATTTAAAGCATTTATAATGCAGTTTAAAGTGCTTAAATGGGTATTATGAACTCATCAAGAAAATGGAACTGAACATCAATCAAAAGATCCTTCAAAAAGCTACTAAAATTTGCTGGATTTACAAATAGAAAATGTTATCTTTGAATTTGTAACTTTAGTAAATTAAACATTTTAAAAGACAGACTACTCTCTAATCTTTTTTGTGTCCCCAAACTGCCCTTGAGGCCATTTAAAAAACATTTAACAGGGTCACCTCCTTCTGCTCCAGTTTGGGCCAAATTCTCTCTAAGTTGCTTCCCCTAATTTCCTGTCTTACTTCATGTGTGTTTTAGATTCTCTGCCCGTACCTTCCTCTGAATCACGTGGTGACAGGGTCACAGTGTTTTTCCAGGAAGGAGGAAGGGTAAGCCTAGAAACCACTGATGTCCCTTACACAGCTTTCATTCAAGTTCCATGCCATCATCCTTGCTTCCCAGTTACCATATGCCCCAAGCCTTTAGGCATTTCTTGGAGCATTCAGTTTGCTTTTCTTTGGTGTCCCTGTCTGCAGTGTCTTTGGTTGCAGTTGCCTCTGCTCTTTAAATTCATTATCACAATGTGTTGAGCTTTCTACTTTCCAAAAATTTGTTGACATCCCTCATGTGATATTATTTTTATTCACATTCTCTTTATAGCTTATTATTAATATTATTTTATTTTTTTCTTGGTGTATAGTGGTTTGGGAAGGAAGTATAGATAAATTGCACAAGTTCAACCTTCATTTAATGGGAAATCTTATTTTTTTATAACATGTATAATAGTCCATTAAGTGATGTACTGTAACTTGTTTAAATATCCCTTATTGTAAAGCACTTAAATTCCTTTCTTCCCTCCCCTCCCCTGCACCCCACTGTTTGTTTTCTTCTGATACATTACTTCATCGCAGTAAATCACAAGAGGTAGAATTATGGGGTGAAAAGCTGTAAAAGGATACGGTGTGGAATAGTAGAAAAAGTGTGGGCTTTGAAGATAGTACAATTCAACTCCTAGTTATGTTAATTGCTAGCTACATGATAACCAATTTATTTTTTTTAAGTCTATCTGAGTCTCAATACTCAAATTCTAGATTAAGAGACAATATTTATTCTCAAAAATATTCTGCAAAGTAAATTAAGTAAAATTAAAGGAAATAAATAAAATTTAAAGTAGCTGTAAATATGACTTAAAATAATAAAAAGGAAAGTAGACACCATGATGTCAATATCCTGTTATATAACTTCCTTAACAAACTTGTAATTCCACATTTACCATTTCTACCCTTGAAAAGTCTCAAGATTTGGAAAATTGCTATGTATCAAATTACTTCTAAGTTTTCTCAAATGGCAAACACCCCAGGCTCTCCAGGCTAAGCATTTGAAAGTTGAACAGTGCTTTTTGCATCTAACTAGAGCTTAACAATTGGTATTATAAAAATGAGTAGTCTCACTAACAGGCTTTTGTAATCCATATATAAAGTTATTTTACCTTTCTGGAATCTTGCCAGCTTTTAGATATGACATTGAACTAGTATGAATGAGAAGACAGCTTCATTGACCCATTGTTCTACTTGTATTACTAATAAGCTAATTGCCAAAACTGCACAGAATATATTCCTAGTTTTGTTTCTGTTTTCAGTTGGAAGAGACTAATTTGTAACAAAATCTGTTTGGATTGAAACATGCCAAACTTTTGATTCCTGATTTATTATTATTTTTTAAAGACTTGATAAGTTCTAGTGACCTGATTCATTCTTATCACACTAAAAATGAGCCACTAAATATTTTGTGTGTACATCTCACCTTCCATGACAACTTTATGAGAAACAAAAGTAGAAGCAAAATCATAGATGAGGGTAGTCATTAGAAGATCAGGAAGGAACATAAAGTTATGTAATTACATTTTCAGAACTTTATACATTTTACCAGAAATAAAACACACAATTTAAAAAATGCTGGCCAGGCACAGTAGCTCACCCCTGTAATCCCAGCACTTTGGGATGCTGAGATGGGAGGATCACTTGATGTCAGGAGTTCAAGACCAGCCTGGCCAACATGGTGAAATCCTGTCTGTAGTAAAAATACAAAACTTAGCTGGGAGTGGTGGCAGGCACCTGTAATCCCAGCCACTTGGGAGGCTGAGACAGGAGAATTGCTTGAACCTGGGAGGCAGAGGTTGCAGTGAGCCGAGATCATGCCCTGCACTCCAGCCTTGGTGACAGAGTGAGACTCTGTCTCTAAAATAAATAAATTAACGTTAAAGCAGTCAAGCAAATCAACTGCTGGCCCTTTATTTGTATGGAGACATTCTTTTTAGCTGCATCATAAATTGTTTTGCTGAGTTCTACAAAAAGCCCTGGGAAGTTAGCAAAGTATGTATTATTGTTCTTACTTGACAGATAAGACAGTCGACACCCAGAGAGGAAACACGTAAGTCACTGACAAAACTAGAAAAAGAATTCAAGTTGCCCAACCTTTGTACATTTCTCTCTCAGGTTTATTTATGTTTAACTTTCAAACCTTGCTACGTGGCTATAGTTCTTAGGGATTTTTGTAGTTCATGATACAAATAACTGAAGACGTATTTTCCAAATTAAAAGCAGTATTTAGTTAGTATACAAAAATTCAAGTAACTTGACTGGATACCAATAGTCTTCATTCAAGAAATATAGTTCATTTTTGTTTTTTATTTATTCAGCTTACATCTTAACTCTTTCTTTTCTTTCTTTTTTTTAATTATACTTAAGTTCCTGGGAGGCCGAGGCAGGCATATCACAAGATCAGGAGATCAAGACCATCCTGGCTAACACAGTGAAATCCCATCTCTACTAAAAAATACAAAAAACTAGGTGGGCGTGGTGGCAGGTGCCTATAGTCCCAGCTACTGGGGAGGCTGAGGCAGGAGAATGGCATGAACCCGGGGGGCGGAGCTTGCAGTGAGCCGAGATCGAGATCGCATCACTGCACTCCCGCCTGGGCGACAGAACAAGACTCTGTCCCAAAAATAATAATAATAATAATTAAGTTCTAGGATACATGTGCAGAACATGCAGGTTTGTTACATAGGTATACATGTGCCATGGTGGTTTGCTGCACCCATCAACCCATCACCTACATTAGGTATTTCTCCTAATGCTATCCCTAGCCCCCAACCTCCCAACAGTACCTGGTGTGTGGTGTTCCCCTCCCTGTGTCCATGTGTTCTCGTTGTTCAACTCCCACTTATGAATGAGAACATGTGGTGTTTGGTTTTCTGTTCTTGTGTTAGTTTGCTGAGAATGATGGTTTCCAGCTTCATCCATGTCCCTACAAAGGATGTGAACTCATCCTTTTTTATGGCTGCGTAGTATTCCATGGTGTATATGTGCCACATTTTCTTTATCCAGTCTATCATTGATGGGCATTTAGGTTGGTTCCAAGCCTTTGCTATTGTGAACAGTGCTGCAATAAACATATGTGTCCATGTGTCTTTTCAGACACATCTTTTTTTAGTAGAATGATTTATAATCCTTTGGGTGTATACCCAGTAATGGGATTGCTGGGTCAAATGGTATTTCTAGTTCTAGATCCTTGAGGGATCACCACACTGTCTTCCACAATAGTTGAACTAATTTACGCTCCCACCAACAGTGTAAAAGCATTCCTATTTCTCCACATCCTTTCCAGCATCTGTTGTTTCCTGACTTTTTAATGATGGCCATTCTAACTGGCGTGAGATGTTATCTCATTGTGGTTTTGATTTGCATTTCTCTAATGACCAGTGATGATGAGTATTTTTTCATGTGTCTGTTGGCTGCATAAATGTCTTCTTTTGAGAAGTGTCTGTTCATATCCTTTGCCCACTTTGTGATGGGGTGTTTGTTTTTTTCTTATAAATTTGTTTAAGTTCCTTGTAGATTCTGGTTATAGCCCTTTGTCAGATGAATGATTGCAAAAATTTTCTCCCATTCTGTAGGTGGCTGTTCACTCTGATGATAGTTTCTTTTGCTGTGCAGAAGCTCTTTAGTTTAATTAGATCCCATTTGTCAATTTTGGCTTTTGTTGCAATTGCTTTTGGTGTTTTAGTCATGAAGTCTTTGCCCATCCCTATGTCCTGTATGGTATTGCCTAGGTTTTCTTCTAGGGTTTTCATGGTTTTAGGTCTTACATTTAAATCTTTAATCCATCATGAGTTAATTTTTGTATAAGGTGTAAGGAAGGGGTCCAGTTTCAGTTTTCTGCATGTGGCTAGCCAGTTAACTCTTTAACTGTAGTGTGGTAATGGGAAGAGAACTGAATGAGAATCTGGGTGTCTTGTCTGTCTTATCCCTTTTCTGTAGTGGTACATAACCCTGGGCAAATCGCTTACCCTCCTTTTTTGTTTTGAGACGGAGTCTCGCTCTGTTGCCCAGGCTGGAGTGCAGTGGTGCAGTGGCGTGATCTCGGGTCACTGCAAGCTCTGCCTCCCGGGTTCACGCCATTCTCCTGCTTCAGCCTCCTGAGTAGCTGGGACTACAGGCACCGCCACCACTCCCGGCTAATTTTTTTTTTTTTTTTTTGTATTTTTTTAGTAGAGATGGGGTTTCACCATGTTAGCCAGGATGGTCTCAATCTCCTTACCTCGTGATCCGCCTGCCTCGGCCTCCCAAGGTGCTGGGATTACAGGCGTGAGCCACTGCGCCCGGCCCACTTACCCTCCTTTAACCTTAGTTGCCTCATTGGTAAAACTGGGAATAGCATCTGCTTTTCATGCTTTGCCAGGTGTGTGTGTGTGTGTGTTTGTGTGTGTGTGAGATAAGCAACAATAAGATAATATATGAGAGAGTGCTTGGCAAATTGCAAAGCACATCAGAAAAGTAAAATAATATTTTTCCTCAATACTGCAGAACAGGTGAAAGGATACCACTTAGGCTAATTCAAGGAAGAAAGTGAAAGGCCATTTATGAAATTTCAGCCTTAGCTGCTGTTAGCATTTATTTGCTCCAACAATACAAGCTGACCATCAGTAAAAATTGCCACTATGAAAGCAACTCAAGGGTAGCAGTTTACAATAGGCTAGGTGCCCCTTCCTCAGGAACAAAGTTACATCAGTTACAGCAAGGTGAAATTTCAAGGTTTAGGGATGAGAGTAGAGTGCAAACTGTAGGATTAAATCCAAGTTCACTATAATTTAGTAGTTTACAAGTAGTTTAGTTGTTTTCAGACTTTCTGTCTGACTGCTGGGTTTTCAAATTTTCTTACCAAAGGAATTCAGTTTTTGGAAAGAGAAATAATTTGGCAAATGTGCGTGAGGGAGTTGTGGTGCTGGGCGGGTGGGCATGTATATTTAGGCACTCATGCAAGCAAGAACTAAATGTTTAGAGGCAAACTGAATTGTTCAAAATTGTTTTTGACTTTTTATCACAAGCAGTTACTCAAGGAAGATTCATGGAGCCAAGAATACAATCTACTACCAATATGAAATACTTATCTAAAAGACTTGACTGAAATGTGCTGTAATAAGAGATTCTTGGATTTTTTCTGTTCCATTCTGGTGGGGAGGAGGGGAGCAGAATCTGCCAAATTAATATGCATCTATATGAGGGATTATATTTGAGGTTGTCCAAATGTCCTAGTGCTTTTGTTGCACTAAAGAAGATGTAAATGACCCTTATCCATTTCTACCCATTCTGCTCAGCTCTTGATATTCCTTTACTATATAGTTCTGAAATAAAGAATTTGGATCAATAAAAATAGGTTAATAAATGAATAGAAAAGAGGGAGAAAACAGAAAGAGAATTGATTTGTCAGAAAATTACCATAGAAAATAATTATTCCTCTCTCCACTTGCAAGATAATTTATTTTCAAATATATTTAAATACTCTCTAATATATCATTGGTTTGCAAGTGGCCCTTTAAGAAAATATGCCTCTATATGGGATATTGGCCAAGTGATTAAGTGATGATGTTGAGAAGTCCCTTAATCATAAAGCAGGTTTTTCAAATGATCTTTCTGCAGCAGAATACCCCAGTGCTGTGCTGCTTACTGAGAAGGAAAGTAGACTTAACTTGTTCAGTTTTCTTATAAACCATTGTTTATGGTTAAACTGACTTGAGAAATAAATGTGCATCTAACACATTTTTTGATAGTGGATTGCACTATATGTCTCAGATAAAAGTTTAGAAATGTTTCTTACTTTTATGGCATTTATAGTGTACCATGTCCTTTAACTTAGAACTAAAGAACAAAGGCATACATTTTCTGTTATTTCAAGACTACTTTCTGGCTCTAATTTTTGCTAAACTCACATCTGAAATACTGCTTGCCCACAGGTAGTGTTGGTAGCACCCAGGCCTTTTGAATGGTTGATAATAAGCTGTTCTTTTAGAAAGTTATTAATGTAGGTCCTCTTGGTGTTAGTAGCAATTACTGGGGAAAAAAAAGTTGAGTGATCGGTGGAATCAAGGAATAAGCCTAGATTTAACAAAGTTAAAAGGCTTCATTAATGCAGGAGTCGTTGCAGCCTTGAAAAATGATGTCTGTGATTCTTTTAATGGCAAATTTAATGGGCAATATTTCCCTCCACCAACAACTTGACCATGAAATCCTTTTTTCATGAAGGTATCTCTTGGGAAAGAAAGTTAATTTAGAAATTGATATTAGCATGAACATTAGGAAAGCCTTTAAAATAGGTTGACTCTGCATTAGAATCAGACATGGTTCCAATCTGGGCTCTGCTGCTTATTAACTATGTGCCTGGACACGTTGCAAACACCCTTCTGAGCCTCAATTTCCTCAGCTGTAAAATGAGAACAGGAATACTTCAGATTATGTTTTGAAGATTAGAAGAAACTGAGAAATGGCCATGTAAATTGCAAGGTATTTTAAAGATATAAACTATTAAGAAAATAATTAGTATAGCATTAAAAGTTGATCTAAGAATGTTTGCCCTACTCATTTTTTTAAATGTGCTTTGACATTAGATTAATGATCTGTAGTAATCATGTTTCCTGATGTTGTAAAGGTGAGTTGTTCTATTTGAAACCTTTCAAATACAGAAATATTAATTTTAGGAGAAATAACTAAAACATAATAAGGCAAATGTCTCTCCCCTGCCCCTCCCAGTCTGTGACACACTTTCCTCTTTTGCCCCCTCTGGCCCTCAGGCTCCTGCACAGACTGCGTGCAGCCCCCTCCCAGCCCTGCAATCCCTGAGCTGGAGTTGCCCCTTGGTTGGGTCCAAGTCACAGGGGTGGGGGGCCTACGGGCCAGGAGGAAGCCACACTGGCCTGCGGCCTGCGTGGAGGAGGTGGAGGTACCCAACATGGCTGGTGGAGCATGAGCGCCCCAGATGGCAGATTGGAGGCTTTCAGCGGGCTTCCTCCGCTTGGAATTAGCAACATAGTGCATAAAGGTCAACTCTGTGAGCTTTAATTGAGGAAGGGAAGCAGCAGTTCACTAGAATAGCAAAGGATACCCCAGACTCTGTGGAGAAGGTGGGCAAGCAGCCCCCACGTCGGCGTTCTGCTGATAATGTGTGAAGCCCTAGTATGTGAGAGGAACAGCCAGTCTCCCCTTGCGTTTCGCCTTTCCGCTAGTGATCTGTGCAGCCCAGGCCAAGGGAGAGCACCCTGTTTCTGCCAAGCCCGGGAGCTAGTTTGGGGAGAGGCTGAGATACCGAGAGGGAAAGACACTGGGAAAAGCTGCAGGCATTTTTCCAGACCTGGGACTGAGAGGACACTTTTTTTGTTTTGTTTTGTTTGAGACGGAGTTTTGCTCCTGTTGTCCAGGCTGGAGTGCAATCGCGCGGTCTCAGCTCACTGCAACCTCCGCTTCCCGGGTTCAAGCGATTCGCTCGCCTCAGCCTTCCCAGTAGCTGCGATTACAGGCGCCCGCCACCATGCCCAGCTAATTATTGTATTTTTAGTAGAGATGTGGTTTCACCATTTTGGCCAGGCTGGTCTCAAACTCCTAAGCTTAGGTGATCCACCTGCCTTGGCCTCCGAAAGTGCTGGGATTACAGGCTTGAGCCATCGCCCCCGGCCGAGGATACTTTTTTAAATCTGGGCTCATACAAAGTCGGTCGTTGTTTGGTAACCTGGCAATGGTAGCCACGGCAGGCATTTTAGTCTTGGGCCAGAGATTGGAGCATTTGCTTTGGAGCGAGGGAAAGGTCCCCACAGCCGGAAATGGGCAGTGAGTTTGGAGAGTGCCTAGCAGTGGGTGCTGAAACTAAGCTCTCTCTCATCCCAAGACTGGAATGGGAGGAGAATTGCAGAAGCCTACTGCGTTTCTCCTGAGCAGCATGACTTGCAGCCAGGGACAGCTTTGCGACCTGAAGCAGGTCTGTGTGGGTCACTGATGGGTGCCTCAGACTGCTTCCTTGGTCAGTTGAGGGAGAGTGCTTCACCAGCTGCAAGGAGTAGGAGGGAGGTGGACCCCACTCACCTGGAGATCTAACCCTCCGTGTGAACTGCCACTAAGCGAAGGGGGAGTGCAGCCCGCCAAAGTCCCTTTGGGGTCAAAGGAACTATGAGTGCTGTGACAGCCACCAAAGGGCACAACACCAAAGCCTGGGAACAGACTTGGAGATGGGGGTCATCTCTCACTTCCAGACAGCCTCCCCAGTGTACTTTCGTGGACATAGCAGCGCCTCTTCCTGCTGGGTCCCAGGGAGTGTAGGGTGAAAGAGGTGCCTCTCAGGCTTTTCCAGGGGCTCCACCCCCGATGAAGACAAACGGTATGGGGAAGAGGTGGGAGGGCACTCGTGCTTTTCTGTTGCCTCCACCCCTGCTGAAGGCGTGCATAAGCAGAGTTAAGAGCCTCCTGCCAGCTCATCTCTTACTCTTAAGCACCATCTACTGGACTGCAGCCTGAATTACACCACCAAATAAGAATACATTGCTACACCAAGCAAGTCTGAAAAACCCATCATATGAAGCTATCTGCAACCAAGGAACTCTACAGAGCCCTGTTCCCATAACAGCATCCAGAAACAAAGCTAATCGATCTGTTAAAACAGAGTTAATACGGCCGGAGAAGGACTCCATACTTCTGTAGTTTAGACCTTGTGGATGAACTGTAATCTAACTTAATAGGTAGACAAGATTGACAACCTAACTTAGCAGTATGCACCTGTAACAATAGCTGAGTCTTGGCCAATCCCAGCAGTCATACTTCAACCACTCATACACTGCCAAGTGTTTAAACTGTGTTAGAATAAGGCAAACGCCAATCAGTCCAGCTATTTCTGTAACTCACGCCCAATTTCTGTATGTCACTTTCCTTTTCTTGTCTATAAATTTGTTCTGCCCATGAGGCATCCCTGGAGTCTCACTGAATCTGCTGTGTTTCTGGAGGCTGCCGAATTTGTGAATAGGTTTTTGTTTGTTTGTTTGTTTGTTTTTTCTTGCTCAGTTAAACGCTGCTAAATTTAATTTGTCTGAAGTTTTAACAGATCATACACAACATCCACCACAGTCATAACCTCAAGGCAAAAAAGGAATAAAATATCAAAAAACTCCATCTAAATTATAAACAATTCAGAAAAAGAAGTGTCAGCTCCCTCAGATGGGAAGGAACCAGCATAAGAACTCCAGAAGTACAAAAAGCCAGAGTGTTTCATCACCTTCAAAGATCACACTAGCTCCCTAGCAATGGATCCTAACATTAAATGTCTGAAATGACAGATAAATAATTCAGAATATTGATGACAAAAAAACTAAAAGAGATACAAGAGAAAGTTGAAATTCAACACAAGGAGAACAGAAAAAAGATGCAGGATTTGGAAGATAAAATAGCTGTATTAAGAAATAACCAAACAGAACTTCTGTAATTGAAAAATTTACTACATGATTTTTCAAAATACAGTTTGAACCCTTAACAACAGACTAGACCAAGCAGAAGAATTTCAGAGCTCAAAGACTGCTCTTTCAAATCAACTCAGACAAAAATAAAGAAAACAGAATTTAAAACAAAGCCTTCAAGAAATATGGGATTATGTAAAGTGGTAAAATCTATGACTTATTGGGATTCCTGTGAGCGAAGAAGAGAAAGTAAGCAACCTAGAAAACACATTTGAGGATATAATTCATGAAAATGTGCCCAGTCTTGCTAGACAGGTCAAGATGCAGACACAGGAAATCCAGAGAACTCCATGAACTACTATACAAAATGACTGTCTCCAAGGTACATAGTTATCAGACTATCCAAGGTCAATGCAAAAGAAAAAGTCTTAAAGTCAGCTAGAGAAAAGGACTATATCAGGCTATGATAGGAAACCCATCAGACTAACAGTGCACTTCTATGATGGAAACCCATCAGACTAACAGAAGACTTCTCAGCAGAAACCTTACAAGGCTGAAGAGATTGGGGGCCCATTTTTATCATTCTTAAAGAAAATAAATGCCAGGCAAGAATTTCATATCCCACCAAACTAAGCTTCGTAAGCGAAGGAGAAATAAACTCTTTTCCAGACAAGCAATTGCTAAGGGAATTGGCCACCACCAGACCAGCCCTACAAGAGATGCTTAAGGGAGTACTAAACATAAAAACAAAAGAACAATACACTACCACAAAAGCATGTATAAACACATAGCCCATGGATCCTATAAAGCAACTACACAATTGATACTACAAAGCAAGTAGCTAACAACACTATGACAAGAACAAATCCCCACGTATCAGTATTAACCTTGAATGTAAACAGCCTAAATGCTCCACTGAAAAGAAATAGAGTGGCAAATTGGATTAAAAAAACAAGACCCAGCCAGACACAGTGGCTCATGCCTGTAATCCCAGGAATTTGGGAGGCCAAGGCAGGAGGATTGACTGAGCTCAGGAGATTGAAATCACCATGGGCAACATAGCAAGACCCTGTCTCTATTTTAAAAAAGAAAAGAAAACAAAAACAAACAAACAAACAAAAAGACCCATCATTCTGTTGCTTTCAAAAGACACATATCACCATAGTACATGTAATAACACACATAGGCTCAAAGTAAAGGGGTGGCGAAAGATCTGTTATGCAGATGGAAAAAAAGATCAGGGGTCACTATTCTTGTATCAGATAAAACAGACTTTTTAAATCAACAACAGTAGAAAAAGGACTAGGGCATTACATAATGAAGAAGGGTTCAATTCAACAAGATTTATCCTATACACACCCAAGATTGGAGCACTCAGATTTCTAAAACTATTATTTCTAGACCTAGGAAAAGAATTAAACGGCCACATAATAATAGTGGGGGACTTCAACACCTCACTGACAGTGTTAGATAGATCATCAAGGCAGAAAACTAACAAATTCTGAACTTAAATTCAACAGTTGACTAATTGAACCTAATAGACATCTACAGAATACTCCACCCACCAACAACAGAACATACTTTTTTCTCATGTGCACATAGAAAATACTCTAAGATTGACCACATGCTTTGTCACAAAGCAAATCTCAGTAAATTCAAAAAAGATTGAAATCATACCAAGCATTTCAGACTACAGCATAGTAAAAATGAAAATCAACACCAAGAGAAACTCTCAAAACATGGAAACTAAACAACTTGCTCCTGAATGACTTCTGGGTAAATATAAAAATAAGGCATACATAAACACTTTTTGAAACAAATGAAAATAGACATACAACATACCAAAACCTGAGATATAGCAAAAGCAGTGTTAAGAGGAAAGTGTATAGCACTAAAAACCTACATCAAGAAGATAGAAAGATCTCAAATTAACAATCTCACATTGTACTTATAGGAACTGGAAAATCAAGTAGAAACAAATCCCAAAGCCAGTAGAAGAAATAACTAAAATCAGAGCAGAACTAAATGAAATTGAGTCCTTCAAAGAAACATACAAAGGATCAACAAAATGAAAAGTTTGTACTTTGAAAGGATAAATAAGGTTGATAGATTCCTAGCTAGATTAACAAAGAAAAACAGAGAGATCCAAATAAGCACAATAAGGAATAACTAAGGTGATATGACAACTGATCCTACAGAAATACAAAAGATCCTCAGAGACTATTACTGACACATCTATGTGCACAAACTAGAAAATCTAAAGGAAATGGATAAATTCTTAGAAACACATATCCAAGATTGAATCAGGATGAAATCAAAACCCTAGACAGATCAATAACGAGTTCCAAAATCGAATCAGTAATAAAAAATATACCAACCAAAAAGTTCTGGAACCCCAGATGGATTCCTAATCAATTTTTACCATATGTATAAACAAGAGCGAGTACCAATCCTACTAAAACTATTCTGAAAAACTGGGGAGGAGAGATTCCTCTCTGACTCATTCCATGAAACCAGTGTCATCCTGATACCAAAATCTGGCAAAGGACACAATGCAAAACGAAAACTACATACCAATATGTCTCATGAACTTAGATGCAAAAATCCTTAACAAAACATGAGCAAACTGAATCCAGCAGCATATCAAAAAGTTAATTCACCACAATCAAGTAGGCTTTATTTCTGGGATGCAGGGTTGGTCCAATATACACAAATCAATAAGCGTGATTCAACACATAAACAGAATGTTAAAACAAAAACTATATGATCACCCCAATAGATACAGAAAAGCATTCAATAAAATTTAACATCCCTTCATTATGAAAACCCTTAAAATACTAGGCATTGAAGGAACATACCTCAAAATAACAAGAGCCATCTGTGACAAACACACAGCCAACACCATACTGCACAGGCAAAAGCTGGAGGCATCTCCTTGAAGAACTAAAACAACACAAGGATGTTCACTGCCACCACTCCTATTAAACATATTACTGGAAGTCCAAGTCAAAGAAATCAGACAAGAGAAAAAGTCATCCAAATAGGAAAAGAGGAAGTGAAATTATTGATCTTAACTGACAATATGATGCCATACCTAGAAAACCCTAAAGACTCTGCCAAAAGGCCCCTAGACCTGATATACGACTTCAGTAAAGTTTCAGGATACAAAGTCAACATACAAAAATCAGTAGCATTTCTATGCACCAATAACATTCAAGCTGAGAGCCAAATCAAGACCAGAACCTCATTTACAATGGCCACCAAAGAATAAATTCCCAGGATTACATCTAACCAAGGAGGTGAAAGATCTTTACAAGGAGAACTACAAAACACTGCTGAAAGAAATCACAGATGACACAAACAGATGGAAAAACATTCCATGCTATTGGAAGAATCAATATCATTAAAATGTCCATACTGCTCAAAGCAATCTATAGATTCAATACTATTCCTATCAAATTACCAATGTCGTTTTTTGCAGAATTAGAAAAAAAGTGTTCTTAAATTTATATGGAACCAAAAAAGAACCTGAATAGCCAAACCAAACTTAGGCAAAAACAATAAAGCCAGGGGCATCACATTACTCAACTTCAAACTATACTACAAGGCTACATCAACCAAAACAGCATGGTACTGGTACAAAAATAGACACATAGACAAATGGAACAGAATAGAAACTCCAGAAATAAAGCCACACACCTACAACCAATTGACCTTGGACAAACTTGAAAAAAATAAGCAATAAGGGAAGACTCTCTACTGAATAAATATTGCTGGGCTAGCTGGCTAGCCACATGCAGAAGAATGAAACTGGACCCTTACCTTTTACTGTGTGTAAAAACTAACTCACGATGGATTAAAGATTTAAATGTAAGACCTGTTTGTTCTGTTTATATATAAATATATATACTTATATATATTAAAAACTTATATACACACACAAACAGACAACATATGAATTGAGAGAATATTTAAGACTCATTTGCTCTGTTTATATATAAATATAAATGGAATGGGAGAAAAGATTTGCAAATGATGCATCTGACATAGGTCTAATATTTAGAATCTATAAGGAACTTAAATAATCCAGTGAAAAACAAATAAACCCCATTTAAAAAGAAGCAAAGTACATGAACAGACACTTCTCAAAAGAAGACAATTATTAAAAAGTCAAAAAATAACAGATGTTGGCAAGACTGTGGAGAAGAGGGAACACTTATATACTGTTGGTTAGAATGTAAATTAGTTCAGCCCCCAAGGAGAGAAATTTGGAGTTTTCTCACAGAGCGAAAAATAGAACTACCATTAAACCCAGCAACCCCATTAACAGGATTAATACCCAAAGGAAATAAATTGTTCTACAAAAAAACCCACCTGCATTCATATGTTTGTCACAACACTATTCACAATAGCAAAAACATGGAATCACCATGTCGGTGCCCATCAACAGTAGCTTAAAGAAAATGTAGTACATGTACACCATGGAATACTACACAGCCACAAAAAGAATGAAATCATGTTCTTTGCAGCAACACAGACGCAGCTGGAGGCCATTATCCTAAGCAAATTAACAGAAACAGAAAACCAAAACTTGCAGGTTCTCTTAAGTGGGAGCTAAACATCAAGTACGTACAGACCTAAACATGAGAAGAATAGACACTAGCAACTCCAGAAGAGGGGAGGCAGTGAGGTGGGTAAGGGCTGAAAATTTTTCTGTGGGATACTATGTTCACTATCAGGGTGATGGGATCAATAAAATCCTAAACCTCAGCATCATGCTATATACCCTTGTAACAAACCTGTACATGTACCCCAATAATCACAAATAAAAAATTCGAAACAAAGAAAAAATGGAAATTAAACATAAAAAAGTAGATGTTTCCAGCTGGCTCATTATTTTACAACAGTATCACATGTGAATTCTTGCATATTGCTTGTTGAATTAGTGATGATAAATATTAAAAAGTAGGCTTCATTATAGTTGGTGAAATACCTGATTTTTTTTCTGACTTGGATCAGCAGTAAAATACTAAGAAATGAAGAAGAAAATTATGTGAGTAAATAGTATAATAGTTTTCAGTTTCACCTCTGTATTAGTCCATTCTCACACTGCTATGAAGAAATACCCAAGACTAGGTAATTTATAAAGGGAAGAGGTTTAATTGACTCACAGTTCCGCATTGCTGGGGAGGCCTCAGAAAACTTACAATCATGGCAGAAGGTAAAGGAGAAGCAGGCACCTTCTTCACAGGGTGGCAGACTGGAGTGAGTGCACGCAGGGGAAATGCCAGACGCTTATAAATCCATCAGATCTTGTAAGAACTCACTCACTATCACAAGAACAGCATGGGGAAACCACCCCCATGATCCAATTACCTCCACCTGGTCCTGCCCTTGACATGTGGGGATTATGGGGATTACAATTCGAGGTGAGATTTGGGTGGGGACATGGAGCCAAACCATACTACCCTCCTTCCAGCATTAGCTAGATAGCTAATGGACTTGTTTATAACCCCATAAAATCAAATAAGCAGGTTGTAGAAGAGCATCTTAATCTGTTTTGTACCACTATAACACAATAACAGATAGATAATTTATTATGAATAGAAATTTATTATCTCACATTTCTGGAAGTTGGGAAGTTCAGATGTAGGTGTTAGGAGGTTAAGACTTGGTCTTTCTGCTTCCAATATAGTGCATTGAATGTTGTATCCTCCAGAAAGGAGGAACTTCTTTTTTGGCAGAAAAACAAGAGAAAGAGAACCTATTCGAAGAAGCCCTTTTTATAGTGGTATTAATTCATTCATGAGGGTGGAGATCCCATGACCTAAACACTTCCTATTAGGTCTCACCTTCCAACACTATTGCATTGGAAACTAAGTTTTCAACAAATGAGTTTTAGAGGGAACAAAAGCGTTGAAACCATAGCAAAGAGTAAGAAAGCAGAGGTCCTTAGACATTATTGAAATAGAGTGATCTGGTTGATGATAGTCCTTTAGAATAAAATTTCTTATGGGCTGAATTGTGTTCCCCACAGATTCATATGTTGAAGTCCTAACTCCTAGTACCTCAAAATGAGACTGTACTTAGAGACAGGACCTTTAAAGAGATAATTAAAGTAAAACAAGGTCATATGGGTAGACCCTCATCCATATGACTGATGTCCTTATAAGAAGAGATTAGGACACAGACACACAAAAACCAAGGGGTGATGGCTGTATAAGGGTACAGTGGGAAGGTGGCCATCTACAAGGCAGAGAGAAAAGCCTGAGAAGAAACGGAACCTGCTAACATCTTGAAGTTGGACCTCTAGCTTCCAGAACTCTGATAAAATAAATTTCTGTGTTCAAGCGACCCAGTCGGGTATTTTGTTTTGGCAGATCTAGAAAACTAATATAAAAATTCAATATTTCATTCTGTGCTTTTAAAGTTTACTTTCCCTGAATCTGTGTCCAATAAGTAGAGCATTATTAAGAATTAAGAACAAAGGAAAATAACCATGAATAACTTTTCTGTCTATTTGTACTTGATTCATGTTTTAGTCAAATCTCTTGCATACTATTGTTATCTAATAAAAATATATTTGGCTAACTCAGAAGTGGATTCCTGAATCTAAAAATCTTGAATGCTCCTACATTAGAGAAATAGTAGAATATAAGAGTTGAAAGTAACTTTAGGAGCTGGATAGCCTGGAATCATGTTGTGGTTCTGTAAATTAATCCATAAAATGGGCACATAACCTATTTTATAGGGTTGTTATGACGATTAAATGAGTTGATGAATGTAAAGTTTAGAAAATTATGATTATTTCCTTAACAGCCTGTAATATAGTGACAATGAACTTGCAATTCATATATCTAACACCAGATGACAGTGTGGCCACCCAAGGTTAGATAGCTATGTAGTCCAGTAGACGCGCTAGCATGACTGTCTGAAATACAGGACCACCAAATTCCAGAAGATTTCTATGAAAATAAGATGAATTTAAAATCTCTATGCAAATACCAGGTCACATAAATATTCACAAAATAAAAGTTTAAATAAAACATCTGATTTATTACTTACTGTCACCATTAGTTACTTTCTGTCACTATTCAAATCCTGGATCTATAGTTTACTGTCTGAATAATCTTTGAAAAGTTTATCTTTTATAAGCTTAAATTTTCTTATATGTAAAATACTACATGAATTTAACAAAATTTTGTTGAATTCCTTCTATACGTCACATTTGTTCAACGAGCTGGGGAGATAGCATCTTAGAAAAACGACGGAAATCCTTGCCTTTATGAAGCTTATATTCTACTGACTAGAATCTAGTGATTAACCAAAGAACCCCTATCATTTAAAAGCAGAGACAGATTGTGTACCAGGATGTTAAAGTGAAAATCTCTACATCAGTTTTCACTGAATCCCCAAAGGCCCAGAATGAAATGACAGATTCAGAGTACCTCTACATTTTGTAGCAATGTGTTAGATAGACCATTGATGCAGTACTTGCAAAGGGGATGGTCAACAACTGCAAACTTTAGCTCAATACATGCCTCAAGCATATAAAAGAATATGGACAGGTGAATGAATGGATTCTTTTAAAAGACAACTTATTGAGAGAAAGTTGTTGGAGAACTGTGCATAATCACCATAGTGCAGGGTGGGTAATATTTTTTCTCAACTAAATGAGAAAGGGATCCTCAAGAGAGTCACTGGGAGTTGTTGACATGAGACCCCTAGCAATGAAGCACATGAAAACTGTGAGAGGTTATGGCTGCTTAAGGCTGAGGGCACAGGGCCAAGAGAAAAGAGCTGCACTGGAAGTAATGTACACTTGTATGGCTAACCGGCAAAAAAGCACAAGTGTTTCTCACAGACCAGAAATAAACTCCAAGGGTATTAAGAATCCCTATCTGAAAGGACAATGTGATACCCATAAAGGGGATGGGCCATCAGATACATGCACAGGGCATGTGGAAAGAACAGTGGTTTCTGGTTGGGGCGAGGTATTGCCAGCCTCACAGTCCAAGGGCCCCAGCAGCAGTGTCTTTGAGGAGTCAACCAGAGAAACAATAAGCACGGAGAGATCACCCCAGGGTGGTCCCAGAGGATAGATCTGTGCCAGACGAGTAAAACTTTCCTGTTCTTTACTTCTCCTCCCACCCTTACCCCAACTCCAACTCTGAAATAAGACTCATGGAGAGCAAGAGGGAAGAAATCTGCCCGACCAGTCCCAGCTTTTTCACTGCCGACTTTCAGTCCAAAGCAGGCCATGCTGGGGCAGGGAAGGAACGCTCACTCTGAAGTGACTTTGGAACGTTAACTGTTACACTGCACCAAACATTTTCATTACAAAAACAAGAATATTCTTGTACCTAGAGGGGATTAGACAATTTATGTTATTACTGAAGTTATGAAAACTATTATGGGACCTGCCTAAGTTCTCATCCAGAGACAGGAAAATACCTAGCCTTCTCCAAGTAGAGTGAAAATATATTTAACATGAATAAAGTACTTAACATGGTAAATATTTTCTGTTTTCATCATTGTTCTTCTAATCAGCCCTTGTAACTTGCTTGGGTCTGGTCCAGAGACAGGAAAATACTTTGTCTTCTTCAAGTAGAGTGAAAACAGATTTAACATGTATAATGTGCTTAACATGGTATTTTCTGTTTTCATAATTTTCCTTCTAATCAGCCCTTGTAACTTTCTTGGCTCTGAGTCATACAGCCCTCCTACTGAGGACTGAATGAAGGTGTACATGCCAAAATAGTGTACTGGGAAGAGTGGACCAAACAGAACTCACATACTCTTCCATCCACACCTCGGGGCTGGCTCAGCCCTCTAGGGCCCAAAGGGAGGGGAAAATCTCTTTCTTGAATGCCTGATTCAGTTTTTCCTATCCTCAGCACACAGTCCTGTGAGCAGAAAGAACAACAGGTAAGAATATTTGTTTCAATTAAGGAAAAAAGTCAGAGGTGCTTGTTCAGAACAGCTCCTGGTACTAGCAAGCCCTCATTAGGTATTTGTAGAATGAGTACATGCATGATGTTTGTGGCAGCATGAGGGAGATTGGATTACTTCTGGGAT